>NC_000004.12:18697916-19322916 GCF_000001405.40 Homo sapiens | reverse complement strand
GATAAAGTCACTTAAACTCTTGAGGCCTCAGTGTCATTACTTTTAAATGAGAATAACTATAGCATTTATCTCTAGTTTTTTTATAAGGACTAAATGAGTTAACACAGTAGAAGAGTTGGAATAGTATCTGACACACAGTAAGTGCTTCTCTGTGTAGGGTATTTGATTTTACCTTCTCTTTGACTATGAGTAAAGTGGCTGTCAGCCCTATATTTCTAATACTTCACTTTGTAAAAAATATTTATAGCATCACTTTTACTATCATTACATAAAATTTATAGACAATCTAATCTAATTACACACTTAAATCTACTTTTAAACATAATACTTTGGGTTTATATAAGAATCATCAGAAATTACATTATCATATTTGGTAGGCTATATGAAAGTGATACAGAATTTAGGGCATATTTTTCTAAAGGAGAAATATGTTTGGATTATTAATCTATCTAAAATTTCTGGAACTGTAAACTAGATAACCAATTCCCTAACCTCTCCATAGGGAGAGGTTTCCTTGACAGCCTTTGCTTTCATTTCTTCTTCTGAGAAATTCCTGTCTTCCTCTACCAGATTATACATTATTTGATGTTTTTATTTTTTATTAAAATATGAATAGTTAGGGAGTGTTCAAATATAATCCTTTCTTATGCCTTTTCCTGGAGGTAGGGATTAATACAGGAAGTTGAGGGATACAGTGTTGGCCATGTATTTCCTTTTTGCCAGACCTCAGTAAGGTTGTCTTTCCTTAAGACTCTCTCATGATTCATGATGGGTATGGCTTTTTGTCATTTTCAGTCCCTATTAGAGGAAAAAGTACTAAACTGGGAAGGATACTAGGACAAGAGATCTAAACTGGAACTTGTCAGGGCAAACTAGGTCATATGGTCACCCAATCTATATCATCTTAAATAGCATGCCCCAGGCCATCAAACTCAAGAGAAATAATAGCTGTGATCCAGGCATTATCTTTTATTCTCTAGGTGGACTGCCTGACACAGCCCTGGGAATGAAGGATGATTCTAACCAAAATGATCCAATTTTGCCCTTGAGAAGTTTCCTCAAAGCTCTCCTTGTTCACATCAATTGTACCAAGCACATATTTCTCTTCGAAGGCTCTAATAACTTAATCTTTCTCATTTTCCCTGACATTTAGCCCAAGGTTAGGTATATTGACATTTGATTCATAGAGTGACTAGGGTGTCAGCTGGGGAAATTCATATTCATTATTTTACTGATAAGAAAAAAAAATGTAGATGTAAAGTAGCTTAAAGTCAGAGTAATCTGAGAAAGAGTTGCCAGATGAAATACAGGATGTTTATTACATTTGAATTTTTAAAAAACAATGAATTTATTTTTAGAATAGGTATGTCCCAAATAGCATATGAGACATATTTAACACTGAAATATTATTCGATCTTTATCTAAAATTCAAATTTAACTGAATTAAACCTGGCAACTTTAGTCTGCAGCATATCTATGATTAATACCTTTGTCTCCTGAGGCCCATTCAGTCTAGTGCTCACTTTACATAAAACTCTACTGTTATAATTTCCACTATAACAAGCCATACCTTTCTGACATAAAATAATCAATAAAAATGCAGTGTATTGAAGATTATACCAAAAAGTTATAGGAGGATTGCTAAACATTTGATATAAGGCATAGTTCTTAAAAGTTTTGGCCTTGGGATCCCTTTACACTCTTACATATTATTATAGACCTGAAGAACATGTGCTTACCTGATTGCATTTATCAATATTTCCTACATTAGAAATTAAAACTGAGAATGTATTTAAAATATATATTGGCCAGGCGCAGTGGCTCATGCCTGTAATCCCAGCACTTTGGGAGGCCGAGGCAGGCGGATCACGAGGTCAGGAGATCGAGACCATCCTGGCTAACACGGTGAAAACCCGTCTCTACTAAAAATACAAAAAATTAGCCAGGTGTGGTGGCGGGTGCCTGTAGTCCCAGCAACTCAGGAGGCTGAGGCAGGGGAATGGCATGAACCTGGGAGGTGGAGCTTGCAGTGAGTGGCGATATCACCACTGCACTCTAGCCTGGTGACAGAGCAAGACTCCGTCTCAAAAAAAATAAAAAAAGTATATATATATATATAAAATATATATATATTATATATATATAATATATATATTATATATATATATATTATATATATATTTATGTTAAACATAATGAACCAAATACCTGTTGATATAAATAGTGTTTTATGAAAATATAATTTATAAAATAAGAAGGAACATTAGAAAAAGGAAAACATTGTTTTAGTTTTTTGTAAATCACTTTAATGTTTGCCTTTATGATGGAGCGGAGGGTGGCCCATGACATGATTAGTGGCTTTTTAAGAAGAAAGAGCAGAGCTCCAACCCCCTCCCTTCCCTGCTCACACCAAGGAAAAGCCATGGAACATAGCAAGAATCTGCTCGTCTGCAAGAATCTGGTGGCCATGTGCAAGCCATGAAGACAGCCTTCACCAAGAACCAAATAGGTTGTCATCCTGATCTCAGACTTCTAGACTTCTAGCCTTCAGAACTGAGAGAAGGCCCGGTGTGGTGGCTCACACCTGTAATCCCAGCACTTTGGGAGGCCAAGGCGAGTGGATCAGCTAAGGTCAGGAGTTCGAGGTCAAGAGTTCGAGACCAGGCTGACCAACATGGCGAAACCCCATGTCTACTAAAAATACAAACATTAGCCAGGTGTGGTGGTGGGCACCTGTAATCCCATCTACTCAAGAGGCTGAGGCAGGAGAATAGCTTGAACCCAGGAGATGGAGGTTGCAGTGAGCCAAGATTGCACCACTGTACTCCAGCCTGGGTGACAACAGCAAGACTCTGTCCACCCCCCCAACAAAAACAAAACAAAAAACAAACAAAAAAGTCCTGAGATAAGTAAATTCCTGTTGCTTAAGCCAACCAGTGAATCGTATTATGGGAGACCAGAACATACCACTCCAAAACATGCCTGTTTTGGCATAAGGATCATTGAGCTGAAAGCAGTTATGAAGCAGATGCAGCAAAGCTCTCTGCTTTCTATTTGCCTAAAAGCAGTACATACAGTTACAGACACAGAAGGTATCCCACTGTTCCTTTCACCAGAGAGAACAAAAGTAAAGCACTGAAGACAATTTAAACCCTTACTGCCCTACAGATACACCAGAGGAATCAACATTATTTACTCAACTGAATCTGCCATTTGTTTGCCTTCCCTTAATTTGCTTACCCCAAATTTCTTGTCACTGTTCCAAAAATAAACCTTTCTTTCTGAAAATGCTAAAGCTAGAAATCAAAGCTACCTCTTTAAGAACTACTTATTCCATGGGTACCTCTCATGTATATAGGAAAATATGCATGTGAATAAAATTCTGGGTTTTTTTCTTGTAAATTTGTCTTTTGTTATAGGAATTCAATCTAACTAAAATTTATGAGGATTGAGAAATAAATTATTTTCCTACCGTACAGTATTTTACTATGGCACTGTGAGCAGACTAATGGAATATTGTTTTAAAATAGTTTTGACCATCATTCTACTTTCTGTATCTAGTTAACGCATATAAGTGGTATCATACAATATTTGTCTTTTTGTGACTGGCTTATTTTACTTAGCATAATATCCTAGAAGTTCATCCATGTTGTAGTATGTGAGATTTCCCTCCTTTTTAAGATTTAATAATATTCCACTGTATGTGTGTGCCACATATGCTTATTTATTATGTTATGTATTTGTTTGTTTTAACCAAAAATAAACATTTGTCAAAGATATTTTTGAGCTTTCTAAAGCTTTAAATGTTTTCTGGGACCTCCAGGCGTCTCCAGGCCATAAATTTGAGAACTGCTAGTATAAAGTAATCTCAAAATGAACTATTATATGTGCAATATTTACCCTGGTAATTATGTAACATTATCACAGGCAAAGGATTTTTCTATGTGTTTTTCCATGTGATCCCTGTAAACCTTCAACAACGACCTGATGATGTAATTACCATTGGTTTGTTTGTTTCCACTTCACAGAGTAGGGTTAAACTGAGACTCTATTCTTCATCTTGAGGGAGTCTAGCCCTCCTTATGTGATGATGTAAGGGTAGTCTACATCTCTATATGCAGAACAGAGAGAGCCCAGCATAACTCTCTTGAACTAGCTTGGCTCAAAATCTTCCTTAATTGGACTCAAAATGTTTCTTAATTGTTGACACCTTCTCTCTAGTAATGGCTTACATTTTAAGCTGTTCTTTTCTCTTAATTTTGCTGCTGTGCTGATTCAATGCCATTTGGCGTGGCCTTGGGTCTTTGTTGCTAGTTGGCATTGCTTTTCCATTGTTCTAAGATCTCATCACTTCTATGTAGCATCATGGAGTCTTTACTCCTTCCCTGAGCAGGGGTTTCCAACGGTATCCCAACTCCAATAGTCACACTGGGGGAGGCTAAAGGAAACCCCCACCCTCCATTTTTATATATTAGGTTTCCAAAAGAGTAGTCTAGTCTCTTACTAATTGTCTTTCTATTATACTGCTGAAGCTTACAACTTGCTTAATTATTTCCTTCTTTCAGTTGTCTACATGTGACATGTGCTCCTGAGAGTCCTAAGGGATGGGTAAAAGGACAATTTGGGAAAGTATTAAATATCCTCCACTTTGTTGTGAGCGAAATGTGAAAAACTGCCATTTTTTTTTTTTTTTTGAGACGGAGTCTCGCTTTGTTGCCCAGGCTGGAGTGCAGTGCCATGATCTCAGCTCACTGCAACCTCTGCCTCCCAGGTTCAACCAATTCTCTTGCCTCAGCCTCCTGAGTAGCTGGTACTACAGTCGCATGCCACCACACCAAGCTAATTTTTTTTGTATTTTTAGTAGAGATGGGGTTTCACCATGTTAGCCAGGATGGTCTCGATCTCCTGACCTCGTGATCCACCCATCTCGGCCTCCCAAAGTGCTGGGA
Source organism: Homo sapiens (assembly GCF_000001405.40). Classification (NCBI taxonomy): domain Eukaryota; kingdom Metazoa; phylum Chordata; class Mammalia; order Primates; family Hominidae; genus Homo; species Homo sapiens. The sequence goes on along the minus strand of NC_000004.12, from coordinate 19,317,967 downwards.
TTACAGGCGCCCTGTCTATTTTAACAAGAAAACAAAGCACATATATTCAGATTAGGTATTTTGTAAATAGTTGTGGATGAACCTTTTATATGATTTTAGTGAATGTCTTACAAATATAAAGATTTAGTAATAGATCTTTAAAAGCTAACACTATATATATTGAAAAGGTAATCATCAATTTTGCTCAAATGTTTGTCTTTAAGCTATTGTATCAGAACTACCTGCATGAGTATTTTAATTTGTTAAAAATAGAAATTTCTACACTATAGTTTGCCAAACATATATTGAGTAGACCTGGGGTAGAGTTAATAATCTTAAGTTTTCAAAGTCTCTGCATATCATTCTTAGCATTCTTAGGTAGAAAATACTTTGAGAATGACTCATCTGAAAGATAGCATCTTTGCAGGTAATAATAACACCAGGAACCCTGGCATGGGATGCTATGTTCCAGGCACTATTCTAAATATTTGAAAATGCAGTTGATGGGGTTTAGGGCATGCTACCCCAAAATATGACATCTTGGCATTTGAGAAAACAGCAAAATCTGGAGGATAACTCTTATCTTCCACCCACCCATCTTCCTGAAGTAGGTCATACAACCTAGAATAATTCTCTGAGCTTTTTCTGAAATAGATTATAAGACCCTCATTCAAGAGGTACCCTCCCTGTACCCAGAAGAAAGAAAGATCTTTACCTCTGAAGACAGAGGACAGAGAAAAAAAAATCTAAATGAATAGGCCTTGCTATGCACCCAACCTGCCATTCAATCATACCCCCCTTTACATCAATCACCATTAAATCATATCCTCTTTGTCTAATTATGTTTCTCCATGACTACCCACTTCTTAATTCAACCTAGCATAAAACACACAGGTTTACCTGGATTTTGGGACTTCATTTCCTTATAAAGTCTCCAATGTCATATAAAACATTGAACACATTTGTGTGCTTTTCTCTTCTTAATCTGTCTTTCATTATGGGGGCTTCAGCCCTGAACCAAACATGGGAAGAAAAGATGCTTCCTTTCCCTATGCAATCTTGACAGGCAGAAGAATCAGGCAAATCCAGGCAGGCTACTCCCAGAGTCTGTTTTTCACCACCATGCAATATTTTTGCCATTCTCATAGAAAATAGCTAAGTGAGCAGACATGTGCAGTGGAATAAGCCAGAGCATTGAAATGTGCTCTCTTGCATTGCCTCTTGTAGTGTTTTAAATCAAAGTTTGCAAGCTTCCCTGATTTGGATCTCAAGAGCACTTGATGGATATATGTTGGCTGACCAATCACCTGAAATTGTGAAGATACTCTCTAAATAATTTCCAACATGTTGGCTATTGGAAGTGTTAATAGTAGAGGAAGAAAAAATGTCCAACAGTCAGAGCCCACCACACTGGAGAGCTAATCTCACAAATATTAGTAGGAGGGATGACCACCCTGGTGGACTTTGACATCAAAGAGGGCTACTATAATTGTGGTTATGGTGAACCTTCCCACCTTTGTAGTCTTCCAATGAAGAGATACGTGAACCACCTTGCTCCTAGCCAAGTTCACAATTGGGGAGCCACAGAGGTTCCTTCAGGAAAAGTTAGAACACTTTTAGTTTCACAGTGAAAGCATTTTATAGTTGAAATGTTCTTGGAGATGTGAGCTAAAGGTGCAATAGAAAATTAAACAAAATTGTCAAATAAACAAAATAACCACCACCACACCCCCTGAGGCACTGATTTGTGAAATATGGGATAACTAACTATAAATACGGTCAATTTCTGTCTCATGTCATAGGCAGCCTGCTATTGTAATACAATAATAGTAAAGTCATAGTTGGCCAAAGGAACTTGGCTATTGTGGGAGCCTCACTCCCATTTTCAGTGTATTCTATTACACAAGTACATAAAAAAGTTATGGGGCTGAGGGCAGCAGAGGCCACTGAAAACACTTCCATGACTAGAGACTTGTAGCTTTCAAACAGATTCCACAATTATTCTATTGGATAACTAGAAGCTATCTTGTTGCTTTTATTAAACCTGAAGTATGTTAGTTATAACTTAAAATAGTAAGAACAATGACATTTACATTAAAACTATACAATCAAAAGCTAGTCTACCAGAGCACAGGTGTTGGAAGCCAACTGACTTTCTCTGTATTCAGCCTCCACCACCTACTAGAGACGTGGGTTGAGAAAGTCACTTAAGCTCTTTGTTGAAGTTTCCTCCTGGTAAAATTTAGATAATAATATTGCTAACTTCTTAGGATTATGATGTGGATTAAATGAATTAATACATGTAAAGTTCTTAAACAGTACTTGACATATTCTGAGAATGATATGTGAGTTATTATTATATTATTACCCACCAGAAAGATCTTGACATACCCACCAACGATCTAGGTTTAGAAAATGGTACAGGCTACATGTGCAGTAAGAATTCAAAAGCAGAGAGCAATCATTGTAGGGCTGAATACATTAGGTAGTAACCGTCTCCAGGCTAGACTTTGGTATAACCAGTAACAAAATGGAGATGGAATCACCTGTCCTCTCTGGCATCGAAGAGCTATTGTGATAATCAAATGAGAAAATGTTTGGGAAAAATTTTATAAACGTATGAAACATGATAAGTATGCAATTTAGTAGTATTGTTACAATTATCATTTTATGAGAAGCCTCAAGGAGATGGCAGACCTTGAAGGAATAACTAGAAAAAGTTTTTCTACTTCAGGTAGAGGCAAGGTTCACAAATGCAGCCATTCTCTATCAGGGGCCAGGCCAAAATTGTAATTCAGTCTTTTTCTTTAATGATAAAAATTAAAAGGAAAGAAAGATACAGAGATAGAGAACAAGAGGGAATTTACCCACCCGAATATGTACTCAAAATTCTTTCCACTTACTCGACCTCTAGGGTCTAGGATATGAAACTGTCATCTACTGGATTACTGAGATGCCTGTCAAATCCCTTCAGAGAGTGGAAGCTAGTCCTCCATTGCACTATTAGTCTCTGAGTGTTATAGTGTTGTCCTTGTAATAATCCAGTCTCTGAAATCTTCCCTTCCTGAAATGTCTTAAATACCAAAGGAAAATAACATTTTAATATAATTCCCTCAAGTCATATAAGGGCTAATATTATAAATGTAAAAAATATATATATATGTACACATACACACATATATATGCATGTTCATATACACACATACATATGATACACATATAAATATATACATGATATATATGAGACACAGATGTTTTCATCAATATAATTACCATCATCATTGAAAGTATTTCTTTCAATGTAAAATTAAATTTTATTGTTTCTTTTGGTGTAAGATTTTATTTGCCAGAAACTTTCTGCAAATTTTTTATTATTGGGTTTCCTCTGGTTTTTAGTTTTAGTTTCAGTTTTTTAATATATCTTCATGTTTACTGATTTACATCATTAGATTATTTATAAAGTTAAAAATTATAAAAATAGATTTTAGGATAGTTAATTGAAAATACTCTTCAGGCTCATAGATGACCTGATGCATTTGATAAAGAATAAGAAATTAGTAGTAAGCTCAAGTAGAGATTATTTTGAATTGGAACTCCTCTGGTACTGATTTATTGAGCCAACTACATAGGCGTGACTTGGATCCATTAAGTTTAATAACCCAGAAAGTTTGGAATGACTTGTGGGTGTCATTGCTTTCTGTTGCTCTGTACTCAATTTCTAGGCTGGATCATCAGGAAAAAAACAAAATGAAGAAAATACTTCACTTTTCTTGTTTTAAGACTTTGAACAATCTATTAGGCAGGGAGCCAAATTTTCCCAGGGCATGAACTATTCCACTGATGTAGGGTGAACCTAGAAAATGAAATTTACCACATTAACAGACTGCATTTGGAGAGATTGGGACAGTATACAAGCTTCAGAATCAGAAAAAAACAGATTTAATTCCAAATTCTGCATCAGTCTTTGTTCTTACCACAGGTTCCTTAATCTCTTAACCAGATTAATAAAAGATTCTAACATCATAAGGAGGTTTTGAGGTAAAATGAAGATACATATGCCAAAATATCTTATAAATTCTAAAGCAGTTTAAAAACAAAACTTTATTTTTCTGGGTACAAAAAGTATCAGAAAACTGCACTGCTCCTGAAGTCTATGTGAAATTGTGTGTGTTGGACAGTGGTGTTTCTCACATGAGGAGGCAACTATGTTTATGTAATGTGTAAAAGCTCCATTTCTGGAGGTTTGAAAGACCCAAAGATAGCACTTTGGAGCTTCTGGTTTTATGCTGAAGTTTCCTATTGGAATCCTCAGCTGACTTTGGAGGTTATTTATTCTCTCTAGTGTTTCTGCTTTTGTTTAACTTTGGGACACTGATTTTTTTTTTCTACCGTGTCTCCTCAGTATTCCAATAAATAAGATTTAAGAAATATTTTATTTTCAAACACTTTATTGGTTTTGATTGGATGGTCATTCAGGATACATAGACCATCATGCTACTGGAAATAGAGGTTCACCATTTAAGTCAGAGCTGAAGTAACAGCATACCTTCTTATGTGTAGATCTCTACAAATTTACACCTACACAATCTTAAACATCAGTATTTCACTCTTCAGTGGCTGATCATTGACTTTACTGAATGTCGTACATGTTCAAGGGAATATCCTTTCCCTTACTATGTTACTATCGTGTTCTGAATCACAATATCTGTTCTGTGTTTCCCTCACTCCTTGATTTCAAAGCAATGTCTTCAAGCCTAAAATGCATCTATCTTCTAACCTCCCTTAAAAATTCAGTTACATATTTTAACCATACAATATACATAAGAGGGTGCATGCAAACTGGTGCGGGGAGAAGGGAGGTGGGTAGGTTCAGACTGACTTTATCCCTTTTGGTTGAATTCTTATTATTGCTTTTCTTTTTATTATTATTATTATTTTATTTTTTTCTAGACGGAGTCTCGCTCTGTCTTCCAGGCTGGCACAATCTCAGCTCACTGCAAGCTCCGCCTCCTGGGTTCACGCCATTCGCCTGCCTCAGTGTCCCGAGTAGCTGGGACTACAGGCGCCTGCCACCACGCCTGACTAATTTTTTGTATTTTTAGTAGAGACGGGGTTTCACCGCGTTAGCCAGGATGGTCTCGATCTCATCACCTCGTGATCTGCCCGCCTCGGCCTCCCAAAGTGCTGGGATTACAGGCGTGAGCTACTGCACCCGGCCACTTTTCTTTTTTTTATAAGCTACTTTGCTTAAAATAGGAACGACTACATATTTTATATCTTTGAGAGACCGTATTTATATTTTATCAGAAGTTTATTATTTTTTGCTTTAAATATTTGTATATTAGTCCATTCTCACGTTGGTATAACAAACTACTTGAGACCTGGTAATTTATAAAGAAAAGAGCTTTAATTGGCTCATGGTTCTGCAGGCTGTACAGGAAGCATGGCTGGGGGCCTCAGGAAATTTACAATTATGGCAGAAGGGGAAGGGGAAGCAGGCACATCCTACTTGGCTACAGCAGGAGGAAGAGAGAGCAAAGAGGGAGGTGCTACACACTTTCAAACAACCAGATCTTGTGAGAACTCACTCACTATCATGAGAACAGCAAGGGGGAAGTTCACCTCCATGATCCAGTCATCTCCCATCAGGTCCCTCTCCAACAATGGGGATTACAATTCAACATGAGATTTGGGCAGGGACACAAGTCCAAACCACATCAGTTTGGTACAAAGAAGGATGCTACAGTGAGTTTGATTTTTATTATAAGTAATAGTAAAAGGAAAATACCAGAAAATTGCATTCGCAAATGTTTGCTATTGATACACAAAATAAATCTGAGATTCAACTTAAAACAATATCTGTTAATAAACCCATTCATCCTTCTAGTCAACAAAGAAAACCTGCATGGACCACCAAAGACATTGGATGTACCTTTTCATCTCACACTACACCTTCCTTTCATGTCATGCACACAGAGAACCAAAGCAGACATGTGCTAATAAAAAATATCTAAAACACATTCTCTCTTCTGTTTTCCAATAAAATTAATGGGCACTGAATGGCAATTTTCCATGTCCCTAATCTTTATTATGCCAGGAGTTGCACTTGTCATTGTCAATGTTGATCTTTTAAACTCCTTTTTGGAAATGGACAGACACTTTAGGTGACGATGATGAGAAAAATGATTTCCAATAAATGAGATGCCTGCTGGAGGAGGAATAGATATTATGGACAGGTGGATTCTGAGGGTCTCCACATCAAAGCTGTTAGCTGACTTCTAAAATTATCTCTGCATTTTATGGTTATTCAGCAAATCTCTTCTCCCAATAAATAGATCCCCTGTGCCGCTTAAAAAGGCCATGGCATTCATTTCACTCCATTTCACGGAACAGGAACAGCTTGTTGCTGAGATGAATAAGAAGTTAGCCCTGCTATCAGCTGCTTTTTATCCTGCATTTATAAGATGATTGGAAATTTTATAGTAATGATCTCCTCTGGCATTTTTTCTGATAATACTTTTTAAATCTATTGGATGGCAACTTTTTTTCCCCATAAGGAAATCAATTTAGGGTAGTTATTTACTATACATCACATACACACATGATTTGTTTGAAACTGACTACAAACTAGACCTCACCAGAATTCTATTTTCTTCTTTTTTCTTTTTTTATCCCTCGGTGGTTTTGCTGCAATAAATGACTTTAACTCCCTAACGGACTTTTTTTCTAGTCTCCTACCCCTAGAGCTTTCTGTCATCCTGAAGCTATCAGGGAAATCCAAACTTGGAATTTTTATTTTATCCAACCTGTCATAGACTCTGTTTCTGGACCCAGGGGATTATTTTGACTGTGTGTGTGGAACTTCAACTTCATTTTGAATAGAAATCCAAGACTAAACTTGAATTGTGCAGCTTGGTCTTGGACAAACCCTGCCAAATGTTTCTGGTTGAGAGAATTGATAGTTTGCCTTTAATGAGAAAAGTTTATTTCTAGATCTTTTAAAGACGCTATCTTGTCATACTAAAGCAATCATGACAGTGTGTTAAAGAACACAGGTCCTAAACTAATAACTACTTGACATAGCTCTTTCCTTTGTTGACCTGATGTGGCTGCTAATAACCTAAAAGCAGCCACTGTTGCTAAGGATTAAACCATGAGAAAAAAGCAAACGTAAAAAGCAACAACCAAAAAAACAAAAACCTAGTACTCATGATCCCTTCATTTAAAAACTGTCAGGAATGGTATTGAACCAAATTTCCTAAGAATAACCAGTTTTTCTGTGCGTATAATTAACTCTGCTCACTTAAGAGTTATATTTTATATTATAAATAAAAATAATTGCTTTAAGACTGCTTCTGAGTTGGACTTCCTCATTGAAAACATATCCTCTCTGCTTTACACTATATGCAGCATCCTACATCAATGTAATAGAAAAAAGTTCAATTTCCTTCAAATACAGGAAATAGGCTTGGTACCTGTGCTGTATTCATAAATATGTCATCTCATATCCACTACCCTCCCAACAAATTAAAGGTAATTTGGTACAACAAATCATTACTATTCACTCTAATTCTGTAATGGACTGCTAGAAAAATTGAGAACTTGGATGAACTATAAACTTACAGATTATAACAAGTACTTTGAGCCTGCCAAAAACTATAGATTGTGTTGGATCAGTAAAATCTACTGGTTTAATATTTTCAAGTATAGCTTTATATACTTCACCCTAATTTTAATCATAATTTCTTCTTCAGGACAAAATATTTCTCTTTTCCTAGTATCTATTTGTTAGTTTTTTTCCTGAAATCACAGATGAATACCAAAGGCAATTATGTCATCATAATTATCATGAATAATGTTTATTTAGTATTCAACACTGGAGAAAGATTTATTGAATCATAATAGCAATTATAAATTTTCAGACATATTTGCACATATTTTAAAGCATTTGTTTGATCATCTCTGTTGAAAACCTAGGAAAGAAAAATCCTAATGTCCAGGTTTAAACTATCAATTAAAATTTTCCAACCTGATGTGCCATTCATTTTCAATATCATTCCCATAGCTGATAGGTTCAAAGTAGAACCACTGCCACCTTTATATTAAGAAATGCTGTTAGAATGATGTTTTTCTTGCTTCTCTACTCAGGAAACTTCGAATGCAGATTCCTCCTTTGATTGGCCAAAACCTTTTGAACTTTTAGAACATTTGGTGTGTCTGAGTTCCTATTTTGGTCCCTGCCAGGAAGATTCCATCAACTTCTATCTGTGTCACTTATCCTCTTCTGTTGACTTAGCATTTCCTGAAATACAGTCTTCACTGACCTAGTACTCCAGGAAACACCAATTTAGCATGGTAAATTATCATTTTCATTGCTGCCTCAGCATTTCCGGCAAAGATCTTTTTCTCTCTTTTTCTTAGTCTCTTCTGTCAGAGAGCCATGGTTTTGAGGTGAATTTAGAAGTTCAGGACTATTACAGAACATAATGACAGGATGCCCTCAAGTGGTAACAGTTACTCTACCCAGAAAGCTCTAAGTGGTTTACAACATGAATGCACAATTCATCCTGTGGCCTCCTCAGCAGAGGTGGGCAGCATTTTGACAGCTCGTAAAAGCTGAAAGAAATGGAGAAGATATTAAATGTACTTGAAAGGAGATAAAATATATTTAACCAGAAGGAGTATTCTGCATGCCTCAAATTCTTATCCTTAAAACATTGAGACTCTTCCTGTCTACCATTAGGTTTTTACAGCATCTCATTGGTTATGAAAAGTGTTTAGATATATTTACTAGGATGATTGACCTTAGAAATGGTATATTTCATAAAGACCTAGGTTCCACTATTAATCACTCTGAACTTCTCATCTGCAAAGTCACAGTGTAATACATGTGTAAGATTAACATAAATAATGCGACTGTCATGTAGAATGTTGTCATATAAAGTAGGAACACAAGGAAGGATCATTTTAATGCAGTCCCGTTTCTCACATTTATCATCATCAATAATAATAGAACGTAGGAATATTAACTCAGAAATCAGAAGGAAAAACTGATATTTGAAAAGGACTAAAAAAATTAAAATGATGAATTCAAATTAATGTCACAATATGTAAGAAAAATAAGGAACCTCAAACTAAATATTTTCCTAACTCAACTTTCTGTTTTTGTAGCCCCAAAATCTCTATCTTGTTTTGTTTTTCATTCTATTAAGAGGATCAATTCTGGTTAAAATATTCAGTTACTCAAGCCTGCAACCTCGGAATCATACTTGAATCAGCCTTTTCATTTCTCACTTGAATTGTTTGGTTTTCTGAATGTTTCTTCCATCTGTCACCTTCTTTCTACTGCTATCATGAAAGCCTTAATTCAGGTCTTCAGCTGTTTTCATATAACTGGTCTTTTCAGCATCCATCTCTTCTTACAGGTTGTAGTATGTGCTCAATCTAGAAACTATTGTGTTCTTAGCACCTTGTAGGTAATGGTATTAGAGTGAATAAGAGACAATATAAAACTGAGTTCCTTAGCTCAAGACCTTAGTCTCACTTCCTATCTGAACCCTCCTATCTTTTAAAAAATTCTTAATAGCTGTGATTCGCCTAGTAGTTATTTGGTTATTGTGTCCATTTCTGAACTAAATCTGTCCTCTACAAACGGAAGTCCAAAAATACTCCATATCTAGAGTTTTATTAATTTATCCTCACTGAGAAAAAAATGAGGTTGCATTAACTTTGAGATACCAAGCTATACCTTGGCTTTCCACTCAAGTACATTCCAGAAAGTAGCAAATTTAAACCTCAACCCCACAGCTGAATAACAAAACAGATTTTGATCTGTTTTTTTAATAGTAACTTTTCCCTGAATAAACTGCAAAAAAACTAAAAAATTAGCCACACAAAGGCTGAAAAGTTATTAATGCCTTTACTTTCTGTGAATAAAGGAAGTAGTCTCCTAAAGAGCTGTTAGAAATCCACATTTTCTTTCTTCTGTTTTCCATAAATGAAGTTCCATAAATATTTAAGGCATCAATATCACTGCTGTGTGGAAGAGTGCATATAAGGGGGTCTTTCCTGGCTTTTAAGACATTAAAAGTATAGGTGGGAGAGAAAAACAGTAACACTATAACAATTTAAAAGTAAAACTAATTAAAATTGAGAGAAGGTATATTAATCCAATTTTACACTGCTGATAAAGACATCTGAAACTGGGCAATTTACAAAACAAGAGGTTTCATGAACTTACAGTTCCACGTGGCTGGGGAGGCCTCACAATCATGGCGGAAGGCAAAGAGAAGCAAGTCACATCTTATGTGGATGGTGGCAGGCGAAGAGAGAGCTTGTGCAGGGAAACCCCCCCTTATAATACCATCAGATCTTGTGAGACTTATTCAGTGTCACAAGAACAGCACAGGAAAGACCTGCCCCATGATTCAGTTACCTCCCATGGGGTCCCTCCTACAACATGTGAGAATTCAAGATGAGATTTGGGTGGGGACCCAGTCAAACCATATCAGGAGGTAAAACAGAATAAAAGGAATCAATCAAAAAATTTAAAAAGGATGGGGAAAGTAAGAAAAGAGAAGGGAAAAGGAAAAAAGAGAAAGAAAATGAATTAGTAAATTTGGGGATACAAGTGAGTGTTACCAAAGCGTTATTATCTCTCTTTAAGTCTTGGGTTCTTGGAGTTATGACAAACAAATATTATTCTGAGTTTTCTTTAAAATTATGCTTTTTTTCAGTCAGAGTTATTAAATTTATTTGAAATAAGCCATCATAAACTTGTTAAGCATTACCCAGGATAGCATTAGATAAATGGGTTTTGCTAATGTGTATGAAAACTCCAGAAGGTAAGCTTTCACCATAAGAATGAACTAGAGCTAAAGCACTTCTAGAAAACTCAGACCCTTTGAAAGGCTCATTCATTTATTATAAAGTTTGAACATATTTTACAGTGTTATTTCAGTGAAGAATCTCCCTTCCTCAAAATGAGTATATATTTTACTTACGTTTTAAGATGTAAGAATTGAAAGGGACCCATAAAGATAGTTAACTCAAAGACCCAAATGAAATAGTACTTAATACACCTCTGACATGTAGTTTTCACTTCTGTCTTTATAACAAGAAAAACAGAAAACAATCTGAGGAGACAGTAGAATTCAGATAGTTGTAGTAGAGATTGGCTTACCTGGAGCAGAAGCTACTGAAGTCACGAACTTTTAGGAATAGTTAGATCACAATTTTGACAGATTGTTGGAGGCTCTGTATGTACTAACATGACAGTGAGAAACTCCTGAAAGTCATAGTTTTAGAGATGCCCTCTTACTTTTTGTGGTTTTAACTTTTAAGTATCTCTCCAAGTTCTCACTGTAAAGAGCCAATAAAATCCCCTCATGTCTCTGGCAGAGGTAGAGTAAGAGTAATAACGTGAAACACTCAGTGTTTTCTCCAAGCCAAAGGCCTACTCTCCAGGGAAATAGTTTACCAAACTTATTTCACCTGAGGAAAAGGCATGCCTCCCATTCTCGCCCCCTGTAGCCTTCCTATCTCACCAAAAGAGGCATGAGGGCAAGGGAGTGGCAGGGGAATATATTATTGGAGAAACATCTGTGAAGTTCACAGTCCCTAGACATAGGCCCAGTAAAAGAATGTAATTTAATCACAAGATTATAGAACATTTGTTCTCCCTCATACCTTAACACCACCACAACAAGGCTCAAATATAACAGTGGATTACAAATTAACACGCTTCAAGACCCAGACTCTATTTAAGGAGACATTCTTAGGGAAACCTGAAGAAAACAAGGGAGGAACAAAGAGAAAAAAAAAAGACACCACACAAAAGTAAACTGAAGCTTCTTGTCCCTACAGGTGCAGCAGTCCTTAAACACTGCACAACTCCTACCCAAATTAACAAACATGTCCACAATAAAATTGTATTTACCTTAATTTCTGTAAACAATAGCTGCCTGGCTTTCAATAAAACATTACAAGACATAGCAGTGCTCTATTCCCACCCCCAAAAATATTCTTAAGCCAAGAAAGCATTATAAACAGACTCACTTATGACAGAGATATCCAAATCATCTGATAGGAAACATAGATGTAATTAATAAGTCAAGAGCTCTAATTTTAAAAACTAGATAAGTGCAAGAACAGATGTGTTACGTAAGCAGAGAGCCAGAAATTGAAATAATTGTTTTAAATGATAGAAATCAAAAGCACTAATGAATGAAGAATGCCTTAAATATACTCATCAAGAACTAAACATGATTGAGGGAGGATCACTGAGTTTGAAGTTAGATCAATACAAACCTTTCAAAACAAAATGGAGGGAAAACAAAAGGAGGAAAAGTCATCAAAAAGAACATCCAAGAATTGAAGAATTATAGGATGATACAAAAGGTCTAGCACATGCATAATTGGAATTCTAGAAAAAAATAATAGAGTCAAAAAAACTTAAAGCATGGCCAAACATCTTACAACACTAATAACAGACAACAAGTACAATCTAGGAAGCTCAGAGATCAGCAGAATACATATTTCCTCCATGAAGACAAAAAAAAAACAAAAAGAAAAACAAATTTATTTCTAGGCATATCATATTCAATCCACTGAAAGCCAGAGCCAAAGACCATAATGAAAGAGACCAGAGGTCGGGGAAAATACCTCACCTATAGATGAACAAGGATGAGAATTAGGGCAGATTTCTTGTCGGAAATCATGCAAATAAGAAAAGAACAGAGTTAAATATAGTCATGCACCACATAACAATATTCTAGACAAGAACAGACTGCATGCATATATCATGGCATTCCCATAAGATTATAATACTGTATTTTTACTGTACCTTTTGTATGTATAAGGGTTTAGATACACAAACACCATTGTGTTATAACTGCTTAGGGTACTCAGTACAGTAACATGCTGTACAGGTTTATAGCCTAGGAGAAACAGGCTACACCAAATAGTCTAGGTGTGTAGTAGGCTATACCAATGAGGTTTAGTTAAGTACACCCTATGATGTTTGCACAAGAAAGAACTCACCCAATGACACATTTCTTAGAATGTATTGCTGTTTTTAAGAAACATATGATTGTATGTAAAGTTAAAAAAAAGCAAAAACACAGCCTTGAATTTTGCATCCAGTGAAATTATCCTTCAAAAGTGAGAGAAATAAATGTTATCTGATTAAAAACTAAAAAGTGGAAAGAATTCATTAGACCTGCAGATCTATATTTTAAGAAAATATATCTAAAAGTTTTTTAGATAGAAGAAATATATTAAAGGTCAGAAAGTTGTATCTATATAAAGGAAGAAAGATCATGGGTGAAGAAATCAATATTAAAATAAATACTTTTTTATGTTTACTTCATCTATAAGAAAACTATTTAAAGTAATAATAGTAACAGTGTACTGGCTGATGACTTCATATGGATAGGTAAAATGAATGACAACAATGGCATAAATATGGGAAGGAGAAATGGTCTAGAGTTATTTGAAGGTAATTTGATTTGTTTAAAATGTGTATTTAAACTTCTAGGACAACCAGTAGAAAGTATTTAGGAAGAAATACAATATGCTAAGAGAGAAGATAAAATAGAATCATATAAAATGTTCAATTAAAATCAGAAAAGGCAGAAAAACAGGGGAAAATATTCCTTTATATATCAGTCAGGACTGTATTACCATGCCACTTATTTTTATAAATGAAATTTCATTTGGACACAGTCACACTCCTTTATTTACACAATGTTTATGCTGCTTTCTTGCTACAGAGCAGGGTTGAGTCATTGCAAAAGATACTATACGTCCTAGAAGGTCTAAAATATTTGTTATCAGTCTTATTGTGGAAAAAATGGATGATTGACTTCAGATAAAACTATATAGTCCATATTCAAATTTCATTAACTGCCCCAATAATATTCGTTAAAGCTATATATTCCAGGATTCAATGCAGAATCTTTCACTGGTTTACATGTCATTTTTCTTTGGTTTTCTTTTGTGTCTTTTTTGATCTTGACAGTTCTGAAGTGTACATGCCAGTTCTTTTGTAGAATTCCCTTCAATCTGGGTTAAGATTTATTTAGACATTTTTTCGAAGTATAAAAAGTGATATGTCCTTCTCAGTATATCACAACATATTGGTTTTTCCCAATAGTGGAAATTTTTACTGTATTTCATCCTAAGTTTTCCAGTTTTTCCTTTGTATCTGATAGGAAACTTGTGAGGAGATGTCATGGTATTATGTAAATGTCTTGTAACACATTAAAAATTCACTCACTAGTTTTTGCATCTAGTAATAATTTTCTACCTTCATCATTCCTTCTGTATTTTTTATTTGATATTCCCTGTAAGGAAGAGCTTTCATCTTTGTGTATTTATGTATTACTGTTTAATTATTTATTTATTTACTATAGGCCTGAGGATTTTTATTTTATTCAATGAGCTATAATACATTGCTGACATTATTTTGATTCTCAAGTTTTTCCAGTTTTGGCCAAGAGCTCCCTAAGTGTTCATAGTTCCTGTGTCTTATTGGTAGACTCTCATCATGCATAAGTACTTTCTTAATTTCTGGTCTAGTAAGATGCTCAGACACCTTGCCTCAATCTTGGATTTAACTTTTTCTCCAAGGATCTATAGTTCTTGTCACTGGAGAGGGGGATTATAAACCAAGATTTGAGCACTAGTTTTTCACATTATTAATGACTTGCCAATGGCTCTATTCCCCCTCAACATACAGAGCTGGAATACACATGCAAATACACACACTCATGTGTATATAAATATATGCATATATGCACATATTAAAATATTTTCTTATTTCTATCTCTTTCTCTGTTATATGTTTACATGTTTATGCAGAAACATAAAATGATTAATTTAATTATATTTATCTGTGTATATGCATATACATATATATGTGTTTGCATGTATACACATATATATGTGCATATACATTTTATGTGTGTGTTTGTAAAACATGAGTTCATTCTGGGACTTTCAACTTCAATCTGATACTCCAGGGTATATTCAGTGAGATATATATATATGTGTGTGTGTGTGTGTGTGTGTGTGTGTGTGTGTGTTTATATACATATGTGTGTGTATATACATAATGTATGTGTGTGTGTGTGTGTGTGTGTGTATGTATACATGGAACTTCTTTATCCAACAGTGAGAAACTTAGCTCTCATTATATTTAATATTATTTTACACATTTCTCAAGCCAAAAATTCTCAAAAAAATCATTTCTGCATTTCTAACCAATATCATTGTAAAAACAAAATCTACTAACTAGAATTTAAAATTTGGTTATACTCCCTTTGTAATGAGTAAGGTAAAATATACCTGTATATATATCTTAATTATTGCAGTTAGGTGGGTTTTGACAAATGCATACTTCAGTATAACCTATGCCATTGTCATGATATCGAACATTTCCATGTTCCAAGAAAGTTCTATTGTGCCCCTTTGCAGTCGACAAATCTCCTGAAGTAAATACTTTTCTGATCTTTCTTCAATACAAGTTTTTGCCTGTAATGTTCATGTGAATAGATACACACAGTACAAGTATATAGTCTGTGTCTGTTTTATTTTTCTAATCATGTACAGAATTCAGGCCTATTGTGCCATGGGTCAGTAGTTTGTTTCTTTTTATTGCCCAGTATTATTCTATCATTTGTATACACTATAAGTTATCTTTTCTTCTTAGAATAACAATTAATGGCTGTCATAAGAAGTCTTATATCTATGCATTTGCAAAAAGAAAATCCCCTCAGTCCAGTTTCTGCCACGATTCATCTTGATTTTCCTTCTTACACCCAAAAGAATAAGAGGAAATGTCAAAGGAAGCAGATTTATATTCTATTCCATATTTGATCCTTATTCGGCAGCATCTGTTATCTGACTTGCCCCCCATTCTTGTCAAAAATTCAATGTCAGTTCAGGAAAAAAAATATTACCAAACACACAAAAAATTATGTTTCCAGAAAAAGCAATTTGTTGTTCAGAAAAATCACAAGAACTTAGCTCAGCATCAGTTTAAATCTTTGAACATTGTCTTTTAGGCATGCCCTGTAAACACTGCTATTTTCCAACTTTTATCACACTTTTGTTGGAGAATAAACTATGTCCCTTGCAGGAGGGTTTAACACCGTGTTAAATAAAGGTAAACGGGTTAAAAATAGTTGCTTTTTCAGTGCTCATTTACTCTGGAATTTATTGTGTCAATATGAACTCTGAGGCTACACAGGAATGTGGCAGAATTCCGCAACACTTTCAAAGCTGATTTGAATGTAGAACCTGAGAAAAACGTATTCTTATAGGCCAGTGTTCTGCAGAATCATTCTGTTTAAAAGCCTTCTTTTACCCAACCATGTAGATGATGGTGCTTAATTATTCCCATCTCATCAGGAGTATACTACATTCTGACTATTCTATGATAAATCTTCTTTGGCTCCTGTTCTTTACTAGTTTTCTGATAGTCTCATGCTTCTCCAAGCCTATCAGTGTCACAATTCTAAGCTCTACTTACAGAAAATCATTTGCTTACCTATGTCATAGACACAGATAGTTGTCTCTATCCAGCTGAACCAGTCTCTGTGGAGCTCTTACTATACCAACTTCAGCTCTGGTCTCATCCATATCTTCATAGCTTCTTGGTTCTTTTCACACTCAAAGCTTTATGGGCTGAGTGTCCGCCCAGGCGTGCTACTTGGTAAACCAGATGTCCACTGAAGTTATTTAACTTAAAGGGATTGAAATAAAATTGGATCATGGCATCATCTCATGAAATATGGAAAATCTCATTCCCTTCTTCAAGATTTCTTTGAATGTCTACTGACTGAATTTCCTGTTTCTGCTGAGCTCCAGATCCCAACTTCTGTCTCCTTTCCTAGAACTCTTCTTTCTGTTTTAAAAGAAAAAAAAAGTGCAATAGATACTTTCACTTGATCCCACTATACCACTGTTCAAGTGTTGAGAGCTCTGACTTTGAGATCCACCATTTTCCAATTTAACGATTTTCCAAGACTTTATGCTTTTCAGTTAACTTTGCATCTTCTATCTTTTCAGAAATTTATTTTTAAAACATGTAAAATGCAACAAAATGAAACAGCGATTTAAATTCATGGCAAATTGTCTCCTAAACTTCAAGCTCACTGGACCTAGCATCCGTAGTTCCCCACACATTATTACTATGGTGCTATTACAGTTCCTTCTTCTAAAATATTATAATTGCTTTCTCTAAATTATAAAATATCTTTCATTTTGTCTTATTAAATGTAGAATAAATCTATTTTACTATGTTAGTAGTAGTAAATACTATTGTACGTCATTGATAAATAATGACACTAAACATTAAAATTAGAATAGTAAACATCATTAAAAGAATTATTTTTATCAGTTTTATTAACAAGAAGAAAATTAACCAATTGGTAAATATTTTCTCCCTTTCAGTACTCACTTGTTTCATGCATTTTCTTTGTGGTTTTAAATTGAAGCATGAAACAGTCATTTGATAGAGTATCATGGTTAAATTATGATTCAGGAAAGCTCTTACTCACACAGTGGATTTTTATGAGTGTCTTAATTGTGGAGCTAATGCAAGCTATAGATTTATGCTGATTAAATCCAGATGGCTCACCCTCTTCATCCTTAAAAGTTTAAATTTTCAGTTACCGATTCTCCTTTCTTTACTGTTTATTCTCAGTAACAATATCTCTCTTCCTTATTTTGAAAAGATATTATATACTTTATGTTACATTTGGTCTAAATTGTCTGCATGTTAGTGTTTGATTTAATGATTTTTAAACCCATGGTCAAAGTATACTTTCTGAACATCAATAGCTCTCACATTCACAAAAAAGATTGTCTTCTTTCTGCAGTTTAAAATAATCATTTAATTTGAAGAAAAGGAAAATCAACTTGCAGAACAACCCAACTTTATCTGTGTTTGTGTTGACAATATTTAATAAAGTTGTTTGAAAAAGACTCAGAGCTTTAGCCAGGTTTGACTTTGAAAGGCATATATATAATAATGGCTCCCTAGTCCCCAGTCATTCAACAAAAGAAATTAAAAAATAATAATTAGAAAATCCGTTGTCTAAAATGAATTTTCTTACTGTGGCTAAATGATTGCAGAGTAATACTGTAGTGGTATGATTAACTCTGAGAAAGACACAATGATTACCGCAGATTTACCATCGCTGTTTCTCAAAAGCTGGTCACTAGTGTCTTATGCCCACTGATATGTGGAAGAATCAAAATGTGAGGTCCCTTTGGTTGTTTACATTACATACAAAATGGAAATAGATAAATAAATAAATACAGAGGGGGTAGGTAAATGAAGAATCAGGTAAAACAAAATACTGTCACCTTTCTTTAGCTCATGATCCTGTTCCATAATTCTTCAATTCTACTGCCGTTATCGAGGATATTTCCTGTGACCCTAGGAACCCTAGAAATAGGCTATTTCTTATTTTCTTTAAAGGTCCTGTAATTTCTTGCCTATCTCTTTTGCCCAAGTTCTTGTTTATATCCAACATGTCCTTTACTTCACAAATTTACATTCTGTCTTTCCATTTAGAATTTGCCTTGTTCTTCATAAAAACATCCCCAATTTCCCAGGAAGAAGAAACGGTCTGTGTTTTAACTTCTGTAGATGATCTACTCTCTAATGGAATTCATTATGCTGTGATTTGTATTCTCGCATCGGGTTTGTTTAGGGTGGTTGTATATTGCTTCTGACTATCACTGCAGTTATTTATGTACATATTTCATCTCCATTGCCAGATGATAAGCTTCTAAACAAGGCTTCTGTTCTGTATCATCTTTGTAGCAGTCACAAGACCAGAATGATGTTTGCCAGATGGCAATTGCTCACACATTTGTTAAATATATAACATTCTAGCCCTTAAGAAGGTCACCATTACCTCTGTGGAAGACCCTACAGGTCACTCTCCTATCTAGTGTATATAGTTAGTAAAGGTATCAAGGTGTTCTTATCTGGAGTTCATAAACTGCCCACCCCCACCCCCCCACTAAAAAGCAGTACTCTACTAGCTTGCCTTCCATGGCAAAGATCCTTTTAAAATGACAAAATTAAACAGAGTGAAGAACCAAACAGATTTTCTTTAAAGTAATGGATTTTTATGAAAAGACCATCATCTCAGTGAGGGCAGAGGTCAGAGTCTTCTTTATCTTCCAGGAGAACCAGAAAACTAGCTAAGTCTTTGGTGAGCTTATTGGAGTTTAAGAGAAAGAGTCTGTCATTTTTAATATAATTAACAGTCAATACCTGAAATATCTGATATAATTGTCAGTTGGCATGATGTTCCAATGGTTATGATCTGTAATGTCTACATAATTTTTCATGTCTATTTACATAAATTGTAGGGTTTTTTCATGAATTACTGAAGGTGATTGTATTTCTTTTTTTTTTTTTTTTTTGAGACGGAGTCTTGCTCTGTAGCCCAGGCTGGAGTGCAGTGGCGGGATCTCGGCTCACTGCAAGCTCCGCCTCCCGGGTTCACGCCATTCTCCTGCCTCAGCCTCCCAAGTAGCTGGGACTACAGGCGCCCGCCACTACGCCCGGCTAATTTTTTGTATTTTTAGTAGAGACGGGGTTTCACCGTTTTAGCCGGGATGGTCTCGATCTCCTGACCTCGTGATCCGCCCGCCTCGGCCTCCCAAAGTGCTGGGATTACAGGCGTGAGCCACCGCACCCGGCCAGGTGATTGTATTTCTTAGTACTTTAAAGTTTTCTAGGTTTAAATAGGTGGTACATTATTGTACCAAAAAAGGTATAAAAATAAACTATTTGGAGGGAATACTTTTCACCAGGCAAGCAAGATGAAGTTTAAAGTTGCTGCCATTTTACTAGAAAGTAAGTCAATCTGGGAAGGCAATGCTGTGACTCACACCCCATGGCACCCCTAAGCCACATTGTCAATCACTGTGCTCCTTTGGTTTCATCTTGCAGTTTTACTTCTATTGCTTTAGAAGCTCAGGACTCATAAAGCCAAAATCCCTCCATTAGTCCAGAAACAGAAAGAAAAGAGTCCTTGGAATTTATCAAATATGTATTGAAATTAATATTATTATACTTTCTGTTTTCAATCCATTTAAATCAAATCTGGTCTTCCCTAAGTAGAACTTTCCCTTTGGAAAATTAAAAACCGTTTGTTATTATTAATAGTAAAAATAAAATAATAGTAATAAATAATCTCATATGAATAACGTCCTTCTTTTCCCTTTCCTTACACTATAAATCTGAACTTTGTTCTTCAAATTTCTTATTTTATAGGCAATTGCAAAATTCAAATGTCTATATTCTTAGAAGTTGATAGGAAGAGGTCAAATTGCATTATGAGGTATTAAACAAAAATTATGTGAGACCATTGTGTTGGACTGAGCTACTGCACTAGGCCCCAACAGACCAGACAAAGCCAAAATGGAGTCACTCATGCTAAATACCACAAAGCAAGCAGATCGATCTTAGGACTGTCTTTTTTTTTTTTTTTTTTTTTTTTTCCTGAAAACGGAAGATTGCATCTTCCTGAGTCAGAGTAATTAGGATGTGCCCTGTGCTTTAACCCTTGAAAAATGTAACTGGAAGTAACCTGATGTTAACCAATTTATTCATTTTGTTTGTTTGGTTGGTTGGTTTTGTTTTTCCTATTGTTCTGTTTCTTGGTTTCCCATTTACAAAACCCACTGTTCTGGTATTGCCCAGTGGGAATACTCATTCTTTTTTGTAGACTGGAGGTTGCCTTAGTTCATGAATCACAAATAAAAGCCAATTATATCTGTAACTAAATTTGTCATAAATACAAGATGGTAGCTTTGGCTCTGGTTCTTTTTCTCTGGAAGGCAGAATGTCCAAATGCTCTCTGTCTGAAGTTCCCTCTCCTTCCCATTCCACTATTGCTTACTCTGCTTATTGTGATTGACATTTAATGAGTTTACAAGAATTATTTCCTTAATATTCTAAAATGGAAGACAATATTTTTTCTACTTTTTTTGAGATGCTATTAATGCATATTGTTTGTTGAACTCTCTTTTACCACTCCTGAATTTCTTCTGACCTCAATGAGTGACTGATAGGGGAAAGCAAGTCTCTAGAACATCCCTAGCTTAACTCTCTTAGGATGGACCATTGGAAAAGTGGGCTCTGTTGTTTCAAATGCATTCATTTCCTTCCACTGAGATCTGTATTTCATGCTGGAGGCTCATTTTTCCTGGAATGCCCTGAAGTACGTGAATTTTCAAGAAGCCCCTAGAAATCTTTCAAGAATTTTATTTCCTTTTAACTTCCCGGTGCTTCCTGTTTTCAAGCAGTTTTCAAGCAGGAATCTCTTAAGTGAGAAAAATGAAATGTGTTTGTTTAGAAAACATTCTCCCTATACAACTTTCCTTAAGCAGGATGAGAGAAATCCTGACCTGTGCACTCCACAGGGAGCTTCACAGTTCCTGCTTACTGAGCAGATGATGTTTTATGAGACAAAAATAATAATTCTTTTTTGCCTTCCCTTCTTCTTTCTCTCTTCCTCTGGAAAACAGAATCCTATCAACATATGCTCCCTACTTTTTCTGATGTCTCATAGAGAGTTCCTAGCAACTTAAATACTTGAATGCTCTATAACCTTGCCTAACCTTTTTGACCCAATCCAATTTCTTGCAGAAATCAGAGTAATTCCTCTTTAGATACGAGCATGAATTAGAGGACTAGTCTCCAGTGAATGTCTTTGCTGAATCTTCCACATGAAGCATGAAATATTATTTTATACATGAGGTTATTTTTCTACCATCGTTATGAAAGGAATATTTGTGCTAACTTGAAGTGTCTTGGTAATGAGATACACATTTCATTCTTAATTAAAATATATACTTCTTAGACATTTTTCTGCAAGAGAAATGAAGCTAAGAAAAACATTAGATTGAACAAATCTTTCTTTTCCTTGTACTTTCAATTTTCTGAATAATTTTTCTCTTCATTTCCTGCATTATTTCCTTGGTTATATAACATTTTCCACAGTTTTGTCTCCTTCTTCTTCCCTTTTTTTTTGGTAATGTGTTCAATGAACACATGTTTATCAAGTATCTTCTGTTAACTTTTCTCTCATTGCTTCCACAAATAATAATTAACATTTTATATGGGCCAAGCATTTTAGTAGGCTTAGACTAATAACCAAATCAGGTATGCACCCTGTCCTTAATGAGCTTACAATCTAATGATGAAGACAGTTATTCAACAGACAAATAGACAAATACATGTATAATTACATATGGCATAAGTGCTGTAGGGGAAAAGTGCTAGTCACTGTGAGATAAATTCATATTCTTGGTCACTTGAATGCAGAAGCAAAGGAAAATAAAGAAAATGATTGCAAAAAAGAGATATATGAAACAGAGAAATAGGTATTTGAGAATAAGAAAACTAGAAGTAGTAGTAGCTGGCATTTAAATAAATACTTGTAAGTATTTAAGTCTTGTAAGTGTTAATACTAAGTGAAAGATCTAGAACATTGACTACTTACAATAAATAAACTCTTACAATAAATAAGGTAGGTAACATTACTATTTCCATTTTGCAAGAAGAACACTGAAACACAAAGAGATTATTTGGCTTGCATAGGGGGGTAAAGTTAAAATCAGAAATTAGTCTGTGTCAAAGCATCCGACATGGACTAATTCCACTAGTTAAAATTTTATAAAAATGGTTTTATTTTTGTCTATTATATGATCATTAAAAATATTTTTATGGCTACTCACAAGCATGTTCTCTATATTGTTATTTTTCTTTGTCTGCTTCAACTGGCAAGTAGATGTAAAAAAAAATGTTTTTATCTCATAAAACCATTGTGTTTCTGCCCAAGCCTCCTGTAGTCTTTATATTATGTTATCTTCTATGTCTTAACCCATCCTTTCATTTCAAATTTTTGTGACTCATGTTGTTTCCACTTTTTTATTTTACATGGTATATACTTTTTCTTTTTGAGCCAATACTTGATATAAAAGTTATGTTTGATCTGGCCCTGCCACCTTGTTTTAAGAGACAATTTCTTCATTTCTTTTGGGAAGGTGGATTGAACATATACCTCTTCAGCTATGTTAAAAGAATCATTTAAGTGCCACCTACTGGATCACACCCCAAAGCTTCAACATCAAAAATATCTTGCTAACATACCCCACTTCTGAAACCAGAGACAAGAAACCAGCTTCCAATAAAGACTGCACAAAGCCCTGGCCTAGTGAAAACATCCAGAAAATAAGTCTACTGACTGCACTCAATCTACACTTCATGTAAAGGAACACCCACATGCAGAGATGAGAAAGAACCAACGCAAGAACTCTAATAACTCAAATAGGTCCTCCAACAAGAGTTCTTAACCAGGCAGAGCTGGCTGACAGGAATAGGATTCAGAATATGGATAGGAACAAAGATCATCAAGATTCAGGGGGACAGCAAAACCCAATCCAAGGAAAATAAGAATCACAATGAAATGGTACAGGAGCTGAAGGATGGAATAGCCAGTATAAAAAAGAACCTAATGGATTTGATGGAACTGAATAACACAATGTACAAATTTCAAATGCAATCACAACTATTAACAGCAGAATAGATCAAGCTAAAGAACAAATCTTAGGACATGAAGACTGGCTCCCTAAAAACAGACAGTCATTGACGGGAGCAGTGGCTCATGCTTGTAATCCTAGCACTTTGGGAGGCTGAGGGGGGCTGATCACTTGAGGTCAGGAGTTTGAGACCAGCCTGGCAAACATGGTGAAACCCCGTCTCTATTGAAAATAACAAAAATTAGCCAGAAATCACTTGAACCTGGGAGGCGGAGGTTGCAGTGAGCTGAGATTGTGCTACTGCACTCCAGCCTGGGCAACAGATGAGACTCTGTCACAAAAAAAAAAAAAAAAGAAGACAGTCAGACAAAAATAAAGAAAACAGAATGAACAAAACCTCCAAGATGTATGGAATTATATAAAGAAGCCAAATCTATGAATCATCAGCATCTCTGAAAAGGAAGAGGAGAAAGCCAGCAACATAGAAAACATATTTTAGAATATAATCTGTGAAAACTTCCCTAACCTTGCTAGAAAGGCCAACAGTGAAATTTGGGAAATACAGAGAACTCCTGCTAGATTCTACACAAGAAGATCATTCCCCAGAAATATAATCATCAGATTTTCCAAGGTTGAAATTAAAGAAAGAACACTAAAGGCAGCTAGAGAGAAAGGGCAGGTCACCTACAAAGGGAACCCCATCAGGCTAAGAGAAGACATCTCAGCTGAAACCCTACAAGCTAGAAGAGTTGGGGAACCTATATTCAATATTATTAAAGAAAAATATCTCCAACCAAGAATTTTATATCCAGCCAAACTAAGTTTCCTAAGTGAAGGAGAGATAAGATCATTTTCAGATAAGCAAATGTTGAGGGAATTCATTCCACCAGACCTGCCTTACAAGAGATCTTGAAAGGAGCATTAAATATAGAAGGAAGAATGCTATCAGCCAATACAAAAACACATTTACATATGAAGACCGGTGACACTATAAAGCAACCAGACAAACAAGTCATTGCAATAACCAGCTAACAATACAATGACAGGATCAAATCCACATATTTCAATACTAAACTTGAATGTAAATGGGATAAATGATCCACTTAAAAAGCACAGAGTGGTAAGCTAGACAAAAAAGCAGGAGCTAATGATATGCTGTCTACAAGAGACCCACCTCACAGGTAATGGCACCTATAGACTAAAAGTAAGGGATAATGGAAAATCTACCAAGCAAATGGAAATCAGGAAAAAAAAGCAGAAATTACAATCCTAATTTCAGACAAAACAGATTTTAAACCAATAAAGATAAAAAAAGGACAAAGAAGATATTACATAATGGCAATTATGTAATAATTACCATAATTAACATAATTAACACAGCAACAAGGCTTAACTTTTAAATATGTATGCACCCAACACAGGAGCATCTAGATTCATAATGCAAGTTCTTAGACACCTGCAAAAGGTCTTAGACTCCCACACAATAATAGTGGGAGACTTCAATATTCCACTGAAAGTATTAGACAGATCATCAAGGCAGGAAATCAACAAAGATATTCAGGACCTGAACTCAACATTGAGCCAAATAGATCTGATAGACCTCTATAGAACTCTCCACTTGAAAACAAAGAATAGACATCATTTTTTTTGCCACAGGACACATACTCTAAAATTGACCACAAAATGTCCAATTGGACATAAAACAATCTTCAGCAAATGCAAAAGAACTGAAATCCTACCAAACACACTCTTGGGACACAGCACAATAAAAATAGAAGTCAAGACTAAAAAAATACCTCAAACTCAGGCAATTACATGGAAATTAAACAACATGCTCCTGAACGACTTTTGGATAATGAAATTAAGGCAAAAGTCAAGAACTTATTTGAAACTAATGAGAATAAAGATACAACATGAGTGAATCTCTGGGACACAGCTAAGGCAGTGTTAATAGTGAAATTCATAGCACTAAATGTCCACATCAAAGAGTTACAAAGATCTCAAATGAACAGCCTAACATTACAACTGAAAGAATTAGAGAAGCAAGAGCAAATAAACCCGAAAGCTAGCAGAGGACAAGAAATAACCAAAATCAGTGCTCAACTGAAGGAAATCAAGAAACATAAAACCGTTCAAAAGATTAACATATCCATAAGTTGTTTTTTTGAAAAAATTAATAAGATTGGCCACTAGCTAGAATAATAATGAAGAGAGGAGAGAAGACTGAGATAAACACAATTAGAAATGACAAGGAGGATGTTACCACTGCCCCCACAGAAACAAAAATAACCATTAGAAACTACTACAAAAACCTCCATACAGACAAACTAGAAAACCTTAGAAGAGATGAATAAATTCCTGGACACATTTATCCTCCCAAGACAGCCAGGAAGAAATTGATTCTCTGAACAAACCAATAACAAGGTCAAAAATTCAATCAGCAATATATAGCCTACCACCACCACCACCAAGAGAACAAAACCCGGGACCTATGGGTTCATACCTGAATTCTACCAGATGTACAAAGAATAGCTGGTACCATTCCTATTGAAACCATTTCAAAAAACTGAGAAGGACAGAATCTTCCCCAACTCATTCTATGAGGCCAGCATCATCCTGATACAAAAACATTGCTGAGACACAACAACAACAACAGAAAACTTCAAGCTAATGTCCTTGATAAATATGGATGCAAAAAGCCTCAACAAAGTGCATGCAAACTGAATCCAGCAGCCCATCAAAAAGCGAATCCACCACAGCAAGTAGGCTTCATCCCTCAGACGAAAAGTTGGTTCAACATATACCATTCAATAAATGTGATTCATTACATAAAGAGATCTAAAGACAAAAACCACAGGATTATCTCAGATGTAGAAAAGGCATTCAATAAAATTCAACACATCTTCATGTTAAAAACTCCCAATATACTAGGTATTTAAGGAACATACACAAAATAATAAAAGCTGTCTATGAAAAACCCAAAGCCAAATTCATATTGAATGGGCAAAAGCTGGAAGCATTCCGCTTGAAAACCAGCACAAGACAAAGATGCCTTCTCTAACCACTCCTATTCCACATAGTATTGGAAGGTCTAGCCAGAGCGATCAGGCAAGAAAAAGAAATAAAGGGCATCCAAATAGGAAGAGAGGCATTCAAAGTATCCCTGTTGGCATAGAACATGATTCTATGTCTAGAAAACCCTATAGTCTCAGCCCAAAAGTTCTTTTAGTTGATAAGCAACTTCAGCAAAGTTTCAGGGTACAAAATCAATGTGCATAAATCACTAGCATTCCTATACACCAACAACAAACAGCCAAGCTGAGAGCCAAATCAGATATGAAATCACATTCAAAATTGCCATAAAAAACAAAATACCTAGGAATACACCTAACTAGGGGGGTAAAAGATCTCTACAGTGATATTACAATGCCCTGCGGAAAGAAATCAGAGAGACACAAACAAATGGAAAAACCTCCCATGAATCAACATCACTAAGATGCCCATATTGCCCAAAGCAATGAACAAATTCAATGCTATTCCTGTCAACTTACATTGAGATTCTTCACAGAACTAGAAAAAAAGTATTTTAAAATTCATGTGGAATCAAAGAAGAATCCAAATAGCCAAGGCAATCCTAAGCTAAAAGAACAAAGCTGGAGGCATCACATTACCCAACTTTAAACTAATATACTGAGGGCTACAGTAAACAAAACAGCATAGTACTGGTACAAAAACAGACACATAGACCAGGGGAACAGAATAGAGAACTGAGAAATAAGACCTCACATCTATAACCATCTGATCTTTGACAAACCTGACAAAGACAGGCAATGGGGAAAAGATTCCCTATTTAATAAGTGATGCTGAGAGAACTGGCTAGCCATATACAGAAAATTGAAACTGGACCCCCTCCTTACACCTTATACAACAATTAACCAAGAAGGATTAAAGGCTTAAATGTATAACCTAAAACTATAAAAAACATAGAAGACAGGATATAGATTTCATGATGAAAACGTCATGGCACGGCAAAAGATTTCATGACGAAAACATCAAAAGCAATTGCAACAAAAGCAAAAATTCATGAATGGGATCTAATTTAGCTTAAGACCTTCTGCATAGCAGGAGAAACTATCAACAGAGTAAACAGACAACCTATAGAATGAAAGAAAATATTTGCAACTATGAATCTATTAAAGATCTAATATCCAGGCTCTATAAGGAACTGTAACAAATTTACAAGAGAAAAATAACCCATCACAGTGTAGGCAAAGGACATGAACAGACACTTCTCAAAAGAAGACGTACATGCGGCCAACAAGCAAATGAAAAAAAGCTCAATATCACTGATCATTAGGGAAATGCTAATCAAAACCACAGTGAGATTCCAACTTACACCACTTACAATGTCATTAATAAAAGCCCAGAAATACAGATGCTGTTGATGTTATGGAGAAAAAGGAACGTTTATACACCATTGATGTGAGTGTAAATTAGTTCAACCATTGTGGAAAGCAGTATGGCAATTCCTCAAATGATAGTCAAGCTTTTAGCTGACCCAGCAATCCCATTACTCACTATACACCCAAAGGAATATAAATCATTTTACCATAAAGACACATGCACATGAATGTTCATTGTAGCACTATTCACAGTAGCAAAGACATGGAATCAACCTAGATGCCCATCAATGACAAATGGGATAGAGAAAATATGGTGTTTATACACTATGGAATACTATGCAGCCATAAAAAAGAATGAACTTGTGTCTTTTGTGGGAACATGAATGAACCTGGAGGCTACTATCATTAGCAAACTAACGCAGGAACAAAACACCAAATATCACATGTTCTCATGTATAAGTAGGAGCTAAATGATAAGAACTTATGAACACAAAGACAAGAAAACAGAGACTGGGATCTACTTGAGGGTGGAGGATGGGAGAAGGGAGAGGAGCAGAAAACGTAACTATTGTGTACTAGGCTTAATACCTGGATAATGAAATAATGTACACAACAAACTCCCGTGACACAAGTTTATCTAAATAACAAACCTTGACAAGTACCCCCAACTTTAAAAGTTAAAAAAAGAAAAAAAATATTATTTAACATATATTTAACAAATATTTAACAAGATAATGAATTTGGCATATTATTTTGGTTTGTTAAATTTATCACAAATAAATCCAGAATAATTAAGATATTAGCTATACTATATTAGAAAAGAAATCAGTCTCTTTTAATACATGGAGCATGGAAACCTCTCTTCTGATGTTCCTTATTAATTTGAAAATAAACATATCCCTTCAGAGGCAATCTTTTTGTCATCTCATTTGGAGTTCTGGAAAGACTACTACCACAATGATATCTAGATAATTATTCAAATATTTGACAGAATTTTGTGCACATGCAGGTAGCTCTTACAGATTAATTTGTCCTTTTAGACATCCATCTACTTATTAGAATGCTACTGGAATCTAGAGAGCTTTATTATTAATTTTGAGGGAAAGTCTTGCTATGGTTCTTCATGGCTTTTCTTTCTTTCTTTCTTTCTTTCTTTCTTTCTTTCTTTCTTTCTTTCCTTCCTTCCTTCCTTCCTTCCTTCCTTCCTTCCTTCCTTCCTTCCTTCCTTCTTTCTTTCTTTCTTTCTTTCCTTCTTTCTTTCTTTCTTTCTTTCTTTCTTTCTTTTCTTTCTTTCATTTTTTTTGAGACAGAGTCTCACACTGACACCAGGCTGGAGTGCAGTGGGGCGATCTTGGCTCACTGCAACCTCCCACTCCCTGGTTCAAGCGATTCTCCTGCCTCAGCCTCCCGAGTAGGTGAGATTACAGGCATGTGCCACCATGCCCAGCTAATTTTTGTATTTTTTAGTAGAGATTGGGTTTCACCATGTTGTCCAGGATGGTCTCGGTCTCCTGACCTCGTGATCTGCCAGCCTCGGCCTCCCAAAAGTGCTGGTTTTATAGGCGTGAGCCACCATGCCCGGCCTAGATGCCTTATTTCTCTATTTTATGGCAAATTTCTATGAAAAAGTAATATGAAAGTGTATTTAAAATAAAATATATTAATTTAGTTATGCCAGTTTTCAAAATAAAAGACATCATTTTAAAGATCAGTGAATTTAATTCATTATTTTATTTCTTTTTGCCGAAATGTTACAATAACCAATGTCAGAAAACAAAATGAGTTTTATCGAAGTTTTGAAACATAGTTTCTCTAATTCTATGACTATTCGTGCTTACTTGAAAACTGTGATAAGTTAACCTGAATAATCAGACTAATTTACTTGTTTACAAAGTATATTTTTAAAAGAAAATGTAATTCCCCACGTGTGCACACACACACACTTAGCCTGCTACTGCCTCTGTTTAAGTGTACACAAATGCTTGAAAACCTTTCAACATTATAAGGCATTGTGGGTAGGGCTTGTGTCTGTCTTACTCATTGCCATATCCCTAGTCTTCTAATATAGTGTGGCCACATAATAAGAGATAAGTACGTATTGAGATAATACAGGAATGAAATTTAGATGGTTCTTAGGTTTCAAGTGATCAACTATTTGATTGAGCAACAATAACTCATGTGGTTATTTTTTTTTCATTTTACACTTTTTCAAATGATTTTACTAAGATAACTATTCAATCTTGTGTTAATTCAACAGGTACATGGTGCCCATGGCCTGAGAAGCAAAGAGAAAGAATGAATTAAATGTTTTTGATAGTCATAAAGACAATTTGGAAAAATATAAAAGATACTTAATAGGGAATATTCAAAATGTCACATTATCAAACCTGAAATCAATCCTATGAGTTGGACAGGAAAATTATCCTGGTTTCATAGCTGACGAATCTGATGCCCAAATGGTTCAATACTTGACCTTAGTTATATCACTAATGAGTAGAAAACAGAGAATTAGAATTCTGCCAGCTCTCCTGATACCAAACCCAGTGTATTTTTACATGCACAGAAATGCAATTCTGGTTCTTTAATTGATTCAAAGCAGGGACTGTTTTTGATTATTGGAAGCAAATTGAGGTAAATATCTCCTCGGAGATGTATACAGTAAACATGAATAATTTCAGTCTTCCTAATTCTAGGCAACATTAATTATTTTAAAAAATGAATCAAAACAAAACAAAATTATTGTTTGATCATAGACATTTTTACAGAAAATAATAAATACCCACTTAAAATGCATTTATTAATTTTAAGTCACTTTTCTTTTTCCGGAAGTATTACAGGATGCAAAAAGATGTGTGATAATGTAGTTATATAAAATGTGCACTGTCAGCTACCTTGGCTCATCAAAGTCTTCAAGGTCCTTTAAATCCCAATTTAAATAACTCAATTCCTTTAAGCATTGTACCTAACCATAGCAATTTTACAGGTCCTCTAAAGGAAATTAATTCATGTTTGTTTTGTTAAGTCACTCCTTTTTGTTATTGAGTTTTGAATAACTTTTTCATATTCAATCTCATCCATGTTCAGCCATTACACCTCAGTTTACTCATCTGTACAAAATATTAGAAAAAATCCTGGACATGACTGTGAAAAACGAAGGAGGTATATTTATATAGTATTTTACCACTGCTTGATACAAATAAACTTTCAATAATTTTTAGATAGCATTAGCAATTGTTCACCTCCATAATAATGCTGGAATGAAGTTACTGTCCTAATTTTGAAAAACAAGAGAACTTAGATCTGGATAGTTAGAAAACTTGCTGAAATCCACACAGGTACAAAGAGGCAAAGTCAAAACTTAAGGTTATTGATGTTCAAGTTGACAAGCACATGCTCCTGCAAGTATGGGGAAAAGGAAAAACTAAATAAAGCATATGAATTGTGAGACAGACACAAGGGAGGTGGGTAATTAGGATAAGCTGGGGTGGGAGTTAGGGAGAGAATGAAGTCTTGCCTCAGGCCTTTGTTATCAAAGGCCTTGCCCAATCCCCTGTTTCTCCGCCATAAAATATCTTGAAATAATGATGGTTTGTATTAACCACTAGCATGTATTGAGCATTTAGTATATAGCAAGCCCCTTCATAAGCACTTTTCCTGAGCTTGCCCAATGGCTCCACAGTCCCCTTTACAAATAAGGAAACTAAGGCTCAGTTAAGGGGTAACAGAACAGTGTTTCAACCTGGGTGGTCTTACCTTAGAAACCTAGACTCTGATAAAAAGTTGTGCCAGCTTTTTCCAGAGCATCAGTGAATAGCAAATAAATGGGGTGATAAATGTGATTAGATGGGAGTGATTTGAGAAATTCAACAATCTATATTATTAAAATCTCCTTGTAATTATTAAAATCTCTTCTCCCCTCCCTCATTGTGTGATTTTGGATGAATTGTTTGATATCTCAGTCTTCTTAAATGAGGACGGTGATAGCTTCTGCTCAGAGCAGTCTGGTAATTGAAGGGAGAGAGTATCAAGCGCCTAACTCTGTTGCTGGCAGGACTCAAACTTGAAAGTTGTCACTCACCCCACATATGCCTATCTCTGATCTTTAGTGTACATAATAGAAGTCCAGAATTAGCACGAATTTCACACTCAGTGTTAGAAAGTCACCTTGTCCCTTAGAGTGTGTCTCCTCTACAGAATTTACACTCCTAATGGTTTGGCTAAATTTTTGCCTCACCTTGGTTAATCATTATCTTAATTGCTGATTTTCATGCCTAATATAGATAAATATTTTTAAAATTATCTGGGGAACTTAACACTGACCCAGGAAAGCTTTATGCTGTCATGCAGAGGGAATTAAGCTAGTCACAATCAAATCTTCCCTCATCAATAACCAATTTAAACCATTATCCCAATTTAATATCATTCTGAAAGCAGTCTTAATCAATTTAGACTTGATAGACTTCCTGAAAGAATTGCCTAATTAAACTCTCTATACAATAAAATGATTCTGCTTAGTCATCCCAATGATGATAGGAAACAAGAAAACAGAGGAGACGAAAATTTGGTACTTAACCATCAGAAAACACCCAGTAGAGTTTAGAGGCAACGGGTCTAATGCCTTCTCACAGAGATATTGTGAAAGCACAGAGATAAATCACATGAAGAATGTTTAAGAAGCATTCTGAAAAGAGAGCAGTAATTATGTGTTTTCATACCACAGGACTCTCACTTTGGCATTCTTTCTCTTTGTTGAGTTCCTGACTTTCTGTAAACCCAGAGGCTTGTCTCTCTTCCATTCCCAGAGTCGTCATGTACAGTTGTGCAGGCTGTTTACTCCACAAAATTTTGAAGAGGTAATAAATGGAGTCTGAAGCACAGCTCAGGTGTTTCCTGGTCCATGAGGTTGTCTATGGAGCACTGTCCATTTAGAAAATGAAGCTCTTTTCTAATTTACAACAACATGCCCTAACCTTATTCTATCCTTCCTGTATTACTTTTCTAGGGTTGCCATAACGAATTATCATTCTCTGTGACTTAAAACAACAGAAACTTATTATTTTACAGTTGTAGAGGCTAGAGTATAAAATGAGGGTGTCAGCAGTGCTGCACACACTCTGAAAGCTCCAGGGATGAATCCAGTCCTTGCCTCTTCCAACTTGTGTCAGCTGTCAGCATTCCTTGGCTTGTGAATGCTTTTCTCTGTCATTCATCTTTACATCACCTTCTTCCCTGAGTGTCTGTTTTATACCCTTTTGTTTCTCTTTTATAAGGATACTTTTGGTGTTATTCAGGTCCATCTACATAATCAAAGGAAATATCTCAAGATCCATAACTTAATTATATCTGCAATGATCCCTTTCCCAAATAAGGCAGCATTTACAAGTTCCAAGGATTAGGACTTGATATCTTTGGGTGGCCACTATTCATGCAACTATACCTCCCAAAATGCTTCCGCATAACAGCCTGATCTTAGAGACAGCATGATGGACAGAGCACAGTTTTTCAGACAGATAAGGGGTTCCAAGCACACCTACATCTTAGTGGTATTAGGGACAAGGAATTTAATTTAGCCATGTTATTGTAAAACTTGGGGAAGATGTATACACCAAGGCTGTCCAACAGAGCTTTAGAGGTGATGGCAATGTGGCAGATGCTCCCAAAGTTAAGGCTGCAAATTTTCTGCCTGGCTTTTTACACCATAGTTCTTTGACCTGTTGGAGAGAAGACAATCCTGAGACACATAGAAAGTTGTTTACCAATTCTTTTTATGTGCCACGACATCCTTGTTTGTTGAAAAATAAGCTCTGCAACCTGTTTCTGGTAAAAGCTTAGCATTCACATAGTGTATGGCCCTGATAAACCAGATATGATCTTGGGACATTCACTTTTCTTTATTATTATTATTATTATTATTACTACTATACTTTAAGTTCTGGGGTACATGTGCAGAACGTGCAGGTTTATTACATTGGTATACATGTGCCATGGCAGTTTGCTGCACCCATCAACCCGTCATCTACATTAGGTATTTCTCCTAATGGTATCCCTCCCCTAGTCCCCAAGCCCCCTACAGGCCCCGGTGTGTGATATTCCACTCCCAATGGCCATGTGTTCTCATGGTTCAACTCCCACTTATGAGTGAAAACATGTGGTGTATGGTTTTCTGTTCTTGTGTTAGTTTGCTGAGAATGATGGTTTCCAGCTTCATCCATGTCCCTTTATGCAAAGGACGTGAACTCATCCTTTTTATGGCTGCATAGTATTCCATGGGGTAAAAGTGCCACATTTTCTTTATCCAGTCTATCATTGATGGGTATTTGGGTTGGTTCCAAGTCTTTGCTATTGTGAACAGTGCTGGAACAAACATACATGTGCGTGTGTCTTAATAGTGGAATGATTTATAATCCTTTGGGTATATATGCAGTAATGGGATTGCTGGGTCAAATGGTATTTCTAGTTCTAGATCCTTGAGGAATTGCCACACTGTCTTCCACAATGGTTGTACTAATTTAAACTCCCACCAACAGTGTAAAACCATTCCTATTTCTCCTCAACCTCTCCAGCATCTGTCGTTTCCTGACTTTTTAATGATCACCATTCTAACTGGTGTGAGATGGTATCTTATTGTGGTTTTGATTTGCATTTCTCTAATGACCAGTGATGATGATCTTTTTAAAATATGTTTGTTGGCTGCATAAATGTCTTCTTTTGAGAAGTGTCTGTTCATATCCTTCACCCACTTTTTGATAGGGTTTGTTTTATTTCTTGTAAATTTGTTTAAGTTCTTTGTAGATTCTGGATATTAGTCCTTTGTCAGATGGATAGATTGCAAACATTTTCTCCCATTCTGTAGGTTGCCTGTTCACTCTGGTGATAGTTTCTTTCGCTGTGCAGAAGCTCGTTAATTTAATTAGATCTCATTTGTCAATTTTGGCTTTTATTGCCATTGCTTTTGATGTTATAGTCATGAAGTCTTTGCTCATGCCTATATCCTGAATGGTATTGCCTAGGTTTTCTGGTAGAGTTTTTATGGTTTTAGGTCTTACGTTTAAATCTTTAATCCATCTTGAGTTAATTTTTGTATAAGGTTTGAGGAAGGGGTCCAATTTCAGTTTTCTGCATATGGCTAGCCAGTTTTTGCAGTATCATATATTAAATAGGAAATCTTTTCCCCGTTGCTTGTTTTTGTCAACTGTGTCAAAGATCATATGGTTGTAGATGTGTGGTGTTATTTCTGAGGACTCCTTTCTTCTCCATTGGTCTATATATCTGTTTTGATATCAGTACCATGCTGTTTTGGTTACTGTAGCCTTGCAGTATAGTTTGAAGTCAGGTAGCATGATCCTTCCATCTTTATTCTATTTGCTTAGTATTGCCTTGGCTATGTAGGCTTTTTTTTTTTGGTTCCATATAGAATTTAAAGTGTTTTTTTCCCAATTATGTAAAGAAAGCCAGAGGTAACTTGATGGGGATAGCATTGAATCTATATATTACTTTGGGCAGTATGGCCATTTTCAAGATACTGATTCTTCCTATCCATGTCGAATGTTTTTCCAATTTTTTTTATAAGATAGAAAGCAAATTCTGGATGGATACATCAGGCAGAAAGACCACTAGAATCAGTGAAACAGATTTTCATTATGAAATTCTAAGCTCTTCAGGAGAAAAGGTAGGAAAAGATGTGTAAGTGTGTAGGTTATCAGCTGGTAAAAAATTATTTCTCTGAGTAAATGAACATAGCTTTAATAGGAAAACTGATAGGGCATTGATATGGTTTGGTTTTGTGCCCACACTCAAATTTCATGTTGAATTGTATCCAAAAATGTTGGGGGATGGAGCTGGTGGGAGGTTATTAGATCATGTAGGCAGATTTCCCCATTGCTGTTCTCATGATAATGAGTGAGTTCTCATGAGATCTCGTTGCTTAAAGGTGTGTAGCCCTTTCCCCTTTACTCTGTCTCTCCTGCTTCACCATGGTAAGATGTTCTCACTTTCCCTTAGCTTCCTGCCACAATTTTAAGTTTCCTGAGGCCTCCCAGCCATGCTTCCTCTATAGCCTGTGGAACTGTGAGTCAATTAAATCTCTTTCCTTCACAAATTACCCAGTCTCACATAGTTCTTTATAGCAGAGTGAGAATAAACTAATATAGAAAATTGGGGCTGGGTGTGGTGGCCTGTAATACCAGCATTTCGGGAGGCCAAGGTGGGCACCTTGGGCCATTGCTTTAGAGGGTGCAAGCCCCAAGCCTCAGTGGATTACATGTGGTCTTGGTCCTGTGGGTGCACAGAAGGTAGTAGCTGAAATTAGGGAGCTTCTGCCTGGATTTCAGAGACTGTATGGAAACACCTGGATGTTCAGGCAGATGTCTGATGTAGGGGTGGAGCCCTTCTGGAAAATCTCTACTAGGGCAGTGCAACAGGAAAATGTGAGGTTCGAGCCCCTACACTGACTCCCTGCTGGAACGCTGCCTAGTAGAGCTGTAAGAAGAGGGCCATCATCCTCCAGACCACAGACCACCTTGCACCCTGTGCCTGTAAAAGCCACAGGCACTCAATGCCAGACTGTGAAAGCAGCTGTGGGGGCTGTACTCTGAAAAGCCACAGGAGCAGAGCTTCCCAAGGACTTTGGAGCCCACCCCTCACATCAGCATAGCCTGGACGTGAACCATGGAGTCAAAGGAGATTATTTTGGAGATTTAAGATTTAATGACTGTCCTGCTGGGTTTCCAACTTGCATGGGGCCTGATGCCCCTTTGTGTTGGCCAATTTCTCCCATTTGAAATGGGAGCATTTACCAATGCCTGTGCTTCCATTGCATCATGGAAGTAATTAACTTGTTTTTGATTTTACAGGCTCATAAGTGGGAGGGACTTGCGTTGTCTCAGTGAGACTTTGGACTTCGACTTTTGAGTTAATATTGGAATGAGTTAAGACTTTGGGGGACTGTTATGAGGGCATGATTATGTTTTGAAATATGAGAAGGACATGAGATTTAGGAGTGGCTGGGATGAAATGATATGATTTAGCTCTGTGTCCCCACCCAAATATCATGTTGAATTGTAATTACCAGTGTTAGGGGAAGGACCTGGTGGGAGGTGATTGGATCATGGGGCAGATTTCCCCATTGGTGTTTTTGTGATAGTGAGTGACTTCTCATGAGATCTGGTTGTTTAAAAGTGTAGAGAACAACCCCTTCTCTCTCTCTCTCCTGCTCCACGAAGGTAAGACATGCTGGCTTCCCCTTCACCTTCCACCATGACTGTAAGTTTTTTGAGGCCTCTCTAGCCATGCTTCTTGCACAGCCTGTGGAACTGTGAGTCAATTAAACCTCTTTTCTATTTAAATTATGCAGCCTTGGGTAGTTCTTTATAGCAGTGGGAGAACAGACTAATGCAGGCATCACATTTGGTGAGGATATCTGCTTTATTTACTTTTTCTTAAATGAATATATTATTGATGTTAAAATTGAGGTATTCTTATTGAAATAAATAGCAAAATATACCCAAAAATATAAGAGGAAATAAGCACAAAGTTAATCCCTTCATGTATTTACTTTTGTCCTTCCCGGATCTCATTAACCTGGTCCGAGCCATTGTTCTCTCTTACCTGGATTATTACAACCATATTCTAGCTGGCATTGCAGCCTTCAGTTATCCTTCTGTGTTTGTCCATAAAATGCTTATGCAGTTGATAAAATTTTGCTTCAGCGATTTCTTATTGTCTAAATATAAACCCCAATCCCATAAGAAGCCCCTTCCTAATTTAGGAGTTTTGCATTTTGCAACTATACCCTTCTCATAAGTGCTTCACACTGTTTGGATAAATCTGTGGAAACACTTTTAATTTCATGACAGTCTGGAGTTCCCCCTCACCAAAGGACCTCTAGCATTGTTTTCTCGTCACCAGAAACACTGCATCTACCTGCTACCTTCACTCATTTCCCATTCTCCCTTTTACTTTCTATCCATCCTTCTGGCCAGAGCTTGCATGCATGTTTTCCTGGAACTCTCCTTTGAGTCTACAACTCTAGGTTACATGCCCCTCCCCTGGGCTTCCACAGAACCCCACACTTCTTCAGTCATTGTCTATATACTATATTTGTTGCTTACCTGGGTATAACATATTCCCACTAGATGACAGACTCTCAGAGGACAAGGATTGTATCTCTTCTGCAATGGTATTTTCAATATTTATGATAATATCTAACACATTTGAGCCACTCCATAGATATAAATGGAATACATATTAAATGTTAACAAAAGGATTACTCCAAGACACACACCACAGTGGTTAAGAGCAAGGACTCTAAATTCATATTGTTTGAATGCAAATCACAACTTTTTCAGTTGTTAACTTTGGACTATAGGCAGAATACTAAATCTCTCTGAGCCCTGATTCACTTATCTGTAAAATGATAATAAAAATAGTGTACAGAAGATACAAATGATGGCGACCCATTATGAGTCATGGCCTTGTAGGAGTTCCAACCCTTGAGTTCAGGCTGAATTTATGAATTGTTTCTAATCATTGGAATATATTAAAATGATGGGATGTCATTCCATTGATTATGCTACATTATATGGCAAAGGGAATTGATATAGTTTGGATCCGTGTCCCCACCCAAATCTCATGTTCAGTTGTAATCCTCAGTGTTGGAGGTGCGGCCTGGTGGGAGGTGATTGGATCATGGGGGCAGTTTCTCATGATTTAACACCATCCCCCTTGGTTCTGTCATCATGATAATGAGTTCTCATGAGATCTGGTAGTTTAAATTTGTGTGGCACCTCCTCCCACCCTCTCTCGCTCCTGCTCTGGCTGTGTAACTCGTGCGGGCTTCTTCATTGCCTTCCACCATAATTGTAAGTTTCCCAAGGCCTCCCCAGCCATGCTTTCTGCACAGCCTGCAGAATCGTGAGCCAGTTAAACCTGCTTTCTTTATAAATTACCCAGTCTCAGGTATTTCTTTATAGCAGTGCTAGAACAGACTAATACAGGAATGGAATGCCATTTCCATGACTACATTACATTATATAGATCTCTGTCTAAAACTATAGTTTAAGAAAGATTCCCTACTGAGCTTAGGAATGCAAACAGCTGTGTTGTGAATGGCCTATGGAGAAGACCATGTGGCAGGGAACTGCAGGTGGCCAGAAAGAGCTGAGGGTAGCCTCCGACTGACCACCAGTGGAAGCCAGAGCCTTCAGTCATAAAGCCACAGGAAATGAATTCTGCCTACAATCTGAATGAACTTGGAAGCAGATTCTTCCCTTGTTGAGCCCCTAGATGAGAATGCAGCTTTGTTAAAGTGTAATTACCACTTTATGAGACCCTGAGCATAAAATCCAGCTAAGCCATGCCTGGACTCCTGACCAACAAAAACTGTGCTATTACAAGTGTATGTTCTCTTAAGCTGCTAACTTTGCAGTAACTTATTACACAGAAATCAAAAACTAATGGAGACTTCATCTACCATATAGTGTTTTGGAAGATCAAATGAATTAACATTCAGAACATGCTTAGAACCATGCTTACTATCTACTATTATATTAGAAATTTTTAAATAAAAGGAAAATTAAATGTTCCTATTTCTTGAAAGTATGTAATGTTAATATTGTACGTTTTATTTTTTTTTCCATTATTTCCTCTATATTTTCATAGTTGGAATTGCACTATTTACATAGTAGGTTGTACCAAAAAGGTACATTGTATTGGTAGCTACCTAATGTTAAATTGTATTGGTGTGTCATAATTTGAGTAACTGTTTCCTGTTTACAGATATTTAGTATCTTTCTATTTTTTCACAATTAAACATAGTATGGACTTGATTATGTGGTTAAAATTACATCAATTATTTTACTAATTATTATTTAGAATATAATATTTATTTAAATCTTGTTTTCTTCCTTTCAAATATTTGTTTCCTTTCACACAACTGCTGAGCATTGAAAAATTTTGTAATCTTTGTTTATAAATAAAAATGGTGAAGTCATAAGAGCTTATTGCCTTACATTCTTCTAAAATTAATTCCTTGCAGCATACTCCAACTTACAAAACATGAAGAAGATGGTACTTCACCCATTTTATCCTAAAGTTTACTGTAAGAATAAAATTCCAGATTGAGGTCAACTGATTTTTCTTCTTAGAAGCAGACCAAATTGGTTAATCTCTCTTTAAGTCATTGGCCTTAAGACAAATGCTGCAGCGTATATATTTTGAATGACAATGTAAATATTTTATTTTTAGTCAGTAATAACTGTGGCTGCCAGGATTTCAATGATGTCTGAATTGTTTGACATACCAGGAGAAATATATCCATCCTGATGGCACAGAGATTATCCAATCAACTGTCAGGGGGTAAAGATCATGTCTATTTGATAATTATTTATTTTTAATAACATTTTAAATCATTATTATTATGCATCTAATCACAAACTAATAACCTAATGTAGTACTTAAGGGATTCACATAAATCAGTATCATTTATTCTATGAAATAAAGGAAACTCTGGTATATCTAGGAAGAAATGAACGACTGTGCTTTGATACATACAGGTATTACCATCATTTAATACGTGTGAGCCTCACGCATGGATAGGTTGGGATTATAGCACCTACATTAATGTGTTGATGTGAGGATAAATAGAACGAAGTCTGTATACAACTTTTTAAACTTAATGCAGAGACTGTATACCCCTGCCCATCATTAATGCAAATGAAAAAATTAAAAATATTTGAACTGCTTATTCTTTTTTTTCTTTTTTCTCTTTTCTTTTTTTTCTTTCTTTGAGAATCGCTCTGTCACCCAGGCTGGAGTGCATTGGCGTGATCTCAGCTCACTGCAACCTCAGCCTCTTGGGTTCAAGCAATCCTCCTGCCTCAGCCTACCGAGTAGCTGGGATTACAGGCGCCTACCAAGACGCCCGGCTGTTTTTTGTATTTTTAGTAGAGACGGGGTTTCTCCGTGTTGGACAGGCTGGTCTCGAACTCTTGACCTCAGGTGATCCAACTGTCTCAGCCTCCCAAATCGCTGGGATTACCGGCATGAGCCATGGCACTGGTCCCAAGCTATTTATTCTCAACATACTAAATTCTCTAGTTCATTTCTGGGCCAATTTATCTTTATACAATGTCTTCTATAAAAGACCAAAACATCTGAGTGTCTGAGTGAAAAGTGGGAAATTTACCCAATTGGCCATCATTAGGCTAACATAATTGTTTAGATGAAACATTTTATTTAACTTACACGAGTAAGTGAAACTTGGGGCTGAGGATATTGTGCACACCCATAATTCCAGCTTAAAGAGAAAGCAAAGTAGACATTAGATTGATTTCATCAAACAATTAGATGATTTGAAAACAGCTAGATAAATTAAATTACATGACTGACTTCAAACATGGGTGGCCATACTCAACAAGTAGTTTTCCAAGAAGGTATTTGTATTCCTCAAGCCACATGTTATAAGAAGAAAAAATAGGAGGAAAGTATTTGTTGAAGGTTATAGGTACATTGAGGGTGATTAGTACAAATACCTCCGTTAAAAAAAAATCAGTACAGTACCTGTATTACTCATATCTACTCAGGGAATCTTCAGTAAGTAAATTTGACCACCTGTGGAATTGCACAAATTTAGAGTTTGATTATTTTTATGAATGTTTTACACATGTAGAAAAACAAATACATTTTTATTATGAGGGCTCAGATACCTGCTTGAAACTACCGTGTATTCTTTCCAATATTCCACTTTTAAATGTTGTCTTCAATATGAGTCTTCCCTACAGAAGGCCCATATTTAGGGCCTAGGTTGCCTTTTTGTGAAGTCAATTGATTACTCAATTTGTTAAGTAATTTTAGAAGGAATATACGATGATGTGCAAAATCTCTTTCCTTAACAATTTTGTGTTACTATAAAGGAATATCTGAGACTGGGTAACATATGAATAAAAGAGTTTTAATTGGCTCAGGGTTCTGCAGGCTGTACAAGAAGCATGGTTCAGGTATCCGTTCAGCTTCTGGTGGGGACTCAAGGAGCTTTTACTCATGGGGGAAGGTGAAGTGGGAGCAGGCACATCACATTGTGAGTGCAAACAAGAGAGAGAAGTGGGAGGTCCCAGGCTCTTAAGTCACCAGCTCTCGCATAAACTATCAGAGTGAAAACTCACTCATTATCATGAGGATAGCACCAGGCCATTCATGAGAGATCTGCCCCCAGGACCTGCACACTCCTCACCACGTCCCACCCCCAATATTGCTGATTATAC
Source organism: Homo sapiens (assembly GCF_000001405.40). Taxonomy (NCBI): domain Eukaryota; kingdom Metazoa; phylum Chordata; class Mammalia; order Primates; family Hominidae; genus Homo; species Homo sapiens. The sequence continues at coordinate 19,275,750 of NC_000004.12, read as the reverse complement.
CTCAACATGAGATTTGGATGGGACAAACATTCAAACTATATTGCTATTGATAGAATGTTGTAATGTAAAAAACACATGCCCCACCATCCTGGCTAACACGGTGAAACCCTGTCTCTACTAAAAATACAAAAAAATTAGCCGGGGCTGGTGGTGGGCGCCTGTAGTCCCAGCTACTCAGGAGGCTGAGGCAGGAGAATGGTGTGAACCCCAGCGGTGGAACTTGCAATGAGCCGAGATCACACCACTGTACTCCAGCCTGGGCAGCAGAGCGAGACTCCATCTCAAAAACAAACAAAAAAACAACAAAACAGAAAACCATGCCCCAAAATGTAGTAGATTGTAATATTGGGTCATAACTTTATTTTTTCCCTATACTTGCCATATTTTCCTATACACAGAATATACTTTTCTGCCCTAATGCCTTTTGGCTTGGACCTGTGATCTCCTTTGGAAACTAAAATGTGAACACATATACTATATACCACATGTAAGTCAAAACTTCAAATGTACTTGTTCTTGAACTTCATCATGAGAAAACCATGCCTCAGAGAGGAGCTACCGTTTTAGTCTTGTTTCTGAAATGAGAAGATGCATCGAGCTAAGGCCAACATTTCCCAGAAGCCGTGAAAAACTATGACCAGTCTAATCGAACTGTAGATTGCTAGTTCTGTGTAGATGAACAAGAAATATATTTTTTAAAACAATGGAATATTACGGTTGTTTTTTACTGCAGGAAAAACTGAAAGTTGATAGATGAATAGATAGGGCATGTTAGATCTAGGTCTAGATATACGTAGGTTTTGATAGTGACTCTACTACTTAATAAATTTTCGTGCTTGGGAAAATATTATGTTATGATAATCTTTATCATTATCGTTATTTTAGTTGAGATTAAGTTGGCAAGTCTGACAAATAAACACCAAAATTTCAGCTGCTTAATTCCTTGAATATTTATTTCTTGTTAATATTACTGTCCAAGATAGGCATTTCTGGTACCATTATCTTCTCCCTATAAAAATTCAAAGACATGGCCAGGCATAGTGGTTCATGCCTGTAATCCCAGCACTTGTGAGGCTAAGGCAGGGGGATCTCTTGAGCCCAGGAGATCAAGACCAGCCTGGGCAACATCGTGAAACCCCATCTCTACAAACAAAAGTACAAAAATTAGCTGGGTATGTTGGTGCATGCCTGTAGTCCCAGCTACTCAGGAAGCTGAGGTGGGAGGATCACCTAAGTCCTGGGAAGTCAAGGCTGCAGTGAGCCGTGATCGTGCCATGGCACTCCAACCTCAGTGACAGAGTAAGACCCTGTCTTAAAAAAAATAAATAAGACACAACACCCTTTAATTTTGTGTTCTCACCATTCGCTTGGGGTCCTCTGAAGCCATCAAACAGAAGTTGGAAGGCAACGTGAAGTTCCTTCTATTTTTTAACTCTTGTTGGTCAATTTTCCTCATCTCTCCTCACATTTTTGGGTCAAGATTGTCACCTTGTCCCATCTGTGTGCAAAAATGTGCTGCTAAATAAAGGTCCTAACTGGGAATCCTTTTGACAGAGGCAACTATATAAACTATGGAAGGGTAAGCAGAGATTTTAATTGGACAGTTAGTCTCCCTTGCCACAATAATCATCACAAACACATGCGCTGAGGGCTTGAATTCTAGGCACCATCCTCATCTGAGAAGACAGCTGTGGGTAGCGAGATAGAAAAAGAAAAGAAACAAAGAGGGAGAAGAAGAAAGAGATTCTTTTTGTTGACTTAGTACTGTTTTATTTTTATTAGAAAATAGTAAAAAACAAAACAAAACAAAAAAACCCTAAACCCAAAGGCATAAAATAACATTTTCTGACTATGGACAATGAAAGATATATATTTACAGAGCTTTCTGTTCAGACATAAAACTTGAGAAATCCTAAATTAAATTTTCATAATTATCTATCATCTCCTGTTTGTCAACAATCCCAATTAACGCCATGGTCCTGCATTTAGAAAGTCAGATGAGGTATTACATTACTCTACATTTCCAATAAAACTCTGCATCTCTTTTCTGAGAGGAAACTACTTGGAAAAAAACAGGCCTTCCACTAGGAGCTTTTGCATGGAAAGAGATTTTTCAAAGGAATTCGCTTCCACAGTTGTGGGAGCTGGCAAGTCAGAAATCCATAGGGAAGGCTGGCAGGCTGGAAATTCAGGTAAAAGTTGATATTGCAGCTTTGAGTCCAGATTCTGCAAAGGAGCAGGCTGATACTTAGTCAGGGTTTCTATATTGCTGCCTTGAGAAGAATTACTTCAGAGAACCTCAAACATTGCTCAGAAGGCCTTCAACTCATGGGCTATCCACAGTGTGGAGGGCAATCTGCTTTTCTGAGCCTACTGACTTAAATGTGAAATATATCTAAAAAGTACCTTGACAGCAACATTTAGACTGATGTTTGGCAAAAACAAAAAAAACAAAAACTGGCACCAAAGCCTAGCCAAGCTGACAGCTAAAATTAACCATTCCACTTTATCAACTTGACTTTGAATTTTCTCTATCTCAGTTTCCTTAAATGGTATTAACACTTGAACCTACCTCATATAATTCTGATGGTGATAAAAGTGATAATGTATGCAAAGTACTTGAAAGAGCAATGGCATTGAGCAGGTGGTTCCTCCATATTACTTTTATTTATTCTCACTCTACGTTGGCCTCTTGGGCTTACCTCTGAAAAGTTTGTACAAGGATAAAGTCCATCTTCAAAAGGAAACAAAAGGAGTTTTCCTTGAACTACCTTTTTCCTTCAAAATGACTTAGTTTGCTGTATTCTCTTCTGAATTAGTAAGCTAGATAAAGTCTGCCTCTAAAAATTCATCATCTTTACAATTATACAAGTTTTCTTGATTGTTTTGTGCAGTAGCGTGAAAAGTGAAATTCTGGATTTCCTGGGACAATTATTTAGTTTTGAAAGACAATATTATTCTAAAAAGAAGAGGTTCACGACTTCTCAACAATAAAAATATTTCAGAAAAGGGGGAAATAAGGATATTAAACTGAAATATTTTGAATATATATGGATATGTATATTCTTCCTACAGAAGAATCCATAATTTTCATTATATACTCACAGAAGTAGATAACCCATAAAAATGAAGAGTCACTGCTTTCAAATTTGAATTCTACTACAACCTCAAAGGAGACTGCTGAATCTAAACATTTTACGAGAAAAATCTGTCCTTGAACTAGAAAATAGCTAGTCCTACTCTTATCTGTTACTGTTACAAAATGAAAGAATTCATTGAGTCTTTTCATTAGACATAAAACTTTCATGATATTCTTTCAGTGAATGACAGGCTATTTTGATCTCTAATGAAAATATTATAATGTTTGCTGTAAAAGGCAGCATGTGCAAACAGCTCATCTCAGATATTGCACATATATGCTTCTTTATTATGTGAGATTAATTATTTTGATATTCCTTGAGACTTTCTTATAATCTTTTAAAAGTTTATTTTTATATATTTAGAGGGTACAACTGCAGATGTCTTACAGGCATAACGGTGAAGTCTGAAATTCTTGTGTACCCATCACACAAATAATAAACATTGTATCCAACAGGTAATCTTTTAACCATCACCCTACTCCTACCCTCTCACCTTTTGTGGTTTCTAGTGTCTGTCATTCCACTCTGTACGTCTATATGTACCCATGTTTAACTCCCACTTATAAGTGAAAACATGCAGAATTTAACTTTCTGCTTCTGAATCATTTCAGGATAATGGCTTCCAGTTTCCTCCATGTTGCTGCAAAAGACATGATTTAATTCTCTTTTACGGCTGAATAGTATTCTGTTGTATATGTGTACCACATTTTCTTTGTCCAGTCCTCCACTGATAGACACTTAGACTGATTCCATACCTTTGTTTGATATTGTGAACAGTGTTGGAATAAACATTTGAGTGCAGTTATCTTTTGGATATAATGATTTCTTTCATTTTGGAAATGTAGCCAGTAGTGGGTCTGCTGGGTTGAATGGTACTTCTATTTTTAGTTTTTTGAGAACTCTCCATACAGTTTCCCATAAAGGTTTCACCTATTCACATTCCTACACACAATGTATCAGTGGTCCAGTGGTCGCTTTTCTCCTCATCCTCAACAACATCTGTAGTTTTTAGAGTTTGTAATAATAGCCATTCTGACTGGTGTAAGATGGTATCTCATTGTGGTTTTAATTTGTATTTTTCTGATGATTAGTAATGTTAAGTATTTTTTCATGTGTTTGTTGGCCACTTGTATACCTTCTTTTGGAAAATGTCTGTTCATGTCTTTTGTCCACTTTTTAATGGCGTTATTTTTTTTTCTCATTGAACTGTTTGAGTTCCTTGAAGATTCTGCATATTAGCCCTTTGCTTGATACATAGATAACAAATATTTTTTCCAGTCTATAGGTTGTCTGTTTGCTCTGTGGATTGTTTTACTATGCAGTAGCTTTTAAGTTTAATTAAGTGCTATTTGTATATTATTGTTTTTTTGTTATGTTTACTTTTGAGGAGTTGGTCATAAATTCTTTGCCTAGGCCAATACCCAGAAGAATTTTTCCTCTAAAATTTTGTAGTTTGAGGTCTTATATTTATGTCTTCAATCTATCTTGGTTAATTTTTGTATGTAATAAGAATTATGGTTCCTGTTTCATCTTTCTACATAGGGATATCCAATTTTCCCAGCACCATTTATTTAATATGGTACCCTATCCCCAGTGCATATTTTTGTTAACTTTGTTGAATATCAGTTGGTGGTAGTATGTAGCTTCATTTCTGGGTTCTCTACTCTGTTCCATTGATCTATTTTTACATTAATAACATGACGTTTTGTTACTATAGCCTTGTAGTATAATTTGAAGTCAGGTAATGTGACACCTCATGTTTTATTCTTTTTGCTTAGGTTTGCTTTGGCTACTCTGGCTCTTTTTGGTTTCATATGAATTTTAGAATTCTTTTTTCTAATTCTGTGAAAAATCACATTGATAATTTGATAGAGATTGCATTCAATTTGTAGATTGCTTTGGGCAGTATGGTCATTTTAACAATATTGATTCTTCCAATTCATGAGAATGGGATATTTTTCTATTTGTGTCCTCTATAATTTCCTTCAGGAGTGTTTTGTAGTTCTCCTTATAGAGATCTTTCACCTCCTTGGTTAACTATATTCCTACCTTATAATCTTAATACTCATTTCATCTAAGATACTGTATAAAAAGAGATAAAAAGATAAATACATGCAATACTATAACTCAGGTGGCAATTTCCTTTTCTATTCTTCCTTGCTCCATGATTTCCTTCTACATAAGATATGTGTGGGACTATGTTAAACACAAGGTGGGAAAACTGAGTAGCAGACTCTCTTGTTAGCTCCAAAGCAGGTCATATTACACAAATCATGAGATTAGCTTCCATCTTTAGACAGTGCTGGGTTCTTCAAATTTCTTACCAATTAGCCATCAACAAGTCATATAAACTGGGAGAATGAAATGTAAAAATGAAAAGTGGCCATCACATTCACCTTACATGAGGTATGATGGTCTTAAGATATGTGTGTTTGTGTGTATGTGGGTGTGCATGTAGTCCTAGTTTGAGAATTTTCAGGGTACAAGTGCAAAACTCACCCTATTTTCCTGTTCAGTTCAGAGGAGCTAAATGACTTGAATGCATAAGCATAGTATTGAGTTGCAGAGTTTTATAGATAGAAGGGGGCATTCTATTACCCTTTATTATAGATAACAGTGCATCTGAAAATGTATATGAGACATTAAATTGAAAAATCAATTTTAAGGGCTTAATACCTAATAGTAATAAACATAATTGATTCCTTACCATATGTTGAGGACTGTGTTAATTAAGCACCTCATATACAGCATCACCTTTATCCTCAAAAGCACTCTACTAAGTAGGCAATAGAATGTTATGCTCACTTTATGAATGAAGAAACTTCAACTACAAGAGATGAAAGAGAAAAAGTCACCTCAGATCCTGAATGTTTTGGAATTCAGGAACCTGTAGCTCCAAAGTCTATGTTTTTAAGCATTTGACTAAGTTATTTTCCATAGCAATTTTAACAGGTATGTACCAAGAAGGGAGGCTTGGGGCGTAGACAATTATATTGGTGAATAGATGTGTTATAAACAGAGTGTGAAAGGAGAGAAAGAGAACAACAAGGAACTGCATAGATGTTAGCTAATATTAGATCATTATTAGTTCCCAAGGTCACCTAGACTATCGCTGTAGTCAAGATGAGATTTCTGATGGTCCAATTCAATCTTGTCTTCGTTTTGTTTTTGCCAGATCATATACTACCTCCTCCTTTTTGCTTCTAGCAAATATATTTATTCTAGAAAAATATAGCTGCAGATCTTTATATTTTTCACTGTAACTTTAGATATAAAATCTGAAATGCTTTAATGGTTAATTTAACTTGAAATAACTATTTCATTATCAAAGCACTTTAATTCACCATGAAAACTGCCTCCTCACATTCATACCCTTCAATAATTGCTTTTGCTTCTAAATTACAGCTGCAATGGTTCATTATCTAGATACTACTAGAGGCTTCTCCAGAATTGCTGTTTGGAAGCATGGAAGATTTTATACCCTATGTTCAGGCCTATCTTGTTTTCCAAAGTTGTCACTCAACTTCTGGAGTGTTTGGTTATCCAGTGCAACTAGATCTCTGCTTTTGTTTCTCATTTGCATTACATTTCTTTTCACATGATTATTCACTCACCATGCACTTGAAAACTAAAATCAAATATAACATGTAGTTCAAATCAGTCTCCAAAAACCTGAGGATCAAAGATGCAGTAAAACTGCAATTCTGACGAATTTCTACATGTTCCAGTGGCTCCCTGTATTTGGCACCTTTATGGCAATAAGCACAGTGTACTGCAAATCCCTGATTAGTTGTTTGTCTCTCTTCTTAGACACTAAGCTCTTTGAGGTCAGGGACTATATGTGTCCATTATGTATTCCAAACTCTTAACAATGGAGGAAGTACTCACTAAACAGTAATAAAATAGTGAATGCATCCAGGGTAACAAAGACTTCAGGGCACATCATATTATTTTTATGTGATATGCAAAATATGCCACTCATGATTGTTTAGACCTTTCCCATAAAGCTGCATTAACTACAACCATCTGGTCTAATGTGTTGTATCAGTCAGGTTGCTAATTGCAGTTTATCTCTATTTTTTTCCCTTATCATTTGTTCATACTCCACTGTCATATAAATAATTCTAATCCCTGGCTTTGTTCATGTGATCTCCTACCCAAAATCTTCAGGGTCTCTCCTATATCTGCAGAATCCTCATAGCCTTATTTGCCAGAACCCTCTACCTCCTAATAATACCAATGATCTCCAGTCATAATATATGGCTTTACAACATTATATGCTCTTATTGATCCAGGCTTTGTCTGCCCAAACATGTATTTCCTTTCTCTCATTACAGTATATATTTCCCTCATCCCTTCTACCTTTTTAATCTTTCTTTATCCTTGTTATAAGATTACTTCTCCATTGAGATCCAGTTCAAATTTTACTTTGTCTACAGAGATTTCTTATGTTGCTTCCCAGACCTCATATTCTAAAGAACCAAAGACCAAGACATTATAAAGTATTTGAAGTTTCAAGTCAGAACCTCCATAGAGTTTCTTTTCTTGGGTACACAGGTGGAGGTCAGACCCATTTTTAACCATTAACTTTTCCACTTGCCAGGGGGTATCTTTCTTCTCCCATTTTTAAACTGGTTGTAATAATCTTCCCATATAGAAATACTGTAAGAATGAGATGAGAAAAATACTTAAAGCACCTTGCATGTATGGCATCCTTTTCCAAAACTTAGGTACCTTTTATATTTTTCTTGAGTACTTCAATGTTCAAGCATGTTTAGTCCAGGAAATTGGAATGAAAGTATTGACATTCTATGATTAGGAAGGGTGGGGATTTTCTCAGTATTTTTGACATAATACCAAATTTGCCTGTGGAATCACTAAAAAAGTTTTATGATTTGAAAATATTTTAAAATCAAACATTCAAATAATTTTTAGCTTATGAGATCAAATATTCATTTCATTAAAATGATGTGTTCACTTGCTTGCTCTGAAGTGGTTAGAAAATGGGAATGGAAACTCAGTATGTTTGGCCCATTTCCAAATTTTCTGCTTTAATCCATGGTTCTCCTAATGATATGACCCCATATGAGAAGGAAAAAATAGCAAAAAAAAAAAAAACAGTCTAATAGCAGAAAGAAAAACAGGACTGAATGTGATCTTGTCTTAGGTTATTTATGTAACCTTTTAAGAATTAGATATGTTTGAATAAAACACCATCGCTTGCTTTCTTAAGATGATGGTTTTATTAAAAAGCCTTTCTGCTGAAACCTGGAATGCATTGCCTGGATAAGCAGGTCAGAGTTCACAGTTGAAACTGCTCATGCAATGCATGTCCAAAACTACTACTCACACACAAAAAAATGACAGTATGTGTGTGTTCCTGTGTGTGTAAGTATGTGTGCATGTGTAGGTGCATGCATTACTGCTTTACCTCAGGAAAAAAGGAAGTGAGGCTGAGAAGGAGGAGCTAGAGGAAGAAGAGGATGCTGGCATGGGATTTCAGTGGGCATTTCACATAGTTCTACACTATTCTTGTAGTGATAGCATGGTGCAACCTACAGATATTTTGGAAGTCTGGGAGGGCATAATCTTTGGCAAGAGACAGTAAAACAAACCACATTTATCTCTGATTATTTATCAGATTTATAATCATAAATCTTAAACCAGAAGACTCAGAGCAACCCCTTATCTTTTGAAGGAGCAAAACAGAGCTTCCCTGCCTGTCTCGTGTCTCTGGACTGAAATTGCGGGTCTGTCATTTGTGGGCAGGGATTCTCCTGGGTGACAGGAGACAGTGCAGTGGGTCTGTGCAGGGAGTTGGTTGTCAGCAAAAATGGCTGGCTCCCTCCTCTCACTGCATGTGGAATGCTGACCATGAGGAATGATGCCTGAGTAACTGCATTGTTAGCAATGGGCATTTGACAAAGAATTGTCAGAATGTCTTTTGCAAAGAATTCCAGGGAAGCAGATTTCTTCAATGTTTCTTTCTTTTCTCTCCCCCCAACCCCACCCAACTTTTGCTCCAATAATTAAACAAATGTCTAAAAATGAAGCAGAATTTTATCTTTTTCATTCCTTAAAGAATTTATTTATTCAGCCCATTTTTTTTTTTTTTTTTGAGACGGAATCTCTCCCTGTTGCCCAGGCTGGGGTGCAATCTGGAGTGCAAAGGCACGATCTCAGCTCACTGCAACCTCCACCTCCCGGGTTCAAGCGATTCTCCTGTCTCAGCCTCCTGAGTAGCTGGGATTACAGGCACACACCACCATGCCTGGCTAATTTTTGTATTTTTTGTAGAGACAGGGTTTCACCATGTTGGTCAGGCTGATCTCAAACTCCTGAACTCATGATCCGCCCGCCTCGGCCTCCCAAATTGCTGGGATTACAGGCCTGAGCCACCATGCCCAGCCTATTCAGTCCATTTTTATGGAGTAAATAAAATATGCTAAATTATTGCTATCAGGGAGCTTATATTTTACTCAGAAAATAATTAGATAAATTAAAATATACTAATCCTCATAATGCATGCTATGATAAAAAAATAATGAGCTGGAGAGGGGATAGTCAAAACAGGAGGAAGAGGAGATGTGGTTAGTTATTTTAGTTAGGGTAGTCAGGATTAGGCTGTATGATATGTGACATTTGATCCAACCTCTGAAGAGAAAATAGAGAACCAAGTAAGATCCAGCCTCTGAAGGGAACAAAGTAACATACGTTAGTTATTTTAGATAAGGTAGTCAGGTTAAGGCTCTATGATATGTGACATTTGATCCAATCTCTGAAGAGAACAAAGTAAGGCAGTAAGTTGAGATGTCATTTGGGATAAGGGTGCTTCAGGCAGAGCCAACAGCAAGTGCAAAGTCCCTGAGCCTGAAGCACATCCTGATAAAGTAAGAGAAAAGTGGTAAGATGTGAGCTTGGCAAGAGTAAGCCAGGGTATTAAAGAAATCGTGTGTCAAAATAAAGTCCATCCATCATAGTATGAATGAGATGGGAAGGTATGGGAGGCTTTTGAGCAGAGGCATGAACTAATTTCTGGCTGCAGGGAGAAGAGACAGGGATCAAGACCCTAAATAGAAGTTGTTGAGAAAGAGCCTGTTGCAAGTGTTTGGAGAAAAATGGACAGGGTTCTGCTGGTGGAAAAGTGGACAGATTCTGCATGTATTTTGATAGTAAAGAAGACAGCATTTGGGTGACTAGATATGCACTGTGACAGAAATAGAGGAGATAAGTGTGACTTCAACGTTTGGGGTCTGAACAACTGCAAGTACAAATGTGACATTTACTGGATGGCTGATTTTATTTCATTTTTTAGTTTAATTCTTTTGCTAGCATGAAAATTTACATACAGAAATTAATGCTGTAGTTCAAATGACTTTTCTTAGAAAAATATCTATTTGGTACTGTAACGCTGCTCAGCTCGGAACAGTTAAAATTTCCTCCTTAAGAATGTCTTTCAATTTTATGAGCCATACAGGATATTCAGTCTCAATCTTCATTCTTAAGCACTGGATACCTTATTTTTGACTCTTTAAAAGACATGATTTCAATTTATTAGGCATAAGATAACATCAGTATTTGAAAACAGTGAATGTAAAAGGTAGAAAAAAAATAGTCTGAAAAACTTCACTGTAATATTACCTGTGCAAGAAACTAGTAATTCTCCACAAAAGACTTAACCTGTCCATATGTATTTACTGAGGTTGTCCTGATTGGTTTTTATAGTCCAATCTATAAAACATTTTAACTTCACGTACTTTGGCCATAATAATGGTAAGATTTTATTCAAATAGATGTAAATCAGAGAGAATATTACAGTTTCTCAGGAAATGTTGGAACGTTAGGCTTGAATAAAAAGAATGAAAAAAAGAAAGAAGGAAGGAAGAAAAAAGAAAGAAGGAAGAAAGAAGGAAGGAAAAAGAAAGGAAAGGAAAGAAAGAAAAGAAAAGAAAAAAAGGAAGGATGTAACAGTCATGAATATTAAAGATAGTCAAAGGCTGCTTAGCAGGTACGAAAGTACAGCAATGGGAGGAATGCATTCTAGTGTCCTGTAGCACTGTATGGTAAGCATAACAAACAACAATTGATTGAATATTTTCAAATAGCTAGAAAAGTGGATTTTGAATGTTCCCAACACAAATAAATGATAAATGTTTGAGGTGACGTATATACTAATTACCCTGATTTGATCATTATACATGGTATAAATATACCAAAATATCACACTGCATGCCAAAAATATGTATAATGATTGTGTCAATTAAAATAATAATAAAAGCAAAAAAGAAAAAAAGAATATGTATTTCTCAAATAACAAGAAGTCCGGAAGTCACAATCCAGGACAAATTACCTTGCTCAGAATCAAGGCCTAGGTTTCTTCCAGCTTTTTTATTTTAGCATATAATTTTTATTCTTATACTTATAAAGTACTTGATCTACCTCTAAATTCATGCCCAACTCTCAGGAATGAAGAACGGGGAATGGACGAGGATAAAAGTCAAAAGTCATGGTCTGAGTCTTCTATCCGGAAAACAATGGTCTTACCACAAAGTCCCATCCTGTAGAATGCTGCTTGTATCTTAATATCTCAAAGTAGACCACATGGACACCATTAGCTGCGAAAAGTGTTTTTTTGTTGTTGTTATAGTAACTATTTTCTTTCTTTTTTCACTTATTATTAAAGAATGATTCACCGACCGAAAGACATAGGTATGAAAAGTGCACAATGTGATACAATTTTACTGATAGAACATACCAGTTCAGTCTGTGCCCAGATGAAGGCACAGATCATTAGAAGCACCCTATAACTTTGCCTCAGACTCCTTATCACTGCATCCTAAAGGGATAAGAATGTTTCTTAGTGGGTGCATTGCTGGCCTGGATGCCTTTAGAAATGAAGAGAAGAATGGATATCAGTTACGAAACTGGTAGAGTTTGCCGCAGAAACATAAGGGATAAATTACAATTGCGGAATAAGATCATGGGAATAACCATAATGACCCCGGATATGATGGGATTGTGTCATAGATGAACCAAGAACGTGAAGCTTGGCCCAACCTTACAAACGTAAAGATTTAAGAAGCAGGGAAAAAATAAAAATCTAGGGACCTCAGCCCAGAGCTGAGATTGGTTCTAGGCAGACACTGCATCAAAAACGTGTATACCCCAAGTGGAGCTATGTGAGGCTTGTTTCTAAAGACTTCTTTGGTGTATATTTTCTTGACTCAGAGTGTGTATCCTAATATAGGGTAACAATCATGTGAAATAGTCCAGTGAGAAAAACATTAACTTTGCAAATGTTATGAACTAGGGATTAAAATCCAGATTGATGGCTTGATAGATTAAAGTTTTTTTTGAAAATTCAAGTTCCTCATCAATAAAATAGTGGTAATACTACTTCATAGATGGTTAAGACAGTAAACTGGATGTGACTGAAGAAAAATTGGTAATTTGGATGTGTTTCCTCCAATTACCAAAGAGAACTGAGCAATTTCCACATCAATTCCTACCCCCTTCACCTCCTGTCACTATGCTTCCTCAAGAAATAACATTCTTTCTTGCTAATGAAAGGCAAAGTAGTTCTACTTTTAAAAATGGAGAAAGGGGATGGGTATTAGCAGAAAAAAGCGATGTGCGGCTTGGCTCTGAGGAGCAATTGGAGGCTCCTGGGAAAAAGATGTTTCAGTTATGGTGGTGTGTGGTATATGATGGACATGTATTTTTAAAAGGGAAAGCAAAAAAAAAAAAAAAAAATGAAATGCCTCTGTGGAAAATACAACGGAATCTCCCACATATTTTTAAAAATGAAAGTAAATGGGAATATTCGGCAATTTTTTTTTTGGCTGGACTGTGTTTCTTTAACTTCCACAGTGCTTCCAGACAAAATGTTGCAGACCCCTCTTGATAAGGTTAAGCAATGAGAAATAACAGTTTTAGTACAGGGCTGGGCACACAGCCAATGTTCAGGAAACAGTCTCTTTTATAAATGACTGATTTTGTTCTCTATGACTAATTATTTAAATGTATTTGTCAAAAAAGTACAATAATAATAATAATCACATATTGAGAGATTTCCAAGAGCTAGGCACTGCTCACAACAACCCTAAAACCAAGAACAATAATTAGTCATATTTTACAGATGAGGAAACTTCGTCTAAGCAAAGGCCTGCCAAGTTAATAGAAAACACACATCTGGTAAATTTATATTTCTGGAGTTTGAACTTAGATAGTTTAGATCTTATGCATTTAATTACACATGCTATGATTTGAGCAGAGACTACATTGTTTTAGAGCAGTTACAACTTTCCTAGTTAACTAAAGGCACGGGAGCAGGTGTCTGGATGTGTACGTGCTGATGAGTTTAGGAAAAGTCAGACTTTATTGCCTTAAAACACTTGCTAATAATAAATGTAATTCACTAAGAATCAAGCTAACTCATTTGTAGAAAATAAATAGAGCCAAAGTCGTTTTTCTTCCAATATTGGGTAAAAAACTATCTGAAGTTTATGACTTGACACTTATTTTGATTAACTTCGGCTAAAGACATTTTCACTGAATATAGTGAAGAGACAAACCAATGAATGATACAAAAACTGACTCCCCTGTGTAGCTCTAGAACATACAACAGAGAACCAGTGTCAGTTTTCCAAGAGGGAGAAAGTCAAATTACCCAGATGATGAAAGGATCTTTGGCAATGACCTATGAACCTGAAACAATGTCCAGTTGTCCTTGGCTATCCAATGTTGGCTATCTACCGTTTTGTGAATGAAATTATTGCTCATAACTTTTCACAGTTTTTCATTCCATTTCAAATTAATAGTGATTGTTGGCATCGAAAAAAGTATTTTTGAAATACATGGAGGCAGATATGTCTTTTTTTCGGAGTGTGGGTCCCTTGTCCTTTTAAAATAACTTTAGTTTACCAACTGCCTATTTGTAACCATTTGCACCAGAGACTGGACATTCAGAACCACAAAAGTGTTGTTTTATTTTGTAACTGAGAGTTATCAAGGAAAGCATTTTCAAGTATAAAAATTGAAATGGACGTCCAATAGGGAAAAAATTTTAATTCATAATTATCATACATTGAATAATTCCAAGGTGCCAGGGTTCACATGTATTTCTTGATTTTAAACATAAGAGTAGTGAGACTGCTAGAAATATATCATTTTCTTTAAGATTATGCCACCAGTATAGAGAATTGTTTTAACATGAACCTTGGGAATATGATATAAACTGACTCCAAAGCCTATGAACTTCATCACTGTGCTTGCAGTAATCAATCTGATGCTTTAATGACACAGGCAACATCTTGCTGTGTCCTGAAAGAATAATAATGTAAAAGTCAGGGAGAGTTTGGTAATAAAGAATGAAGAACTGCATATTAGACGTTTTGGTTTATGTAAGATACTGGGGCCTTTGACATATTGAAGCAATTCATTTGGCTTTGTTGGGAAGTATTTATCTCCAAGGTCTCTTTTGTAACTATCTATAAGTCTGTGAAATTGTGCACATGCATAATCTCATTTTCTCTTTGAGTATTATTTGATCTTATATATAGAACAGGGACACATTATCATGGATAAACATTTCCCCAAGTTTGGAGAAACATGGAGTTCAAGAGAAATCTTACTTTTGAAGCAAAAAGAAAAAAAGAAAAGAAAAAAAAAATCCCCTTAAAGAATGAATTCATTTCTATGTTATTTACCACTATATCCCAGAACCAAAAGTATTTCCTGAGACTTAGTAAACATTAATAAATAATTTTTGAATGAAAACTAAAATGGGAAGAAAGTCATCCTTAAAAGAGAAATTTTCCTCCAAAACTTTTCTTGATTTAATTTGTAAAAGCCAACTCTAGGGAAAATATGTAATCAAGGTGCTTAGGACTTTAAGCTGAAGGGTTAAAATCCATCAGAGGACAAATGGATAATTTCTATAACTCAAGACACAGTAGGGAGAGAGGCCATAACTCATGTTCCGCACTTTTTGGAAGTATAGAACAATGCTAGCTCACATGCTGCTGCTAGAGCTCTTCAGTTCAAACTGGGAATCTTTCCAAGGTGACATCTATTGCACTTTATTAGCTATCATCACTTAATAGAATGTGGAACTATTTTCTCCCCATGTTTATCCTAAGGAAATGTGCCTCCAAATTCTGGATCAACCTCTGAAGACCCAGAAGGCTTCATCCTCGAATGGCAGCTTTATGGTTAGGAATCTTGTCAGTTTCATAGGTTGCTAACATTGCCTAAGTCATTCAGAAATCCTAATTATCTTTACAGCACAGAAGGCCCCCAGTCACTCAAGAACTTCTCACCTCCTAGAAGATGTCGTGAATTGTGATTGATGATTCCTCCAGGAAGCACCAGTACCCTGAAACAACTTGCTTTCCAAAATGCCTGTAAAGCATTCACTTACAAGTACAGTCATGCACCACTTAATGACAGGGATAGTTTCTGAGAAGGGTGTCCTTAGGCAATTTCCTAATTGTGCAAACATCATAGGGTGCACTTCCACAAACCTGGATGGTGTAGGCTACTACACACCTAGGCTACATGAAATGGCCTGTTTCTCTTAGGCTGCAAACTTGTATAACATGTTACTGTACTGAATACTGCAGGCAATTGTAACACAGTGGTGTTTATGTATCTAAAAATAGGTAAATATAGGTAAGGTACAGTAAAAATATGTTGTAAGAGATTAAAAAAAAAAAAGAAACAACCCAGAACATCTGTATAGGGCACTTATGATAAATGGAGTTGGAGAACTGAAAGTTGCTCTGGGTGAATCAGTGAGTGGTGAGTGAATGTGTAGCCCTATGAGATTACTGAACACTACTGTAGACTTTATAAACACTGTATACTTAGGCTACACTAAATTTATTGAAAATGTCTTTCTTTAATAATAAATTAAACTTAGCTTGCTATAACTTTTTTACTTTATAAGCATTTTGATTTTTTTTTTTTTTGAGATAGAGTCTTGCTCTTTTCCCCAGGCTGGTGGACAGTGGCGCAATCTCAGCTCACTGCAACCTCTGTCTCCTAGGCTCAAGCCATGCTCTCACCACAGCCTCCCAAGTAGCTCGTACTACAGGTGCACATCATGCCTGGCTATTTTTTGTATTTTTTCCTAGAGATGAGGTTTCACCATGTTGCCCAGGCTGGTCTCAAACTCCTGGGCTCAAGCTATCCACTGGCCTCAGCCTCCCAAAGTGCTGAGATTACAGTCGTGAGCCACGGTGATCAGCCTAATTTATTTAACTTTTGTAATAACACCTAACTTCAAACACAAATGCGTTATACAGCTATCTTGTTTCTTTATACCTTTATTTCTATAAGCTTTTTCCCTTTTTAATTACTTTTTAGACTTTTGTATGAAAACAAAGATACAAACACATACATTAGCCTAGGCTTACACTGAGTCAGGATCATTGATATTACTGTCATCCATCTTCATGTCTTCTCCCACTGGAAAATCTTCAGGGGCAATACTGTGCATGGAGCTGTCTGTGATAATGATGCCTTCTTCTGGAATATGTCCTGAAGAAACTGCTTGCTGTTCTACAGTTAACTTTCTTTTTAAAATAAACTAAAGAAGTAGACCCAAAAATAACAAGCAGTTTAGTAAATACTTAAATTAGTCTTTTTTATTACTATGACTTAAATTAGTCATAAAATAGTCATTTATTATTATGATCAATTATCATGTACTCTTCATGATTGTATGTGCTAGACTTTTATAGGACTGACAGTACAGTAGGTTTGTTTACACTAGCATCATAACAAACGTGAGATCTTTGTGAGTAATAATGAAGCAAGTAAAACAGATTGTGGGCTCAAAATAAGTTGAGTTAATAGCCAACTTGTATTACCTAATAACTGCATAAACTCATCAACAAACTTTACCTGCCAACAGTTCAGTTTTCACATCTAAAGAATGTTGATAACAATAACTACTGTTTTGAACACAGAATTTATTGATGATTAAACAGTATTTCAAATACTTCATCAAACATGTGAAGTCCCAATAGTTGATAGTTTTTATTATTCTGTGCATGATTAACAATGACAATAATATGTATTGTTCTGATTAGCTATAGCTGAGTATATAGCCACCTAAAAATATAATGGCTAAAATTGAAAACGGTTGTATCACACTTCATGATTCCAAGGGTAGGCCCGAGCTCAACTGAGTATTCTCCTTCCTGGCCTCATGTGAGGTCTTTTCTGTGTTCCAATCAGATGGTGGCTGTGACTGGAGCTGCTTAACTCTCCCCTGTGTGCACCCATGTGCCCCTTCTCCACACAGCAAGTTACCCTCCATGGCCTTGTCGTGTGGCCATTCTTTTGGGCAAACTAGCCTGGGTTTCTTTTATGGTGGCTGTTATGGAATGAATATTTTACTCCCCTAAATTCATGTGGTAAAGCCTAAATTCCCAGTGGGTTGGTAAGGTAGACCTCCCTTCTTCCTGGGAAATGTGTCTCAAGGCCCTAGTGAATACTTGAAACCGCAGATACTAAAAAATCATATATTTAATGTGATTTTTTTTCTATGCACATGTACCTATGATAAAGTTTAATTTGTAAATTAGGCATAGTAAGAGTGTAACAACAATAATTATTTATAAAATAAAAGTTATTATGTTGTATTGTCATAACAGTTGTGTGAATATGGTCTCTTTTTCTCTCTCTCTCCCTCAAAATGTCTTATTGTACTGCATCTGAGGTAACTAAAACCATGGAAAGCAATATGTAGATAAGCAGGGTCTACTGTATTTGGAGATGGGATCTTTGAATGACAATTAATCCCTTATCTTCTTAAAGTGGCCACTTTAAGAAGATAAAGAGCTCTGATTCTCTGCCATGTGAGATTAAATCCAAACATGGCCATGTGCAAGCCAAGAAAAGGCCACTTGCTAGTCAACGGATCTGCTGACACCTTGATCTTGGACTTCCCAGCCTCCAGAACTGTGAGAAATAAATTTCTGTTGTTTAAGCCACCTAGCCTATGGTATTTTTCTTATAGCAGCTTGAATTGACTAAGACAGTGCTTGGGGTGTCAAGAGAAAGGAAGCAGAGGTCAGAACTCAGAAGTCCTAGGACACCACATTGTCTGTATTCTATTGGTCCTATCAGTCACAGGCTTAAAGGGGAGAGGATACCAAGGAGAGAGGATATATGTTTCCTCTTAAAGGGCAGAGTAGCATGTGTATATAGGAAATTATCTGGAGATTAGCTGCCAAAGGTATGATTCATTTAAAGTACCAATGTTATATTGTCTATTTTATCAGTGTCGCAGGTTCTTTGCACAGAGACTTTGCATCCAGATAACAGCTTTGTGACTGTTATTGAGAGTCAACAGGAATCTTTTAGTTATACATTCAGACTGTACTGCAGTAGACAGCACATTAGGGAAGCAGGAAATCATGGGTTTGCAGCTGAAATGAAAAAATATTGGTCTATGTAGTCTGATGAAAAGGCAGAAGCATTGGTGGAAGCAAAACCAGTATTCAGCTTCTGGCTCTGCACTAGTCAGATCTGTGAAAGCCAAGGCTAAATATTTCTGAGACTCAACTGAGTCACCTGTGACCAAGTTCCAGGTGCTGAGGCTATGTAATAAACCACTCCCATCTGGTGGTTTCAACAAAACATCATGACTTTTGCTCATATATCTGCAATCTGGACAGGACCCTATGAGGAAGTTTTTTTCTGCTATTCTTACCATCAGCAGGAGTGCCTCAAAGGCCAGGGGCTGGACTATCTGAAGTCTTCCTCATTCACATGCTGGCATCTGGACTTGAACAGCTCTGAGATGGAGCAGCTGAAGCCCCTTGGGCTAGTCTATCTCCATATAATCTAAGTTCAAGGGAGCTAAACTTCTTACATGGAGGTGCAGGACTCCAAAGACCTCAGTACCCAAGACAGAATAAAAGAGAAGGAGGAAGAGAGAGAGAGAGAACCAGGTAGTAACTGTATATAGTTCATACAGCATCCTATTGATTAGAAGTGAATCATTTCATGTTGATGCAAATTTAAGGGGTGAGCAATTATATCACACTTCTTGTAGAAGAAGCATGTATTAGTCTGTTCTCATGCTGCTGATAAAGACATTCTTGAGACTGGGTAACTTATAAAAGAAGAGGTTTAATGAACTCACAGTTCCACATGGCTGGAGAGACCTCACAATCATGGTGGAAGGCAAACAAAAAGCAAAGGCACATCTTACATGGCAACAGGCAAGTGTTGCGGGAAGTCAGGGATCCCGAACAGAGGGACCGGATGAATCCATGGCAGAAGAACAAAAATTGTGAAGATTTCATGGACATTTATTAGTTCCCCAAATTAATACTTTTATAATTTCTTATGCCTGTCTTTACTGCAATCTCTGAACATACATTGTGAAGATTTCATGGACACTTATCACTTCCCCAATCAATACTCTTGTGACTTCCTATGCCTGTATTTAATCTCTTAATCCCATCATCTTCATAAGCTGAGAATGAATGTCGCCTCAGGACCCTGTGATGATTGCGTTAACTGCACAAATTGTTTAAACTATATGAAATCTGGGCACCTTGAAAACAGAACAGGAAAACAGTGATGTTCAGGGAACAAAGGATATAACCTTAAAGTCTGGTTGCCTGTGAGCTGGGTGGAACAGAGCCATATCTCTCTTCTTTCAAAAGCAAATAGGAGAAATATCACTGAATTCTTTTTCTCAGCAAGGAACAGCCCTGAGAAAGAGAATGCATGTCTAGGGGTAAGCCTCTAAAATGGCCGCTCTGGGGACGTCTGTCTTTTATGGTTGTAGATAAGGGATGAAATAAGCCCTGGTATCCCGTAGCGCTCCCAGGCTTATTAGGATGAGGAAACTCCTGCCTAATAAATTTTGGTCAGACCAGTTGTCTGCTCTCAAACCCTGCCTCCTGATAAGGTGTTATCAATGACAATGTGTGCCGAAACTTCATTAGCAATTTTAATTTCGCCCAGGTCCTGTGATCTCGCCCTGCCTCCATTTGCCTTGTGATATTTTATTACCTTGTGAAGCATGTGATCTCTGTGATCCACACCCCATTCGTACACTCCCTCCCCTTTTAAAAATCACTAATAAAAACTTGCTGGTTTTGAGGCTTGGGGGGCATCACGGAACCTGCTGACATGTGATGTCTCCCCCGGACGCCCAGCTTTAAAATTTCTCTCTTTCCCTTTATTTCTCAGACTGGACGACACTTAGGGAAAATAGAAAAGGACCCACGTGAAATATCAGGGGCTGAATTCCACCCGATAGGCAAGAGATCTTGTGCAGGGGAACTCCCATTTATAAAACAATCAGATCTCATGAGATTTGTTCACTACCACAAGAACAGCATGGGAAAAACCCACCCCCATGATTCGATTACCTCCCACCAGGTCCCTCTCATGATACGTGGGGATTATGGGAGCTACAGTTCAAGATGAGATTTGGGTGGGGACATAGCCAAACCACATCAGAGCATCAAAGGGGTTGCAGACATGTTTTAAAACTTCTTAACTAGGATAGGATGATACCTCTGCCCTAATTAGTTACTCACTCCACTGAATGTTAGTTGCTCACTATACATTCATTTATTTTTTTCTCCCTACCTGGCCCTCATGCTCCCATTGTACCACTCACTTTAATTTCCCAAAACAATAATTTGAAAAGATTCAGATAGAGCATCATTTCGAGATCTCGTTTAATATCTCAGGTCTCAGGGAACATTCCAGTGGTATAGAAGCAGATCCTTCTGTGCAGCTTTAGATATCTGCCTAATATCAGCATTCTCAGAAGGCTCAAGTAATCCATTAGAGGGCCAGCTTAAGGCAGGAGGAACAAAGCACTGGTGTTTTTACAAGGCAGTCAGCCTCTTCTCTATTACTTGGCAGGACTTCAAATTGCCATGGGTTAATGTGTTGGCTCTGGGAAGCTCCAGTTTTGAAATGAAGCCCAGAGTAGTATAGGATGGACCTACTTGGAGAAACTTAATCTAAGAGTAATGTGTGAAAGGAAATGAATGCAGAGATAAACTTTGAGGTCTAAAGGAGGCTGTGGAGAAACCCACAGTGGACTGCAGTTTTAATTCAGCTGGTAGTTATGCAAATTAGGGAAAATATATCCTTCTCTCTGAGTATCACTCTTTTTGTTCATCTGACTCTTCTACCTTGGTTTCCTGGTCAGCAAGGAATCTTTCAAGACTCAGTGAAAATCTAATCACCTCTATTTTATTTAGACTTTTTTATTTGCTGTGTGATATGTGGGAATAAATGAACATTTCTGAGCTTCCTTTTCTTCATCTCTGAAATGAAAAGACTAGAAGAGTAAATTATGAAGATGCTTTTCAGCTGAAAAATGTTATTATTCTTTGTTTTTCAAATAGCAAAACCCAGTCCAATGTATGGCATTTGAATTATGTATTTTTCCTACAAATGTGGGTGCTCTAGAATCTCAATGGAAATGTCATCAACAAACAGAAATATTTCCAATCTCCTGGGAACCCAGTTAAAACTCTTTCAGATTGTAAATTTTGGAGATCATTTTCACTAATTATATTTTTCTGTTAACTGAATATTTGGCTGGAAATTTTAAATAAAATATAACTTGGATTGTTTTGGAATTAGAAGCAGGTGACACAATATTTTTACACCTCAAAATAATTTTGATAGGTATTTTGGCATAACTTGCTCAATAAATGGCTGTAATACTAGAGCAAGAAAATGTATTCAATTACTAACAGAAAATGTGTGTCCCCCGGGGGTTATGGAAAATACATTCAGGCATAAAATGTTCGAAGTGAAATTATTTTAGAGTGCACTTCTTTTAAAATGCAAATGGAGTTTGAAATTGTACATTGGCACGTTCGATCTCAGTGGAATTTTGCAACCACATATTATTATATCACTCCTCTTCTCTGTCATGTATCCAGAGTACCCAGGTGACCAATTGACTAGAATTATCCCTCTATATTTTTAAATGTCTAAAGCATGGCAGTCTTTTTGTAGGATAAGGCAAATCACTATTAAAAAGCAGTTTTGAAATTCATTCCAGATGCTTGATGTTTACTTCTGAAAAGATGAGGGACAATAAAAACCGTGGGGCTAGGTGCGGTGGCTCCTGTCTGTAATCCTAACACTTTGGGAGGCTGAAGAGGGCAGATCAC
This sequence comes from Homo sapiens, assembly GCF_000001405.40. Lineage (NCBI taxonomy): Eukaryota > Metazoa > Chordata > Mammalia > Primates > Hominidae > Homo > Homo sapiens. Next base: position 19,253,432 of record NC_000004.12, on the reverse strand, counting down.
TTAAACCCAGAAGTTTAACACCAAACTGAGCAACATGGCAAGACCCCGTCTCTACAAAAAAATACAAAAATTAACCAGGCATGGTGGTGAGTGGCTGCAGTCCCAGCTGCTTGGTAGGCTGAGGTGGGAGGATCACTTGAGCCCAAGAGATGGAGAGATCAAGGCTACAGTGAGCTGTGATCATGCCACTGTACTCCAGCCTGAGTGACAGAGTGAAACGCTGTCTCAAAAACAAATAAATAAATATCATAGTTATCTACTAAATGGACCCATGTGATTGAGCAAAAAGGCCTATGTTCTCACCTTCCCCTTAAAAGTATTTCATCAGGAATATTTTTAGTTGAATTCATATGCACTCACGCATGCACACACTCATACAACGTCATGTTTATTTTTATATCAACATATGTAATTGATAATTTAAAAAACTCAACTGAATTTGCTTTATCTGTGATGAAATAGTATTGATAAAGTAATTGTATAATAATATTTTGGTTTAGGAGACATATTTAACCTTATGAGAACAAAATATCTTTTAATTCCCTTATCTATCTTCATTTTGTTACAGTTATTTTTACATCAATTATAACTCAATTACAACTAGACATCAAGTAACGTCTTCTCTTATAATTTTCCTAATATTTTATTAATTTTAATATGGGTTCCAAATAGATTATAATCAATCAATTATGAAACAATTGTGTTTTCTATTGTGTGGTAAGCTTTTGTAGGTATGGTGAACATGAAGTGCGATATTCTTATTCTGATTTTAAGCATTTTGCTATCTATTGTGGTGCTGACACAGAGCAGGAACCTATATCTAAATTCATATGGGTTGAAGTCATATGAATTTATGACTTCATAATTCTAATGGCCAATTAGAATTACCTGACACTGATCCTCCCTGCTCCCACAAAAGAGAAGGAAAACAAATGAATCAGCAAATATATTTTGAGTAGAGTGACCTAGGAAGTATACTGGAGAGCACCAGAGGCACAGTGAAATCGCTGTGAAGTATGGAAGCCCAGGATAGCACTGTAGAGAGGGCAGTGAGATATCCTGCCTCTGCCACAGAGTTTCCCCCACTGCTGTTGGCACAGAGTCAGGAGGGACTTCTTATGGAGAAAAGGGAAGCTGAGATCTCCAGGGGTCCCCATTGCTGCCACAAACACCAGCTATCCTTGCTGTAAGAGAGGGCTTTGGTCCTCACAGGCCCCAAATCCAGTGTGGAAAGTAGCCATCAGCCTGTGCATCTGCATTGCCTTTGAATACAAGCCCACCTTGTGTACCATTCACTCCTGTGATCAGAGCTGCTACAGCATAGTGCCATCTTGAAACCAGACCCACTACTAGAGTGTGTTCTTCCTGGAGACCTCGCCATCCCTGAAGCCTCACTATAACTCTACTTTATTTATATGGATGCCTCCAGCACCGTGACCTGGCTGCCCACAGCCTAGACCAGATGAGATAGCTGAGATCCTGGTGTCCAAACCCATGCAACACACACAGGATAACCTGTACAGCAGGGAAGCTGCCAAACAGCAGACTGGCCACTTTGCCTACACAGATTTGTCACACAACTGGCAGCCCCCAAGTCTGCACATACCCACCACCAGCTATACAGCCAGTACTACAGTGGCCCCATCCTACAGAGGAACCACCACAGAGCCCTGCAATTCCACTCTTCCTGCACTCATGTATGCCTATTTTGATAGCCAATCATGTAGCAATCCTGTATTAGTCCATTTTCATGCTGCTGATAAAGACATACCCACCAAGACCGGGAAGAAAAAAATGTTTAATTGGACTTACAGTTCCACATGGCTGGGGAGGCCTCAGAAACATGGTGGGAGGTGAAAGGCACTTCTTACACGGCAGTGGCAAGAGAAAATGAGGAAGAAGCAAATGCAGAAATGCCCGATAAACCCAGCAGATCTCATGAGACTTATTCATTATCACAAGAATAGCATGGGAAGGACTGGCCCCCATGATTCAGTTACCTCCCCTTGGGTCCCTCCCACAACATGTGGGAATTCTGGGAGATACAATTCAAGTTGAGATTTGGGTGGGGACACAGCCAAACCATGTCATTCCCCTCCTGGCCTCTCCAAATATCACGTCCTCACATTTCAAAACAAATCATGCCTTCCCAACAGTTCCCCCAAAGTGTTAACTCATTTCAGCATTAACACAAAAGTCCACAGTCCAAACTCTCATCTGAGACAAGGCAAGTCCCTTCCACCTGTGAGCCTGTAAAATCAAAAGAAAGCTAGTTACTTCCTGGATACAATGGGGGTACAGGTGTTGGATAAATACAGCCATTCTAAATGGGAGAAATTGGAGAAAACAAAGGGGTTACAGAGTCCATGCAAGTCCAAAATCCAGTGGGGCAGTCAAATTTTAAAGCTGTAAAATGATCTCCTTGACTCCAGGTCTCACATCCAGGTCACGCTGATGCCAGAGGTGGGTTCCCATAGTGTTGGGCATCTCCACTCCTGTGGCTTTGCATGGTACATCCTCCCTTCTAGCTGCCTTCATGGGCTGGTGTTGAGTGTCTGTGGTTTTCCCAGGTGCACAGTGCAAGCTGTCAGTGGATCTATCATTCTGGGGTCTGGATGAGGGTGGCCCTCTTCTTATAGCTCCACTAGGCAGTTCCCCAGTAGGGACTCTGTGTGGGGGCCCTAACCCCACATTTCCCTTCTGCAATTCGCTAGCAGAGGGTGTCCATGAGGGCCCCACCCCTGCAGCAAACTTCCCTGGGCATCCAGGCATTTCCATACATCTTCTGAAATCTACGCGGAGGTTCCCAAATCTCAATTCTTGACTTCTGTGAACTTTCAAGCTTAACATCACATGGAAGCTGCCAAGGGTTGGGGCTTCCACCCTCTGAAGCCACAACCCAAGCTGTAGGTTGGCCCCTTTCAGCCATGGCTGGAGTAGCTGGGACACAGGGAACCAAGTCCCCAGGCTGCACACAGCACAGAGACCCCAGGCCCAGCCCACAGAACCACATTTTCCTCCTCAGCCTCCTGGCCTGTGATGGAAGGGGCTGCTGTGAGGGTCTCTGACATGGCCTGGAGACATTTTCTCCATGGTCTTGGGGATTAACATTAGGCTCCTTGCTACTTACGCAAATTTCTGCAGCTGCCTTGAATTTCTCCACAGGAAACAGGTTTTTCTTTTCTCTTGTATAGTCAGGCTGCAAATTTTCCAAGCTTTTATCCTCTGCTTCCCTTATAAAACTGAATGCCTTTAATCGCACTCAAGTCACCTCTTGAATGCTTTTCTGCTTAGAAATTTCTTCTGCCAGATACCCTAAATCACCTCTCTCAAGTTCAAAGTTCCAAAAATCTCTAGGGCAGGTGCAAAAAGCCGCTAATCTCTTTGCTAAAACATAACAAGAGTTACCTTTGCTCCACCATCAACAAGTCTCTAGGAGGTTCCAAACTTTCCTACATTTTCCTGTCTTGTTCTGAGCCCTCCAAACTGTTCCAGCCTCTGCCTGTTACCCAGTTCCAAAGTTGCTTCCACATTTTTTGGGTATCTTCAGCAATGCCCCATTCTACTGGTCCTAATTTACTGTATTAGTCTGTTTTCATGCTGCTGATAAAGACATCCCCAAGACTGGGAAGAAAAAGAGGTTTAAGTGGACTTACAGTTCCACTTGGCTGGGGTGGCCTCAGAATTACGGTAGGAGGTGAAAGGCACTTCTTACATGGTGGCAGCAAGAGCAAATGAGGAAGAAGCAAAAGCAGAATCCCCTAATAAACCCATCAGATTTTGTGAGACTTATTTACTATCACGAGAATAGCATGGGAAAGATTGGCCCCCATGATTCAATTACCTCCCCCTGGGTCCCTCCCACAATACGTGGGAATTCTGGGAGACACAATTCAAGTTGAGATTTGGGTGGCGACACAGCAAAACCATATCAAATCCCAAGACACAAACAGACTGCCACAGAGGCATGTGGCCCTGCAGCATCTGCCTGTACCTGTGACTGGCCTGATGGCTGGTCTGGTGGTGCCCCCCTCACTCTGAAGAGATAGCCTGACAGCCACTGGGCGGTTGCACCAACATATGCCCAAGCCTTGCCCAACAACCAGCCTGGAAGTTCCTACCACCTCCCCCAAAAGCCCTACAGACAGCCTGTTGGCTTTCTGTATCTGCACATGCCTAGCTCAACAACCAGATGCACAGATATCAATTTGGGGACATAAGAAACAAAAACAAAAAAAAGGCAGGAAAACATTGTCACCCTCCAAAAAAACAATACCTCTTAAGTAAAATAACTCGCCATTTATTAAATGCCTGAAAAGGAATTCAAATTGATAATCATAAGGAAAGTCGGGAAGTTACAAAAGAACACAGTCAATTTAATAAAATCAGGAAACAGTTCATGATCTAAATAAGGAATTTTGATAGATATCATAAAAAAGAACAAACTAAATGATGGAGCTGAATAAGTCAATGAATTAAGTTTTAAAATACAATTGATAGAGAGACTGATATGTGAGCGTTCATGTTGCCCTGCATGGGAATTTTGTGAAGAAGCTAGATAAAAGGGAGGGGGATAAAAGCAAGGAGAATACAGAGACTCTAACCAGACAATCCCTCCACGTGGGGGGTGGCAAAAGAGTTATGGCCTAAAATCTGGATGATTCTGAGCAAGACAGTGTGGAATCCCAGGACATGGGATCCTTGGAAAGAAGGGGAGGATAGTGAGAATGATATGGAGGTGACAGAAACCTGAGGGCCTTTCCACAGTGTGTCTGACAGTACACTGGAAGGCAAAAGCCAAGAACATCATGCCATTCAGTTGGCTTCAAAATAAATAAATAGATAAATAAAATTAAGAGCTTCAACAACACATTATATCAACCAAAAGAAATAATGCAATCAGAGGAAAAATAAAGAAATAAGAATTAAAAACAAGGAAAGAAGAAATCCTAAAAGGCTTGTGGGATCATTAAGCTGACAATTTTTTTTATTACTATTATATGAGTACTAGAGAGAGAATAGGTGGAAAAACGTGCAGAAACCCTATTCTGCAAAATAATAACTGAAAACTTTCTAAGTGGTGAGATGGATATGAACATACAGATTCAGGAAGCTCAAAAGCCCTAATTATATTCAATACAAACTCTCTGAAGAACATTATAATCAAACTGTCAAAAGCCAAAGATAAAGAGAGATTTCTAAAAGCAGCAAGAGAAAGTGTCAACTCACGTATAAAACAGTCACCTTTACAGTATCATCACATTTCTTAGCAGAAACCTTGCAGACGAGGAGAGAATGGAATCATATATTCAAAGTGCTCAAATAAAGCAAATAACTGTCAGCCAATAAAACTATTCCAGCAAAGCTATTCTTCGGAAATAAAGGAGAAATAAAGGCCTTTCCTGACAAAAAAAAAAAAAAAAAAAAAAAGCAAAGAGAATTCACCATTAGACTGGCCTGATAAGAATTGCTTAAAGAGTGCTGCAACTGGAAACAAAGGATAATGATCACTATCATGAAAACACATGAATGTATAAAACTCACCAGTAGACATAAAGTTATAACTTATACCCAGAATACCCCAGTGATGTAATGGTGCTATGTACATCTTTCAATTGTCTAGTATGAAGTTTTGAAGTAAAAATAGTAAAAAAAACACTTTGGGAGGCCATGGTAGGTGGATTACCTGAGGTCAGGCCAACATGGTGAAACCCTGTCTCTACTAAAAAATACAAAAATTAGCCAGGTGTGGTGACGGGTGCCTGTAATCCCAGCTACTTGGGAAGCTGAGATCGGAGAATTGTTTGAACCCGGGAGGTGGAGGTGGCAGTGAGCCAAGAGCACACCATTGCACTCCAGCCTAGGCAGCAAGAGCAAAACCCCATCTAAAAATAAATAAATAAATAAAAGTAAAAATCAACAGATTCAATTGGTGGCTAAGAAACAATAATAGATAAGCAAATTATGGCAACACAAATATAAATTGTGGGGAAAGGGAAATAATATAGAGTCTTTTTATATGACCAAATTTAAGTTGCTATCAGCTTAAATTAATCTGTTATAACTTTAAGACTCTTGATGTTAGACCCATGGTTACCACAAAAATGTAATTATAGCAAATACACAAATGAGAAAGATAAAGGAAACAAAGCTTAGTACCACAGACAACCATCAAACCACAGAAGTAAACAATGGAAGAGGAAGAAAGGAACAAAGCATTAACAAAACAACCAGAAAATTAATAAAATGGCAGAAGTAATTCCTTATCTATCAATAATAACCTTGAATGTAAATATATTAAATTCTCCAAATAAAAGCTGTAGAGTGGTTAGTAGATGAAAGAAATAAGACTCGATTTCTATGTTACCTACAAGAGATTCATCTCACTGTTTCACTGTTAAAGACAAACATAGACTGAAAGTGAAGGAAAGGAAATATATTTCATGCAAATAAAAACCAAAAGCAAGTATATGTAGTCATAATTATATCAAATAAAAAAGACTTGAAGACAACAACCGTAAAAGAGAAAAAGGTCTTTATTTAATGATAAAAGGGATCAATTCAGCAAAAGAATGTAACAATTATAAATACATTTGCATCCAACATTATAGCATGCAGATATATAAAGCAAATATTATTAGACCTAAAGGGGAAGATAAATGGCAATACAATAACAGTAGGGGACTTTACCACTCAACTTTCAACTATGGGCAGACCATGTAGTCAAAACATTAACAAAGAAAAATTGGACTTAAATGCATCAGAGACCAAATGGACCTAACAGACATTTACAGAGCATTCCATCCAATAGTTGCAGAAATCACATTTTTCTCAAGTGCACAAGAAACATTCTCCAGAATAGATTACATGTTAGGCCACAAAATAAGTCTTAAACTGATGAAGCTAGAGGTCCAGGTATCTTTTATTTATTTATTTATTTATTTATTTATTTATTTATTTATTTATTTACTGAAACGGAGTCTCACTCTGTCGCCCAGGCTGGCGTGCAGTGATGCGATCTCGGCTCACTGCAAGCTCTGCCTTCCGGGTTCACGCCATTTTCCTGCCTCAGCCTCCCGAGTAGCTGGGACTACAGGCACATGCCACCAGCCCAGCTAATTTTTTGTATTTTTAGTAGAGACGGGGTTTCACTGTGTTAGCCAGGATGGTCTCCATCTCCTGACCTCAAGATCCGTCCACCTCCGCCTCCCAAAGTGCTGGGATTACAGGGGTGAGCCACCGAGCCCAGCCTGGTCCTGGTATGTTTTCTGACTCCACATGACATAAAACTAGAAATCAACAATACGAAAAACTTTGGAAACAATAAATAGCTTAAAATTAAACAACGTGTTCCTAAACAAACAATGAGACAATGAAGAAATTAACAGGGAAGTTAAAAAATTCCTAAGACAAATGAGAATGGAAAGATATTAAACCAACACCTGTGAGAAACAGCAAAAGCAGTTCTAAGAGGTAAATTTATATGAAGCAACATCTAAATAAAAAGAAAAGGATTTCCAATAAATAATCTAATGATGCACCTTAAGAAACTATAAAAACAAGAACAAATTAAACTCAAAATTCATAGAAGAAGGAAAATGAAGCTCAGAGCAGAGATAAAATACTTCAAAAATTCAAAAAAATCAACAAAACAGACTGGTTTTTGGAAAGATAAATAAAGTCAATCAACTTTTAGCTAAACTAAGAAAAACAGAAACATAACATACAAAGGTCAATAGTGTTTCTGTATGCTAATAGTTAACTTTCTGAAAAAAATTAAGAAAATTTCATTTACAAGAGCTACAAAAATAAGATAACTAAGAATGAATTTAAGCAAGGATGCAAAAGATCTCTATACCAAAACTATAAACTTTGATGAAAGAAATTGAAGAGGACACACATAAATGAAAAGATATCCCATGTTCATGAACTGAAAGAATTCATATTATTAAAATGGCCATACCATAAGAGATATACACATGTAATGCAATTCCTATCAAAATTCCAATGACATTCTTCACAAAAATAGAAAAGAAGTAAAATTCATATGGAACAACAACAACAAAAATCCCAAATAGCCTGAACAAAGCATAGCAAAAAGAACAAAATTGGTGGTATCACTCTACTTGACTTCAAAATATACTACAAACCTGTAATAACCAATAAAATATGGTACTGACATAAAAACAGACACATGGATCAATAGAAGAGAGAGACTGGGAATAAACTCATGTATCTATAGCCAACTGATTGATGACAAAGCTGCCAAGGACACACATTATGGCAAAAACTCTCTTCAATTAATGCTGCTAGGAAAAGTGAATATTCATACTAGACCTCCACCTGTCACCATGCACAAATATAGACTCAAAATAGATCAAAGACTTAAGTGTATTACCTGAAACGATAAAACACAAAAAGAGAGGAAATGCTTCCCTACCATTGGGTTGAGCAAAGATTTTTGAAATACCTCAAAGCACAGGAAATAAAAACAAAAATAAACAAATGGGATTTCATCAAGCTAAAAAGCTTTTGCACAGCAAAGGAAACTCTTATTGAAGTGAAAAGACAAACTACAAAATGGGAAAACATATTTGTAAACTATACATCTGATGAGGGGTTAATATCCAGAATATATGAGGAACATAATTAAAAAATGATCAACAGAACTTTCTGTCAAAAGAAGACAGACAAATGGCCAACAGGTATATAAATAATGCTCAACATCACAAATCACTAGGGAAATTTAAATAAGAGTTGCAATGTGATATCTTACCCAATTAGACTATTTAACAAAAAGACAAAAGAAACAAGTATTGATGAGGATATTGAGAAAAGGGAACCCTTTTACGCTGTTGGTTGAATTGTAAACTAGTACTGTCATTATGAAAACAATATGGAAGATACATCAAAAAATTTAAAAATTGAACTGCCATATGCACAGTAGCAATCACACTACTAAGTATAGACACAAATGTAATTAAATCAGTATTTTGAAGAGATATTGGAGCATTATCTATCATAGCAAAGATATGGAATCAACCTAAGTGTCAAAGAATGGATAAATGGATAAAGAAAATGTGTCAATAGAATATTATTCAGTCTTTTTAAAAAAATGAAATCCTGACATTTGTGGCAATATAGATGCACTTAAAGGACATCACATTAAGTGAAAAAAGCCAGACAAAGAAAGACAAATACTGCATGTGCTCACTTATATGTGGAATAAAAAAAAATATATGATATCATAGCAGCAGAAAGTAGAACAGTGAGTGGTTAATACATTTAAATGCATGAGGTGATAGAGGCACTACCTTGATTGGATCACTATACAATATAGATATGTATCAAAACATAAAATTTTATCTCAGAAATATGTACAATTACAATGTATCAATTAAAAATATTAACCAATTAATAAAAAAGAATCAATTCATGGGTCCATTCAGTAATTATTTTCTAAATGAAAAGAAATTGATAGATGAGACAAAATTTGAGAATAATTAAACACTAACCATGAAGTATTGAGTTACTGAAGTTGAGACAAAAAATAAATCAATATGCACACTTTGAATCTGGAAAACATTATTGAACAAAGTCAACTTTAAACAGCAGTTTTTCAAGAAAAGTGAGCAAAACTTGTGTGAAAACAGCAAGGGGTAGAACGTCAATAAGCACAATCATTTGTAGAGAATGATAGTTTAATCTCAATATATACTTTCAAAAGTCTATACCTATTTGGCTCATAGATAGCATCAATAATGGCCACAATTGTTTTAGTTTTTCCTATGTCATTTCTAAGACTTGTATATAAAAAAATTAAGAATGCTCTCAGTACATTTAATCTACTTGAGCTATATCAGCTACCCAATAAATACACTTAACCACAGACATGCTCTCTCTCTCTCTGTCTCTGCCTCTGTGTGTCTCTCTCTCTATGGCATGTGCATGCATGTGCATAACATGCATATAAACAAATTACCTTGCTATGTGATATTTTCTATACTTCTTCTCTGCTAAATTTTTAGGCTTGGTTTTTTAGGCAAACCTTCATTTTATGGCAGACAATTTTTTTTAGAGTTTCACATAGTAGAATGGAAAGAGTTCTTTCATGAAATATGTTTAAACTAGAACTCTTTTAGTCTCCTATGTAACTTGTGCAAATCACTTAAACTCTCTCAACAGTCGTCATCTTCATAATGGAAATAGAAAATATCTTATATTCTGCAATGAATATCCTACAGTGTTTATGAAGATCAAATGGAATGATGTCCATGGACGAAGTCCTGTAAACACTGAAATAGTGACAAAAGTAACAAATTGCAATTATTATCCAAACGAACATCAAGACATGACTGAGGTAACAGACTGATTATATAGTTGTATGAGACAAACCGCAAGGCAACTACCTTAACCCTGATTATTTTATTCTATTGACATGTTCCCTTTGCTTTATGTAAAATCAGATCAGTCCTATGCTGTGTGAAAGATCAATGTCAATACAAAGAGTAAATGAAAGATACATAAGATGAGTCTACAGAAAAACATATCATCTAGCTATTTCCACAGGCACTGTAAACGGCTTTGCTCTTCCTTAGAATCACATCTTACTTAGAATGAAAATTGGTAAAAATATTATTTTCAACTGATTCTATATTGAATATCACCAATGATAAAATTCATCACCATTTGAAGGTGGATTTGAATTTTGGAAACTGCCAAACATTAGCCAGAGTGAATACTAATGAAAGAGTAGAGTGATTCAACTGAACAGTAGAATTTTTCATTTAAAAATAAAAAAAGTTGGTATATATTTCACCAAAGAGTGGCTCAAAAGAAATTTTGAAATTGTTCTAAATAAAAATAACTGGATTAGTTACATTGCATTCACTGTTGTGAATATAGGACATCTTTGCATGCAGAAAGAAATGACAAGATTGTTTTTAAAAATCTGACTTATCATCTCATCATCATATTTCATCTACTTCCTCACAAGATGAACCCAGCTGGGTGCAAGTGTGTATGTAAAGTCACCCAGAAAGTCAAAGTACTCTCACATGCACAAATTCCCAGTTATACTTTTATCTCATTTTTCCGGGATTTATTCTTGCTCTTGGGTTTTACACTCAGTACATGTTTCTTGGCACTGAGGAGATGATATTTAAAAAGATGAAAGACAAGAAGCAGCCAACATTAGCTGTTTAGGCTCATTCAATGATACAAATCAGTTTGGAAATCTCTGTTTACGATAAATCTGTAAACTAATTACACCCCACCTCTCCAGACTCCTCGAACATTCAGCCTACAGAGCACAGACCCTGCCTGGATGCTGTCACTTTGGATTATGCAACTGGATTTTCCTCTTTCTGCAGATGCTTCGTGGTTAAACATCCCTTACTGTTATCACTCCCATGATCCACCCCTTATCTGTTTATCACATGTGAGCCCGCCCCCTTCCAGACTCTTAACCACCAGGATCTGGCCATTCTCTACAGGATGATTTCTATCTTTGTGTTTACCTATTTACAATGTGAATACAGTTTGGCCTTTACTCTCCTGTCTTTCATGATTAAGCCTTGATCCCCATAGACATAGACAACATCTGCCTAAATCCAGACCTTTCCATCTCATCTATTCCTATTAGTGATTTGAACCCTACTAAATATTTCTCCCACCACTCCAGCCTCTACATTCTTATTACATTAAGTGTTAAGTAGCTAAGAAAGAGCTAAATTATATTTCAAATTCCTACAGAGATTTGTAAAGCCTCCACTAATTGAATAAAGATAATTAAAATAAGTGTCTCATAATTAAGAGTATCTACTGTGTGTTCCAGACACTGCATTAGTCATTCTAACCTGTTCAGCCATTTAATACCCAAAATGATCCTGAAAATTTACAGATTCAATAATTATTTATTATATAATCAAACATTGTTTTACAGTATTTGAATGGTTCCTATCAGGCCAATACCTTCCTCTTTATTAAATGTTAGGGAGATTTAGGAAAAATATTCAGTCTTCCAGGACATAGGGAAAAGTGTGGCAGGGCCATAAACTATAGGATGGGTCCTCACTCAAGCCATGAAATTCAGTAGCAGGCATACAACTGAGATGGTAGCACAATTTCTGGCCTTTGCCAATACTTCAAGTGAAGGGAAAGAGAAAGTAAAGCTGGGGAAAACTGTCACCCTCTGATACAAAGTTACCCAGGGTTTATTCTAAACTCATTAGATACAATGCCTGAAGCAACCTGGCTAGTACTATTATCTCTTTAAATATAGGTTTCCTTACTGGGTGGTACTTTGCCTATTGATGATAGAATCAGAGGATCCACTTCCAGGATGAGAGAGAGTAGGTGTCTCTCCTCCAAGTAAGAGAAGAGAACTGTCCTAAAAAAGCAGCATTTTCCCTACATATTCCAAACTTTCTTATTTATTTTAGAGCTGTTTTTACTGAGATGACCTACCCTCATCATTTGATACATTAATAATTTTATGTGATTTATTCATAACAAAATAGTCCACTATTTATTTTAGTTTATAATATATAAAATGTATGTTGCTGGTGGTCTCAAGAAGTGAATGTATAAAAAGAGTTTAGAGGAAGGAAAAGAGTTAAGTCAAGTTTATTGTACATATCTTACCTCTACAATACAGCTAAATATCTTAAATTATGTCATTTGATTGAATGTTAGTCTGTAAGATCATTATTATACCAACTTTACAGATGAGAATATCTGCAGTTTCTACAAGTTTAAAACATTTTCCAAAAACACATGCATAGCATTCAGCGAATCAAATATTTTAGAGTAGTGGTTCAAATACTTGAGTAATATGGTTGGTGCCTTCAGGAAAATGAAAATCCAGACTTTCCATACTCCATGTATCCAACTTTTAAAAATACTGCAATCATGTTTAAATGCTGCCACTTAAGTATTTTTTTTAGTACCAATGTGATTATAAATATAAACAAAAATGTTGGCACTAAACTCTTGAGACATGATTCTACTTTGACATTGTCATTTAAATGATGCTGAAATATTCTTATATTAAATATATTATGGAAGTAAAAGCAGTTTAAAAAATCTTGTTAAAACATACAGGTTCTAGAAAATGTGTTCCAATTTTTCTAAGGAAGAGCAAATTTGGTTAAGGTTGGGGTTTTCCCTCCATCGGGCTTAAAGATTCTGTAGTCTCCCTCCAAGCATAAAATTTGGTGGTTCTAAATCATTAAATTTTTATAAAACTATTCTTATTCCAATTTCAGAAGGTTTCCTCTAGTTCTGGTAATTTTCTTCTTACTGTCCAGAGTCCAGTCTCAGAAATTTAACCAATATAATACGGTGAAATTTTATATTTAAAAATGTCACTGTCAAATGTCTGGAGTTCTCAGTGTGGAGGTTGGGAACTTAGTTTCTCCTCTTTCAGGTGAAAGTTAAGTAATATTTACTCCCTTGTATTTACTTTTGACACCAACATTCTGCATATCCTTCTCTACTGACATATTTAGTGGGGTGGGCATGCTTCCCTTGGAGTCCAGAATTAAAGGGATCAACATAAATATGATCATAAGTTGAACAGAAGCCAAAGAGCTATTGGTGATTATAGACATGATAATGTAAGTCAAAGGCGGACATGATTCATTTCACCAAGGGGGATTACTCAGAAGTTTAAAGCATGAAGTTAAAAGGAATGTTGTCTGTGGACTGCTCTTAAGAAAAACAAGTCACTCCAGGAGAGGAAAGACTGACGTTTCAAAGCCATGAATCCCCAAGAAGTGAAGGAAAGGGGAAGGGAACATAACTGGTATTTACTTAGCACTTACTATTATGCTCCTTAATTTTATATTCTAATTAATCTTTCAAGTAGTCTTGTAAGATTGGTATGATGCCCACTTTATGGTGAGGCTCAGGATATTCCACAGTCAGTGATAGCGCTGGATATGTAATCCACATCTCTCTGACACTAGAATCCATGATCGTTTCCATGGGTTCCTGTTTTCTTCCTAAGAAGGGGTATTGGTATAGGATATTCATTGGCACTTAGTAGGTAGTGATTCTGAGCCCAGCCTTTTTCTTTTGTCTTCAAAATGGCTTTAAAATTAGTACCAATCCCTGGTTTATTCTATTTTAATGGACATCTTGGTAAATAAAGGATGATAATTCCATTCTGCAGAATTCTCATGAGCCTGGATTCAATGTTGAATGAACAGCTTTCATAAAGTATCTTCCAAAAGAGGTAGATATATGCATGAAATTAAATGTCTGGTTATTTATTCAGTCTAATTACATTCCATACCAATTGTTTAAGAGAAGGGAAATTTATGAATTCAGCGTGATCCAATGCAAACATCTTTTTTTTTTTTTTTTTTTTTTTGAGACGGAGTCTCGCTGTCGCCCAGGCTGGAGTGCAGTGGCGCAATCTCGGCTCACTGCAAGCTCCGCCTCCCGGGTTCATGCCATTCTCCTGCCTCAGCCTCCCGCGTAGCTGGGAATAATTTTTTTGTATTTTTTTGTATTTTTAGTAGAGACGGGGTTTCACCGTGTTAGCCAGGATGGTCTCGATCTCCTGACCTCGTGATCCGCCCGCCTCGGCCTCCCAAAGTGCTGGGATTACAGGCGTGAGCCACCGTGCCCGGCCGATCCAATGCAAACATCTTAATAGAATCCCAAATTTTAGCCCCAGCTCTGCCTCTAAAGAGTGTGGAATGCTGTCTGTTCTGGTTCCTCATCTGAAAACAAAGAGAAGAGACCTTTCTTCCTGTGTATGCAACCTTAGATCTGAGATAGAAATATAATCTTAGCCAGGGGAAAACATTTTTTCTTTTATATTGGGTTTTATGGAAACATGAGAATAATATAACACTCATACATTGTCTTCAAGCTTGTACATGACAAATCCCATCAAGTAATCCAGTTTTTTCATTGGATGTTGTGCGTGGCTTGGTTATAAGCTCTGAGTCCTCTGAAATGATGCCGTAGCCCGTTCTCTAACTGCCTGCCTTTTAGGAAAACATTAGTGATGATAAGAAGGGAAAGAAGCAGAGGTAGAGAGGGAAACTTTGTCTCAAAGTCATGCTTTCTTCCTTATAACACCCGGTCTCAGATAGCACCATGTTCTGAAAGGCTGAAAGCAACTTCCTGTGAATAAAAATAATAATAGTTACAGCTGAGACAGGCACAATACTAACTTTTACATGGCTAACTAATGTAAGCCTCATAGCACCTTACTCCCTAAGTTCCCATTTCTTCTGTCACCTTTTTTTAATGATAAGGAATGTTTATACTTACTAGGTAACTTGTCCGGTGTTCAAATAACTAGTAAGGGAGAAAACCAAGAACATAGATCCTTGTAATTTGAAAATTCACTCCAAAATTATCAAATTCTCTAAAGTGCGAAGCAATATTGCCAGTGTGGGTACTGACTCAGCTTTATAATTTTGCCCTATTTTTATAATAAACATCAATGAATATTTTAACATCTGCTATTGGCTGTCACATGTACATATGTGTATATGCATGTATTTATGTTATTTTATACGATAACCAAGCATTATGATAATCATTATTCAGGGCCATTAATCTCATCTTACACTGAAGGAAACTGAGGCACAAATTATGAGATCTCCTCTCAAGATTTCATAACTTATACGGGGCAGAGTCAAGCTCAAAACACAGGTCTGTTTGAAATCTAGGATCCATGCCATGGCTTTTCACCACTTTATAGTAGACTAGTTAACCACACAGTGACTAATTAATACCTTCCATGCCAGCTTAGTTTTAAGATTTGCATGAAGTGAGTACAACTCAAAGTTGATATATGTAGGAAATTAATATGATATATGTAGGAAGTTAAGGTTATTGGTTAGAATGGTCTCTAAGGATTTTTGGTTTCTCACTTAACCATTGAGCCTTCATCCCTAAACCTTACCTCATGCTATTTATGTTTAAACAATAAACACAGTTATTGACCAATGAACAGGCTGAAGAATTCCAGCTCACTTGACCACTCCTTGCGCCTCTTCAAGCCAAATTGCCTTCAGATCACCATGCTTTAAAAAGCAGCTGGGGCTCCACTGTTGCCCAGAAACATTTTGGACTAGAATCAAGAGACCTGGATTCTCTTATTGGCTCATCTGGTGAAGCAAAAAAGTGACCGTGGCAAGTTGCTTGACATCTCTCACCCTAAGTTGCCTTGTCTGTGGAATGAAAGTTTGAAACAGATGATCTTTAAGCAGTCTTCTAGTTCTGAGGGTCTATACTCCCCCTGGTCCTCTCCCAGAATACAATTGCTGCTGCCATTCTTCAGTTGTTGCTGGAGAAGGGAGAAGGAAGCAATGGTAAATACTTTCACTGCACGGCTGCCTCTGGGGTCCTAATGAAAATCACAGTGACTCGCTCACAAACACTACAAGGAGCTGCCTTCTCAGTATTTGGTTTCTTGTAGGAGGCACTTCAAGATTTACATACATATTTCCTTCCTTCTGATTAGTTATTCAGGTCAAGTATTCAGTTTCCAAGATTTCCCCCTGCAATCCTTAGGCCTTCCTCCTAGCCTTCTTTCCTCTTCCCTGACTCTGTTTCTCAGTGACACTCTTTAGTGTGTCCCCACTTTTTTACAATGTCCTCAGCTTTATCACTATCACCCATACTTCCCACGATAAAGCACTTGTCAGGCTAGCTGGCATTTCCACAAAGCCTGTCAAGCAAATTCCCGGTGTTTGTGAGGTCCATTTATGTCACCCAAGCTCTAGATAAGTGGACTGGCTGATATAATCTCCCACCTGGGACATCCATGATAGCTTTTTCTACATTTACCACTGAAAATCCTTGGTCCTGTAATGGTGATGCCTCCATAACTGTAGGACATGATTTATTCAGGGAAAAATGAAGATTAGATAAACTCTGTGTCAGTTCACAGAATGAGCCCTCATAGAAAGCAAATAGAAAAGCTGAACTACGCATATTTTATTCCTAGACAGAATCCATACCTACATACTTATGTCCTTATTTACCATATTTCCTCTCTCTTTGTTTTCTTCAATAGACAGTTATTGAGTACCTACTGTGTGCCAGCCACTGTGTTATAAGCTGAGAAAACATAAATAAGCAAGTCAGAAGATGCTTCTGCCCTCTTGGGCTTAACAGTTTAGTCTGTCTCTAATATAGCACTTATTACATTCTAAGTATACAAAGTAGCTTGTGTGTGTGTGTGTGTGTGTGTGTGTGTGTGTGTGTGTTTCTCTAATAGATTGTGGGGTTTTTTAGAAGGGAGTGTCTCTATTTAAATTATCTCTGATTGCAATGGTTGCAAATAGTTTTTAGTATATAGGAGATGCTTAATAAATATTATGCATGTACAAAAACTTCAGTTTGTACAAATGTATACAAATGTGTACTAACCCCTAATGGCTTTCCAGCCAGTATAAAATAAGATCCAAATGCCTTGCCACAGCCTACAAAGCTTTCCTTGATCTTTCCTTTATCTCACCTTGTTCCTACTTTCACTATTACTTACAATGATTCAGACTCCCTGATGTTATGTTTGCTCCTTAAGAAGGCCAGGTTCTTATGCCCTCAGGATCTTTGCATATGCTATATACCCTCTGCCTGGCATGCTTTATCCCCAGAGCAAGGCATAGTAAGGTCTTCTTGTAAAGCTGTTTTCAGTTCAAATGGCTTTCAGCAACCACTCACTCTGGAGTTGACCTTCCCTGCCTGGCTGAGTAATTCTCTATCTCCTTGCTCCAGTGTATTCTCTTCAGAACACTGATAGTTATATAAAATAAGCTAGCTGTCTTGAACTTGACAACCTCCCTGGACTTTTGCTCTAAGTGGAAAATTAGGCTCAATAAATATTCATTAAAAAAAGAAAAGGCCAAAATTATGCTCATTTTAAAACACGTATCAGGTATCAGTCAACAAACAGATCATGTTATACCTTTTTTTTTTTTTTTTTGACAGTTTAGTTCTTTGTCACCTAGGCTGGAGTGCAATGGCGTGATCCTGGCTCATTGCAACCTCCGCCTTCTGAGTTCAAGCGACTCTTCTGCCTCAGCCTCAGGAGTAGCTGGGATTACAGCCACATGCCACCATACCTGGCCAATTTTTTTGTGTGTTTTTAGTAGGGATGGGGTTTCACCGTGTTGCCCAGGCTGGTCTCAAACTCCTGACCTCAGGTGATCCACCCACCTTGGCCTCCCAAAGTGCTGGGATTACAGGCATGCGGCACCACACCCAGCTTTGTTATACTTCTTAGGTAAGAGTAAGTTATAGTTGCTGTGGTGTATTACAGATGAAATAATCATTTTACAGCAGGAAGTTGTCAATTTGTTATGTGCATACACATACAATGAAAGACAGAATATCTCTGGCATTTAAAATAATAAAAATAATAAATGTTCTGAATTCACAGATGTAAGAATCCTGGGTGGCTAGGAAATCCATGAATGTGTGTGAAGGGAGGAAGGATGGGCACTAGGGCTTAACTGATGTCACTATTTCAACACGTATTTCTAAAACCGTTCTAAGCAGAGGGATTTTTGTTTTAAGTAAAATTTAGTAGGTAGGAATTTACCAGCTGTTTGGAGAAGAGTATGATGAAAATAACAGGTCATTCAACATTCATTCAGCTGTGTATCTTTTTGAATGTCTGGACTGGAAGCACAAATCCACTTCTACCTAATACAGCTTTATAGAGAGGAAGATATTAATCATGCAAATAAATATATAGTTTAAAACAGTGAAACTTAACAAGAGTGCATGTATCGGTGGGCTTAACATAGTTTGGGGTCAAGGATAGCTTTGCTAAAAAAAAGTGAGGGTCAAACAGAATGCCTAGCTGCAATAACAATATTTTTTCCCCTGTCTCTTGAGCAGCAGGTGAATTTACCATATAGTACTGTAGATATCTGGCACTAGTGTAACTCAGCTATTCTCTCCTTATCTGTATCAGTAGGTCTGAGAGAGGATCTAATTAACCCAACTAGCCTGATAGACCCTCTCAAAATCAATCATATAGGAATATGTCTTAGGCCAAGCCCCAGACAATCCCTCATCTTTGGGAGATCTCCACTAAATCAACTCTGCATGGGTTAAGGTCGCAGATAGAGTGAATAAACTCTTGTGCATAAGAAAACTCTGGACTATAGATCAGGCAGTTATTCAGAGAAGGGAGCCTGGGATGACAAGCACTAGGGGGGTGCCCCTCAACATATGTAACCAAAGCTTCATGATCTCACGACCCAGTGCCAGAAAAGAAGTGACTTTTACAATGGAGAGGAAAGCACAGACAAATGCCTCCCAAACCAGCTGAAATGGGTTTAGAAGACTACCTAGAGGTGGTGGTACTTGAACTAGGTCCCAAAGGGTAAAGAGAGATGATATAAGACAGGTATAAGAGGGGCAGAGAGAGCAACATGATCAAAATCCTGGAAGTATAAGACAACTGAGTTAAAAATTAAAAGAGATAATCATGAAATCACAAATCATTGATAAATTCATGGCATAGTGCCTGACATATTCTAACCTCTCAAATGTTCATTTCTCAATTGATTTATATTTCTGATTAGAAGACAAAAGACTGCCCATGCTCCCATTCTCTTAATGCATACTAGTAATAATAGTACCAGTTTTACCTACAAAAAGTCGGGGAGAAAATATAGTCAGTAGCATACATATACTAGGAAATCAGAAATTTTTACAATGAGTTTACTTGAAAGTCTGACAAGCAGCTAAATATTGCAGTCATCCAAGTATATCCATATTTTATGCCACTGAAATGATGACTGTGACATTCTAGATGACTGTCTTAAGAACCTTTTGCTTTTCAGACTGAGTACAGAATTAGAAGGAATATTCTGCTTGGCTCCTTGGAATGAGTGGGTAGGGTGACAGATATGTATCTAGGGATAAAACTCCTTTAGAATTTTGAATATAAAACATTTGTTTGCAGGAATAGAAGAAAAGTGAAAGTATGACACACCCCTGGCTCTTCCTTCCTTCTTTTCCTCCCTCCCTTCCTTCCTTGCTTCCTTCCTTCCTTCTTCCCTCTTTCTTTTTCTTTTTCTTTTTCTTTCTTTCTTCCTTCCTTTCCTTCTTTCTTTCTTTATTTTTCTTTCTTTTGTTCCCTTCATTTTATTTTTTTTTGACATGGCATCACTCCGTTGCCCAGGCTGTAGTGCAGTGGTACAAGTATGGATCACTGCAGCCTTTACCTCCTGGGCTCAAGTGATCCTCCTTCCTAATTTTCCTGAGTAGCTGGGACCGCAGGCGTGTACCACCATACTCAGCTAATGTATTTTCAATTTTCTGTAGATACGAGGTCTTGCCATGTTACCCAGGCTGGTCTTAAATTCCTGGGCTCAAGAAATCCCTTCACCTCAGCCTCCCAAAGTACTGGGACTACAAGTGTGAGCCACCATGCCTGGACACTTACCTATTTCTCATCTATTGTGTATTTATCAGAATTTGACAGTAAGGCAGTAACAGCTAGCTAGCTAATGGAGAGTAGAGACAAGTGGCCCCAGCTCTGTGCGTAGTGGTTCCAGAATTGTGTAGCCAGAAAAAATACAGTGTCCTGATAAATTTGAAGTTCAGATAAACAATAAATACATTTTTAGTTTACCTATGTCCCATGCAATATTTGGGAGATATATATATATATATATAGATAGATAGATAGATAGATAGATAGACAGACAGATAGATAGAGATAGAGATATACTAAAGTTGTATTTTTGTGTATTTGAAATTTAAATTTAACTAGATATTCTCTACTTGTATTTGCTAAATCTTGCATCTTTTTACTAGGATTGATCTTAATGGACTGAAAAATGATATGTTAACCCAAACAAGTATGAATGCTGTGTTCATTAAAATAATATTTCTTGAATGACTTAAGCTTCAACAAGTACAGATCAACTCCTTGAGATCTTCATTTGGTGACGCATAAATGATTCCTCTGGCTATCATAAAGTAGATGTACTTAAATGGACAAATAAATCCATGTGCAATATCAATTCCCTTTTTCTCTCTTTCTTTCTCTCCAGCAATGAATTTGAAAGGAAAAGAGAAATGGAGGAAGAACATGAAGAACAAAATTATATGTATAGTTGAAAAACTCACTTGGCAACATGGATAAGAATTGAGATGGTTTAATTTCCCTTAATGACTAAACTTTGATAGAAATCTCATGATGATAGTGAAAGTAGAAGTAGTAATAAAAATCCCCTCCCTCTACATTATCCCTGCAATATTATTTTTAAAATGTTTTTGCTTCTTGACAGAAAAAAAGAAGCACTCAGACCAATTTGCCATTCAACATTATGGATCATACACTGGCAAAAATATGTCCTTTTGCCCAGTAGACAGCAACCATTTAAATCAAATTAATTTAATTATTAAACATACAAAAATGTGGATTGTTGTAAAGGAAAATGGCAAGTGATGGTCAGCAAGCAGCATCAACAAAATGACATTTATATCAAAATACACTTCAGGGAAATTCAGGCTCTGGAAACATTGTTTTAATAATTTACAACATATTGAAAGAAGCTACACTATTTCTTATTAAGGTAGAGATTGATCTACTTGGTTTAAGTCAGAGCTGAGAGCCTTAGTGTTTTGAATAGTGTTGTCGCCTGCTTTTATAGATTTACTTACCCTCTCTATATGCACGAGACATAGATCTAATTGTCCAACCCTTGAGAGAACAAAATCAGTTTACTTCCAACTGATGATATAGATCTTTTCTTTTTTTACTTGAGGAAATATACTTCAGTCTTAAAGGATCTTTGCGGCATTTTAATTCCAATAGAAACAATTCTCTTATAGAGTTTTGCTTCTTGCCACACATATTCCAGAGCCAGGTAAAAGATTCTACCTAATTCCAAGGTGATACAGCACCGTGATTGTGGAAAATGTTAATTACTTCATGTATTAGTCAGGATTCTCCAGAGAAACAAAATTAATATGTATTCATTTTGAGAATTGGCTCATGTGATCACGGAGATTGAAAAGTTTCTTGGTCTCTCATCTACAGCTGGAGAAACAGGAAACCCTGAGGTCTAATTCAGTCTGAGTCCAAAAGTCTGACCCAGGGGAGCTGACGGTGAAACTCCTAGTCTGAATCCAAAGGCCTGCAAATCTGGATCAATGGTGTAAGGCTTGGAGTATAAAGGCCTGAAAACCAGAATGTTGATGTTTCAGGGCAGTAAAAGATGGATGTCCCAGTTAAGAAGTGGTAGAAAGAGAGGGAGTTCACCCTTCCTCAGTCTTGTTGATCTTTGTGGGCCCTCAGTGGATTGGATGATGCTCACCCACATTGTGGAGGGTGATATTCTCCCCTCAGCTGACTCAAATGCTGATCTGTTTGGGAAATACCCTCACACACCCAGAAATCATCTTTTACCAGCCCTATGGGCATCTTAGGGGCCAGTCAACTTGACACATAAAATTTACCACTGCATTTAAGCCTTTGTATATCATTTGTAGAAGGAAATAGAAATTCCAATCATATAGGTTTAAAAAAGGGAAAAAAGCACCCCTCACAATCACCCACTAATTAAACTGAAAGTAAAAGGCCTCTTCCCTTTTTCTTTCAGCAGTTTCAACACATTTTCACTAAAAAGCTTCCATGAAAACACAGAAAAAAAATATATATTTGGCATATGTGTTGATATATACGTCAACATAGAAAATATATGTGTGTGTGTGTATACACACACACACACACACACACACACACAGCCATGCACCACATTATGATGTTTCAATGAGAAATTGCATACACAATGGTAGTCCCACAAGGTTATAACACCATACTTCTACTGTACCTTTTCTATGTTTACATGTTTAAATACAAAAATACTTCCCATCGTGTTACAATTGTCTAGAATATTCAGTACAGTAACATACTGCACAGGTTTGTAGTTTAGGAGCAACAGGCAAGACCATGAATCCTAGGTGTGTCGTAGGCTATAATGCCTAGTTTTTCTCATTTCACTCTGTGATGTTCACACAATGATAAAATCACCTAACAACACATTTCTCAGAATGTATCTCCCTCATTAAGCAACACGTGGGTGTATATTCTCTATATATTTTACATATAAATACATATATGTCTCTCTCAAGGATGGGGATAGAAATTTCATTTCACTACTTTGTTGATGAAAAGAGTCAAACTCTGTAAAATATATAAAGAGGTTTATTCTGAGCCAAATATGAGTGACATTGGCCTGAGGCACAGTCTCAAGAGGTCCTGAGAACATGTGCTCTAGGTGATTGGGTTACAGCCTGGCTTTATATGTTTTAGGGAGATAAAAGACATCAATTAATACATGTAAGTTGTACATTGTTTCTGTCTGGAAAGGTGGGACAACTTGAAGTAGTGGCAGGGAGAGAAGGCACTTGAAAGTCACAGGTGGATTCAAAGATTTTTTTTCTGGTTGGTAATTGTTTGAAAGAGTTAAGTTATTATCTAAAGATAGAAATCAATAGAAAGGTGTCTGGGTTAAGAGATAAGGGTTGGTGGAGACCAAGGTTCTTATTATGTAGATGGAGTTTCATAGGTGCCCACCCTTAGAAGCAATAGATGGCAAATGTTTCCTATTCACACCTTTAAAAGGTGCTAGACTCTCAGCTAATCTTTTCAGAATCAAAAAAGATCTGGAAGGCTGGGCATGGTCTCTCATGCCTGTAATCCCAGCACTTCGGGAGGCTGAGGCGCATGGATCACCTGAGGTCAAGAGTTTGAGGCCAGCCCGATTAACATGATGAAAGCCCGTCTCTACTAAAAAATACAAAAATTCGCTGGGCATGGTGGCGCATGCCTGTAATCTCAGTTACTTGGGAGGCTGAGGCAGGAGAATCGCTTAAACCTGGGAGGCGGAGGTTGCAGTGAGCCCAAGATTACGCCATTGCACTCCAGCCTGGGCGACAAGAGTGAAACTCTGTCTCAAAAAAAAAAAAAAAAAAAAAAAAGACCTGGAAAGGGAAAATGATTCTCTACAAAATGTAAATTTCCCTCACTAGAGAAAGCTTTGCAGGGCCATTTTAAAATATGTCAAATAAATATATTTTGTGGTAGAATATTTTGATTTCTTCCAGGGCCTGCTACCTGTCATGTGATGCTATACTAGAGTCAGGTTGGAATTTGGTATTTTATTGCTACAGAGTCTGTTTTGCCAGTATTGATGATACTGATGTTTTAGGAGAGGTCCCTAAATACTGATGGGACCTCAATACCAGCTGGTGTCCAGGTTCTTGGCACCGTTGCAAGAAGGAATTCAAGGATGAGTTGGAAAATAGTTAAAGTACAAAGATTTATTGCAAAGAGAAAACTACGCACTCAAGAAAGGAGAGTGCAGATATACTCAAGGGGGTTTTGCAATGGAGTTTGAGGTCTCTACCTTTATGAATTACTTTAACCAAGGGGTGGGATATTCATAAGTATTCCTAGAAAGAAGTAACGATTTCTCAGAACTGTGATGCCACCCATTTTAACACCAAATATGGGTATTCCAGGAACAGTCATGGAGCTGGTGGTCGTATTATTTAGTATGTAAATGAGCATATGATGAAGTCATGGGTGAAACCTAGGTCAAATCCAGTGCCATGTTGCGTCCAGTCCGTCTTGGCCAGCTTGACCCACATTCTGGTTTTTCAGGCTCTTATCAGCCCCGAGTTTATGCAGCTATTTCAACCGTTTCCTCTTGCTAGTCATGTGAAACTGCTGCGTGAAATATTCTATTCTCCTGTGACCACCCTGTATTATTTCTTTCTTATTAAGATCTCTGTTTTAATATTAATCCTGGTTAGTTGTGCCTGAATTCTAAAGAAAGGAGAGTATAGTGAGGCATGTCTAATTCCCCTCTTCCCATTACGGCCGGTACTACTTATTCAGGTTTCGTCGACGTCCCCGTGGCTGAGAAGAAAAGTCCATTTAGTAAGCTGGGGAGCTTAGAATTTTGTTTTTGCTTTATAACATGTATCCACATGAGTGTGCCCACTTCTCTTTTATATATAAATGCACAGTACCCAATATTGGAAAGCTAGAAAAGTCTGCCACTAGGTCACGTCTGGACAGTATTATCTTTCAAAGCACTAGCTTGCTGCTACAGAAATGGAAAATACTGCTCAAAGATTGCAGAAATATATATTATATGCACATAAAATGAACTTTTCTAAAGCAATAGGCATGCCATAAGAAATGGATTTTGGACAGTGCATTAAACTATGAAATCATTTTTGACAGAAATATAAATCAATTTAAGAAAGCCGAAGTTCATGAATCAAATAAGGAGAGGGCTTTTGAGAAAGCATCAAGACTAGATAAGTACTAAAAGTACCGAGGTTAACTGTGTAAACATTATGAAAACAACATTTAACCAAGGGAATAGAAGGGAAGTAGCAAAAATACTTCAAAGCATGCCTTATTTTCATGAAAAAACAATGCTATGATTAGCATCAGTTTTCTACCCTCGAGGTACTTTTTTTTTCATTTTTCTTTTGCGGAATTCTTTGTACATTATTCATATTCCTAACAAAAAGAGTTAAGCTGGCTTCAAACTGGTTGGTAGTTATATGGCAACCACGTTGTTTTGATGCTGCTTTTATGTTCATTTCAATAAAATTGCCTAAAAGGAACATGAACAGCCAATGCACAAAAGAAATACAAATAAAAAATACAGGCATAAACAATTGTTTAAGCTTACTAGTAATCAACAAAGTGGGGATTAAAACAATAATGGGATACTATTTTTATACACCAATTAATTAAGATTTTAAAAATAAAAATGCTAAAATTTGCTGAGAATGACAAGCAGTTTAATAAGATATCGGTGTAAATAAGAATAGGTACATATTTTCTGAAAATCTATTTGGCATGTATATAAGAATTTTAAAATGTTTGTACTCTTCAATCCAGAATTTTCAGCTCTAAGAAACAGTCTGAAAGAAATAATAAGAAATAGTAAAAACAGTTGAAAATTATATATACATTTGTTCACTTCAATTATTTATTACAATGAATAACAGAAAATAACTTGAGTGTACACCCATATGGGAAAGTTTAAATACATTTTGTTAAATGAATACAATGTCACATTATGTAGTTTTTCAAAGAGTATTTACAGGCCAAGGGACATGCATATAAAATAATGTTAAATTAAAAAAAGATAACAGTACCTAAAGTTTTATATTCCAAGTTATTCCAATGTTCAGACATATGGGTGTGCATCTGATGTGTGTGTGTTTGTGTTTATGGAGCTGTGCATCTGTGTTTTCTACATTCACAGTTAACACATCAAGAAAACACTAAAAAAGAATATACCACATATGAACAAAGCTTATTTATGGGGTGGTAATAGTACGTGTATTTTAATAACATTTTTGTCTTCCATATTCTTCACATTGTCTACATCAACTTATGATAAAATAAATTTTTTGGGGAGGCCGAGGCAGGTGGATCATGAGGTCAGGAGATCGAGACCATCCTGGCTAACACGATGAAACCCTGTCTCTACTATAAATACAAAAAATTAGCTGGGCA
Source organism: Homo sapiens (assembly GCF_000001405.40). Classification (NCBI taxonomy): domain Eukaryota; kingdom Metazoa; phylum Chordata; class Mammalia; order Primates; family Hominidae; genus Homo; species Homo sapiens. The sequence goes on along the minus strand of NC_000004.12, from coordinate 19,226,878 downwards.
TGGTGGCGGGCACCTGTAGTCCCAGCTACTGGGGAGGTTGAGACAGGAGAATGGCATGAACCCGGGAAGTGGAGCGTGCGGTGAGCGGAGATCGCACCACTGCACTCCAGCCTGGGCGACAGAGCGAGACTTCATCTCAAAAAATATATATATATTACATATATGTAATATATAATATATATATAAATTATATATATATGTAATATATAATATATATAATATATATATAATATATATAATATATATATAATATATAATATATATATAATATATATAATATATATAATATATTATATATATTACATATATGTAATATATATTATATATAATATATATTATATATATTACATATATGTAATGTATACAATATACATTATATATAATATATAATGTATACATTATACATTATATATAATGTGTATACATTATATATTATATATAATGTATATATTATATATAAATATAATATTTTATATATAATGTATATATTATATATAAATATAATATTTTATATATAATATACATTATATATAATATATAATATACGTTATATATAATATATTATATACATTATATATAATATATTATATACATTATATATAATATATTATATACATTATATATAATATATACTATATATAATACATACTATATACATTATATATAATACATACTATATACATTATATATAATGTCTATATTATAGACATTATATATTTTTAAGTGGTCCAACAGATTGATATTGTAATTTAACGTAACAAACGTCTACGCCGTGTGACTTGTATCTATATTAAAAAGAGTAATTTGATTATTTCCTTTTATTTGAATCTCATCAATTGTTTACTTTTAAGGACAAAATATATAATTTTTTTCTGTAATATTTTAGAGATTAATTTACATGAATATCTGAGTTTATCCAAAACAGCAATTAAGATAACTACAAATAAAATTAATTTTAATTGAATTTTCTGATATAACAAAATCAAAAGAGTCAAATATTTTCTGTGGATCATGAGTCCAAAAGTTTACTTTTTTGTTTGTTTGTTTGTTTGTAAGGAATTTGGTACCTCTCTGCAGTTCAACCCATTTCAAAGTCACATTTAACTTTAGCTTGATGCTATACCTATGTTTCAAAATTGTGCATTTTACAGGAATCTGTAAATCTGAGGTCTGTGAAAATCTGTGGAATGGTTAAAATCTCAGTCTAGACTCAAAATAATGTGGACTTCATATTTGAAACTCAACTCTCATTTAAAATGGTATAAGCTTTCACAAGTTCGTAAACCTAAAATTCCAAATCCTCATCTACAAAACAGGACCAAAAATATACCTACCTTATTAGACTGTAGAAAGATATAGTGAGGTGATATATGTAAAGTTTGTATCCCTGTACTTGGGACTTTCCTAAGCACTCAATTAATTCTACCCATTATTGTATGTTTAAAAAACAAAAAATTCTGGAATCATTGGTGCCTAAATGCCTGGCATTACACTCAGAACAAGTTTCTTTCAAAAATGTTTCCTCTTAGCAAACACCTACCTAAACATTGGTCCTTTTATACTACATGTGGACCTTTAATCACTCTCCTAGGATTAGCGGAACAACTCAAACATAGATCTGAACATTCAGGAGTCAAGTGTTCAATGAGTTCTACCTGTAAAACAAGAAAAATACATTTTAGTACCTTCCCACCTATTTAATATTTTCTCCAGACTTCTAAAATCTTATTTCAAATAGTGAACAAAACAAACAAATAAATGAGAAAAACAAGTCATTGTTGTGAGAGACATCTGATTTTTTTTTTAATGTGGCGCAGTAACTTACTCTGATTTAATTTTTCTTAAATGCCGCCATCTAGTGTTCACTAATTTAACTTTTATTACTTACCTTAAAAAGATATTGTTAATGTGGAAGTAATGTTCCCCACTTTCCCAGAGGCAAATAGCATCAAGTCAATTTGTTTCAAGTTTCTAAGTCATTCTAAAAAGACTTGCTATATCTGAAATAGCACAATAATGTTGAAATAAGAACAATCACAGTAGTAAGCTGTAGGACTATAAACATGTTTTACCTTGTGAAATACAGACATACTGTATTTCATTATAGTTCTAGCTCTCCCCTCTCTCTCTCTCTCCTCCCTATCTCCTTCTGCAAGAATTCTTTAGAAGTGCTTCTCTTATAAACTCAATGGCAAAAAAAAAAAAAAAACAGTTATAAATGGGCAAAGGACTTGGATAAGCATTTCTCCAAAAAGACATAAAAACAGCAAACAGGTATATCAAAAGTTGTGCAATATCGCTAATCATCAAGGAATGCAAATAAAAACAACAATAAAATATCACCAAACTCTTAAGATGGCTATTATAAAAACAAACAAAAAAGATAATAGTTGTTGGTGGCTGTGTGGATAAAAAGGAAACTTTGTACACTGTGTTGGGAATGTAAAACAGTGCAGTCTCTATGGAAAGCAGTATGAAGGTTCCTCAGAAAATTAAAAATAGAACTACCATATGACCCAGGAATCCCAATCCCACTTCTGGATATATGTTTAAAAGAACCGAAATTAGGATCTCAAAGAAATATCTGCACTTCCATGTCCATTGTAGCACTGAAGAAAATAGCCAAGATAAAGGAACTGAAATGTTCACTGACAATTGAGTAAAGAAACTATGGTATAAACACATAATAAAATATTATTCAGCCTTAAAAAAGACAGAAATCCTACCATTCGCAACAAAATGGACAGACCTGAAAGACATTCTGCTAAGTGAAATAAGTTAGTCTCAGAAGGACAAATACTGTATCTAAAATAGTCACACTGGCCAGGCACGGTGGCTCACGCCTGTAATCCTAGCAGTTTGGGAGGCTGAGGCAGGTGGATCATTTGATGTCAGGAGTTCGAAACCAGCCTAGCCAACATGGCGAAACCCTGTCTCTACTAAAAATACAAAACAATTAGCCAGACGTGGTGGTGGATACCCATAATCCCAGCTACTTGGGAGGCTGAGGCAGGAGAATCGCTTGAATCCGGGAGGCGGAGGTTGCAGTGAGCTGAGATTAAGCCACTGCACTCCAACCTGGGCAACAGAGCATGACTCTGTCTCCAAATAATAATAATAATAATTAATAATAAGAGTAATAATAATAATGAAATAGTCACACTTACAGAGGTAGACAATAGAATGATGGCTACCAGGGAGTGAACGGAGGGGAATATGAGGAGCTGTTATTCAATGGGTATAAAGTTAAAGTTATGTAAGTTCTAGAGATCTGCTGAACAACATAGTTCCTATAGTAAACAATAAAGTATCACTCACTTAAAAATGGTTAAGAGGGTAAATCTCAAGTTAAGTGTTCAATACAAACAAACCAATGAAAAGCAAAGCAACACAAGAAAACTTTTAGAGGTGATGGGTACGTTTGTCACCTTGATTGTGGTGAAGGTAACAGGAATATAAACATATGTCCAAGCTTACCAAATGGTATGCTAATTATATATTAATTATATGCAGTTTTGGCATACCAATTCTATTCCGGTAAAGCTGGGAGGGAAGAAAGTTATCAGTTATGGTTGGACAACTCTGAATTGTGCAAAACTCATTTAATTTTACAATTTCAAATGGTGAACTTTACGGATTGAGAATTACACTAATAAATAAAGTTATCCAAGTGAAAAAAGAGAAAAATAACTATTTTGCTCTCCATTGTATCCCGGGCTTCTAGCATAGTGCTTAATAAAATACCTAATGTTTATATGCCAGTGTGTTCTAAGAAATTCTTTCTTTCTTTTTTTTTGTCTTTTTGAGACGGAGTCTTGCTCTGTCGACCAGGCTGGAGTGCAATGGCGCAATCACGGCTCACTGCAACCTCCGCCTCCCTGGTTCAAGTGATTCTCCTGCCTCAGTCTCCTGAGTGGCTGGAATTACAGGCGCATCACCACGCCTGGCTAATTTTTGTATTTTTAGTAGAGACAGGGTTTCACCATGTTGGTCAGGCTGGTCTCGAACTCCTGACCTCGTGATCCGCCTGCCTCTGCCTCCCAAAGTGCTGGGATTACAGGCGTGAGCCACCACGCCCGGCCTAAGCAATTCTTATATGTTATCTCACTGCTATAAGTTTAATTGCTGAAAACTCCAAGGAACGTTCTATGACTGTTTCCTTACAGATAAGAAAACTGCACTCTAGGAAAATTTAATAAGCTTCTCATGAATATACACTTGTTAAATGGTCAGGTCAAGATTTGGAGTCAGTGGTCTGACTCAAGAGTTCTCACTGTCAACCATTACCGGTGCTGACAGTTATCAAAATTTCAAAAGTAAAGCATCAAATTCGCAAAAAAACCTTTGGATCCCAGAGTACCTACAACTCTGCACACATTGACTGAAAAAATGAGAATTGAGAAGTAAACATGTTTGGAATCATTTTTCCTCTTTAGAAGACAGAGTCATTTCTAAAGAATTTAAAACATGTTATGATACTGAACTGAAGGTAATTGAAACATTTCATTACTGATCTGCAAAATAAAAAACATACAATATATTGCTCTGTCTCCAAAAAATTAATGCTCATTAATAAATTAGCTGTTCAATTTAGCCTTTTTAAAATGAATTATTGTCTCTCCAACAAAAACTGAATGCAAAAATATGACAATTTAACTGCAGAGATGCTTTATTTAAATTGGTGATTCAGTGGTGTGATTTTAATTACACTATGCATTTGTTCTATTACATTCTTATGGTGTGTTGTAAATATATATTTATATATAATATTATATATATGTATCTTTTTCCTTTTTACTTAAACTGCCTGTTGTAGGTTTGTGTGTGTGTGTGTGTGTGTTTGTTTTTTTGGGTTTTTTTTGAGATGGACTTTCACTCTTGTTGACCAGGCTGGAGTGCAATGGGGCGCAATCTTGGCTCACTGCAACCTCCGCCTACCGGGTTCAAGTGATTCTCCTGCCTCAGCCTCCTGCGTAGCTGGGATTACAGGCAGGTGCCACCACGCCCGGCTAATTTTGTATTTTTAGTAGAGATGCTGTTTCTCCATGTGGTTGAGGCTGTTCTTGAACTCCGGACCACAGGTAATCTGCCCGTCTCGGCCTCCCAAAGTGGTGGGATTACAGGTGTGAGCCACCGCGCCCGGCCAAACTGCCTTCTAAGCTTAGGAAATTATTTCAAGTTGGAAACCTTTCATGAGGTTCATTGATAGGCCACACATTCATCAGTTTCATACCATGAACACCTACTCTAATGACAGAGGGAAAATTGTACATATTTTGTCCTGGAAATCAAGGAAATATGCATTGTTAGGTTACCAAACTCATTTCCAAAACAGGAGAAGCCACAGAGAATGGTGCAATGATACCAATCCCTTCTCACCAGGACATTGTAAACAGGGTATACAATTTCCTACAGAATCAGGAGTATCTACAATATCATTACCTGACATAAATTTAAGTAACTGCCCTGATTCATGATAGATTAGGGTTAGGTCTATATTTTTTTAAAAAAGGGAAACATTTTCCTTTAATATTTATTTGTGAACATGCTTATGAGAGTTATAATAAAAATGAGTTTAAATACCAGGGCTGAAAATTATATTAATAATTAGGAGTATTTGAAAGCATTCTAAGAATAATGTTGCATTATTTTGTGTTTAACTCAGAGAAATACCGAATGCTACAGTGTCCTAAAAAAAGCCATGCAAACCTTTATTTGTCAAATAAGAAAATGATAGCTGTAAAATATTAGGAGATTTGTTGAAGTCCAAGTGCTATTTATAAATCCAAGACAAGAACCTAGAAAATCCTTCTCAATACAATGAACTTTTTGCTACATGGAAAAGTAGTATCCTTTCTAAACTATACTCAGAATAAATTATTGCTAAAAACAAATATTGAAGGGACAGGAGTGATGGATTTAAAGTTCATAGACTCTACCATCATAATGCAACACAGTTAAGTAGCCATAACTTATTTAATGATCATTCTTGGGATTATTTATTCAACATGTATTGAGTAAGACCTCACGATCTTACACAAATAGGCTAAAATCTAAACAGCAGCCTCCTCTTCTACTTTCTGTAGCTAAACGCACCGGATGTTAAAGCAGCGTATGTGTGACAAGGCAGTAGGGTGACTATAGTCAATGAGAACTTAATTGTGTATTTTAAAATAACTTAAAAGAGTGTGATTGGATTGTTTGCAACTCAGTCATGGAGAATGGGGTATCCATTCCCTCCATCAATGCTTGAGAGGATGGATACCTCATTCTCTTTGATGTGCTTATTTTACATTGCATGCCTGTATCAAAACATCTCATGTGCTCGGTAAATATATACACCTACTATGTACCAACAAAAATTTTAAAACATAATTTAAAACTTAAAAAAAAGATGTCAGTGCTCTTTTTGTTTTTGTTCCTGCACTTATCTCTAGATCCATTAAGGCAATTTATTAGTCTGTTGTTGTTTATCTGTATATTTTCCTTAGTAAATTGTAACTCGCTTTGACCATAATATATCCTTGAAAAATGTTTATTAAAAACTAAGGACCTAATTCTTTGAGAAATAGTTTGTTTCTTCCTCACTGCCATCCTCTCCTTCTTCCTTCCATTCCATTAGGAAGACATCCCACTGCCTCTAAATTCTCCTATATATTTTTCAGAAAAGGAAATAAATATAAATAAAATAATAGAAAAACAATTGGTCATTTTTTTCAGTATAGAAATAAAACATATTTAGACATGGCATGTATTTAAGCCATTTACTTGGATGCTACTGTCTTGAAAATGTGCTTAAAAAGAGCCTATTTTTGCTTCACTCTTACGGAGTTTAGGAACTAAATTACCCAAATATATTATCTATATTCCCCTAAATTGTTCATGCAATAAACATTTTACAATTTTTTTACCAGGTCTATAAATCTATGTACTGTGTATAATTTGTAGTGGAACAGATTTGGGAGACCTTATTTTGTAGTGTTACCAAGCAATATTAAAAATATAAATGAAAATTCAAAATTAAACATTTTCTCTAAGGCAACTTCCAAGACAAAAGCAAAGATTTTGAATATTATAGTGTTCAGGCAACTTACTATTTAAAACCTGCCAAGAAAACAAGCATTTTTTAAACGTCTATGGTTTCAATCTTTCATTTTATAATCTGAGGGAAACAATTTTAATAAGAATTGCTGAGTACATTTTAACATTCTCTTTAGGCATAAAGAAATGAAGAGATACCTGAAACAACACTTTAATATCTTATGTTTTTCCAAATATAATCAGAAAGCAAAATATTTTTAAAGTCTAAGTTGTATTTGACATGGGTGAGATTTACAGTCATATGAAGAGAATAATTATAGAGGAATCACTACATAAAAATAATGCAGCTGGAGAGAGAAACAAATATAATGGAAGTAAGACATTCTATGGAATTTCGAGCATGACATCATTTGGGTTGAGTTTTTATCAAGCAAAATATTTTCAAGTTTATATTACTGCAGAATAAATACCCATACTTCATATTTTATGATTTATGTAGGTTTAAAAAAACTTATATGCACATAAAATCATATATATACACACATAAATACATACAGATATGCATAAAATATGTGTCTATTCATAATATTTTATTATTCTGATGTTCCATTTTATTATATACCAAGCCCTATTACATTTCCTACAATGACATCACCATCCCCATTCCTGTAACATTCAGATGACTCTGAATAGAAATACTGAGAATCTAGAGGGAGCGAGTAAGTGCTATCTGGATTTGGAGAACAAAGGGTAATACTGTGAGAAGCGGTATATACACCCTCCTAATCATGTTGCATTCCTACTTTATTTGTGTATTCAGTAAATTGATTAGTGACCAGTACTTTTCCATACAGTACAAGTTGTAGAGTATGAATTCATGATAAAAATGTTTTGGCTTTTACTCTGAGTGAGATGACATGCCTTTGGAGGATTTTAAACAAAAGACTGACATGATTCGATTTCTGTTTTGAAAGGGTCACTGGCCGCTGTGTGGAAAAGAGAATGTGGGCTCACCAGAGTGAATGCAAGGACACTGGTAGGGAGACTACTGAAATCATACAGGCAAATGTGATAGTGCCTTGAAATAAGATGGTAGTAACTATAGCTGATGGTTCTATTTCTAAAAAGGAATACTTTTAACTAACCTATGAATTACTAACTTAGTTAAAACCATACAAACTATTCAATCAGCCCTGAAGTCAAAACATGACAAAGTAATCTTAATAAAAGAAAACTAGTGAGCAAACTCATTTATTATTTTAAATACAAATACAAGTTAATTGAGTCCTTCACTTCCTTGAAATAATAAGAAAACAATAAAAATGTAGAAAATTATCCTGATGTACAAAGTGCTCAATTTTAAGGAATTAATCCCTGTAATTCATGACTTCAGTTACAAGAAAAAAAAATACATCTAGTTGAATGCATAAAATATTTGATGAAGCATATCATCCATTCCTCAATAATATAAAATTTAGTAAAATAAGAAAAAAATATATTTCCTCATTCAAAAGAAGATAATCAATTTAAAATCTTGAAAACTAAGGTAATTATGTCATGCTATAAAGATACTCATATTATTGTCATACTCAAGGATAAAAGGATACTCATTGTCATTACTAGTATTTGACTGTTTTGTGACTTGTAGTCAATACCTCAAAATTAGAATGTAAGTAGAGGAATATGCTTGCAATATATTACAAGCTTCTTAAGAAATAGAAATTACGGCAAATAAATATTTGATAGAAAATATTTGCAAATTTGCAAATTAATTACACAATATATTAGCCCATTCTGATGCGGCTATGAAGAAATACCTGAGACAGGGTAATTTATAGAGAAAAGAGGTTTAACTGACTGAGTTCCACATGGCTGGGGAGGCCTCAGGAAACTTACAATCATGATGGAAGGCACCTCTTCACAGAGGGACAGAAGAGAGAATGACAGTGGAGCACAGTGAGAAGCCCCTTATAAAACCATGAGATTTCACTCACTATCAATAGAACAGCATGGGGGAAATCACCCCCATGATTCAGTTTTCTCCACCTGGCCCCACCTTTGACACCTGGGGATTATTACAATTCAAGGTGAGATTTGGATGGGAACACAGAGCCAAATCAAATTACAAAGTTATAATAATACATAAATTAGAAAATGAATAATTGTTTAATAATATGACAATTACTAAACTTCTCTATCATTAGACAAATGCAAATTTAGAAATTATATGCCATATTTCACTACTGATATTGACAGTTTTATAGACTGGTAATAATATACAGCAGTTTAAGGTAATTCATGTTGTCAGACATTGTTGATGGCAGTAAAAGTTATTTAACATTTCCAGTTGTCAATTTGAAAGCATATGAAAGGCTTCAACTCTTGCATTCCTTTTACCTATTAATTTCATTTCTACATAACTCTCATTTAAAAAATTAGTTATAGGTGCAATCAAAGATATAGACATAAGAATCTTCTTCACATTATTTATTACAACAAAGCAAATCTCTTTAAAGACAAAAGAAAATATAGATATTTTAAAAAGGAAAATAACTAATACATTATGACAAACCAAGATGATGGAATATCAGTCATTTAAAAATTAAACAAGAGAAAATTTTAATAAACTGGACATTTTCATGATATACTGAGTTTAATTAAACTGATTTCAAAACAATGTGTACAGTACAAAATAAATTTTAAAAACCTATCTTTTTATACTAGCAGTTGAAAAACTTGTAAGCAGATATTCTGAAATATTACCATTGGTTATCTCTAGGTGGTAAGACCCTAGTATGTTTTCACTTTTCTTTGCTCTTTAGAGTTTTTAAAACTTTTGACAAAATACACGTGTTATTTAATAACTGTATGAAAACAAGACATATGATTTATTTTAAAATCATCCAATTGAAGTTGTTTTTGATGCCAAACGAGAAAGGAGGTGAAACAGTATTGATTAGGGACCTAATATTTCTTTAGAAAGGCTTATGGCATATTCATTCTTTCAGTAAGCACAGATTGACTCTCTGTGTCATTTTTTTTCCCCATAAGCTAGACACAAGGCATTTAAAGATGAGTTAGTCACAATCACTTTCACATAAATCTCATAGACAAATGAAGAAGTGTGACAGATGCAATGTCAGTATAATTGCAACGAATTGGGTTTTAATGTGGTATTAAAGGACCTAAAGAAGGAGTGAGGCTGCCTGAGGGAATAGGAGTGTATTACACCATTTTTATATTGCTATTAAGAAATACCTAGGACTGAATAATTTATAAAGAAAAAGAGGTTTAATGGGCTCACAGTTCCACATGGCTGGGGAGGCCTCAGATCACGGCGGAAGGCAAAAGAGGAGCACAGACACGTCTTACATGGTGGCAGGCAAGAGAGCATGTACAAGGGTACTGACCTTTATAAAACCATCAGATCTTTTGAGAACTCACTCACTATCACAGGAACAGCATGGAGGTAACCGCCCCCGTGATTCAATTACCTCCCACTGGGTCCCTCCCATGACACATGGGGATTATAGGAACTACAATTCAAGATGAGATTTAGGTGGAAACACAGTCAAACCATATCAAGGAGGTTTTTTTCTTTAAAAAAAAAAAAAACAGGTTTCTTAAAACAATGACCTTCAAATTAATAATTTTTTTATAAGCAAAAACTTTTCACATAGAAATCAAAGACCAAGTCATTCCAGGATGAGTGCATAGCATGAGAAAAAATATAGGGAAAACATAATTTGAAGCATATTGTTGTTAATTATTACTACCCTATCATATTTGTTTATAAAAGTTCTTAGGACAACCAAAATTCTGAATATGAAAATGTTTGAAAGAAGTTCTTCATAGTTGCTATAGAACTTTTATATGGTGACTTACAAATAAGACCCTTAATGATCTGGTCCCTTCCTAACACTCTTTCATGACTTCAACCTGCCCACTATTAACATCGACTATAGTATATTACTCCATGTCTCCCAAATATGGCATTTTAGTTCATTCTCAATACTTTATATATCCTATTCTCTTCAAAAAATAGTCCCAGAAACCATAGACTTTATAACATACCTACATTTTATACTCTCTTGGCATCACAGGCATAACACATTAAAAATATTTTGTCCTATATAATCTTTGAATCTTATTCAATTAGTCTAACATCCAGCATCCAACACAGAACCTGGTGCCTTATAAACACACATGAAGTAGTCATTGAATAAATGAATTAATAAATGAATGAATGGTAAGTCTTACCACTCTTACTATAGAATTCACTAGACAAATTCTGTCTTTAGTATGACATTGTTTCTAAAGACAAATCAGGTTAAAGTGATCATCAGGTTATATCTATTTAAGAAATAAACCAGAAATCAGATTGAAACAACACAATTTATAAGCCCCCAAATAATCTAAATTAACCAAATTGAACCAAATTTCTAAACCTAAACAAATAAAAATTTTTAAAAAAAATGGTTCAAATTGAAATCTGGTATTTTCATTTCAAAAAAGATTTTACTGAACAGATACAGCACAACCTAATAGCCTTAAAAAATAGTTTATGTCAATTAGAACACTAGTAAATTAATCATGACAGTACTGTACAAAAGTCAGTGTTATGTTTGATTCTGTCTCTGGCATTAAAAATAAAAATAGAATGACTAGTAATTTCATTGAACCCAAGGCTCCACAGGCCATGTGAATATCAACTAAAGAATGAACACTTTTCTCTTCTCCCAAAGGGTATGAGATGCTGGGTGGCCCAAGAGCTTATCCAGCTACTGAATTCTTTTCTTACATATACAGCCATCTTGCAACTGGAGTCCTAAAAAAAAGGCATGTTAAGGGAAAAGCTTGCTCTAGAGACATTCCTTATTTGCATGGTTGCAAAACATTCTTTAAAGAGCACCAGAAGCATTTGGGCCGCAGAGTGGAGGTTGAAGATTTTTTATTATCTTTTCTCGGTACATGAGAATTTTTATCCTATTCTGAAGGGTCATAAGGCTTGTCAGCAAGGGAGTTAAGTAGACTGAACAGACACTGCTTGAAGACGGTGTGCAAAAGACAGAACTGGCTCTTTCGTAAGCCTAGGAACTGCTTCATAAACTGTTTGGCATTTGGAAGTGTGCACTTTGCATATGTATATTTCCAATGATGCTGACCACAGAGTTTTAGACAGAGCAGTGAGTCAATCACTGTTGAATAAAGAAGTAAATGAGTGAATGGATAAATTATGTTTAATGAAACGTTGTTTGATAAAAGGTTGTTGGTGAGCTATTTCTAATCAGTAATCCATGTAAAAGCCTGCTGGCTAAAACTTGCAGTCCTAAGCAAAAGTTGTATATGGACATAAGCTTTAGGCCATAAACTATATATGTATGCATATAGATTTGGCTGTTTGTACTCAGATTTATGCATATATGTATTCTGCTTAAATACATGGCCCTAAAGATATATATATGTATATATGCACACACACAAACATATTTTTTGTGCATATATATATGCACAAAAAAGCAGCAAATGAATGCCTTAAAAAAACTAAATACCTTAAAGTATTTTACTTTAAGTATTTTACTAAAGTAAAATAAGGTATTTAGTTTAAAATATTTATCTTTTCTAGTGAGAATACGGGTATTTTAAATTTCTTAATTTTGCTTTATTTTTTAACTGTTCAATAATAAAGATGTATTATTTCTCTAGTCACAAAAATATTTAGCAGAAGTTACTTGTGAAGATATAGAGAGGAGAGAGACTAGAATTTCTCTTTCTACTGTAAAATTAAAGGTTATTCACTAGATTGAATATGTGAAGAGAGAAGTCTGGTTCAATAATGGCTTACTGTCTTGTTCTATTTTGCTTTGAGTATCCACTCTGGGTGAAACTGTAGATGCTGCTTCTCAAAGGACAGTTGTAGACATGAATGGAAATTATCTTTGCCTCATGATTTTAAACAAAGGTTGAACCAAAAACATATAGAATTAATCTTTTGTTAACAAGAAAATCTTTTACCTTGGAAGCCTCTGTTGTAACAACATTCTGATTAACTGAGGCTCTACTGTACTTGTGGGTAATTTTATATATGGCCTCTTGAGTCAGTCTCCTCACTTTCTCCCGGAATTGCTCTTGGTAACAGGCAGACAACTAGAAAAGGAGGCCATGACCCCCTTCCAGAGGAGAAAGGATTTGCGATGAACTCAATGGAACCTTTGGCAGGAACATTAAAAAAGACCTCAGTGTCTCTGACTGCCAGATTAAACAAAGTAAAGGATGTCGTTTATTTTACTTAAGTCAGCTCAGTTGATTCATAATACTAGTGGTAAAAGCATCTTAGAGGAACAGGTCAGGGATCACTAATCCTTTCTTAGTGGCTTTCTTATCTCATTAGGTTTAAGCTAAAGGAAAAACAAAACAATCCAATAAGCAGCCAAGATGCTTACAGAGAATTAAAATGCTTTCTGAGATTATTTGTGACTGAACACAATTTCCATCTTAACTTAAAATAACAAGTAACTTTCCTTCCATTAAGTTCAATAAAAGAATGCTATCTGTGTATTAAAATGCAAAATATCTGGGATTTGTAACTATCTTTGCATCCACTGAAATCATCTCCTAGGCCTCATTGCTCTATTTCGTCTTTCACTTGGCCACTGTCTACTGCTCACCTCCTCTTCTAGTTACCCGCTACTTATAGACATGGGCCTCCATGTGTGATATCTAGAAGCCCAGGCTCAGAATTTTCTGGGGTGCAAAGTAAATAACTCTGGGGTTAATCACAGCAATCCTGATGTTTTATTTGCACAATAACTTTTTAGAACCACTGACCTCAAAACTACTATATAAATCTTTTTATGTGGCATTTTGTGTCCTCTGAAATCTGTCTCTGATTTGGTTTTTGGTCATTTCCAAGTATTTCTCTCCATTTGTATAAATGAGCCAGATTCTCTCCTGCTTCATGATCTCACCACAGCCTTCCAGTCTTAAGTTTCTCATTGTACTGACTTCTCGGCCTGTATTGTTCAGTTTCTTGCTACTGTTGAAAAACGTTGGATTCATCCTTTAATGCTGTCTACTAGACCACATCAGACATTTCTACTACCTAAGCATCTATCACTCTGGAACCAGAGAGAGAAGATTTTGAGCCACTAGGCTGCACTGTTTAGGGTTGCTTGGGTACAGACACAGTGTTTAATGAGTATGTGTATTAAGGTCTTATGCTAAGGCTTATCCTGAACCAATGTATTTATAAATATTTTATTCCTTAAACTCAACAATAATCGATGATTATTCCAGCCTCTTCATACATGCCTGTAGACCCAGCATAATACAGCAAAAGGACAATATAAAAGAAAAAAATTATGGGCTTTGGAGTTCAATAGTTCTGGCCTTGATGAACAGGACTGCCATCTAACAGCTATAGCTTAACTTTTTTACTTCAGTTTACTTTTTTATTAATGGGCATAATATCTCAGGGTGGTTATGCATATTAATAAAAAATTACAGAATTCTGATTTTTCTTTGAAATGTGTCTCTGCATTACAATTTCTCACAGGATAATGTAATTCCCTGCTCTGAGATGATATTTAGTGAATGCTTGTTAAACTTATTTGAATAAATAGATACAATTTTTAAAATGCCAAATAAAATTCCCTTAGAATCATCTACTTTATTGTTACATTATCATCTGTTTTGGTCTAAGTTTTATTCCCAGAAAATTCATATGTGAATGTAATAATCCCCAGTACCTCAGAATGTGACTATATTTGGAGATCGGGTGTTTAAAGAGGTGATTAAGTTCAAATGAGAATGGGACTGAATCCAACCTTACGGTATCTTTATTAGAAGAGTTGAAGACACAGACATATAAAGGAGAGACTGTGTGAAAAACCAGGAGAATTTAACAATTTACAAAGTGAGAAGAGAAGCCTTGGAAGAAACCAACCCTTCTGACACTTTGAGCTCATATTTCTAGCCTCCAGGAATATGAAAAAATAAATTTCTGTTGTTTAAGTCACTGAGTCTGTGGCACTTTGTTATGGCATCGCTAGCAAAAAATATACCAATCCTTTACGTAATGGATAAAATCGGTACACTTGAAATATAGACTAATTTGTTTGTGCTTAGGGTGTCTGTGTTCATTTGTTGGGAAAAACATCAGATATCATTACAAAATTATAACTTTCACCGGGAAGCAGGATGGCAACAAAATTTTTCTTGATAAAGAAATTGGAGTCTGAAAGGCAGCCTGTGTCCCAAATGGCAACTCTATCTCATGCAGAGGATAGGCAATGAGTTTGGTAAAGAAACTGCATTAAGTGGATTGGGCTGTATTGCAGTGGATTTGTTAGCAGGGGTACTTGAGGAGAGTGAATCATGAATAAACTGCACAGTATTTGGAGACAGAATAATTATGGTTTCAATTTAAGGGTGCACAGTGGTCAGTCACATTTCCCAGTGGTGCTTGGTGGATTCCACTTCAATGGAACTTGCTTCACTGGGTCCCAGAGCAAATATAACCCAATCTATTGCATTTGTATAGCACATTACAGATATGAAAGTATTTCATTGCATTTTCTTATTTGTTCTTTATATTATTAATTATCATCATAATTATAAACCCAGGGTGGTTACCCAAAAGCATAAAAATATAGTCTTTTTCTCAAGTCCCAAATGATGGAAAGTATAAAGGAACTAGATTTTTAAAAATTAACTAGTCATTATACAATTTTTTATTGTTTCATATCCAACTTTTTATTTTGAAAATTCTAAACTTAAAGAAATTTGAAATTCTACAATACCTAAATACTATTTGCCTTTATTTATCAGTCCCACACATTGCACTCCCTGTCCCTTTTTTAAAAACTTTATTTAAAAAAATTTTATGAGTACATATTAGGTGTATATAATTATGGGGTATATGAGATATTTTGATACAGGTGTACGATGTGTAATAATCATATGAGGGTAAATAGGGTTTCCATCACCTCAAGCATTCATCTTTTCTTTGTGTTATGAACATTCCAATTGTACACCCTCAGTTACTCTAAAATGTTCAACAAATTATTGCTGTCTGTAGCCATCCTATTGTGCTATCAAATACTAGAGCTTATTTATTCTATCTAACCATATTTTTATACCCATTAACCATCCTCATTTCCCACCTCCCACTTCCTAACCTTCCCAGCCTCTGGTAACAAGCCTTCTACTCTCTGTCTGCATGAGTTCAATTGTTTTAATTTTTAGCTCCCACAAATGAGTGATAACATGCAAAATTAGTTTTTCTGTGCCTTGCTTATTTTACTTAACATAATGTCCTCCAGTGGTATTCATGTTATTAAACATAACAATATCTCATCCTTTTTTTTGGCTGAATAGTACTCCATTGTGTATATGTACCACATTTTCTTTATCCATTCTTCTGTTGATGGCCACCTAGGTTGTGTTCAAATCTTGGCTCTTGTGAATAGTGCTTCAAGAAACATGGGGGTGCAGATATCTCTTCGACATACTGATTTCTTTTCTTTTGGATATATTCCTAGCAGTTTGATTACTGGATCATATGGTTGTTCTATTTTTAGTTTTTTAAGGAAGCTCCATGCTGTTCTCCATAGCAGCTGTACTAACAGTGTACAAGGCTTCCCCTTTCTCCACACCCTTGCCAGCATTTGTTATTGCCTGTCTTTTGCATAAAAGCCATTTTTACTGGGGTGAGATAATATCTAATTGTAGTTTTGATTTGTATTTCTCTGATGATCAGTTATGTTGAGTGCCTTTCCATATGCCTATTTGCCATTTGTATATCTTCTTCTGAGAAATGTCTATTCAGATCTTTTGCTCATTTTTAAATTAGATTATTAAATTTTTTCCTATAAAGTTGTTTAAGTTCCTTGTATAATCTGGTTATTAATCTCTGTCATATGGATAGTTTGCAAGTATTATCTCCCTTTCTGTGGATTGTCTTCTCACTTTGTTGATTGTTTCCTTTAGGAGCTAGGATTTCAACTCAAGATCTGTATGTTTCTTTCAGTGCTATGGCTGCTGGACTATACTGCAAGTTACTGCTTGATATGGTTTGGATTTGTGTCCCTGTCCAAATCTCATGTAAAATTGTAACCCCCAGTGTTGGAGGAGGCCTAGTGGGAGGTGATTGGATCATGCAGGTAGATTTCCCCCTTGATCTTTTCATAATAACGAGTGAGTTTTCATGAGATCTGGTTGTTTAAGAGCACCTCCCCCTTCACTCTCTTTCTCCTGCTCCAGCCATGTAAGACTTGCCTCCTTCCTCCTTGCCTTCTGCCATGATTGAACATTTCCTGAGGCCTCCCAGCCATGCTTCCTGTATGGCCTGCAGAACTGTGAGCCAATTAATTTTCTTTTCTTTATAAATTACCCAGTCTCAGGTAGTTCTTTATAGCAATGCAAGAATGGACAAATACACTACTGCTTAACACTGATTCCTCTGAGAACAAAGGACAAATTTTAAACTACAGGGTGATGCAAGTTCAGGCTGTTTGGGAGGGAAATAGTTGGTGAGTTGAGAGTATTAAAAATCAAAGAAGATACATAAAATTATTGGTATAAATTTTGCTAAGATTCTGCCTGTCATAGTTTTGAAGAACAGTTCAAGCAAATCTCATTTTATAAATGAAGACAAAAATTTATAAATGAAGACAAAAATTCAGAATGTTACTCGTTCAAAGTCATCGTCATAACTGGAATTTGAAAGTAGCTCTGTTGGACTGCAATATTTATACATTTCCATTAAAATATATTAATTCCTGTTTGTTTTTTTCCCTAAATGTATTATCTTAATCTGCTTAATTATTATGGGTAACAACCTTGGAGCAAAAGTGACCACCGTTATGGAAAAATTCTCATGCCAGAAAAGTGCCAACAAAAGAACTAGAAATAATCCCTTACATATTATTATCTTTATAAATCCCACCCTCTCAATATGGCTGAAGATCATAGTGTGAAACAAAAAGCATGATAGCACACCAACATGGCACATGTATACATATGTAACAAACCTGCACGTTGTGCACATGTACCCTAAAACTTAAAGTATAATAATAATAAATAATAATAATAATAAATAAAAATAAGATGCAACATTTTTGTTGTGCTTACTGTACATGAGATGAAAATCATGAAATGCTTACTAAAAGACAAAAATGCTCTGAGGTAGATATTATTAACTTAAAATGAGGGAACTGAGGCAATGAGAGATGAAAGAACTTGTCCAAGGTCATATAGCTAGTGCATGGCAAAACTGAATTTGGAACCTAGGCATCCAGGCTCCAGTGTCTGCCACTACACTGTTTTATATTTCAATTTAAAATAGCTTAAAATTATTCTCTAAGATAATATAATATTTTACTTTGGCTGTTCTATATTAGATAGCTATCTAAATATATCTATTGTAAAATTATTTCAATATAGCCATTCACTGATTTATGGCAACAACATATTTACTGAGCACCTATTATGTGCTTGGCATTGAGATATATGTCAAACTTAGTTCTTGTTCCGGATACGTAAGTTTTGCTGATGGAGAACAAGCATTAAGCAAATAAATGCATGTTTACTTAAACATAACAAATGCTATATTGAAACTGTACTGGATACTGTAAAATAACAGGAGAACTAAATATTTATTTTAATGATAAAACTTTACTTCTATATCAGTTAATACACATAATATGGTTTTTAAATTAACATTCTGCTCAATATATGTGCAATTGATCATTTTTGTTGTCTCATCTTGCACTCACCACATATTTAAGTGAAAGCATGAATCCTATTTAAACCACTGTACCAAGGATCTACATTTTTGTTCACTTGTTAATAATGTCCTTATTCATCTTATAACAGTGCTTTCGGCAGAACTCTGCTAAGAGCTATAAAAATTACATCAAATACTTCATTTCGGGTAGGGCACTCAGATATTCATTTGTTTAATAAGAGAAAGACTGGAATATTTTTTCTTTCCCTGCTTATTTATATCAAAACAACATCAGGGGGAAATTATCCCCTGGTCTTCTATGCTGTGCCCGGTATATAAGAATTACATATCAAAACTTTGCCAAGTTTAGGAATGAGGAACCAAATCAGTCTGTGTGTGACTGTGTGTGCCTGTGTGTGTGTCTGCGTGTGTGTGTCTCTGTGTGTGTGTGTGTGTGTGTGTGTGTGTGTGTGTGTATGGCTGAAAGTGTCTTGGTTCTGAAATGCTTTATTAAATTCTCCAACTCAACAATGAAGTTCCACCTTTTAAGTTCAAAATAGCACAGAGGGCCATGTGGTACCATGGAAAGATTAAGGCATTTGAAATCTTTCAGAACCAAATTCAGAGCCAAGTTTTGATTCTTATTAAATGCAACTGTAAGCAAATTAATTTATCCGAGGCTCCATATCTATTTATCTATGTACCTGCCCATCAATCTGTCTATCTGTATGTGGTAAAGACAATTAATATAAGTACCATTTAATGTCAGCTGAGCATTCAACAGGTAATTTATCTTAAGCATCTACAAAATTCCTAGGCTATGTGAGTACCCAGTCTGACAAGATTATTATTAAAGCTAAACTCCTCAAACATATATAAATTACAGACATCAGTGAAATCAAAGGCAATATGGAGAGGCAACTAATGCTGGAGGGTTTTTGGATTTTCTTCTAGAATTGATTTCTTATGTAGCAAAGATGAAGAGGATAGCAGATGTTCATTTCTGAATTTTATAAGCTTTAAGCCATTGACAAGAATGCCTCATTGAGCATTAAAAATATTGAGAGTAATCAAGATGCCAAAGATAGTCTATTACAGTTAAATTAGTATCAGAATTATTCGAGACTTTGTAAAGACATCCAACTGTGCTCTCCAAATGTGGACAGAGAATATCCAATTTAGAGAGCATAACAAGAACAGCAAAATTCACAGAATCTCTCCAAATTCTTAATATTTACCTGAAATATCAAATGTGACAGATTGATAGGGCAATTTTGAATAAAATGACAAGATCTAACATAGCAAAATTATATAACTATGGGTAACTGACGAATTTATGTATAATGCAACACTATATAAAGGAATAATTGTAAAGGTCTCTATGATACTCACAGATTTCTTAACATGTAAATCCATGGAAAGTTAAATTTTTGGACAGTTCTGTGTTTATTCAATCTGACAGGAAATATATATGTATGTAGAATCTTCTCACGATGTTAATATTTATTTCCCAAAAAGTGAAAAATCATTCTTATTCATTTTCATGTTCATTCATCCATCCATTCATTCAACACTATGGAGCATGATCATAGGCATCAGTATTATGGAGATGAGTAAGAAAACCTTACACACTCTTGTTGCTGATCATCTTCGGGCTGTTTCATGGAGAGACTCAGAATTATAGTAAAAAGTAGGAATAAGGAAGATGGAATCACTGATACATCATAAATGAATCACAGAGGATTTCTCATAGGAATTACTCTATGAGATGAACCTTAAGAGAAGAAGTTTGCCTGCTAGAGAGGGAGAAGACCAACAAAGATATTACAGGCAGAAAAAAAAAAAGAGCATATATTAAAGCAAGGAGGAGAGGTGCATTCTTAGTGCATAAGGATGGCACAGTGTATCTGGTAGTGTAGATTTCTCACAGCAGGTTTGGACCTTACTGTGATGGTCCTTCTATGCCAGACCAGGAGGTGGTATCCTGTCTCATAACTACAGGTCCCCCTTTCTGACTGTCTCCACACTACCCTTTGAGCACTTCTATGCGCCAACCACTGTGCTAAAAATATATTGACTTATGTAACACTGGCAACAACTGTAAAGACGAGTACTAATATTAACCCATGCAGGAACAAGAATTTGAGGTTTAACAAGACTATGTAACTAGGGTTGAATTCAGACATTCTAATTACAGAGCTCACACTCACAACCTGCAGGTTATATATGTTTCCAATATTATTGTTGGAATGAAAGAAAAAAAGTTAATAAAAACACAGAAAAAGACAAAAGCAATGCCATCAATGAAATTTTACCCCATAATTGGGCACTTGGAATTGAATTATAGACATGAATTATTTAACTTACAAAGAAGTTATAGACTACAAGGGGAAAAGATTATAAGCTCACCACGTGGGAGCTGACAAAAACTCACAGGAGTAAAATGAAAAAGGGTTTTGTGAATAACAAATATTCTGAATTAATTATAGAAACACTGTCAAGTTCTGAATCGATGTCTGTGAGAGTGATGATATCAGTAAGAAGTGGATTCCCTGATCTAACTTGGAAAAGTGTAATTGCACGTTTTTTAAGACCTATAAAAATATCATTTTCAATAAGTAGCTACTCATTTGTCTTAAAGAGACAGATTTAGTATGTTTATGTTTTCAAAAATACCTGCTAGTTAGCACACCATTGAATATCACTTGTCTGTATTAGTTTGTCTGCTTAACAATTTTAAATATATATAGACTCTGTGTATCAGCAGTGACCAATTTAGAATTATCTAGACTTGGCTTTGAATTGTGGGTTGGGCTTAACTCTGTTGCATGTGTTTTCCAATTTATTTATCTTTAGTCAGTAGTTATTCATGTCATGTTCATTTTATAGATGATCACAGGAACTTAAGAAAGCAAGGCAAGCCATGCCCACATGTTTAAGTCCACATCATATTTATTAATATTTTATTAAGCAAAAAAGGTCACAAAACCAAGACAGAAATCATGGCACTGGACAAATGTACTCCACCCATAGTGAAAGACACGCAAAGGTTCATAGCAAAGTAAGTGGATATAATCAGTTTACCACAATGCCATAACAAATTCAGCAAATTAAAGCATGTATGCTTTATAAGTGAAAAAATGCATATTATATTTCGAAGATTGACAATGATAATCCTAATTTTTGACCATGAGATGATAAGCAATGTTTTTCCATTTCTAAATATCATTTTATAGTCATTTTCTATATGGCAAAGTAGATTAAAATATAATAATATGAAAAATAAAATATCCTGTAAATTTATTGAACTAAGGGTAATTTTACTATGACACACCTCAGTGTGCTGAAAGCAAATGAAAAATTGTGATGGTCTTAATTGTTAGATTTGTGGTGAATACCCCATCTTTACCTTGGGCATCATCAACATACCACAAGTAATATTTTCCTTTTAGACATATGAACCTGATATGAAAACTAGGGTGAAAACATAAATATTCATAAAAATCATAAAGATCACAATAAATTTTCTATGAATCATTTTGTGAATACCATTTGGGAGACTACTTCATAGAGTAATAATTAAAAGCCTAGACTCTGTAAACCAGTTATTACTATTATTATTATTTATTTTAAGTTCCGGGATACATGTGCAGGATGTGCAGGTTTGTTACATAGGTAAGCATGTGCCATGGTGGTTTGCTTCACATATCAACCAATCACCTAGATATTCAGCCCAGCATGCATCAGCTATTTTTCCTCATGCTTTCCCTCCCTCTACCACCCCTCCCTGCCTGACTGAAGGCCCCAGTATGTGTTGTTTCCCTCAAGGTGTCCATGTGTTCTCACTGTTCAGCTCCCACTTTCAAGTGAGAGCAGGTGGTGTTTGGGTTTTCTGTTCCTGTGTTAGTTTGCTGAGGATAATGGCTTCCAGCTCCATCCATATCCCTGCAAAGAAGATGATCTCATTCTTTCTTATGTCTGCATAGTATTTCGTGGTGCATATGTACTACATTTTCTTTATCCAGTCTATCATTGATGGGCATTTGAGTTGATTCCATGTCTTTGCTATTATGAATAGTGCTGCAGTGAACGTATGGACACATGTATTTTTAAAATAGAATGATTTATATTCCTTTGGGTATATACCCAGTAATGGGATTGCTGGTTCAAATGGTATTTCTGTTTCTATATCTTTGAGGAATCACCACACTGTCTTCCACAATGGTTGAACTAATTTAAATTCCCACCAACAGTGTAAAGTGTTCCTATTTCTCTACAGCCTTGCCAGCATCTGTTGTTTCTTGACTTTTTAATAATTGCCACTCTGACAGTGTGAGATGGTATCTCACTGTGGTTTTGACTTGCATTTCTCTAATGATCCGCGATGCTGAGCTTTTTTCCATGTTTGTTAGGTGCAAAATCTCTTCTTTTGAGAAGCATCTGTTCATGTCCTTTGCCCACTTTTTAATGGGGTTGTTTGTATTTTTCTTGTAAATTTGTTTAAGTTCCTTGTAGATTCTTGATATTAGACTTTTGTCACACAGGTAGATTGCAAAAATTTTCTCCCAATCTGTAGCTTGCCTGTTCACTCTGATGATAGTATCTTTTGCTGTGCAGAAGCGCTTTAGTTTAATTAGATCCCATTTGTCAATTTTGGCTTTTATTGCAATTACTTTTTATGTTTTAGTTATGAAATCTTTGCTCTTGCCCATGTCCTGAATGGTATTGCTTAGATTTTCTTCTAGGGTTTTTATAGTTTGGGGTTATAAATTTAAGTCTATAATCCACACTGACTTAATTTTTGCATAAGGTGTAAGGAAGGGTCCAGTTTCAATTTTTTGCATATGACTAGCCAGTTCTCCCAGCACCATTTATTAAATAGGAAACAGTTTCTCCAACACTTTTTTGTCAGGTTGGTCAAATATCAGATGGTTGTAGATGTGGGGTCTTATTTTTGAGTTCTCTATTCTGTTGCATTGGCCTATGTGTCTGTTCTTCTACCAGTGCCATGCTGTTTTGGTTACTGTAGCCTTGTAGTGTAGCTTGAAGTCAGGGAATGTGATGCCTCCAGCTTTGTTCCTTTGCTTAGGATTGTCTTGGCTATCTGGGCTCTTTTTTTGTTCCATATGAATTTTAAAGTAGTTTTTTTCTAATTCTGTGGAGAATGTCAATGGTAGTTTAATGGGAATAGCATTGAATCTCTACATCACTTTGGGCAGTATGGCCATTTTCATAATGATTCTTCCTATCCATGAGCATGGAATGTTTTTCCATTAGTTTGTGTCCTCTCTGATTGCCATGAGCAGTGGTTTGTAGTTCTCCTTGAAGAGGTCCTTTACTTCCCTTGTTATCTGTATTCTTATATGTTTTATTCTCTTTGTAGCAATTTTGAATGAGAGTTGTTTAATAAGTTTGAGTTTCATTTTTTTCTATAAAATGGGAATAATAATATCTACTTCTTAGGTTTGTTATGTAGATTAAATGAGGCAATTTCTATAGCAGACACATCACAGTGCCTAAAATGTAGAAACACAACTACTATAATTATTTTTATTATAATACTTAATGTTCTCAGAACCTCAATTTTCTCATCTGCACCATAACTGCTGTAGTACCTATTTGAGAGCATTTCAAGGACTGTGTGAGCATTTTCTATGTGTATCAAGAAGCCAGGGCTTTCAGATTTCTTTAGTCCAATAATTTGAAAGAGAAGCCAGCAACATTCATTGAAACACAATAGAAAAAAAACTATTGTAAACCTAGAAAATATAATTGAAAATAAAAATAATAATAAAGTCAGGACATTCATGCCAGAAACTGTAGTCTGACTGGAGAGAGGAGAGGCAGGTAGTTGAAGGAAATGAGAGCAAGTATTGGAGTAGGCAATAAAGAGAAAAGTAGGAGTTTTATAAAGGAAAGGAAGCTGTATTTGTAGATGAAGATGGAAATCAACTTCATTCATTTGGAAATACTGATAGGATTTTGGCAGCGTGTTTTGAATAGTTGGCAAAAATATTGAAGTATGGTTTTTTAAAGAAAACTGAATAAATTACTGAAAGTTCCAGGTTCCAATATCATCATCCAAAGGAAAATAGAAATAAGGCTATAACTTTTTTCTCCTGAATCCATAGTCTTTGAAATCTCTTCTAATGTTATATTTTAAACTTGCTGATGTCATATTTGAAACTTTCTACGAACCCATTTAAAACTATGTATATCTATATCTGCCATCGTTTCTTCCACAGATGAATCATCTTAAATAGAACATTTACCTTGTAATGACTGTTTGACAATTGACTAGCAAATTGAATTTCCTAGGTTCATAATATGCTCTAGCACTATCACTTTTGAATTTTGAAGAAGATATCAACCTTTCCAAGTTCAAATTCTCTTTAACAATAGCAAAGCATGATTTTCTGTTATCTAAAATAAATATTTTGTGTTTGTTTTTGTTCTTTTTAAAAAAAAATAAATAAAAAGGGTTTCCAGTAAATGGAGACATCAAAAAAACTCATAAACATTCTTTAATAAGTAAATCAAAGTTATAACATGTAGTGTTGCTTTGAAAATGACATAGAATAAACAACTGTGGGAAATATTTAGCATGAGAGAAAACCAAAACCAATCAAAAAATAATTCAGGTCACATTTATGAATGTATATGAATGAATTATGAATGTATCAGTGTGTGTATGTGACAAAGGAGGAGGATACAGATTCTTTAACTACCAATGAAATATTTTAGGCTTTTAAAAATATGAACCTTTATGTCCATAGGATATGTGTATGAATAAGAATTTAATATATATATAAAGATATTAGCCAGTGATTATAAAAAACATCCTTATTATCACAAATTATTGAGTAAAATATAAGTTAAAAGAACTCATAGGACAAGTAACAGTACAAAAATTATTTTTAAAAAAAACCAACCTGCCTTCTATTTTAGCAGTTGTTACCTTCTTCGTGGAATATTCTCTGAGTTGTACATTCAGATTTAACATTGTGTTAATCATGAGGACTCTTCACAAATATTTTTGTCTATTATTCTAAACATATTGTGCTTACCCATTGCCTCTGAAGGTAAGTGTGGTTTTATGACTTGTTTGGATTAACAAAAAGTAAAGGGACTCTTCACTTCCAGGTAGAAGCTTTAAGATTCAGTGTGTGATTGGTTATGTATGGTTTTTTCCCTGTCATGGTGATTATTAAGGCATGTGGCAATATCGAGCCTTTTTTAGTCAGATCCCTGGGTATCTATAACAACTACAGCAACCTGCAGCCTGTGTTAGACATACAGAATGAGAGAGAAATAAAATTTGATCATGTTAAATCACATAGACTTGGGAATTGATTGTTATAAAGTACAACTCAACTTGTCTTGACTAATATAATTGTTGCTCTTACTTTTGTGATTTAATTTTAGTTAATTCAGTATATAGATATTCAGCAAGTAGCTCTTCATAGAATATTATCTAGTTAAATGTCTGTTTTTTAATTTGAATTTAAGTATTTTTAGGATCGGTTTTTGTATTTTCATTTGGGCATTACTTGATATACAGCAGGCACTAAAATGTGTTTTCCAAATAAATACTACTAAAAAGTGCTTACTCAATGTATGCTTACTTCATTGACTTTTGTATTCTGAAAATTTATAGAATTTGGATTTTTTTCCTGAACATTTAATGATGAACAAATGAATGTATCATTTCTATCAGAAATAGTAAATAATTGGGAAATAAAATATTGTGCATTTTTTATCACTTAACTTTGATACTTATAGCCTAAAAATTTAATCCTTCCCCCAATCTCACATATAAATTAAGATAGAATACTGTATACAACATACATTTTATATTTTCAAAATAGGCACACATAAGATACGTGGAAACAAAAAATAGGAGAAATAGTACCAATAACAATACATTTTTCCTCTCGTACGTAGATAATAGTCAAGTTCCTCCAGCACAAAAGTGAGCTCACAATCTATTTTACTATAAGTGAGTGTTTTTTCCATGTCTTTGAAAGGGAAAAATTTAATATATCTTATAGTCAGCTAATATGTGTTGCCACATGATGCACAGTTTCTTTTTCTATTAGTCAAGATTTTTCCTCACATTAAAAAAAAATAGTTTCTATGCATTTTTAACCCAAACATCCTACTTGTTTCTAATAAAAATTTGTACAAATTCAGTAGGCACTGCTCAATTTCACTCTTCCAATTGTGCTTATAACACACTGGAAAGCAGCCAGTAAAGGCATTTGAGAGAGAAAAAAAGAAATGTATTGCACGATTTTAGAAAATTGAATTGAAATTTTAGAGGGCAATCCTTCTTGCCTCAATCATTGTTTACAGTGAATCCATTATGCAATTTGATGTAGAGAATATAAAGTCCTTAAAAAAATGTAAAGCCGGTCTTATAAATGGATGGCAGTCGTAGCGTGGCTTTAAGTTATACCACCCTTTAGTTTTTCCATTTCCTGTTACTGAGACTTTTGATTGCTTTCATATAACCACATCTAGTTCTTTGCCCAACACAGTAAAAAATCAAGTTATATCCTTCTAATAGAGGTACAAAAATGGAAATTATTATTGAAGTCATGTAGGAAAAGCCATAAGTTAAAGACCTGAAGTTTTCAACCTTCAGCTTTAATTTATACAGATTTAACTTTTCCTTGTTATGTTTCTGAGTTACTTCAAGACACCTGTCATTCAGGGGGCACTCTGTAAATAATTGTCAAGTCTTATAGTTTAATATCTTCTTTGTCAACAAGGAATATTTTCTCATTCTAGATAACTGGATTATAGCTATTAAACTAGAGGATGGTTTAATAAAGGGATTATATTCAAGGGGGTGGATAGGTTTAGGGACTAGAACTTGGGTTGATGCAGTACCCTGGGGCTGATGGTGACAGAAGTGTTTTCCCACCTTTGAGTTGGAAGTAACACATGGAGGAGATGGTTGTAGGATCCACCAAGAGAATGATATAGAGAGGGTCAGTGGACAGCACCTGTGAATTCTGATATGGGGACACATCCAACTGTGGTTACCCAGCAGGAAGGAAACCAAGGTAATACCTTCCAGGATTTCATTACCCCTTTTCCTTCTCATACTTCAGATTGATGACACCCACATGAATGTCAGATAGCAGGAAGGGAACATACTGATGCAGTCCATAAGGAATGGTCCCCCGGAGTATAGAGTGGATTCGGCTGGCAAGCCGAATATATCAAGCACGTTCTCCTCCCTCCCTTCTGTAAATTATTGAACTTTAAATATAACCATCAAACCAACATAAGGTGTTCCTTATTTGTTATTATTATTAATTATTTTTTGAGATGGAGTCTTGCTCTGTCAGCCAGACTGCAGTGCAGCGGTGCTATCTCGGCTCACTGCAACCTCTGACTCCTGGATTCAAGCGATTCTCGTGTCTCAGCCTCCCGAGTAGCTGGGATTACAGTGTGCGCCACAACACCCAGCTAATTTTTTTATTTTTAGTAGAGACGGGGTTTCGCCATGTTGGTCAGGCTGGGCTCCTGACCTCAGGTGATCCACCCGCCTCAGCCTCCTGAGAGACAGGAATAGCTGGATTTCCTAGGCCGACTAACAATTCCTAAGCCTAGCTGGGAAGGTGACAACATCCACCTTTAAACACGGGGGCTTGCAACTTAGCTCACACTCAACCAGTCAGATAGTAAAGAGAGCTCACTAAAAATCTAATTAGGCAAAAACAGGAGGTAAAGAAATAGCCAATCATCTATTGCCTGAGAGCACAGCAGGAGGGATAATGATCAGGATATAAACCTAGGCATTCGAGCTGGCAACGGCTACCCTCTTTGAGTCCCCTCCCTTTGTATGGGAGCTCTGCTTTCACTCTATTAAATCTTGCAACTGCACTCTCTTCTGGTCCGTGTTTGTTACGGCTCAAGCTGAGCTTTCACTCACCGTGCACCACTGCTGTTTGCGGCTGTCCCAGACCTGCCGCTGACTTCCATCCCTCTGGATCCAGCAGGGTGTCTGCTGTGCTCCTGATCCAGCGAGGCGCCCATTGCCACGCCCAATCGGGCTAAAGGCTTGCCATTGTTCCTGCACGGCTAAGTGCCAGGGTTCGTCCTAATCGAGCTGAACACTAGTCACTGGGTTCCGCGGTTCTCTTCCATGACCCACGACTTCTAATAGAGCTATAACACTCACCGCATGGCCCAAGGTTCCATTCCTTGGAATCCATGAGGGCAAGAACCCCAGGTCAGAGAATACGAGGCTTGCTGCCATCTTGGAAGCAGCCCACCACCATCTTGGGAGCTCTGGGAGCAAGGATCCCTCATGACACTCCCAAAGTCCTGGGATTACAGGCCTGAGCCACTGAAATCAGCCCTTACTTATTTATTATTTATTGACAATTTACTTTGATCAAAGCTAAAAATTAAAAAAAATAGATTATAATGCTACAGTTTCTTCCCTTAAGCATTTTATCACTTAGTAGGAAACAAAGGTATGTATGCTAAAAATTCAATGTCATGCAAAGTGGTCATTGCTGTGATATTGACATGAATATAGGTGAACAGACAACAGAGTTAACAACTCTTAAAGAATTCTGCAACTAACTCCTTTAAAATTCTGAACTGGATTTACCCATTGAAAAATAAAACCAAGAAGGAATCCTACTAGAAATGTAAGTGCAGTGTCAAATTTCAGTCACATACAATTCAACTATGTGACAGGATATTGTAATTCAAAAAGACCATAATAAACCAAAACAGGCCTCATTAACTGTATATCAGATGTCCCGATAACACGACCATATGCTAACCTGATAATCTGGTTTTAGGCAAATTTTCCTGCTTATTCAGTAGGTGTCTTAACTCCCTTTGTACCCTTCATTCTCATACTGGCTTGACTCCAGGCAGTATTATTTTTTCTGTATTTATTTGGTGAAGTTCCTCCTATTGCTGACCATAAAGCCAGTACCCCGAGTAGCAATTTAAAACTCAAGGATTAGTCCCCCTACACATCTTTGCTGACCTGCTCCCCGAAATACAGTAGTTTGATGACCAGTAAAATTGTGAATGGTTTCATTACTATTTTCTTAATGGGATTATTAGTCTGGCTTGCCATTCATTTTTATTGCATATGTCACTTATTTCTGTGATAGAGGCTCACAATAACCTTAGGAGTTATTCTAGCAAAGATGACTACGTTGGCTTAGCATTATTGCAAATCAATAACGGCAAAAATTTTACTCAGAAATACCCTGCTTGAAAGACATTGCCTTGTTCTTTGTCCAGGTTACTTTTAGGAATCAGTTTCAACTTGCATTGGAAGGTGAAAGAATGTTGGAGCTGGACATACATGTATGTGAAACCTTTTTCATCATCTTACTAGCAATCTTTAAGCAACTTTCTACATTTGGATGATTTTATTTTACTGCTTGTATTGTATACCCCACAGTTCCTACGGAATGTAGAATGTAGCCCTCTGAAGGAACCTTGATATACACCACAAGCAGTAAACATATATATATGTATACATATATATACACATTATATATGTATACATATATATATGTTTACTGCTTGTGGTGTATATATATATATGGATAAGCAGCAAGTCTAAGTGCATTCATCTAAAAAACTAGGGTGCAATACCTATTTCAGATTTCTATGAAGTTGAACAAATTGTGGATATTGATAGGAGAGAGCTGCAGGTGCTAAGAGTACAATCTAAACCACTGTCATTACTAACCAGGTGGTATAACTTTATATCATTTACCTCACAGCAAAATAAGGAAAATAAGAGCAATCATCAGATTGATTTGTTGTTTGCCTTTAATGAGTTGATGTGGCTTAAATACCTGGTACAGTACCAGGGCAACAGTAAGCATTCAGTACAGTTACTTTTTTACATCAAGGTCTTGGTAAATGTTGGTTTCCTTCTTCCACAAACCCTTGTATGTGTCCTTTAATAGATTGTTATTGGTATGCTAAATTAGGGCCCTTGAAGAGAGGGGAAGTTCTTGCTCACTCTCTTCCTGTTCCTCCTCTTCTATTCCTTTGTGATCCTCCATCCCCGGCCCCCCTTCACTGACCCTTTTTCTCTCAAGGATTTGTTTTGTCTAGCAAGGAGCAATAAAGGATATGTAGCAAAGGAAGGCTTAAAAGTGCCTTTTGGTGACAGCATACATGCCAGGGGGAGACAAGCTGCCACAGAGATCTCAGCCAGCTGCCCTGGGAAACACATACCTGCATAATCAGGCCAGATGAAAGTCTAGAGCTTCCTTCCTGATGCAATGGGGGGCTGGGGCTGTGGGGAAGATCATTCAAGCACAGCTGGAGAAATGGAGCACAGGGGGACGCCAAGGCCTTGTTAATCCTAACTGAGATTGAGAACCATAGAGGGGTTCAATGGTGTCTGAAGGGTGCTGAAATGACCAGACCTGGAGCCTGCAAAGGATGACTGAGAGAAAGTCTACATGAACCTGTTTTTCTTTATCAAGGACATAGTTTAAATAAAGAAAAACAAAACTGATAATGAGGCCAATAATCATAGCTTGTAATCTTCTCAGGCTAAAGATTCTGTAGCTAATGTGCAGGTCCCAGAAAGCTCATTCAGTGGATTGTCTTGCTGAGTTACTTGTGGACTAGGAGGTGTGTGTTTGTGTACCACATACCATTGCAACACACTTTCTCTGTGCTTATTTATGTGCTTTATGTATCACATAAATACATACCTGCTTAAGATTTTTCTATTTCTCAAGATAACACATGGAAAAAACCCATGAGACTCTTTAAAAGAGAAACGGGTAAGAGATCAAAAGTGTGAGTTAAAATTTAAAAAGATATATAGCAAAGCAACATTAAAAAGAAAGGATATATAAAGGATACACCCACACACACCCACACAGAAAGAGAGAGAGAGAGAGAACAAAAGGGAAATAACAGAATTTTCATTTCTTTTACAGAGTAACAACATAAATGCATTTATTTATAAGGCTAAACTGTGAATATAATGTTCATAACCATTTCCTCCCTAGGAATAGATTTATCTTACTTTTTTTTTTTCTGCTAAAAACAAGCTTTGAGGCTAGTCTGTTGCATGTTTGAGAGATTTGGGGGCTGATTTAGGAAAAAAGATATGGCCACAATAAGAAGTTACACTCGTCAAGCTTTATTGGGAAGTGATTGCACAGGGTTAATGAGAGGGGAAGTCCCTCACAGCATGATACCATCCAGAGGCTTATGACTAGGGAATAACCATCCATGAGGAGAGGAAGGCAAGGAATTCTTGAGAGAGAGGAGAATCCTAAAGATGCTTGCATATCCAGGTGATGTTACCAGCAGCTCAGAGGGGAGTCTGTGTCAGAGAGCTCCGTGCAACTTGGAGATTTTATAACGACAAGGCTCTATCTTATCAATGGCCAGAAGATGTGAGGTGACATTTTATAAGATATGTTTAGCATGCAGCCCCTAAATGTTTAAAAATCTTCTTGTTTTCACCATCTCTTTTAAAATTGGATGTGTAAAAATGTGATTTTTGGCTCTGGCAGGCTTCTGAGTCTCTACCTCCAGAAGTGTGTGTGGCCCAACACACAGAGGCCATCATTGGCTCATTTATAAGAAATAGTCCCACCACCTATTTTATCAATCACTATTGCCATAGTTACTGAGGTTGTGTTCTGAAATACACCCCAAATGAGATTGGCATCCTGTACACCACCTGGAACCTGGAAGTCATGCATATTCAGGCATTGAGAAGCAAAGGGTGAGTGAGTAGCTGAACTACAAAGTTAAGATCTTGAGGCTCCCCCAAGCCCATTCCTCCTAGCTTTGACCACCAATGACTGATAGTCATCATGAGGATGAGAGATTGTTTGCATAAAATGAACACAGACATTGGAAAACCTTAGAAAGTCAGTGCCTCCGTTACCCTTCTCTTAAACAAAACAGGTCAGCCCTCAAGGAAAACATGGTATTCAATTTCAGCACAATAGAACTGAGTGTGTGGGCACAAAATGAATATTATTTGTATTTAAGGCACTCTACTAGGAAGCAAAAAGGAGTCCTGTAAGCTAATATGGGTAATGAGACCTGTGCACAATGGCCATGCTAAAAGAAATGGAACCAGGTGTGCGAAATAAGACTGGAGTACACAGAGTGTTACTGGATTCAAAGAGGAAGGATACAATCATCTTGTGAAGAAAAGCTCCCCAGAGAAGGAGGCATCTGAATGGTGCTTTACAGGACGTGTTTTTGAAGGTGAGTATAGGTGAAGACAAGGGGTGGAGTAACTGTATCAGCAAAGATATGGAGGTATGAATGTGACCTCAGTGAATAAAAGATAGTATCATCTGGTTGAACTTTGGAACATATTTAGGAAAATAGTGTATGATAGTTCTGGAAAGTCACCCTTTACTAGGTGGTGAGCTGTGTTTTCATTTTCTTACCACACTAAAGGGAGTGCCAGGAATGGCTTTCTAGAGGTAGAGTCCAATTTTGTTCTCATTCTAAGGGAGGAGACCACCTCTCATATTGTCTCCCAATTTGAGGGGTGCCCAATTTCTGCCTCCAAAGAAAGAAGAAGTAAAAACTAAAAGGCAGAAATGAAATCCACAGCCCAGCAGACAGCCCAGCGCCGTGCCCTGGTCCTTGTAGTTAAAGATCAACCCCTGACCTAACTGGTTATGTTATCTATAGATTCCAGACATTGTATGGAAAAGCATTGTGAAAATCTCTGTCCTGTTCTGTTCCGTTCTGATTACCGGTGCATGCAGCCCCCAGTCACGTACCCCCTGCTTGCTCAATCGATCATGACCCTCTCACGCGGACCCCCTTAGAATTGTAAGCCCTTAAAAGGGACAGGAATTGCTCACTCCAGGAGCTTGGCTTTTGGAGACATGAGTCCGCCGATGCTCTCAGCTGAATAAAGCCCTTTCCTTCCACAACTCGGCATCTGAGGGGTTCTTATCTGTGGCTCGTCCTGCTACAATTCAACTCAGTAAAGTCATCAATCCTATTACTAAATGTGCATATATATGTATATATTATAATGAGTGTCCAGGGCATGCTAATCTAAAGATAATATATGATTCCGTGTGTGTTTTTCTAATACCATGAAGTATTATCTTAATTACATGATTTGTACACATTACATAAAATTATTTGATAACATGCTGAATACTGTTTTTATAATTCTATTTAATTCATGATTTAAATACAATAATAAAAACAAGTCTTTACTTCCCTCTGTGCTATAGCTACTGTAGGGTTAAATGAGAAACATTTAAGCATTATCTATGCATTCACCATACAATAGATATTCCTGGAGGACCCATAGAGTGCTTGGTTCAGAGTTAAGCATGATAGACACAAAGGTGTATTAGACAGAGATTTGCCTCAAGGACTTCAGAGTTACAGTGTGCTATAAGCATGGAATCAATTATTCGTTCATTTATTTATTCAGCAAATATGTTCTAAGCATATACTCTGTTTCTAGAGAAACAGAACAGGTACTGTTCTAGTTTCTAACTAGAGATGTAAGCTATAAACAAAATTAAAGCACAGAAAGAGATTGTCAGAGACTATTTTAGCTAAGATTATGGGAGCCGACATAGAGGTGGAGACCATAGAGCTTATGGTGATGAATAGCTATTTAATGGTAATAAAATGGGTATTCAAAGTGATCAAATGGCCTGCCTAATGTCTGCAAGATTACTGAATAAACTAGGATTAGAACCTGTGTCTTTTCAAACAGTCAGTACTCACTCACTACTTATAGTATAATGGATAGAAGGAAAGGATAAAAAGAAAGTGGAAGGTATGGCAAGTCCAAGGGAAGACTCTGGTTTGGGGACAACATAAGGTCCTTATGTGAGATCAGTGGAGCAGAGATGGTATGGGCTAATAAGAGACTGCAGAGCTATGGAATGCTGAGCTAAGTGGTTTCTCTTCAATTTCCTAGGCAACAGGGAACTATTGCTTGAATATGTATTCAATTCTTACTGCAAAATCAAAACAACTGAAAATCTCCATATTCTTCTCATTCATTATTTAACTCATTCAATCTTTAAGGAACACCTGCTATGTGACAGGCACTTTGATGAGAACTGTCCTCAAGAAACACACAGCCTAGTGGGGCAACAGACATGAATATTACGCCTTTTGAACCTGACAAGTGCTGTGATGGAACTCCCCACTCCTCTTCTTTTCTCTCGTTCTCTCTTCCTCCTGTGATGAAGGGTGCACACAATGCTCATCAGACACCAGAGGAGGAATACCTAATCCAGTTTGGTAGGCAGGATCATGGAATCTATTCAACTCAAAGCAATGCAAGGTCTTTCCTGAATGATAAATAAAAGTTTTCCAAGAAAAAAAGGTATAGAAGGCAAATTGATATTAGACATTAATCTTCAAAACAATGATTTTAGCATATGATGTAGAGTCGATGCAGTTTTATTCGACAATGTCTGTAATCCTGAATGCTAGTAATGGTGAAACTCTCTGAAATGTTTCAGTAAATTTCTCCCTGCTTGAAACAATGTCTTTCCACTCTCAAATCAGATTTGATTAATTCATATTTATCCTTCCATATCTATTTTAAATATTCTTCCTCCTTTAAAGCCTATCTCAGAAGAATTAATTGTTTTTCCTGCATGGATCCATGTAGCTCATTGGGCATCCCTCAACCATAGAGTATCTATCTCATTTCTGTTCTGTCATGTCTGTATCTATCTCTGTCCACCCTCAACTTTGAGGAAACCGGGGTCCAAGACCACCTTGTTTAACCTTGTGCCCCACTGTATCATACAGCACCTCAAATAGAGTAGATGGAGTAAAAAAATGAAAGAATACTGAAATGCCTCCAGAAAAGTCACTAAATTGTTTCAGTATGTTTCTTTGACAAGCCATAGGCCATAGACCACATTTTATTACATGTGTCAATTACTAATAATGTTCAGCTGTAGACACTATATCTGGCACAGATAAAAAATGCGCAATATTATTTTTCTTAATGCATATTGATTCAGTAAACCAGATGTTTTATTTTGGTAATTATTTTGGAAAAATATGAATTTCTTTTTTAGTAAACTACCTAACTATAAGAAATTTAAAATATTCAGAAATGAATATTTACAAAGTCCTGTCACTTGAGTTGAAATGAACACTTATTTTCCTCCTCCCGATAGTGTTTCATTTATATCTTTATATTTTTCTTTTGTAGCTTCATTGATTTTTCTCAACTCACCCTTCATATCATCCATTCTCTTGTCAGGTCACTTTATTTACTATCTTTTAATCTAATCATAAATCCAGTAAACAAAAGTTCCAAGTGATACTCCTTTCAAGGTACTTTAGACATAGGATAAATGCAGTTGATGATAGATTCAAGAAGGTATAACTACAAAGAACTGTTGCAAGTCTATAATTGCAGATATAGCAATTTGAACTGAGCTCTAGATACAGCAGAGCTATTTAAAGTACAGCTACTTTGTTAGATCAATGCTGATGAAACAACTTGAAGAAATATCAGTATAAATTCCTTATCTAAATTAGTTCCAGAAACAGGATGTACAGTTAAGGAGAATCTGAAACTGTTATGTGTTAGGCACTGAAATTGGATACTTTAAAACTTAATGTTATGGTCACCATTCTAGACATAAGAAAATTGAGGTTCATAGACATTAAGCAATTTGCTCAAGACTACAGGTGAGCAAGGCAAAATATGAGCTTAGGCTTAAACTTAACATATTCTAATTTTACCTACACTGTACTATTTCTATTGTTCCATGTTGAGAATACACACCACTGAGCAGAATAGTCTGGAAACATTTTAATTTATCTGAACCAGAGTAAGAAATTCCAAAATACACTAATGACACTACCTGCATGAATTAACCATCACAATATTTTTGTTTGTTTTGTCAACCCTGAAGAAAACTTCTAAAAAGTCTGAAAGAGCACTTTCTTAACTGGAATCCGAAGACAGAATTTTGCCTCAAATTTGTAGTAATACTTTGTATGATTTTTGCAAAGTACCTTAGCTCTCTGAACTTTGACTTTCTTATTTTAAAAATATTGGTAATAATATCTCACAGGACTACCTCTTAGGGTCATAGCATGAAATGTCTATCAAACAAGCTATAAGTCAAAATCTCTAATTTCTTTGAAACATGTGGTCATAAAAGCCTCACTACTCACAAGGAAGTACCTATCGTTCTTTGGGATGGAGTCTGCTGTTAACAGGTAGAATATAATAATAATTTTAAAAAGCACCTTCATTAGATGTGTGTCTACATTTCAGGTTATGCATTTATTGCCTGTCTAACCTTAGTATATCTGCATTGTTATATAGTTTTTCTTTTCTGATTACCTTTAGCGACATATTACTATTGTGCTGAAATGTTAGACACAAAGAAAATAGTCAGGAAAGTATACTTTGACTCAGAAGTTTGATTTTACTTTGACTTTCAGTTTACTTTAACTCAGAATCTCATAGTCACTGATAGACCCCATTTTGTATTGGATTACCGGATTTCCCACTCTCATTCTATTTTTCTACCCAAATCACTGCTGCTTTAGAAAACACATTTTTTCTCTATGATTTAAGATGGAGCAATGGGTCTCTCATCTGAACTTAAATATTGTTTACATATACTTTTACAGAAATTTAATTTTCTGAATTATAGCTAAGACCAAGTTAGTTTTCTTTCTTGGGGGGGGGGTCTCATTTTAAAATATGATAAAATATTAATATATTTTATTATATAAATAAAGTGATATAGTATCACTATACTATATCACTAGTGTTAAGGCAAATGATGTTGTCCAACTGCTCATTAGCTTATCCATGTTATACTGAGTATATATGGAGTTTCCATCAAATCAAACCTAGATTATTTTTATTTGAATCGCCATTGAGCTATTTTTCCCATATTTTAAATATGAAAAATTAATTCATTTAACCCAACTGTATTTTTCTAACTGTAATTGATAGATAACAGATGGACATATTTTCAAGATCCATGTGATAACTTAATACTTTCATGTAATTTGTAATGATCAAATCAGTGTAATAGGGAAATCCAGCGTTTTAAATATTTGTCTTGTCTTAATGCTAGAAAGAGTTTGATAGAAGAAATAAGGCCTAGGGTTGATAGATCAGTAGGGTGGCTATAGTTTACAATAATCTACTGGATATTGCAAAATAGCTAGAATAGAAAAATTTGAATATTTTTAAATGTATTGTTATCAATTACTCTCCATCTCTCTAGTTAACAAGTATCTATTGCTTCAACTTGGTGAGATAGTTCCATATTTTGCTTATGTTTCCCAGGAATTTTAACTTTAGCTCTTCATCCTAGCTGTATTATTGACAAGTTTGTTCATTCTATAACTATATATGCCTGTAAGTTGTTGATGCATTTTTAAATAGGACTCAAGTAATTGAAAAGCCTGTAAACTTTATAAACTTTTCCGGGAAGTAATGATAAACAGAAAATTAACCAGTAAACACTTATTTTTTTTCTGTTGATGTTGGAAAAATATTTATTTTGTGTGTTAGTTAGGGATGCAAATGATAAATTTAATAGTCAAAAAATGTGCAGAACTCATGAACTATGGTAATCCACTTAACTTCACATTTTAACAGTCAGTGCAGATAGTTCATGCTCAATATTTGCCATGCAGTTGGTATAAATCATAAATAGGGTAAAATAATACAAATCACCATCTGATCAGGCAAATATGACCAGTTATCATCAAATCCAGTTTAGAAAATTTATCCTATATTTCATTTCATGTCTCAAAAAGAGTCCCGAAAGCCATTATGTGTCCTTGTGAAAGGCATATAATACCTCTGGACCTTAGTTTGTCATTCTTTTAATCAAAGAGAAGAAATTTCAGAATGATCACTTCTAGTTCTAAAATGTTAAAGCTCTGTAATTAGAATCAAACTTATATCTATTAACCACCTACTAAGTGTTAAATTACATAATCTTATTTAGGCTAGAAACAGGAAATGGCTGTGTCTGGCACGTATAGCTAGATAGATTGTATTTCAGTATTTTTATAAATCGAATTATATTGTCTTAAACACCATTTTCTGGTTGGCAAGTCATCTAGTTTAATTATTGACAGTCAGAGCAACTTCCTCCGTTTTCCCAGAGCATTTTACAAGATATATGGCACTTAC
The DNA here is from genome assembly GCF_000001405.40 of Homo sapiens. Lineage (NCBI taxonomy): Eukaryota > Metazoa > Chordata > Mammalia > Primates > Hominidae > Homo > Homo sapiens. Next base: position 19,187,924 of record NC_000004.12, on the reverse strand, counting down.
ACAGTCCAAAGATTAAGAAAAAGTCTCTGGTTTTCACTACAATTTATTTACCAAACCCTTGTACCCTATTCTGTTGGGAGATTTCTCCAATGCATCAACCCACTCTAGTCAAAGCTAGACCCAGTGCACACAGCACCTATGGTTCAGTCTCAAAGCAGACATGCAGCCATCCCCAGATGATGTTTTGTCTCCTTGGGATGTTGATACCAGTGGGAAAAATGTGACTACCCCATAAAAATCGCACCACTTTTCTTTCTAGTTTGAGGGAATGTGAATCTTTCCTGCCAAGATTAGGACATTCTCTTCTCCCCTGGCTTTGCCAGCTTCCATCCTCATCCATCTTCATCATATCTGACCTGATGCATTTGCAGGCCCTATCTTCTAAATTCTAAGATTTCTACCATATACACAAAAACGATCCTCATTTAAAATAAATAACAAAAAAAGCAAGGAATTCAGAATATGAAAGCAGATGAAAGCCTTTTTCTAAAAGAGGACGGAGGAAGAAAGATGCATTATAATACTTTTGCTATTTAATCCACAGCAGCAGAAAGAAGAGACAGAAATTCATGTCTTAATACTTTAAATTCTTTGTAAACTAATGCAGTTTACACTCTGGAAGGATCCCCATGGCAACCTTATCTTGATGCGATTGTTTTCATTCTAAGTTTTCATTTCTAGATGACCACAGTTCTATTAGCTATTTATGCATGGTGAATCAAAATATTAAATACTTAGAGAAATAACAATATTTAACCATTTTTGTGCCAGAAATGTTGCTGAATCATTTATAAAATATTATTTACCCTAATGCAGTTTTACATTTTCATATTAAACCTAATACATTCCTAGAAGCATGCATCCATGATCAAAAAGATTTTATTACTTAAGTTTTTTTCCATCTTTTAAAATGAAAACAGTATTTTATGGACATCTTTCAATGTCACTGCACACACATTCACTTCATTTATCTTAAGACTGCATAGTGTTTCCCAGTGTAGTTGTCACTTCATCTGCTTATGGATATTTAAATTAGTTCAATATTTTACTTTTACAAATAGTACAGCAATAGAGATCCTTTTACATACATGGCTGTAAAGTTGCCTTAGTGTCTCAGTAGGATTGATTTCTAACATGACATAAATAGATAAAAGAGTAGATGCATCTTAAAATTTCTCAGGCACTTCCTAAATGTTATTCTAAAATCTTGTTTAACTTATACCACCAGCAACAGTACGTGAGAATTATTCTTCCCTTCTACACTTTTCATCTTTAAAAATTTTTAAATTTAGCAGGTGAAAGGTGGCAGATGTGTTTTTATCTAATGAGTAATGAAGTTGAGTGTTCTTAACATGTTTATTATGTATCTATCGTCTTCATTTTGAATTACTTTTTCAGATAATTTGCCAGATTTTTATTGCTATGTCTTATTTTATATTATTTTCTGTACTTGGTGAAAGTAAGAATATTTATCCATTTTAAAGAAGAATAAATTGAGATTTGAGGAAATTAAGTAACTTGTCCAAATGTCATATACACAATTTTTATCTAATCTCTTTGCTTGACTTTGAAGCTATACTACTAACTACCACAATAAATTATTTTCATAGCATCCTTTCTAGTATTTACAAGACTCTCATAAAAATCTGTTTCCAGTAAATCCTCTTTAAACAGAAATCATATCAAAACAGCAGAAATTTGTAGCATATAAATAGATATTTTCCTTATGAATAATTATATAGAAAAAGTGAACTAAGAGAGTGTTCCTCTTTTCATTAAAATTAACCATAATGTTAACGATCAAAACTCAGTGAATAATTTTTAAAGTAAATGCACATACCCATAAATGTTCTATTTTTCTCCTTTGACCTATGATATAGTTGCCATGGAAATGAGACTTTGTTTCTTTGGTATATTACATATGTTGGGGAAAAAAAGTCTTTTTTTTTTCTTAGATGTTCATCAGTTGTGTATTTTAAAAAACTGTACATTTTACTTGTAGAAATCGGAAAATACATCAAACTGAAGAAGAGATATGCTCATTATAGATTTTCCATATTCAACTCAATACAAAATATGTTGACCAGGAATAAAAAGCAATAGTTATTTTTTTTACCCTTTCAAAGAAATAAGTTGACTGATAAGAATTGATGATTATCTTCCAGTTTAGTGTGTATTTCCTTTCATCTTCTAGGTTCTGTGAAGCAATACCTAATTTAAAGTTTAATATCTTTCTCTGTTCCCATATGCAGCAGATGGCCCAGGCAACTACCTCCTACTATCTAATTCCTTAGTGACATTTATTATTCATCAGAAAGGAATTTAGAAAACATTATCTTTCGTTCTAATTCCTGGCTTGCTTAATCAAATAGATTAAAGAAAATATCCTGTAGTTAGCAAAAGAATTATATGTAAACCCATAAAAGCAATAGAAAGTAAACCCAGTGGCCACGCATTGAGGATACTTGACTGTTGTTCCACCAGATAGATAATCTGTGGGAAAAACATAACTAATACAAAACAAATGATAACAGCCTTTGTAATAAGGCTCATTTCCAGAGACATTTAGACTTGAACCAAAGAAGTCTGGCCTAGGATGAAGAAATTAGCCTTTTGCCCATCTTTTCTGGGTACCGATCTCTCCATGTATCTAACTAGTGACCCTACTTGTAGGATAGAGAAAATAAGTTAAATGCAGATTCCATTTGCATTTTGAATCTCAATGTTATTATCATACATGTTTTTCGGAATCAGTGCCAGGGAATAAGGCTATTTATGTTTTGTGAGTAGGAAAAAACACAAAGAGGAAGAGGTTTGATGAATGTATTATTGCAGACGTTTTCTGATGTAAAAGGTAAAAACCCAATTCATTTTTGTTTAAACAATAGGGAGGTTTGATGGAATCTATAATTGCAAAGACATAAATTGGTTCTGGCTTGTGAGACAGCTGAATTTAGTAACTCAGACAACATCATCAGTGCTCACTCATTTTTCTATCACTTGGTCCTCATTTCCTGAGAGTGTCTCTATTTTCAGGCAGCTTTCTTCTCAAGATAACATGAGAGTGACAGCAATGTGGAGCCTACATCCTATTTTCTTAACAACTCCAAAAGAGGGGAAGCAGTTTTCTACTTATGCCAGAAAAAGAGCCATAATTGTCTTAGACTAGATTAACTTTTGCCATGTGGTCTTCTCTGGATCAATAACTGAGACTAGGAGACTAGAAGAAGAGAGTAACCTGATCAGCTTAAAGTCAGCTCATACACCCATTTCTGAAACTGGATAAAGAGTTACCACTTCCCCAAGCCCATTTGCTAGAAGACAGAGGGTATCCAAGGAAAGGAGTTCTGCTTCAAGAGAAAGGTGAAAGTTCCAAATGAAACCATTGTCCCTGCTATCTAGTGAGTAATTGGCATAAAGGGAAAAGGAGCTTTGTGTTATGGAGAAAAATTGGGATGTTTGTTTATAGGAAAGATGGTAAACCATATCAGTTTTGTGACTCATACTTTCTTTGTTTTTAGATAAAGATCTTTCCAAATTGTGATTGCGATCAGAAGACAGGATATTTGGGCAATATAAATGAAAGAGGAAAAGAGAGACGCCACAAATGTCTCATGGGAGTAAATAAATAGATACATAGAATATTGACGTAAACAATGACTACTCATTTATTACTCCTAGAATTACTGCAAGGAATAGAATCTGAAAAATAATCAAAGCTGACTACTTTCTCTATATTTTTTTATGCCTATTGCCTTTTCACTATGGAATTTGAGTCATTATAAAATAATTGTATTATCCATGAATTATAGAAAGATACAGCATGGCACAATGGAAAAAGCAACAAAATTAAGAGCCAGAGGATGTAAAATCCTTCTTCTGTGATGTAACTCCTAGATTTTGGTCAAAGCCTGTAGCTTTTCTAGTCTCCAAGTTAAAGATTAATAAGTACTCTTTTACTATATGAGTGTAGAGAAGACTTTGTAATACAACCTGTGTCAAACTTTTAAAAGTGGCTGACTCTGCACAAACTTTTTAAAGATGCTTTCCCTTAATAAGAAGAATTGTTTTATCATCCGTCAAGAGAGATATATAATGAGGCAACAACTTTATTAATACCAGAATTTTTATTGAGTGCACGCTTTTAAGACAGCTGACTGGGTCTTGTTAGTACAATGTTTAGCCAAAAAACAGAGAGGACATGATTAGAGACCCTCTCCACCAGCCACTTGATCTTCAACAGTGCAGTCCAATTAATCGATTTTGGCAGTGTTTGACCATTTAAGTAATCTTAAATTCCATTGTTTTCTCTCAAGTAACATGAGAATGAACACCAAAGAAAGATACTTTTTGTCTCTTACAAAACATAGATATCATGCAAAAAAAAAAGATACTTTGTGTAGAAAGAAATTATTAAATACTAAATATTATAAAAATGGAGAGCAGTGAAAAGGTATATTTTATAAGATAATGAAATCAAATCAATGAAATATTTTTAAACTAGATTTTTTGACTTTTAAAAAATGTTCCATTTATGATTCTATTATCACATTTTATCTTCTTATGTATCTTTATTTCTTATTTTGCTAAAACAACAGCAGGAAATGTCTCAGTGATATTGAACCATTTACCATGCTTTTCCACAACTCTAACAGAGGTTTTATCTGTGCCCTATCCTTCAAAAAACTTTTTGAAAAGAAAGAACAATCTGTATAAAATATCAGGAACAAATTGGAGCTTTTCATGCAAATATGCTTTTCAAATGTTATACCAGCATTCATTTACATAGACTTGACATCTTGTAATGACTCAGTCTTAATCTCTTTATGGAGGCACTGCACTCAAGACATCTTGCCTTGGTGACATGATATTGCAATTGGGTAAAAACAATTTGATTCCCCCTAAAATTCACCTTTAAATTCAACTTTCTATATATTTAGTTATCTATCTACCTAATTACTTCAAACTAAAAATTTTTTTTCATTCAACAAATATTTATTTATTTATTCCTTTTTATTGTACAGTAAGTTCGGGAATACATGTGCAGAACATGCAGATTTGTTACATAGGTATGCATGTGCCATGGTGGTTTGCTGCACCCATCAACCCATCATCTACATTAGGTATCCCTCCCCTAGCCCCCCACCCCTTGACAGGCCCTGGTATGTGATGTTCCCTTTCCCCTGTGTTAATGTGTTCTCATTGTTCAACGCCCACTTTCACGTGAGAACATGCAGTGTTTGGTTTTCTGTTCCTGGGTTAGTTTGCTGAGGATAATGGCTTCCAGCTCTATCCATATCCCTGCAAAGGACGTGAACTCATCCTTTTTTATGGCTGCCTAGTATTCCATGGTGTATATGTGCCACATTTTCTTTATCCAGTCTGTAATTGATAGGCATTTGGGTTGGTTCCAAGTCTTTGCTATTGTGAACAGTGCTGCAATAAACATACATGTGCATGTGTCTTTATAGCAGAATGATTTATAATCCTTTGGGTATATACCCAGTAATGGGATTGCTGGGTCAAATGGTATTTCTGGTTCTAGTTCCTTCAGGAATTGCCTCACTGTCTTCCACAATGGTTGAACTCATTTACACTCCCACCAACAGTGTAAAAGCATTCCTATTGCTCCACATACTCCCCAGCATCTGTTGTTTCCCAACTTTTTAATGATCGCCTTCCTAACTGGCATGAGATGGCATCTCATTGTGGTTTTGATTTGCATTTCTCTAATGATCAGTGATTATGAGCTTTTTTTCATATGTCTGTTGGCCACATAAATGTCTTCTTTTGAGAAGTGTCTGTTCATATCCTTCGCTCACTTTTCAATGGAGTTGTTTGTTTTTTTCTTGCACATTTGTTTAAGTTCCTTGCAGATTCTGGATATTAGCCCTTTTCCAGATGGACAGATTGCAAAAATTTTCTCCCATTCTGTAGGTTGCCTGTTCACTCTAATGATAGTTTCTTTTGCTGTGCAGAAGCTCTTTAGTTTACTTAGATCTCATTTGTCTATTCTGGCTTTTGTTGCCATTGCTTTTGATGTTTTAGTCATGAAGTCTTTGCCCATGCCTGAACATGTCCAATCTTGTCTGATCTTGGAAGCTAAGCAGGGTTAAGCCTGGTTACTACTTGAATGGTAAACCAGTTTTATGTTATTTGGATGCAATAAAATTCACCATATTTTGAATTTTGACAGAGACATTCCATAGAGTAACCACCACTATGATCATGGTAGAAAACAATTTTATCAAAGAAAAAAGTTATCCTGTGCCACTCTGAAGCCTATAGTCTCCCCTTAATTCTGTTTCATGGCTAACACTAATTTACAATATAATTTCTGCCCCTATTATTTTGACATTACTAGAAACTCATATAAATGAAAACAATTTTTGCTTGACTTTTAAAGTGGCTGAATAAGTTGCTTCACAGCTTCAACTTTAGTTGATATAGTTAATCTTTAGTATTAAAATTGTATAATGGCTAATACTAAAGACTAACTATCCTCTATAGTTAAGATATAGCAGATACTATATCTTATTTGGTGCAGCATATATTCGAAACCTTTGGTCATTTTTTGTTGGGTTGTCATGTTTATTAAGTCGTAAGAGTTCTTCATTTATAATAGAAATACGTGTTTAATCAGGCATATACTTTAAAAATACTTTCTCTTAGTCTGTGGCTTCCCTTATTTTTTTTATCAATGTCTTTCAAGGAGCAATATGCTATTAATTTTGATGAAGTCTAATGTAACAAATATTTTTAAAAGTTTTAAGTGCTCTTGTGACTTATTTAAGAAATTTTACCCAACTCAAGTTCACAAATATTTTCTTCTTAGAAAATTTCTTAGAAAACCTTAGAAGGTTTATAGTATTAGCCCTTACAAAGGACCATTACTTGTGATCACTGATTTTCTGTATTGCTTTTCTATTTTGTATATTTTTATTTGTATTCTTATCTTTATTTTTTCCTTCCTTACTTGTTTCCTTCCTTAATTATTGGTTTCCTTCCTTCCTTCCTGGTTTTGATTTACTCTTATTTCTTTACTTTCTTAATATAAAAACTTAGATTACAAATTTGAGATTTTTTTAATATTAAGTTTTAATGAAGGAAATGTCCCTTTACGTACTATTTTAATGTTGTTAGACAAACACCCACATATGTATGTTTTAAATTCCATTTAGCTCAAATTTTACTTTTTTTCTAATTAACTTTGGGACTTTTTCTTTAACTCACATGCTAGCAATATGCTGTTTTGTTAAAGTACAAATATTGGATAATTTTCCAGATATCTTTCTTGTGTTGATTTCTAATGATTCCATTTTCATCAGGAACATAGCTTACATGATTAATTCCTTTAAATATATTCAAACTTGTTTTATGGCCTTAATTTGATCTATCTCATTGAATGTTTTATGTTCACTTCAGAAGAATACATATTCTGTTGTCATTGAGTGGAGTGTATTTTAAATGTTAATTAAATCTAATTATTTAATAGTTTTGTTCAAGTCTTTGATGTCTTCGTGGATTTTCTGTCTAATTGTTCTGTCAATTATTATACTTGTAGATTCTATATATTTCCCCTTTTTTTTCCTTCAAGCCCTATCTTGTTGTCTGAAGCAAGCACATTTAGAATTGTTAGCTCCTCTTAATGAAGTGACCCATTTATCACTATGAGTCTTCCTCTTTAACGTTGGAAACGTTCTTTGTTCTAAATTTCTTTTGATTATTTCTTTTCTGCTTCTAGGTAATCTTTTTCTACTTCTTTACATGTCTGATAATTTTTATTCGATACTGTAATACAAACTTTTAAGTTGTTGGTTGTGAGATATTTCTGCATTCCCCTTAAGCAGTGTTTTATTTTGTTTTAGTGTGCAGTTCAGTTTCTTATAAGTAGCTTAATTTTTTTCAAGGCTTTCAGACTGGGTCCTGGACATTTATTCTAGAGTTAAGTTAGTTTTGCCTGACTAAGGCAATGCCCTACCTAATGTCTTATTTATTACTACATCTTTCTATGTCAGCTGATGGAGACAGCTCTTCCTGACTCTCATTGTGAATACCAGAATTCATTCTGTTTGCTCTTTTTAAGTGGTACTCTCCCTTGTCTCAGATAGTTTCCTTTCATACATGCACTGGTCAATATTAGCCTAATTGTTGAGGAGGACCTTTCATAGCTCTTTGGAGATCTCTCTCTCTGACTACATCTTTTCATGTCACTCTCTTCTTCAGTTCTCTGTCCTACAAATTCCGGTTTCCTTGGCTTCCCAAATTCTGATTTCTGTTTCCTTTACTCAGAAACACCACCTGGCTCTGTTTGTCTCTCTCTCTCTACTTTGAAGTCTGAAAACTTCATCCAGGGAGGAAGCTCATGCAAATATAGAAACACAGGGTTTAATTTGCTGTTTCCCCTCTCTGAGATCATAGTCCTATGCTTCCAATTTTCCAAATCTGAAAATTGTTGTTTTAGATATTTTTTCCAAATATCCAGTTGTTCAAAGCATGAATTTACTCCCTGTGCTCTTTCCTGGTTACAAGGATTATATCTTTAAGCTTATTGAATTAGGATGGAATATCTAACATAAAAACAATATACACATTTCAGTGGCTTACATCATAAAAGTTTATTTCCTGTTTACCTTATAGTTGAAAATAGGTTTATGGGGTTGGGTGGTTCTCTAGGCCATTTGGACCCTGAGCAGTCTCTCAGGATGTGGGGTCCTTCCATCTTTCTATGCCAGCATGTTCTAAGGTCTCCTAGTTTTCTTCTGAGTGATCTGCATTTAGTTGGCATGCAGGTGAAAAGAAAAAACCTGGTAACATTGATGGGCCTTATTTAGAAGTGCCCTATTTCACTACTGCCAGCATTCCTTTGACCTGAATTCAGTCATGTAGTCCTGCCAAATTGTGAGAGGCCTGGAAATGTAGCCCAGCTATGTGTCTAGGGTAGCGCTGCCAATAGAAAAATAAAGGTGAACCACGCATGCAATTGTACATTTTCTAGTAGCCACATTATAATAAGAAAATAAACAGATACAATTACCTTTAATGATATATCTTATTTAGACCAATATATTTGGTTTTTTAATCATTTCAACATGTATTCATTATAGAAGATTATTGATAACATATTTTACTTTTTTTATACCAAGTCTTCAAAACCTGGTATATATTTTATATACTTTAAGTATATTTCAATTTTAATGTTAAACTCTAATTAGAAATACTTAATTGCTATTTATACTCATGAAATTTGTAGTTAGAACGTAGATTTACATACTCAACTTCTTCCAAACATACTTAAAATTTTACAATAACTAAACCATCTTTCTTGACATTTAAAGTTAAATAAATAAGTATGTTATTCAGTCATACCAGCTACATTCTATGTGATCAGTAACCACATGTGGCTGGTGGGTACTATATACTTAAAGCATAGTTTGCAAATTATAGCTTACTGGACAAATCCAGCCTACAGTCTGATTTTTGTATGGCGTGAGGGCTAAGAATAAATTTTACTTTCTCTAAATATCTGAAATAAATCAAAGTAAGAATAATATTTTTTGACACAAGAACATCATGTGAAAATCAAATTTCAAATTTCACTGTCGATTAAAAGTATTTTATTGAAAAATATCCACAAACACATTTATATATTGCCTGCAGCTACTTTCACATAGTAGAACATTTGCAAGATAATTTGCAAATACTCTAAAATATTTACCTTTTTATTTACTCAATAAACCTAAAATATTTACTTTTTGGCTCTTTACAGAAAATGTTCACCAACCATTGGTCTAAAAAAAAGTCATTTTTATGAACAAATTGTCATCCCACCGATCCTTACAATCATAAACCACATCATGACTCATGGAGTCCTTAAGGATGTAATATGAAGATTTTTAAAATTTCTGACAAATTCTATTTAACGCGCACTGAATGTTAATGTTAAAGACTTAAATTAGGAATCATAGTAAGGAAAGGAGTGAGGCATGTCAACAAGAAGTGGGTTAAAGACAATTTAAATTAAAAAACACTAAATTACTGAAAAACGAAAGGGAGATTGTTATAAGTCTTACACCAAACCCTTATAATCACAGAATGTCAATGTCTCAAGAGGAGTGACTCATCACCAAGGACAGCTGTAGTTGTATTATTGTATCCAACAAAATTATCTCTGAGTTTTGCAGTAGATATCCTTCATTTTCCTGATGACGTCTCTTTACCTTGAAATTCCTTTTTACCTGCCAACAGCACACAAATTTAAGCCCTCCACTTCTCATTTTTGCAATTATCACCTTAACATCATCTTCATGAATCTTTTTGACTTCTGCCCAACTCCAGCTAATTCATTCTTGCCCTTGAAATCCACTTCCAAATTCATGTTTGTTTGTTGGGCTTTGTCCCTTTTCTAGCCACTTACCGTTCCACAGTGTTTTATATAGGCTCTCATATGCTTGATGCTGCTGAAATTAGAGGTCTTTGGAGCTAGGCTCTGCCATGTCTTCCACATCTGAGTCATACTTCCACATAGCTATATCCCTAAAACTCCATGCTATCCTGAACACATATTTTACAGCCCTGCTTTTGAAACATGAATGTAATTCAGAAAGAGAAAAAAAATGGAACAGATAGTATAGTTCTACTATGTTTCAAGGAGCAAAATGAAAAATGAAAATATCCAGAATTTGGAAATGCTGTCTAGTGTGGTAGATTGACTACTGGCAACTCACTCCCATCCTCACCCCTGCTATATTCTCATTATATCACAGTGGCTTGAACCTTGGAAGACGTAATTTCCCGATTTTTCTGGCTCATTGGGCAAAGCTCAGGGTCTGCCTGTAAGAGGTACTCATATGAGATTTAGAACATGGCTAGAAAGGAGTAGTCATTACCATTCTCCTATAGTAGAAGCTAGGGGAAATGTGGGCAGAGGGCAGAGGTACAGTTTTCAACAGGTTCTGAGTAAACTTCTTCAAATTACCTGCTTCATTTTTGAGATTATTGGCAACATCTGCACTCAATTTCCTTGTGTCCTAATTTTCCAGAAGTTAATAATTTCTCACTAACTATTGCTCCCATAGCACTTTCCATGGGTTTTCAAGTGACTATTCCTGCTTTAGATTCCTTCCTGTTAAAAATACTTGGGTGGTTTCTTTTTTTCCTGTCCAAACTTTTAATGGTACGTTTTACCAACATCAATTTTCTTGGTGAGTGGGATTATATAGAGAATAGATGCAAAGTGATGATATTCATTCACTTATTCTTTATGTTGTTAAATAGATACAGAGTAATTAAAATATACCACGTTCCAGAGTTGACTAGTAATGGTATACTGTCAAGGCACATAGAGTCTAAGTGAAAAAATTAATTCAAACGATGTCAATACAAGTTAAAATGGATTCAGTTCTATAAGAGAAGAAGGAGTGTTGTAAATGTCCACAATAAAATAGGATTTGATCCTTCATTCTGATACTTTACATTCTTGGAATCTGTTTTTTCAGCCAGGACATTGGTCAAACTTTTCTATTTGCTGCTGATGAATTTGAACTACATGTTACTGCTATACACATTCAAGTCATTACATGAATTTATAATTAAATATTTAGTATTTGCATGTGTTTATGTGTGTGTGTTTGTATGTGTGTGTGTGTCTGGAGAATGAGAGGAAAAAAGAGAAAAAGAGAGAAGGCCAAGAGAAAAGCATTATCATTGATCTTGCAGAGATCACTTAGGTTGCCATTGACCCAATTTACATCTTATAGTCTAATGATTCTCAAGGAAATTGTGTTTAGCATTTGAGACGAGACACTTTTATGAAGGACCATCCAATGCACTGCAAAACAATGTGGCATTTCTGGCCTCTACCTACTAAATGCCTATAGGACCCTTAAATCATTGCAACAACTCAAATACTAATATACTATATTATGTCTCCAGACATCTATTACATACCATCTCTATGATGCTCCTCTCAAAAGGAAACAATGTTAGCATGAAATAAATTAATGTTGTATACCTTATCCACTGTAATCATTGCCTGACTCTTGATTAGCAATTGTCTTCTAATGCTTACAGTTCAATAGTTAAATTGCGTTTAACCCCTAATTAAAACAAGATGTCATTTCTGCCTATGCAATTAGGAAATGTTTAGAAATTTTAATATTTGATGGTAATGAGAATACAATAAAATATGAAGCTTCATAAGTTGGGTATGGAAGGGTAAGTTACTCCAAAGTTTCTAGATGACAAAACCTATGTGCATCAGCAGTCTTAAAATACATGTTTATTTTGATAAATTAAGTCTATTTTGGGAAACTCATATCTTGTCTGTGACATAAACAAGAATGAGGTCAAAGAGGTTCATTCCAGTGTAAAATATAATTGAAAACAATGTAATGGTCTAACAATGTAGGCCTTTAAGCTTATTTCCATTAAATAAACTTGAAACTTCGTATTATGGAATAGTATGCACCCACTACAAATGCACTTTATAAAATAATATTATCATAGGCAATATTAAATAAAAATGTTATGCTAGAAAATTACATTTAAATATCACCTCAATTCATCTAACTATGAATAAAGGTATACATAATAACATTGCTTTATAAAAACACATTAAAATATTTCACAATTCTTTTCTACCCATCTCACTCAGTGAAGGGGTAAAGAGATATTGGGATGTTGCATATGTTTGTCAGCATTTACTAGATTATGTACATGAAAACCAATGCAAAATTTCATTAGCTTACAACAAATATTCACTCACATTAAGTAAAGCTTGAGTTTTGTACCTCAAAGCATTCCAAAGCCTCCATGATTTCACTGGTCTTGGCTGGTCTTCTGTGAGCTTGGCTTGAGTGTGCAGACTGAGTTTAGATGTCCTTTGAAGGAACACTTTCTTCTTGAGTTACCTTTGGTGGAGGACAAGAACACAAGAGGGCAACGTGTTTCCAGTGATTCATTCCAACATGCATTCCAACAATGCAAGAAGATTGACAAAACAAAAACTTGCACTGCTCCTAAAAGCATAGGCTTGAGCACCACACTCAAACCAATCATATTTCTTTGGCCAAAAGAAGTCCATATGAAACCTAAAGTCAGTGGTTTGAAAAAAAATCTACTCCACATAAGTAATGATGACAAAGGAGATAAGTGGACAAACAATTCATAACAAATCTGAATAAATCTATCATTGCAAGGTGGAAGTTTCCTTGTTTTTATTTATTTATTTATTTATTGCTTCCCATTGTAGTATACTTTTCAAATTTGCTGTGTTCTACATTTTTTAATTTTAATTTTTTGATTTTTTTAAACTTTTAAGTTCAGGGGTACAAATGCAGGTTTGTTATCTAAGTAAACTTTTGTCATGGGGGTTTGTTGTACAGATTATTTCATCACCTATGTATGAAGCCTAATACCCATTAGTTATTTTTCCTGATACTCTCCCTCCTCCCACCCTCTACCTCCTGATAGGCCCCAGTGTGTGTTGTTCCCTTCTCTGTGTCCATGTGTTCTCTTGATTTAGCTCCCACTTATAAGTGAGAACATGCGGTATTTGTTTTTCTGTTCCCGTGTTAGTTTGCTAGGGATAATGGCATCCAGTGCCATCAAATGCAATCACAAGTATTTTACTTTTATACATAAAATTTTTAAATTCAAATATAAGACAGCATTTAAAATATCTATCATCATTTTTGCCAAAATTTGGGCATGGAATTCTCATCTTATATCGTGCAAACTACCTTCAACTTCTCTTTGAACAAAAAAAAAAAATTATTTTTTTTTTCTTTTCCCTTTAGATTTTTGTACTGTTTCGCTTTTTCATATTTTATAAATAGTGTACTTTCATTGGTTCAGTGAGATTAATTTTAAATTATTTCAGAACTCTGAGATAGAATTCATTTGTTGTAGAAATTCCAAGTATAATATGAGTAGTTAGGTGTTTCTTTACTGTTCATTTGTTCTTGTATGAACAATGAATAAAAGCAAGATCATCTGTTAACCATGAGAGGAAGAGAGTAAAGAACCAGGAGCTCAAAGAGAAGTGGGAGGTTTTAAATAGAATTGATATAAAATAAAAATGGATTTAGTAAGAGATGGATGAAAAGATCATTGAGAGCCAATGAAGGTCCAATTTATATTTGTTGTTGTGATGATAGTGTTGTTGCTGTCTGTGAATTCCCAGTAGAGTACACTGTTCTTTAAAGTTACTTTGCATTTGGGGATTTCAGCTGAAAGCTGAACGAGTCAACCAGTGACCCTTTCATTGTGAATTAATTATTTGGTCATTTTATTTTATTTTTTGATATTTCTTTTTTCCCCCTTAACATTTAAGTTTTGGGGTACATGTGCAGGATGTGCAGGTTTTTATATAGGTAAACAAGTGAGATGGTGGTTTGCCGCACAGATCATCCCATCACCTAGGTATTAAGCCCATCATCTGTTAGATATTTTTCCTGATGCTCTTCCTCCCCACAAGCCTCCACCAGCAAGGTTAATGAATCTTTCCTTCATAAAATAAAATAACCATTATTTGATTGTTTTATTTTATGAAAGAAAGATTCATTTGACCCTTGGTATATGTACTACTCCATATTTTTTAATATAATTGTAATTTTAACAGTATTTTTTACTTCCTTTTTAATAAGTCATAAACTTTGGATCATATAAACATAATTTCAGATCCTAGGTCTATCAGTACCAGAGATATTGTGATATTTAAGTTACTAGTAATTAGACAGTAGATCTTAAATGACATCAATAGCATGATTATTAGAAACCAGATATAGAAAACTGAGACACACAGTAAGGAAAAGGAGTAGGTTGGTGGTTTCCAAGAAAAAAAAGATGATCTTACTGGCAAGAATGATGTATAAATAAATAAATAAATAAATAAAAATAATTGTGATTTTTTGAGATTTTAAGTATGATCAGACAAATCCAATAGTAACCTGAGACTGTAAATGTGTGACTGGAAACTGTTGGGAACATCCAAGCACACCACTGACGGCAAAATGAAAGTTAATTTAAGAGTGGTATACTAAACTGTGACTTAAATTTGGAAGTGGCAAACTGATGATTTATGCCAGAGAAAGACTGTGAATGAAAAAGTATGGAGCCACACAGTGAACAAGTGCATGCAAAATGTCCAGAGAAAAAACACAACTTTCAGTTGTCTTAGAGTGGTGCTTTCTCATCTTGGCCAAACCCACCACTTGTCTTTGCCTTGTTTCTGCACTCTCCAGGCAACATTCCAATTAGTAATCCGGATTTCCCTGAGCTACAAGCTTGGATGAGAATCCCTTGGATGAAAGATAGAATGATTTTGGTCAATTAGAAGGAATGTCCCCTTTGAAATGAATTTACTAAGGGTTTGTTTATATGTTTCTTTCTCTTAGGTGTTTAATTATTATGAGTCAGCCAACCCAATTTTGTGAACAATGCAACACGGACAAGAATGTTTGAAGGCACCATGATAATGCCATCCTATGAGATTTCTTTTTGAAAAATTAATTAGCCTTCAATTGTTACATCTTAACTGCCGTCTTCTGTCTCCCTACAAAATCGTAGTCATCTCCTACTTACCTACAATAAGCAAATTGTGAATAATCTCTATAACCCTAGACTGAGTTGACTAAACATAGTATTGAAAAAGTGCCTTAATATTAATTCTTAAATGTCAAAAGTATTTCTAATCAAATATAAAATCCTAGATAATTATTATTCTCTTGATTCTCTTGATGTAGTAACATGAAAGTTTGATGGATGGTTAATAATCTTCATGAGCACTATGGCATAGGCCCATAATAACATCATCTTGTGATTTACTTTTTCTTACAACATCACTTGATTATTTTAACTGCAATTCCATTCAAATATCTCTAAACCAGCATTTCTTCTGTGATCTCAAAATGTCATAGCATATCCTGTGCTGGAGAGAGCTGTACTATTGATTTATAACCCCCAAACCTATGCTGCTAACCAGGAAATACAAAAGCCTACCAGTAAGTGTCATGTTCACAATTCTAGTAATTTAATTGTTTAGTTTTGCTACTTAACTTTTTCCTACAATATTTTAAACATTTGGATGATATTAAATCATTAGCTGTTTTGCGTGGATTTTGTAGTTTATAGAGACACAATGCATGGAAAAAAAGTAAAGATAAAATTGGAAATGGGGAAATTTTATCTATAAAAGGAAAGGAAAACTTCTATGGTCATTTAATGAAATGAACGCATTAATAATTTGTAACTTTCCCACTGCACTGCTAAATCTTGGCACTAAACAGAAATGCCAAATGTAATGTTTCACAAGCTATTTTTTCATAAATTATTCATTCTTTTTACAGTTGGAAAAAATATTGTCATTTATATGGAACAAAAAATGCTAAAATAAAAACATCTGGCAAAAATAGGCCAATGTGTTAAGATTTAAGTAGAAGCATTCCTGCTTATTGTACACTGCTTTTTCCTCATGTCAAATTCTTCATATATTTATTGTAAATTGTAGTTTAAGATAATAATACTGCTACAAAATTATGGTTTTCTTTGTATTTTCTTGTGGTAAAGTTTTCTTATAATGTTACAGATTAATAAAAGACTGAAAGGGCACATGCAATGTGAATAAATGTTTGGCACATGAGTCTCTGCTTCTAAGTCACTGCTAGAACAGACTAGTTACGTCACATCTCTTTGGGGGTCAATTCAAAAATGCATATTTCATCTGCAGTTAAATGCAGTTTCACAGAACTGAACACTACTTCATAAACGTCAAATACATATATGTTGGAGAACCTATAGAAAATCCATATGCCATAGAGAAGACCATGGGTTTTTGGAAAACAGATTTGAAAAAAAAGAGATAGTTCATCAACTATCATTTGTTGATACTTGCTTGTAAGATTCAATTTGATATTTTTATCTTTTACTCCTTACCTAAAGATTACAAAGGTAAGGGAACTATTCATTTTCTCCATTGAGTAAGTCGACTTGACTGATTGTACTTTCATTGGATAGAAACAAACAGATACTTAATTAGGCTTCCTATGTGTTCAAGAATAATTTGGCTCACACCTGTAATCCCAGCATTTTGGGAGGCCGAGGCGGGCGTATCACAAGGTCAGGAGTTCGAGACCAGCCTGGCCAATATGGTGAAACCCTGTCTCTACTAAAAATACAAAAATTAGCCTGGCATGGTGGCAGGCGCCTGTAGTCCCAGCTACTCGGGAGGCTGAGGCAGGAGAATTGCTTGAACCTGAGAGGCAGAGGTTGCAGTGAGACAAGATAGTGCCACTGCACTCCAGCCTGGCGACAGAGAGAGACTCTGTCCACCCCTCCCAACCCCAAGAAAAGAATAATTTCATTAGAAAAATTTCCTCTTTTTATTTACTTATTTTTTATTTATTCAGGAGAGGATACCAAGAGGTATTTAAAATAAAACAAAAAATCCAAACTAGAAATTTATACTTCACAGTAAGTATGTTTTTTGACGCTTCAAAATGCCCTGCACCCCAAATGACTTGTCCATCCTAATAAAAATACTCCCATGCTCTTGCTAGTGACTTAAAGACATGCATATGTCTTGTTTTGGCTAAAGAAACATAAAACACAGCTATTATGCTTATTTTAAAATGTTTATTTATCAAAATTATGAGAGACAAGGAAAAACAGTTACCTTCTGTTTTTGGAGGTTACTGTGTTAGATGTGATGTCTGGAACTGATACAGCCAAATTGGGCCATGAGGGTAAGCAGTGCTAACATGCCAGCACACAGGACCAATTCACTAAGAATTGTCAGTGCCGAAAGAAAGAAGGAATCTGGTTCCCTAATGGCATAATTAAGCCCCTGAAGGACTCAAGGTAAAATGTGTTCCTTTGGCTTTTTGTTACATGTGACAAAGATTTTTTTTTTATTCTTTAAGTTAATTTGGGTTAAAATGTCTATTGATGGAAACCAAATCATTTTAGCTGATATAAAAGAAGTTTATTTTTGTTAAACACTAAGGCTCTGAAATTTGCTAAGTAGTTTATGAATTTTAATCTTATTTAATTTTCATACAAGGATTGAAGTAGAGGTTATTATTACTACTTTAATAATGCTGAAATGGATGCTAAAAGAGGTCAAATAACCAACATCAACTTACGTGGCTATAAACTAATGGGTATGAATTTGAAACCATATTGTCTAACTCAAACACCTTACTTTATGCTGGTTGTGAGGATTCTTTGAACTTTTATAAAATTGCTCAATAATTTATATCAGAATATTAAGTAATAATTGGCAAAATTCTCCTCTGTGCAGATTTCTTCTAACTATCAAAAATACAACAAACAACAACAAATTAGCTTAATTAGGTAATCCCAACTTTTTCATGGTAGCTGATCAATTTTATCAATCAAGCCAGTCTGTGTTACGTACAAAACTACACAATCTATTTACTATTTACTGCGTGCCTCTAGGATTATTCAATATCTGTATAATGTGGCAAGGATGCAGATATAATAGACATGGTCCCCTCCTTGAAGGAAAACATTGCAATGTATCTGAATTATATGTGTGGACATCAGAGTATCCCTTTCTCAATCACATGTTGATATTCTTTTCTTTTTTTTTTTTTTTTTTTTTTTCTTTTTACATTTTTTTTTTTTTATTATACTCTAAGTTTTAGGGTACATGTGCACATTGTGCAGGTTAGTTACATATGTATACATGTGCCATGCTGGTGCGCTGCACCCACTAATGTGTCATCTAGCATTAGGTATATCTCCCAATGCTATCCCTCCCCCCTCCCCCGATCCCACCACAGTCCCCAGAGTGTGATATTCCCCTTCCTGTGTCCATGTGATCTCATTGTTCAATTCCCACCTATGAGTGAGAATATGCGGTGTTTGGTTTTTTGTTCTTGCGATAGTTTACTGAGAATGATGGTTTCCAATTTCATCCATGTCCCTACAAAGGATATGAACTCATCATTTTTTATGGCTGCATAGTATTCCATGGTGTATATGTGCCACATTTTCTTAATCCAG
Source organism: Homo sapiens (assembly GCF_000001405.40). Lineage (NCBI taxonomy): Eukaryota > Metazoa > Chordata > Mammalia > Primates > Hominidae > Homo > Homo sapiens. Next base: position 19,168,895 of record NC_000004.12, on the reverse strand, counting down.
TCTATCATTGTTGGACATTTGGGTTGATTCCAAGTCTTTGCTATTGTGAATAGTGCCGCAATAAACATACGTGTGCATGTGTCTTTATAGCAGCATGATTTATACTCATTTGGGTATATACCCAGTAATGGGATGGCTGGGTCAAATGGTATTTCTAGTTCTAGATCCCTGAGGAATCGCCACACTGACTTCCACAATGGTTGAACTAGTTTACAGTCCCACCAACAGTGTAAAAGTGTTCCTATTTCTCCGCATCCTCTCCAGCACCTGTTGTTTCCTGACTTTTTAATGATTGCCATTCTAACTGGTGTGAGATGATATCTCATAGTGGTTTTGGTTGATATTCTTTTCTAATGTTGCCTTCTGCTTTAAGTCTTCCAGTTCTTCTTTCCTAACCAGTTGTCATGTACCCTTCTAATCACAGAACTCACATACTACTTTGTAACTTTTAATATATAATCAGACATTGGAATTATTCTGATATGTTTTAATTAGCCCTCATAATCATTTTTCAAAATTGTTGAGTGTCAAGACAAAATCTTATTCATGTTGACATCCTTTGTATCACCTAACATTTATTCATTTAAAAATATTTATTGAGCTCCTAATTTGGGCCAGATACCATGGTAGGAATTGGGGATAGAAAGATAAAGATATAAAGGCTTGGGACTTGGGAAATTTTTCTGAATTTAATTCAATTTACCCCACAATAATACAGAAGCGAGCCTTTACTGATCATCCTAAGAATTGGGGTCATATAAAACATAACGTTAATGACTAAATAATGGAGTACAAATTTAAGGTTAAATGCAAAGCTGGTATACTACATTATATAATTTCCTCACATAATGAAGATGGGTCATTAAGGATTCCCTGCTTTCAAGCCTACTTAACCCAAACAACAGTGAAAAAGAATCTAAACACAATTTCCCAGCTTTCAGATGGATGAGGTTAAATTGAGCAAGACAGCAAATAATGACGGATAATAGTGAAGACCTCAAATCATACAGTACATTAACAAAGCTTATGTGTACTTGATACTGGAAAAGACCTACATCTCTGCTGTATGAGAAGCAGAAAGAGATTGCTTCCTAAAGAGAAAATAGAAGACACAGCCAACCCTCTCTCCATTTTCAGATAAAATTATTTCTTCAACACTAAGCTCACATATAACATTTTTCATTCCTCCTTTCTCTGCCCCACAAGCTCTGTTCTCCACCCACTCAGAATGTTCAATCTGTACTTTGTGAATGGTGGCTTCTCTTTTGACCCAGGTAATGAGCTGTTAACTCTTTAAGAAGAATACAACACAGCTCCATGGAGGCCTCTCTGGCCTAGGAACAATGCTAGGCATTATGCATACACTATCTCACCTTATCCTTACAACAAATTTACAACATGGGGCCAAGGGACAAAATGAGAAGTGAAGTGACAAAGTCTAGGTTGCTTCCTGAGGTCACACATAAAATGAAGAGCCAAGCTGGGCTTCAGACTTAGGAATGTCTGCCTTCAAATCAACACACCTCCCACAATCTTAAACTCTCTTCTCAGAGTAAGGTTGTTATTTAGATAGATTTTTCATATATTGCATGTTTCATTGTGTTGATTAATTCAATAAAATGGTAACAAGTAGGTGAAATAATTAATAAAGCATTTCTATAATAAAATTAACTTTATGTCCTCAATAAAAGTATTACCAAAAGCCATACATTGATTCACACATGCGATCCTGCTGATGAATGTTTCTTGTTAGCTGTAAGTCATCACTTTTTTTTTTTCTTTTTTTTGAGATGGAGTTTCATGCTTGTCGCCCAGGCGGGAGTGCAGTGGCATGATCTCAGCTCACTGCAACCTGCGCCTTCTGGGTTCAAGCGATTCTCCAGCCTTAGCCTCCCAAGTAGCTGGGATTACAGGCGCCCAATACCACTCCCAGCTAACTTTTGTATTTTTAGTAGAGATGGGATTTTGCCATGTTGGCCAGGCTGTTCTCAAACTCCTGACCTCAGGTGATCTGCCCACCTCAGACTCCCAAAGTGCTGGAATTACAGGCATGAGCCACCACGCCTGGCCAGGTCATCTCTCCTACCATAGAGAAGACATATAACATTTTTCCAAGATATGTTGAAACATTTATAGATTATGCTACATAATCTTCCCACTTTCACTTGCCTGACAATAAAAAACATAATCCTTTTTTTCACTTAGCTAAATCTAAATGAAAAAATATCAGCTAACTATGTTTTTGTTGTTAGATTTAGTTTTATTTGTTTTTTTTTTTAATTGGTTTTCCTCAAGAGAAAGAGGCTAATGTCATCAATAAGCTGATACTGGAAACTTGTTTCTACAAGAAACTTTCTGAATGTACACTTATGAACATTTAAATTGCTGTCACAGTTTTAAACTATCTGATTTCTGTCTAAAGAACAAAGTTACATATAATGTTTACATTAGATAGGCTAAGCACACTTTATTTTATTTGGCCAATATATCAGTTATTATAAAAGAGAAAGACTATGTAATCAAAATTTCTAATACAACCAAAGCAACGGTGAAACATCTTATAATGAAAAAATTCACATAGAATCCTAGCTTTTAGGTTTTTTAAATTTATAATTTTAAGTATTTTAAGATTGTCATATGTGTGTTTGTATATTTCATAGGCATTTTGATTAAACAGCTACCTTTCTTGGAAAATAACAATGCTCTTGTAATTGTTCTTCCTGTTTTAACAGACTTGGTGTTAGCTTAGGTCACACAAAATGAGCTACATTGTGCTTTACATGACCAAGATTTGTCATACAGAATTCCACATTTGAGCTGATTTTTTTTCAGCTATCTTTCCTTTTGCTGTATCTTCTGGGAATTTCCTTGGTTTTTAGTAATAGAAAAGCCCCAGTAATAGTGGCTTAAACAAATGGGGTTATATTCTTCTCAAGTAGCAAGGCGTCTGCAGATAGGTGATTTCTGGCATTGCTTCAGGTATTCAGTGAAATCCTTAAGGTCCCAGACTCCTTCTGATTTGTCTGCTTTCCTATGCTTTTGTCTTTCTTACGGTTTTGTTGGCTTGCTTTTGTCTTCAGGCCTCAGATGGCACTCAGCTCCACGCATCATGTTCTCACCCAAAACAGGAAGAAATTGGAAAGATGTGACAGCTACTGCATTTTCCTTTATGTCAGGGAAGCAAAATTGTCTCTCAAAAACTTCAGTGAGATGTCCCTTCATACCATAGCCAAAATTGAGTTACAGGGCCACTTTTAACTAGAAGACAGGTTGCAATAGCAATTGTTTAGCTGGTATCTGGATACCCCCAAATACAACTGGGATACTGGTTAAAAGGGAATGGATGGTATAGCAATAAGCAGCTAAAAAAATCTGTTTCAAATCTAATAGCATTTCTTGTTTTAGAAGGTTGAAGAAGTAGAGAGGATAAAAGTTTAACCAAAGATTATGGCATAAGAAAAGTGCAGAGAGAGTAGTAGAAAAGACTGTATGAAATGTTGGGTAATTTATTTTCCATTTTTATGATTTTTTAATTCCAATAGATGGTAACTTCAACCATAAGTTAGCATTGTATATTTGTGTGTGTGTGTGTGTGTGTGTGTGTGTGTGTGTGTGTGCATGCGTGAAGGGCTAGGGCTAGATGATAACTATTTCAGGCTTTGAGGACTATGTGGTTTCTACTGGAGCAACCCAACTCTGCCATTGGAGCACGCAATAGCCACTGATGATTATACATGAAGAGATGGCTACAGTTGTGTCCCACTAAGACTCTTTTTTTTTTTTTTTAAGGCAGTTTGGCCATAGTTAGCAGGACTCACCCTAGACTGAAAACACAATATACTATGAAAGAAAAATAAAATAATCAAATCATAAGAGACAATAGAAAGGGATATTTTTATCAATAACATTAAATTGTGGGAAGTTATAGAGTGCTGAAATTTGAAGGGTCAAGGCCAACAGGACAATAAAGAGATCATGAAGATCTCATTGTGTTGTTAGGGCAAACATGTCAATGATGAGGAGATGCAAATCTCACGGTTTTGAAATGACAGAAATATTAGTGATAATCTTACATGATACAACCCTATCTTCAGGTTTATACCCCAAACAGGAAAATTTCTTTGATCAGGAAACATCACTCTCGTTCTCTTGCTCTGCCTTGTTTCCTTCTTGGCACTTAATACTACCCAACATTATATTACAAGTGTATTATTCTGTTTTCATACTGCTATAAAGAACTGCCCAAGACAAGGTAATTTGCAAAGGAAAGAGGTTTAATAGACTAACAGTTTAGCATGGCTGGGGAGGCCTCAGGAAACTTACAATTATGGTAGAAGGGGAAGTGGAAGCAAAGCACCTTCTTCACAAGGTGGCAGTAAGAGGAAGTGCAAGTAGGGAAAATGCCAGCAGCTTACAAAGCCATGAGATTTCTTGCGAATTCACCCACTATCATGAGAACAGCATAGGGAAAATTGCTCCCATGATCCAATTACCTCCACCTGATTCCGCCCTTGACACACAGGGATTATAGGGATTTTAGGGATTACAATTCAAGATGAGATTTTGGGTGGGGACACAGCCAAACTGTATCAACAAGATAACTAGTTAATTCATTTATTGTCAGTACTCCTCATCCCCACTGAAACATAAGTCCATGAGATTTGAGACTTCAGTTTATTTTATTTTATAATATTGATTAATTGTTAAATCCTCAGTTCTTGGAATAATGCATGACACTTAGTTGGTGCTGAATAAATATTTATTAAGTAATTGAATGAAGAAATAATTCCATAAATAGTGGTCTGGAAACTATGCTGACACATACGTTTTGTCTAAGACCCTGATGATGTGAACCATCCAAGCATTTCCACTGACTTGAATGTTCATGTTAGATTTTCTGGAAGTCTCATAAACTTATGGTCACTTCACCCTTTTAGTCAAATTTGGAAGCCATGGAATGAAAAGTCTATGTATGTATTTGGGAGAATCCTTTATAAACTCTGCTAAGTGTTCAACAGATGAATGGATAAAGAAAATGTGGTACATATATACAATGGAGTACTATTCAGCCATAAAAAAAGAATGAGATCCTGTCAATTGCAACAACATAGATGGCACTGGAAATTATTATGTTAAGTGAAATAAGCCAGGCACAGAAATACAAACATCACATATTCTCACTTATTTGTGGGATCTAAAAATTAAAACAATTGAACTTATGGACATAGAGAATAGAAGGTTGGTTACCAGAGACTGGGAAGGGTAATGGGAGGGTGGGAAGAGATGAAGGTGATTAATGGGTACACAAAAAAATAGTTACAAAGAATGAATAGGACCTACTATTTGATAGCACAACAGGGTGACTATAGTCAATAATAACATAATTGTGTATCTTAAAATAACTTAAAGAGTATAATTGGACAGTTTGTAACTCAAGGATAAATGCTTGAGGCGATGGATACTCCATTCTCTGACACATCCTTATTTCACATTGCATGCCTGTATCAAAACATCTCATGTCCCCCATACATATATATGCTTACTATGTACCCACAAAAATTTAAAAAATCATATTGATTAATACAATTCACAAATAGTACATTAATATTTATGAAAAATATAAATTTTATAAATAAATTTATGAAATGTCTCTACATTTCTCTATAAATACAGACCCAATAACCCAGGACTTATCATCAAGTTCAAACACCCCATTTTGCTTTTTTCTGTAATTTGTCTGTTGTGGAAAACCAAATACTGCATGTTCTCTTATAAGTGGGAGCTAAATGATGATAATACATGGACACACAGAGGGGAAAAACAGACACTGGGGCCCATCAGAGGGCAAACAGTGGGAGGAGGAAGAGGATCAGGAAAAATAACTAATGGATACTAGGCTTAATACCTGAGTAACGAAATAATCTGTACAACAAACCCCCATGACACAAGTTTACTTATGTAACAAACCTGCAGTTATACCCCTGAACTGAAAATATAAGTTAATTTTTTTTAAAAAATTACTTATTGCATACCTGCCACGTGTCAGGTCCTAAATATGTGCTAGATATATAGTGATTAATGAAGTGGGTGGTGTATAGTTTAGAAATTTTCAGGATTATAATAAAAAATATACAATACAATTAATGTATTTCATATAATTATATTATTAATACATCCCTGATAATTGGTTATCAGAGAGGCACTTTATATATATATAGTGGGATATCTCTCTCTATATATATATATACACACACACATATATATAAAGTATATATATACACCTACATATAAAGTATATATATATATATTCTCTCTCTCTATATATATATATGTATAGTACCTCCATATATGTTTACAAAAAACAACAGAAATTTAAGAGAAGTTTTTTTTTTTTAATTTTTAATTAATTTCATGCACACACACATACTGATCATTTGGTCTCCAGAATTCCTAAAGTAGTATGACATTTGATCATTAACTGTGAAAAAAGATATCATTTTCAAAGAGTTATGTGACAGTTTATCTTCAGAAAAGCAGGGACAGTGAGACTCTGTTATCCTGGATCCCTTTTTTTTCTCAACAGATGAGTATAATCCTACATGTCTTGTGACTATCTCCAATCCCACTTTTGACATCAGTTAAGCTTACATAGGATGCATCTAATTACAGACTTTCCCTTCTCTCCAAATTCCAGCTTTATAAACATTGGGAATACAAATTTCACATATCCCTGAACTGACATTTCGCTGATCACTTTTTCATTCACTTATTTGATGAGTACAGTTAGCTCTCCATATCTGTGAATTCTGCATCCATGGATTCAACCAACTATAGATCGAAAATATTGGGGGAAAAAATTCCCTGCAAAATTACAAAATGTTAAACTTGATTTTGCTGCACTCACTGAGTACTATGTACTCAGTGAGTTCAGTTAGAATCAAATGTGTCAAAAGTATATGTCACTTCTCCATCAAGTCACCAAATGCTGATTCCCTGTTTTGACCATACTTTTGAGGGAAGATTCTGGGATCATGACATCTTTTCAGTGGTAATGGGAAGGGAAGATACAGAATAAATTATTCTACTAAGCAGATGGGCCATTGGGGGTATTTTGTAAAGTTTCCCAAATTTATATTTATTATGAGAAATATGTTGAATTATTATTTGTCTATTTCTCTCAAGAAAGAACCATAAATTAAAATTACTGCTGAACTATCAATATTCTGGCTTTTTAGGTTCCAGAAAATAGGATTTTGTCAAGCACGTTCATGCCCTTGTGCTTTTGTTCATATGGGGCCATTTGTCACCTACTTTGTGAAGTCTTCTCACAGTTCTTACTAATCTAGGCTAAAATAATAATTAATTCTCAGTGTCTCCTACATAATAAATATTTCTTTTCAAATAGTGTTCACATACTTCTGCCTCTATGCTGGGTACTCTATATTATTTCACTGCAATGTCCAGTATGCTCACAAAGTGTGCATCTCCACTTCATATCTGAAGATACTGAGGCTCACAAAAGTTAAGTAATTTGCCCACCATCCACCTAATCCTGAAGTTAGAAATGTAGACAGTGTTCTTCCCCTCATCCCCCAAATCACAGCCAATTTCAAAGTTCTAGCAAGTTCATTTTTGTTTTTTGTTTTGTTTTGTTTTTTGATTTTATGGAGTACTGCTCTGTCACCCCAGCTGGAGTGCAGTGGCGCGATCTCGGCTCACTGCAACCTCCGCCTCCCTGGTTCAAGCGATTCTTCTGCCTCAGCCTGCCCAGTAGCTGGGATTGCCGAGTAGCTGGGATTACAGGCATGCACCACCACACCCGGCTAATTTTTGTATTTTTACTAGAGACGGGGTTTCACCATCTTGGCCAGGCTGTTCTTGAACTCCTGACCTCGGATCCACCCTCCTCGACCTCCCAAAGTGCTGGGATTACAGGTATGAGCCACCGCGCCTGGCCACAAGTTCATCTTTAATATGTCTCAAGTTCACCGATTTTTCCCATTTCCGTAGCCGTTGCATTAATACAGCCCACTATTTTATGTCACATGGGTTACTGCCCCATTCTCTGACTTGTTCCTCCTAACTCCAGTATTCTTGCTCTACAATGCACTATACTGCTGCTAGAACAGATTTTCCAAGATTAAAATAAATACTTTAACTCCATATTGTTCTATGGAGAGAAAAATCCTTCTTATTCTTTTTCATTCTCATTATTATTATTGTTCAAGTCATTGTTTCCTCTTTGAGGTAAATAGGACACTAACTCATTCTCTTCTCTGTCTCAAGTCTCTAATATCACAAAATCATTGCAAAATTCACAAGAATTATAATATCAAAGGGGACCCCAGGAAGGCCTTCTAAAGGAGACACATGAAAAGAAAGCACATATTGTTCAGGAAATTAGAGTATGGGAAATATTACAGACCATTTCTCATGACTAAAATGAATTATCTACAACAAACCTAAACTCACATATAACTGCCTACTAGCTTGTAGATCTGTCATTAGAAGCAAGTCATTTATCCATGAAGAAGATACAATGATCAGAAGGGACTTCTGGAAGTATTCTTTGAAGGCAAGATATCATTATAGAAGTCGTGTTTATAGCCAGAGGTAGTCAATTAGATATCTCCGAACAATGCAATAACTTACCACCTTTATAAAGATCCTGGACTATCCATTCTAACGGGAAAAACTAACATTATAGCTCAGAGTTTAAGAGCAAAAGCTATGGAGCCAAACTGCCTGTTTGCTTTAAGTTTTACACTGACACTAATTAGCTGTGAGACTTTGGCCAAGTTCTTTTGTGTGATTCAAGTTTCCTCATCTGTAAAATGCAGAACATAATGTTACCTAACAAGGAAGGGAATTATAGAGTTACATGAGCTATTTAAGTATGTGTGTGTTGCCAAGAACATTGTCTGGCATGTATTTTGTTACAGAATATAATAAACTTTATGTTGTACCTTATACGTACATTCAAAATTTCTTTAGCTAGCTACTCACAGAATTAGAGAGGGACAAAAAAGCTCTTATCATAGTTTATTATAATTTCAAAGAAACTTAGTGTTCTACTTTATATCCTTCATTGTATAATGTAGAAAATAGAGGCCCAGAAATATGACTATTATTAAGGTACTCATTCCTAATAAGGGAATATATTTAAATATTTAGCTGAGGCAATTCTACTCTTGGTTTGGTGTCCTTCCAAATTAACTGTTATCTTACCAAATGCCAGTGATCTTCAATACTTTCCTTAAGAGTAAGTGGGGAGAAAGGACCATTTTCTCTGAGGGAAAGCCAAAGAAGCTAATAAACGAGATGATTTATGCAGTAAAACATAGCAAAGATACTGAGATAGAATTGTAATCCATGACTCCTCTTCAAAAGTTGTTTTCCTGCCTACAAATTGAGGAGCTATGACTTTTGGGGATATAATACAAAAATACATATCCTCACAAGTTCAAGATGACTCATAACCTTAGTTTCAGATTTGTAGTCAACAAATACAAATTTGTACCACATTACTATCAAAATTCTCATACTTTTCTCTGGTAAAATAGTCTAAAAAAGACTAAAGACATCTTACATAATATTTTCATTATTTTTGAAAGTTTGTACTTCTAATTCAGCATATCAATATGTAAGTGGGGTAAAATCATTATTTTGGAAAGGAAGAAAAAAATCAACTGCCTTATCTACTATTATATTATTACATCAAGCAAAGCCATTTCCATAGCAAAAGCTATGTATCCACAAAAATATATCAAATGTTTGAAAGTATAAATCAAGAAGAAAAATTATATGTAAGTCTGCAAAATTTAAAAAGGAAGTGCAGGATTGAGGGAGCAAAGAAAATATCTCACAAATTTGGCTCAAAATACTTTCCTTTGGTATCTGAAGCATCTGAAACCTAATAGAAAATCTTGGCTTCTAGAAAAAAGGTAAACTAAAAGTTTAGGATATCTCCGTGTATTTTTAGCTGTTTGTCAGTAAATTATATAGATGAATATAAGGCATTCCAAAGCATTGGTGAAAAGAATTATATGGATAGTTGTGGGGTTTTAAAATTGAAGAAAATCTATCTGCTAAGAGGAGAGGTTGTTGGAGACTATTTTTTTCTACTGAACCCACAAATCACTTTGAGGTTCCTCTTACATTTCATGGTGCATGTATCTTGTATCCTCCAGAATGTAAACTGAAAAGCAATGTGTAGACAAGCCAATATTAGTAGCGTGTCTGATTGCCTGTTGCTGTCAATCTTGTGGAGGAAGGGGGCAGCAGAGAAATCACTGCTAATGACTTCAGAGTTTGTATGTCCCGCACTCACTTATTACTGGAAAAAATAAAATGTAATGAACCTGATATGGACAAGGAATGAGAGGAATAAAATATGTCTTTTAGACTGTCAGCAAGCAATGAAACAAATGAGATTTATGGCAGAATTGGATATGTGATTTATAGTTTTTCTTGTTCTTCATTTAAAAGAGGAAATTAAAACCACACTTGCATATGATTCAATCTTTGATCACTAGAGAATAGCTGCTGCAAATTAATTATTATAAACTCCATTACCCTTGTTCACCCCAGATGCTGCATCCATAGTACCTTCCAACCAGTATCCTAGGGGAAAAGAGGTTTTTTTGTTTTGCTTTGTTTTTATAATTCTTTAGGAAAAAAAATAGCTGACATTTGGTGTTTCACTGAGTGGTAATTTATTACTGAAGGAACTAATTGAATAGTCTCAAGGAAAGAACACAGAGGAAAGACCCAGATTAAATTGTTAGCAGCTTCTTACTTCTGGCTGAAAGAATGTGCGTGTTTATTCTCTTTTCATCGTCTATAAGCCTAGAATCAAATACTTTAACTTATGCATAAAGATTTTCAGATCTTCAGCTCTGATAGTGTCTGTATAATTCTATAAGTAAATGCAGAAAATATTGATTTCATAAAGAATTTGTTCATGTAGTCTTCATTTAAAGCAATAAAAATTATTGGTCGATTAAAATATTTTAAGACAATACAGAATAGAGCAATGACTCATTGGAGGGCCCTAAGATATGCCAAAGAAAGAATCCATTTAGAATAAATATTTCAATACAAATTTAATAAAATACATGCATATAATGTGGTAATTAAGTATAAGAAACCAACACTCTTTTAGGAGAATGCTTAGAAAACTACTAATAGAATAAAATATAAATGATCAAAAAAGAAAAATATTTTACATAGAGGTAATCAAATATCATACTTAAACAAAGTCAAAATCTAAGGTGTTTTTGTGTATTTAAACGTGTGAGCTGCAAGTGACGGTGGAAAAGTTGAATATGATTAGGGACCTTATTGATATGGCAACACAGGACAGATGACTTTAACAGAGTGGGCTAGATCTTTAGATGTTTGTTCAATTGAAACATGTATACTTTAATTTTTCTTGGACACTTTCTATAGCCGGTTATGTTTATGTGTAGAAAAAAAGGAACAAATCTGTGAAGCACTTGAATAATAGTAAAGAATTAAGATTTTTAATCTTGCACATGATAAAAACTTATTGTGATAGAATGAGAACTATATATTTTGATCTTTGTCTACTGTTCTTGGCACACAGCTCCTAAAATACTTGTAACTTCCTAAGTGACAAAAGCAATAGGAAAATCTCTTGTTATATCTCTTGGTTTTTGTTTGTGGCTCCTGAAATAGCTTCAAAGAGATAGAGGCAATAGGAGCACCTTTTGTTATTTATAACAATCCTCTAGGGGCAGAGAGAAGGCACCCAGACATGTGCGTATCATCACCCCAACCCCATGCCAACAGGACCATGCACACAGTCTCCAGCAGGAGTGCCCTGCCCCTCTCCAGCTTCATGGCCACTGCCACTGTGGTGAATGCCTGCAGCAAGGTGCCTACCAGCACCTGTTAGCACTCTGTCACAGCTGCCACACTTTGGCACCCCCAGTGCAGTGGATTCCAAATCTCGAGGAGCCAGAGAACAAAGTCAGGGCCCAATACAAATCCTCCAGAGTTACAGAACAGAGTCTGGGAGTTGGGAGCTGAGTGTTGGCCTCCTAAAATCTCCCAGAAACAAAGCCTGTCAGCTGAATGCACGTTATATCACAATCAAACCCTCAATGTCATCAAATAGGATAAAACTAAAAAAAAAAAAAAACACCCAAAGGTCAGCAACCTTAAAGATTGAAGGCAGATAAGCCCAGATTGAAAGTAGATAAGCCCACAGATGAGAAAGCCTCAGCACAAGAATGCTGAAAACGTAAAAAGCCAGAGTGCCTTCTTTTCATCAAATGTCTGCATCACTTCTCCAGCAAGGATTCTGAACTGGGCTGACATGGCTGAAATGACAGGAATAGAATTCAGAATATGGATAGGAGCAAAGATAACTGAGCTTAGTACTTACAACTCAATGCAAGGAAGTAAAAATCACGATAAAAAAATGCAGGAGCTGACAGAAAAAAATTGTGAGTATACAAAAGAATGTAAGCAACCTGATAGAGCTGAAAGACACACTATGAGAATTTCATAGTACAATCACAAGTATTAATAACGGAATAGACCAAGTAAAAAAAAGTAATCTCAGAGCTTGAAGACTGGCTTTCTGCATAAGAAAGCCAGACAAAAATAGAGAAAAAAGAATGAAAAGGAAGAGCAAAACCTCAAAGAAATATGGAATTTTGTAAAGTGAACAAATCTATGATTCATTGGTGTCTCTGAAAGGGATGGGGAGAATACAGCCAACTTGGAAAACATATTTCAGGATATTATTCATGAGAACTTTCCCAACCTAGCTAGAGTGGCCAATATTCAAATTCAAGAAATGCAGAGAACCCCAGTAAGGTATTTTGCAAAAGATCATCCCCAAGACACATAATGATCAGATTCTCCAAGGTCAAAATCAAAGCTATTAAAGGCAGCTAGACAGAAAGGTCAGATTACCTACAAAGGGAAGTCCATCAGACTAACAGCTGACCTCTCAACTGAATCACTACAAGTCAAAAGAAATTGAGGGCCAATATTTAACATTCTTAAAGAAAATAAATTTCAACTCAAAATTTTATGTCTGGCCAAACTAAGCTTCATAAGTGAAGGAAAAATAAGATTCTTTTCAGACAAGCAAATGCTGAGGGGATTTGTCACAACTAGACCTGCCTTACAAGAGCTCTTGAAGGAAGCACTAATATGGAAAGGAAAGACTGTTACTAACCGCTACAAAAACATACCAAAGTACACAGACCAATGATGCTATAAAGCAACCACATAAACAAATCTGCAAAATAACCAGGTAACACCATGATTACAGGATTAAATTCACACATATCAATACTAAGCTGAATTATAAATGGGCTAAATGTCACAATTAAAAAACACAGTGTGGCAAGCTGGATAAGGAACCAAGACCCATTTGTATGCTGTCTTCAAGAGATCCATCTCAAATGCAATGACACCTGTAGGCTCACAATAAAGGGATGGAGAAAAATCTACAAAGCAAAAAAAACAACAAAAAAGCAGGAATTGCAAACCTACTTTCTGAGAGAACAGACTTTAAACCAACAAAGATAATAAAAAAGACAAAGAAGAGCATTACATAATGCTAAAGAGTTCAATTTAACAAGAAGATCTAACTGTCACATATATAAGCACCCAACACAGAATCACCCAGATGCATAAAATAAGTTTTTAGAGAACTCCAAAGAGACTTAGACTCCCACACAATAATAGTGGGAAACTGTAACCCCACTAACAATATTAGACAGATTATTAAGACAGAAAATAAAGATATTCAGGACCTGAAATCAGCATTAGATCAAATGGACCTGATAGATATCTATAGAATTGTCCACCCAAAAACAACAGTATATACATTCTTCTCATCCCCACATGGCACATATTCTAAAATCAATTACATAATTGGAAGAAAATACACTCCTCAGCAAATGCAAAAGAGCTGAAATCATAACAAACAATCTCTTTGACCACAGCTCAATCAGACTAAAAATAGAAATTAGAAATTAGAAATCAAGACTAAAAAAGTCACTAAAAAACATACTTGGTGCAAAAGCAATTGAGGTTTTTACCTTTTTTTTTTTTTTTTTTTTTTAAGACTAAGTTTTTCTCTTGTTGCCCAGGCTGGAGTGCAATGGCATGATCTCGGCTCACTGCAACCTCTGCCTCCCCAGTTCAAGTGAATTTCCTGCCTCAGCCTACTGAGTAGTTGGGATTACAGGCACGCACCACCACGCCTGACAAATTTTTTGTATTTTTAGTTGAGATGGGGTTTCACCATATTGGCCAAGCTGGTCTTGAACTTCTGACCTCAGGTGATCCACCTGCCTCAGCCTCCCAAAGTGCTGGGATGACAGGCATAAGCCACCATGCCCGGCCATTTACCATTTATTTTAATGGCAAAAACCGCAATTACTTTTGCACCAACCTACATGGACATTGAATAGCCTGCTCCTGAATGACTTTTGGTAAATAATGAAATCAGGGCAGAAATCAAGAACTTCTTTGAAACTAATGAGAATAAAGATACAACCACAGATACTAGCATCTCTGGGACACAGCATAAGTCAGGGTTAAAAGAGAAATTTATAGCACTAAATGCCCGTGTCAAAAAGGTATCAAGTTAACAACCTAATATTACAACTAAAAGAACTAGAGACCCAAGAGCAAACAGATCCCAAAGCTGGCAGGAGACAAGAAATAACCAAAATCATAGCTGAACTGAAAGAGATTGAGACACACAAAAAAAAAACTATTCAAAAGATCAATGTGGGCTGGGCGCAGTGGCTCACACCTGTAATCCCAGCATTTGGGAGGCTGAGGTGGGTGGATCACGAGGTCAGGATTTTGGACCAGCCTGACAAACATGGTGAAACCGCATCTCTACTAAAAATACAAAAATTAGCTGGGCATGGTGGCGGGTGCCTGTAATCCCAGCTACTCAGGAAGCTGAGGCAGGAGAATTGCTTGAACCCGGGAGGCAGAGGCTGAAGTGAGCCAAGATCATGCCATTGCATTCCAGAGTGGGTGACAGAGCGAGACTCCATCTCAAAAAAAAAAAAAAAACGTTCAGTGCATCCAAGAGCTGGATTATGGAAAAAAATAATAAAACATATAGACCAGTAGCTAAACTAATACAGAAGAAAAGAGAAAAGATTCAGATAAACATAATCAAAAATGACAAAGGAAATATTACCACTGAACCACACAGAAACACAACAAACCCTCAGAGAATATTATGAATATTATGAATATGTATATATAGAATATTATGAATATATATATATCTATACACATAAACTAGAAAATCTAGAAGGAATAGATAAATTCCTGGATGCATGCTCCCTCCCAAGACTGAACCAGGAAGAAACTGAAGCCCTGAAAAAAAACAATTAAGAGCTCTGAAATTGAGTCAGCAATATTAATAAACAGCCTAGAAACCAAAAAAGCCCAGGACCAGATCCATTCATAGCTGAATTCTATCAGAGGTATAAGAAGAGCTGGTACCATTCCTGCTGAAACAATTTTAAAAAATTGAGAAAAGGAACTCTTCCCTAACTCATTCTGTGAAGCCAGCATCATCCTGATATCAACCTGACAGAGATGCAAAAAAAGACATACATATGGCCAATAAGCATACAGAAAAATGTTCAACATCTCTAGTCATTACAGAAATGCAAATCAAAACCACAAGGAGATACCATGTCACACCGGTCAAGAATGGCTATTATTAAAAAGTCAAAAAACAACAGATGCTGGTGAGGTTGTGGAGAAAAAAGAATGCTTATACATTGTTGATGGGGGTGTAAATTAGTTCAGCTATTGTGGAAGACAATGTGGCAATTCCTCAAGATGGAAATACAATTTGACCCAGCAATCCCATTACTGGGTATATACCCAAAGGAACATAAATTGTTCTATTATAAAGACATATGAATGCAAATGATCATTGCAGCACTATTCACAATAGTAAAGTCATGGAATCAACCTAAATGCCCATCAATGATAGGCTGGATAAAGCAAATATGGTGCATATACGCTATAGAATACTATGCAGCCATAAAAAGGAATGAAGTCATATTCCAGCTGGAGGCCAGTATCCTTAGCAAACTAACACAGGAACAGAAAACCGAATACTGCATATTTTCACTATAAATAAGAGCTAAACAATGAGAACGCATGGACACAAAGAGGGGAACAACACACACTGGGGCCTATCAGAGGGTGAAGGGTGAGAGGAGGGAGAGGATTAGGAAAAATAACTCGTGGGTCCTAGGCTTAATACCTAGGTGTTGAAATAATCTGTACAACCAACTCTCATGACACAAGTTTACCTATGTAACAAACCTATGCATGTACCCCTGAACTTAAAAGTTCAAAAAAACCCATTTTAACCACACCTGAGTTTAAGTTCATGAGGTGACTTTTGGAAAGCCCCTAGATAACCACATTACAGGGGATGGTTGCCAGAAAAAAAAACAACTATGTGATTAGAGGGTGAGAAAGATTCATAAAACCCAAAAGAAAGGAGGTTCCAGAAGTTTTGGGGTTCATGAACAAGAATGCATCCACATGCCAGAAGCGTGATACACAGCAAAACTCCATGAGAACAGAAGCTCCTGTGCTTGGGATCCTTCCAGACCTCGCCCTATATATCTCTCCATCTGGCCTCTTCATCTGGCCGTTCATTTGTATTATTTAATATATTCTTTGCAATACACTGGTAATAATAAGAACCACATTTTTCCCTGAGTTCTGTGTGTTGTTTTACCACATTACAGAAACTGAGCAGAGTTTGTGGAAACCTGCTATTTCTGGCCACGTCAGATAGGAGTTGTAGGTAACCTGAGGACCCACTACTTGTGAATGGCATCAGAAAAGGGCAGGCAGTCTTGTGGGACTGAGCCCTTAACCTGTGGGGTCTGCATTAACTCCAAGTAGTTAGGGTCAGTACTGAGTTAAGTTGTGGGATACCTAATGGGTGTCTGCTGAGAATTGATTGGTTTGGGGAAAACACCTGCAATCTGATGTCAGACTTGAAGTATTCAAAGTAGTTACAGAGTAGAAACAGAGAAGGTTTTCTTTCAAATTTTAACTCAAAATAGCTTAAACAAAACCAGAAAATGTAGTGTCTCAAGTTATTTCAGATATAAATGAATTCAGGAACTCACAGGCCTTACTGGTGGTCCCTAGGAAAATCTGAATCCGTTTCTATATTTTTCAGCAAAACCATAAGAATTACTGACCTTGACCTAGCTTGGCTCCTATGCCATCTCTGGATCAATTCCTTTTGATCAGAATGGAATGAAATGACTGGCCCACCTGAATCCTGTGCCCACCCCACTTAAAACCCAGAGACTGCAAATACAGCATGGGTGGTCTCCAAAGAAAAATCAGGATGTAATCTCCAAAAAACAGGGAAGCAATGCTGGGCAGGAAGAAAACAACAGATGAAGAAATTTTCCTCAAGCATGTTACTTCTGTATCTACTGCCAGTTGAACTGCATAAGATATAGATAAGGCCTGCCAGAAAAAGAAGTCATTAATTTTCATTACATATGAATTCATTTATGCCTTTTAAAATACAGTTTGGTGTTACTGTTCATTTGTTGTGGGTATGTATATTTTTCACTTTATTTTTTACATATTTTGTGGAACTTGAGAATATAGGTGTTGTCTTTATAAAGTAGTAAGATTTTAATAAAGTTAATTTTTAAGGTATGCTTATCATAATTTTAGAGTATATAATAAGGAATATAGAATGAAATATAATAATTCATAGCTCTGATGCCCAAAACACTTTGATGTCTCTATTTTTTCCTCCCCATTTCTTTTTATTCCAAGTTTGTGGTTATTTTTTATTAATATAAATTTCAATTTTTATTAGGTGTTGTATGTCACTTTTAACCTGCATCCTATGTTGAACATTGTTCTACTCTTATCTGCTTGTTATTATAGACTCTTCATGTAAAAAAAAAATGGATGAATAAAATCTAACCACAACATATCCTAAATTCTATATTTGAAAATTTGGGCCAGGTGCGGTGGCTCATGCCTGTAATCCCAGAACTTTGGAAGGTGGAGACGGGTGGATCACTTGAGGCCAAGAGTTTGAGACCAGCTTGGCCAACATGGTGAAACCCCATCTCACTAAAAATACAAAAAAATTAGCTGGGCGTGGTGGTGGGCATCTGTAACCCCAGCTACTTGAGGCAGGAGAATTTCTTGAACCTGGGAGGCAGAGGTTGCTGTGGGCTGAGATCGTGCCACTGCACTCCAGCCTGGGCGATAGAGCGAGACTCCATCTCAAAAAAAAAGAAAAAAAGAGAAAAAGAAAACAAGAAAGAAAATCGGTATTGTTTCCAATGTTTTATGGTACGAAAATGCTGCCATAAATATCTTCTTGCCAATGCTTTGTTTTCTAGATTCCTATTATTTCTGTAAGAATATTTTCTATAAATGATATTCCAGGATAAAAGATTATGAATGTCTGGTAATTGTGTAAGGATTGCCTTTGCTTTTGAGCTTTTCTTTGATTTAATGATTCTCTTAAAAAGTATTTCTCAGACATTAACTTTAGAAAATATTGGAACATTGAGCTTAGTATTCATTTAATAAATATTTTGGGAACACCTGTTGGGTATCATGGAGCATATTGTGGGGATATCTAATCTAGCCTTAGGGAGAAAGAGGAGACGTCTAGAAAGGAATGATATGTAAACACATGATGTAGGCAAACCCCAAACTGGGGTTCAGCCCAAGAGGGTTCTTGGCTTTGCTCAGGAAACAGCTCGAGAGTGAGCCAATAGTGAAAGAAAGAAACTTTATTAAAGCAATAGCGTATAGCAAAATGGTTGCTCCGTATGTCTGTGGGATAACAGGGCTATCCCATAGGCAGAGTAGCACAGGGTAGCACTCAAGGATTCCTGGCTAGCTGTATTTATACCCACTCTTAATTATATGCTATATAAGGGGCAGGTTATTCATGAACTTTCTGGAAAAAAATGGGGGAGTTCCCAGTACCCTATAAGGTTCTGGGACATTGCCATGGCATTTGTAAAATGTCATGGTGCTGGTAGGAGTGTTTTATGCAAACACACTCTAATTTCTCATCCTGGCTGGTTTTAGCTGGTTTCTTTACTACATCCTGTTTTGATCAGCAGAGTTGTAACTTGTGCTCAGAAAAAAAGTCCTGTTGATCTCTTACCTCACTGGGACCTGAAGAATCAATAGGAGTCAGGAGAATAATTAAGTATAAAAAGCAAATGTATACAGGGAAAAGTGAATCTCAAAGAGAAGAGATAAAATGAGAAAATGCATGTTATGCTTGGAAAATCACACGTGTTATAGTTTTGCTAGAGACATGAGACTGGGAGGGATGGCAGAGGCCAAATTTCAAAAGGTTCACCTGTAGTCACCAAGGGAAATCAAGACAGAATTCAACAAAGACAGATGCCTACTTGACTCCAGCTCTCTACTGCATCACATTACATAATCTCTCAGGGTTTTGCTCTCAGTGTAGTGAACTTCTCTGTCTGACTCAAATTTAAAAATTGGTATTATCTTAAAGAACAATGGAAGGGTTGGAAAGGAAGAAAGAGAGTGATATAGTGTCTTTGACCAATATCATTCATTGTCTGTTTTAGAAATATGGGTGGGCAAACATCTTTAACCTGAGTCCTCTTGCTTTTCCCAACACAGGGAAAATAATCTCCATTAATTTGCTTTAGTAAGTGGTTTTATGACTAATTTAGGGGCCAAAATAACTCAAGGTATATTTTCTAGAAAGTAAAAAAGATCTGGTTGAATACAGTAGACTTCCTTGGACTCAGCCCATATTAAATTTCAGATTGCAAAGAGGTACATCCTACCCTTTGAAAAAATATGTTATTAGCAAATAATTTCCATGTGAAGAATTAAGTCCTAACAACTCTCCTTACATTTCAGTTTTAGCTTTCTTTGAGATTGGCTTATTTTGGCCTCACCTAAGGATGATAGTTTGCAAGCTGTCCATCATAGGCAGTGATACAAGCAGACATGCATATATAAATGTAACCTACACCTCTGTTGCTGCTAGCCCACTCTTCAGAAAGCCCATACCATGTTTTTCAGAAACTTTTAGTAAGGAAGTTGTAAAAGCAAAATAGTGGTTGAAGGGATGGGTTTGGCAGCAATCTCGCTCCTTTTCCTGCCTTTCCCTACAACTCATTAGAGACTGGAATTGAACCACTTCTCTGTCACAATCTCCCCATCTATTAAATGAGGATAATTATTACTACCCTTTCCTTTGCCCTTTGATAACTTCACAGGGTTATTCAGAGATGTTATGAAGATTAATAAGCCAAATGTGTGTGGAGTGCATCAAGCTCCTCTTAAGGGAGAAAATAACAAATTAAAATCCATCATTTTGAGAGCAGGAGGGGCAAGATACCAGAGGACAGTAAACAGGTGGTCCACAGCTCTGGCTTCTTTGAGAGCAGTACAGGTGGTCAGTCTTCCAGTGTCTATCGGTATCAGCCCCGGCCCATAGAGTATGGGTCATTGGCCTCATATTCCAATAAGCCCTCTCTGGGTTAACTCCAATGCTTAATCTAATTGACCTTAAAATGTGCCTTTGTTGTTTTTTTTTTTTTTTTTTTTTTGGAGGAGGGAGTAGCTGTAGTAGATTAAATAATGGCCCCTCAAATATGTCCATATCCTGACCCCCAAAACCTGTGAATATGTTACCTTACAGTGACTTTGCAGATATGATTAAGTTAGATATACTGAGATCGGGGAATCACACTGGATTCTATGGATTGTCCCAATATAATCAAAGGGAACTTATAAGAAGAATGTGGTTAGTAGGAGGAGATATGATGGAAACAGTTTGGAGTAATGAAAGAAAGGAGCATTGGGCCAAGGAATGCAGCACCCTCTGGAAGCTGAAAAAGGCAAGGAAACGGATTATTTCCTGAAACTTTCAGAAAGGACACAGCACTAAAGACACCCAATTTTAGACTTCTGACCTCCGGAACTTTAAGATAGTAAAGTTGTTTTATTTTAAGCCTCTGAATTTGTCACAATTTGTTATAGCAGTGTGTTTGTGTATACATACACCACATATTGCAGTGTTTACACACACACACACATATATATTCATACACACAGACACATATAGAGATGTATGTGCGGGTGTATATATATGCATGCATGATCACTTCAATAAAACAGATACGCAGATCTGGGCAGTTTTTCTTCAATAGAGGAAGAAAAGAAAGCAGAATCAGCTCCACCTGTCCTTTTTTAGAAGAGACTTCTACTTTAGGCATCCCTGCCCTGAGTTGTGTCATATAACTACCATCTGCTGCAAACCTGAATGAAATGAGAACAATCTCCATAAAGAAACTTGGTGAATGATTATTGGTTGTGCAACTAAGAGTGTCTAACACACTTTTTCTTAGACAACACTGTTTACAGGGCACTTTTTACTTACTAGATGAGGAGTATACACCATTAACCTCCTGAGTGTTATGCTTATGTATAAAATGGAGGAGAGAAATAGATCTTGACAATCCACAAAGTAATGGCTGAGCTAGAATAAGAAAATTCGTGTAAAAATTATTTGCACACTTAAAATGCTCAAAAAATAAATGTTTATGATTATGAGAATTCAAGTGAGTTAGCACTGGAAAAGTTTGATTGCCAAAAATGTAGTGCTTCTATTTCAATAATGACTTCCAAATTTTTACACCAAATGTATGATTAACAGGCATCCACCATGACCAGTTAACTGTCTATTCATCAGCCTCATCCAAGAGTGAACAAAGTATGGAAATAGGATGGAATACAACATTGCAATGTGCTCACCAAAATGCTCCCCACACCCCCAGTATACAGATAATTTCGTTATTTCCAAGCCTCCTTTGCAGTGATGTATGCCCATTTTCCTGCACAGAAATGATAGAAGCCAGTCACAATCCTGACCCTCAAGGTCTTCTGAACAATCCTTCATGACTTGTCTTTCATTATCCATAAGCTGAATAGAGAGAATAGGAGCTAACGGTGCAGAGCCACAGAATAAACTTGGGTTCCTGAAATACTACATGAAACAGAGGTCTTGACGACCTATATGACACTGTAATGTTGCCAAAAACAGTTATTGTGCAAGAAATCATTTGCAATTTGGGAGTTGCTTGCCTTAACTGTTGGCTTTGCCTAATACAAATGGGTGCACCAATGATGAGGCAGGGAGAGCCCCCCAGAGCACAGGAAAAAGAGGGATGATGCTTTATACATAGAGAATTTCAAAGCAACAACAATGTAACAAAACTCACTAATGTCCATTTTCTTTTTATTATCACCTACATTGACAAATGTAAATAATATCAGTGATAAAATCTTCCTCTCCATACAGTGGAATGAAGCCGTGAGTAGTTGAGAATAGGATAGGAGGCAGGAAGACTGCTTCTCTCTCATTCCATCTCTGCTTGGTACACAACTGCTACCGGGGATAAAAAGCCAAAGCAAACCAAAACAACAAACAAAAACATCATTTCACCAGGTTCGAGGATAGGAAGTATTGCTCTAAGTTTTCACTCCCTGATTTAGTAAATGAAGCTCTCTGATTCTTCCACCTGGAAGCAAATTTCGCAATTCCCTGAGTTTTCTGAAAATCAAATGAGGCTGTGAAACTCTTAGGGAATTTCATAAATATCATATGAATGAATGCTAGCATTATTATTACATTATTTGTATATTTCTAGGCACACAGGATACTCTTTCATGATCACATGTATAATCATAATCAGTTTTAGTTTATAGAATAGACTCTTTCTTTTTCATATACCTATACTCATATAGATAGATAGAAACAGGCATATCGGAGAGACTGAAAATACTTCTTACAAATACTGAGTTGTTCAAGTACCACATTGTTTGAAGAGAGGACCTTTTTATATTTCTGTAAATTGTGCCCAGAAGAAGAGAAGACTAAAGTAAACATTTCTACCACTTTACTTACCTTTTCGTTATCTTTCCAAATTCCAACCATTCTGCAGAGAATATTCATTAAGCATCTGCTGTATCAGGTCCTGGTTTCCAGATGAATAAGGCACCATCTCTACTGTTCCCAAATCCAGCATCTGCAGAAGTACCCATGGATATAAAGAAGCATTTGTAATAAACGTGGACAGATGCTATAGCAGATTTGTGGATTTTATAGAGCAGTATATTGATTTTACTTGAAAACTCAAATTTGGTTGCCAGCTTTTGATTTTGCCAGACATTAAGATAACTAATTACAAATGCATTTTTATAACCTAGGGGAAAAATTAACACTGAATATATAAAACATACTTTCAGATTAAGTCAGATTCTTAAATTGATATATTTATCTTATTTTCTTTTTGCCAAATAATATTTATTAATAGCTGAAATCTACATTAAAATAACATATTTTGCCTATCTAGTTGACAAAGATGAAAAATAGATGTATTATGATTATTGACAAAGGGTGTTCTCAAATATGTGCTTTTAGTCACAGTGTGGGAAAATGTGAATGAATGTGTGTGTGTGTGTGTGTGTATTAGTACATACGTTAGTACCTATACTTACATCTATATACCTACACAGGTACATAATTTGTATCACCCCATAGCTATAGCTTTGTAGCCTGCTCTTTTTAAATCTTAACTTCATATTTTGAGTATTTATTTTGTCATTAATGTTACCTTTTGTTCTTGATTTTAGCAGGGGTACATGTGCAGCTTTGTTATATAGGTAAACGAATGTCACGGGGATTTGTTGTGCATATTATTTCATCATCCAGGTACTAAGCCTAGTATTCAGTAGGTATTTTTTTCTGATCCTCTCCCTCCTCTTAACCCCCACCCACAAGTAGGCCCCAGTGCCTATCATTCCCATGTTTGTGTCCATGTATTCTCATCATTTAGCTCCCACTTATAAGTGAGAACACACAGTATTTGGTTTTCTGTACCTGCATTAGTTTACTAAAGATAATGACCATTAGCTCCATCT
Source organism: Homo sapiens (assembly GCF_000001405.40). Classification (NCBI taxonomy): domain Eukaryota; kingdom Metazoa; phylum Chordata; class Mammalia; order Primates; family Hominidae; genus Homo; species Homo sapiens. The sequence continues at coordinate 19,144,862 of NC_000004.12, read as the reverse complement.
GTGTTCCCAAAAAGACGTGGTCTTATTCTTCTTTATGGCTGAATAATATCCACGGTGTATATGTACCATATTCTGTTTATCCAATATGTCATTGATGGACATTTAGGTTGATTCCATGTCTTTGCTATTGTGACTTGAGCTGCAATGAATGCTCATGTGCATGTGTCTTTATGGTAGAATGATTTATATTCCTTTGGGTATATATCAAGTAATGGGATTGCTGGGTCAAATTGTACTTCTGTTTTGAGGTTTTTGAGGAATTGGCACACTGCTTTCCACAATGATTGAACTTACTTACACTCTTACTAACAGTGTATAAGCATTCCCTTCTCTCCGCAACTTCGCCAGCATGTTATTTTTTGACTTCTTAGTAATAGCTATTCTGACTGGTGTGAGATAATATTTTATTGTGGTTTTGATTTGCGTTTCTCCAATGATCAGTGATACTGAGCTTTTTTTCATATGCTTGTTGGCCGCATGTATGTCTTCATTTGAAAACTCTCTGTTCATGTCCTTTGCCCACTTTTTAATGGGGTTGTTTGTTTTTTTTCTTGTAAATCTGTTTAAGTTCCTTACAGATGTGGATATTAGACCTTTGCTAGATGCATAGTTTGTAAAAATTTTCTCTCATTTTGTAGGTTGTCTGTTTATGCTGTTGATAGTTTATTTTGCTGTGCAGAAGCTCTTAAGATTAATTAGATCCCATTTGTTAATTTTTGCTTTTGTTGCAATCATTTTTGGCATGTTTGTCATTACATCTTTTCCGTTTCCTATGTAGGACTTTATTTTTAAAATCACAGTTTTTCACTTTTTTTTGTTTGTTTTACCACAAACTGCTGAACACTTCATTTCTTGTTATAGACCATGGCCTTCAGATCTTCACAGTGAAATAGGCATGAAGAGAGATACAAAGGCTCTTAAGAGATACAAAGTAGAGAGCAGGCCATCTCCCAGAGACTCCAGTTGGAGGATTTTATGTGACTGTTTATCCCTGGAGTTGTGGCCTGGGGAACAGAAGTGAATTCCAGGAAGGTACGGGGAGTATGGAGATCACCAGGAAACTCTACTCACAGGACATTGTTCAAATGCTGATCCATAAACAATGACAAGGTATTAACAGTTAGGCAGAGAATGGGAGGGCTGGAGATGGTTTTCCTGGTAGAGAAAGCAGCTCCAGCAAAGGCAGATAAATACAAAAGAGCACAGCACTGAAGCCGCTCATTGTCAAAGGGAACATATTTGGTGAGGGTCCCAATAGAGGAAAGGATGGGAACATGGAACTTGTCATCCCTCTTTCTGCATAATTTCTTTTCAGGATGCTGTTTTTCATGAATAAGAACTGACTGTTTTAATACCTGAGGTGGCTGAATTGCCTTATGTTATATGAGAGCAACACTTTTAGACTAAATTAAATTGGTATCAGTCAGGGTTCTTTAGAGGGATGGAACTAATTTATATATATATATATATATATATATATATATATATATATATATATACACACACACACACACACATATATATATAATACACACACACACATATATATGTGTGTATATATGTATACACACTGGAGCTAAAGGGGCGTACATATATATGTATGTGTGTGTATATATATTTATATATATGTGCATATATATGTGTACATGTAATATATAATATATATGTATTTATATATAATATATATCATATATGTATTAATATATAATGTATATGTATGTATATATGTATATATACACACACATATGTGTATATGTGTGTGTATACTTTCAGGAAAGTGTATGTGTGTGTGTGTGTGTGTGTGTGTGTGTGTGTGTATATATATATATATATATATATATGAAAGGGGAGCTTGTTAAGTATTAACTCACACAATTACAATGTCCCTCAATAGGCTGTCGGCAAGCTGAGGAGCAAGGACAGCCAGTCTCAGTCCCAAAACTGAAGAACTGGGAGTCTCTTGCTTGAGGGCAGGAAGCATCCAGCAAGGGAGAAAGATGTACGCTGGGGGGCTAGGCCAGTCTAGTCTTTCCACGATTTTCTTCCTGCTTTATATTCTAGCCATGCTGGCAGCTGATTAGATGGTGCCCACCCAGACTTAGGGTGGGTCTGCCTTTCCCAGCCTATGGCTCAAATGTTAATCTCCTTTGGCAACACCCTCACAGACACACCAGGATCAATACTTTGCATCCTTCAATCCAATCAAGTTGACACTCAGTATTAACCATCACAAATTTCAATACCAATTGTGATGTCAAATATAAAATAGCAGCTCATTCTAAGCATTTTTGTATAAATTGTGATGGGATAGACTTTCCTGTCACATGCTGCAGTGAAGAAAAGGAAAAAATCATTCCAAGAATAAAGAAGAGGTTTGAAACTACCTTCATAACGCAATTCATGCTTGGAAAGGAGACCGCTCTACTCTCAATACTATGGTAAAGCATTAGCAATCATTGGGAAAATAGTAACACTCCTCTTCAAGTTATCTGTTCATGTTGCTGTTGTTATCTGTATTAACAAGAAAGAAAGAATAAGATGTAACCCATGACTGAGACCAGCTCTTGGCCTCTTTTAATCTTCCATAATCCTGAACCAAATCTCCTACTATATACATTCCTCAGCAACAGAACTCTTAAGTGAGTCAATATCTGATTTATACTAGAGGATGGAGATTTTAGAACCAAACCAAACCAAATCAACTAATCAAACAACAACAACAAAAATCCAGAGCCTCAGCTCAGGGACCAAGGTCAGCTCAGGGACCAAGGAGAAGAAGAAATCAAGGAAAATGAAGAATTTAAGAGGTGATTAGAAGTCAGACTCTGCTGAAGGAATATCTTCATGAGGTTATACAGAATCCTGGCCAAAAAGTTTTGCTTTTATGATCCTATGTATAGGAATAAGTGTGCCAGACTTGAGGCAGCATATCTGACTTCTTTAATCCCCTCATGACCCTCCTTTGGGAGATGCTGCTCTTGAAGTAGAAGAAAAGTGCTAACTGGAAATTCTTTGAAACCTCACTTTCTCATTGTCAGCTGGTTAAAAGAAAACAAAAACAAAAACAAAAACACCTGCCCAGCTACAATCACCACTAAAAACAGAGATGCATTTGAGATTGCTCAATAATAAAAAAGAAGAGGCTGTGCTCCTTGGTATTTATCCAAATGAGTTGAATACATTAAAACCTGAAAATGAAGGTATATATCAGCCTTATTCATAATTGCCAAAATGTGGAAGCAACAAAGATGTCCTGCAGTTACTAAATGGATAAATAAACTGTGGTACATACAGACAGTGAAATATTATTCAGGACTAAAAAGAAATGAGCTATTATGCTGTAAAAAGAAATAGAGGAAACTTAAATATCTTTACTAAGTGAAAAAGACCAAACTGAAAGACTGCATACTGTATGATTCCAATGATACGATATTCTGGGAAAGGCAAAACTATGCAGAGGTTAGGAGAGAAGAAGGGATTAATCAGTAGTTGACAGAGGTTAGGAGGGAAGGAGGGATGAACTGGCATAGCACAGAGGATTTTTAAAGCAGCGAAACTATTCTGTATTACATGGTAATGGTAGATGTGTCCAAATTATACATTTGTAAAAATCCACAGAATGTACAATACCAAGAGTGAAGCTTAATGTAAACTTTGGGCTTTAAAAATATTATTTTTAAATAATTTGTAAAAATAGGTTGATCCACTATATTACATGTTGCATACTGGTGAGGGATATTGGAGGATGTTATGCATATGTGGCAGCCAGAAATAGGAGAAATCTGTGTCTTCTGCTCAATGTTACTGTGAACCCAAAACTGCTCTAAAAAATAGTCTATTAAAGAAAAAGAGGAGGCAGGTCTAAGAGTGTCGTTTATCTAATCAGTAGAACTAGCTCCCTTATTTATTTTGGAAACAACTCCTCATAATATATATGACTACTATAATTTGGATCTGTGTCCCCACCCAAATCTTATTTTGAAATGTAATCTCCAGCGTTGGACGCGGAGCCTGGTGGGAGGTGATTGGATCATGAGGTGCTTTCTCATGAATAATTTGGCACCACCCCTCTTGATACTGTCCTCGTGAAACTGAGTGACTTCTCCTGAGATGTAGTCATTTTAAAGTGTGTAGCGCCTCCCCCTTCACTCTCTTGCTCCTCTTTTTGCCAGGCGGGGTGCCTGCTTCCCCTCTGCCTTCCACCATGATTATAAGGTTCCTAAGGCCTCCTCAGAAGCTGAGCAGATGCCAGTATCATGCTTCCTGTACAACCTGCACAACTGTGAGCCAATTAAGCCTCTTTTCTTTACAAATTACCCAGTCTCAGGAATTTCTTTATATTAATGTGGAAGAGAACTAATACAATGACGTACAAATATTTCTCCCGTTCCATAGGTTGTCTTTTCACTCTGTTGATTGTTTATTTTGTGACGCAGAAGGTTTCTGGTTTTATGTAGTCCTGATTCTCTATTTTTCCTTTTGTTGCATGTGCTTTTGATGTCATATTCAAGGGGTCATTGGCAAAAAAAAAAAAAAATTCTAAAAACTTTCCCCACTTTGCCTTCTGAGATTTACAGCTTCGTATCTTATATTTAACTGTAACCAATTTTCAGTTGATTTTTGTGCATGGTGTACTGTAAAAAGAGGGTTCAATTTCATTCTTTTCGATGTGGGTATCCAGCTTCTCCAACATCGTTTGTTGAAGGGACTATGTTTTCTCTATTGTGTATTCTTGGCAGTCTTGTTTAAAATCGGTTGACTGTATATGTATGGATTTATTTATGGGCTTTCTATTCTGGAGCATGTGTTCATATGCCTTTTATATGCCAATACCATATTGTTTTTAATGATTGTAGACTCATAATATATTTTAAAATCAGGCAGTATGATGTTTCCAGCTTTTTTCTTCCTGCTCAAAATTGCTTAGGCTATTTGAGGTCATTTGTGGTTCCATATAAATTTTAGAATTTTTTTTGTATTCCTATAAAACATACCTTTGAGATTTGGATAGTGATTGCATTGACTCTGTAGATGACTTTGGGTAGTATGAACATTTTAACAATATTAATTATTCCTGTAAACAAACACATGAAGTTTTTCCGTTATTTTCTGTCTGCCTTATTTTTTAATCAGTCTTTTATAATTTTCAGTGTATATCTTTCATCTCTTTGGTTAGATTTATTTCTAAGTATTTTATTCTTTCTGATGCTATTGTGAATGGATTGCTTCTTAATTTCCTTTTCTTATAGATTATTGTTGGTGTATATAAATGCAACTGATTTTTTGTGTGTTGCTTTTGTATCCTGCAACTTTACTGAAAGTGTTTAATAGCTCTAACACATTTTTGGTAGAATTTTAAGGGTTTTCTCTATATAAGATCATATCATCTGCAAACAGATAATTTTTCTTCTTTCTCTCTAATTTGGATGCCTTGTGTTTATTTTTTCCTGCCTAATTTCTTAGGATAGAGTTCCTTATTTTACAACTCAATATCAAAAAAGCCCAAATAACCTGATTTTTAAAAAGACAAAGAACTTGAATAGATGTTTCTTAAAAAATACATAAAATGGCTAAGAGCTATGTCATAAAATATGTTCAAAAGTGCTAATCATTAAAGAAATGCAACTCAAAACCACAATGTGATATCAACTTATACCTGTTAGAATGGCTGCTATCAAAACGAAAACAATGATAACAAGTGTTGACAGATTGTGCAGAAATTGGAACTCTTGCACACCATTAGTGGAAATAAAAAATGGTGCAGCTGCCATGGAAAACATTATAGATGTTCCTCAAAATATTAAAAATAGAACTACTGTCAGATCCAGACATTCCACTTTGGGGTATATATGAAAAATAATTAAAATCAGAACCTTGAAGACCTCTACAGTTTCATGTCATTGCAGCATTACTCACAATAACTCATTTACAAATACAGCCCAAGTGTCAATCAACAGATGAAAGGATAGAGAAAAAATGGTACATACACACAATGAGATATCACTCAGCCTTAAAAACAACATGGGTGGTCTTGTAATACATTACGCTAAATTAAATACTTCTGTCACAGAAGGATAAATACTGCCTGATTTCTCTCATATAAGGTATCTAAAATAGTGAAATGTATAAAAGTAGAAAATAGAACGGTGGTTACCAAGGGCTGAAGGGAGAGGGATATGGAACGTTGTCCTTCAATGGGTAAAAAATTACAGTTATACAAAATGAGTAAGTTTCAGGGGTCTACAATACCACATAGTGTGTATTGTTAACAATACAGTATTGTACATCTAAAAATGTGTTAAGTGGGTAGATTTCATGTGATTTGTTCGTACTGTAAACACACACATACACAAACAAAAGGACACAGGGAGACTTTTGGAGGTTATGAATATATCCATTACCTTGATTTTGGTCATGGCAACTCATGTGACCCTACAATTGTACTCATTGACAGTTATCCAAGATAAATAAAACATATCTCCATGTAACATGTTTATATGTCTGTTCGAAGAAGCTTAACTTGTAACAGTAAACATTTTGCAACTATCAAAATGTCCTACATCGGGTGAATAATCAAATGATCTAGCACATCCATATTATAAAACTTTACTTATCAAGGAACTATTGAAGCATATATGTAATAAAATAAAATATAGTGAAATTAAATGAAACAAGATGAAGTGACATTTTAAAATGGGTTTCCTTCTGGCTGTAATTAATTATGGTATCTAAAACACATCTACAAATACTAATATGATTCTTGAATGATATTCAGATAACATGCAGATGTGTCACATCTGTTTTTATTTACTTCATCCATGGACCTCTCTTGGCTGGAGAAGAAGGAAAGTCCCCTCCACTTCTCTTGTGGATTTCTGGATCAATAAACACATTTATATTGTATGCTGTGTGCTTTGCTTTATAAGTTCCATGACACGTATTAAAGAATGAAGTTCTCTATCCTTCAGAAGGTACCATGTTCTGACCAGTGTAAGTCCTGACATTGGACTAATGAGAATTTGAAGAGCTGGAGAGGTAATCGATAATTTATCAAGCACCAGAGAGAAAGAACAACTCTTCCTAGGTGATGTTGACTAAAGACAGAGGAAAAATTTGCTAGTGAAAAAAACAGTTGCTTCTGTAACAGATGAAGTTCCAAACATTCGTAACTTAAGAAAATAAAATAAGGTTATTTTATTCTCTCTTCACAGTATCAGGTGGATGCTTCTAACCAGGTAGACATCTTTTTGGTCACTTTAAGACCAGTACTTATTCCAGGTGCGGCTTTACCTCCCTCTGAGCAGACCCTCAGTGGACTTTCCATTCAGTTATTGGCTTAGGAAGGAGAGGCTCTTGCATAGGTTTATGGGAGGTTTTAAAAGGACAGTTCTGGAAGTGGGTCACAATATTCCAACTCACATTTTATGGGCCAGAACTTGCCCAGTGCCTAAACTTTACTGCAAGGGAGACTGGCAGAAGCAGACTAACTGTGTGCCCAAGAACAAAAGGTAAAAAGTTTGCAATACAACCTGCTAGTCTCTGCTACCTAAGGAAATAATAAAAGCAAGCAAAGCCCCACCAGGTCACAGAAGATTTTAGCCTGTGCTTACAGGTGCCAGGACTGGCAATTGATGTAGAAAAGGGGGTCTCAGGTATTTTATGAGAAAAATAGTCCCTGTAAGAACTGGGTGCTGAGTTATTGACCACTCAAGGACAAATTGTTAAAGTAGGGAATATCATGAAACACTGTAACAAGTAGACGAAACTAAGGCTGATGTTACTCAGAAGAAAGAGCTTTTCTCTTCTCGTGTCACTGGAAAGTTATAGAAGCAAGTGGAACATTTTAGAATGACCCAAGGTGACAAATATACGTCTTAGGACACAGAGAGAAAACAATTGAGGAACTAGAGAAAATGAGTTGAGCATCTACAGCCTGGAGTTATGGAGAATCTGAACTTCCACAAAAAATCTCTGTCTTTCCCTCAACTGACTTATGTATTTTTCAAATTTGCAAATATTGATTATATGTGTATTCTGATAAGTCAGTAGTCATCATCCTATTCTCTGTAGGTTATACCATTACTTTAGCCACTTAGAACACAAATTGCCTTTTTACCCCCAGGCATCCACTATCAATGAGATTGGATATAAATTATGAATTAGAAGCAACTGACTTGTTGCTGTCTCTGGAATTACTCAGTAGCCTTATTCCTACTTATTTTCCTTCATCAGATCTTATGCTGAAAATGTTTGAGCCAGATCTATTTAATTTGGTTTGCTTTGGATAATCATCAGACTTAGTTGACCTGATGGCTTCACAGGTACCAGTATTTGTGTTTGTTTTGCTTTGTTTTATGAATCATTACCACATTATAAGAATGGCAATTCTGTGCAGAAATGTGGTTTTTATGCCTGAAAGTAGTTTCAGTTCTAGGCCCCACTTAAGGCTTTTGAACCTGATCCCCCATGCAACTGTGAATAAGAGCTGTACAATCTTCCCTCCTTGGAAAGTACCTGCCACCTGCCTCACATTTAAAGAGGAAAGAGGAAATTGCAAGACCAGTGGATTCAATTTTTAAATTATTCCTGGAGGAAACAAACAGGCCAAAACAGCTATTCTGTGAAATTCATTTCCTGGACTAGAATCCCCAAACTAAGATAGTTCCTGGTGAGGAACTTTTATGCCATTGGTCATGTCTTCACTTACCTCTCCTCTTTTGGAAAACTCACCCTCCTTTTCTAAAACTTGGCATCCTGTTGTAAGTTCTTACCAACCTAGTTTCAGTGATTGGTCAAGAGAAGGGCACATGACTCATGATAAACCAATCAAAAACCTACTCTGCAATTTTTCAAAGTAGAAATGTTAAACAGAAAGTTCTTTTCTTTGTGTGACACAGCTGAGGATATATGACACCAGAAGATGTCCTTGATCAGGAATATGCATGTCCACGGCAAAGCCCATCTTACAGGATAAAAATCTGAGTGAACAGAATGAGAAAGACACCGTAAAACTCTACCCATGAATGAAACTTCCACCTTCCTCAGAGTTGGCTTATTGAGCTAATAATTTCAACTTTCTTTTTCTTATTTTTAATTTTGTAATTTTTAAGTGACTGTGTCTATATGTGTGTGTGTGTGTGTGTGTGTGTGTGTGTGTGTGTGTGTGTGTGTGTGTGCATGTGGTTATCCAAACCAGTTTAGACTCAATTTTGATCAAAGTAACAGCAGCAACAACAGAGGCATAATTAAGATATGTGAGAATGTATGTATGAGTGTGATACATATTATACATAGATGATGGTTTTGTTACTGTTATCTCAAAAGGGGCTTTTATGGATAAGCACTGAGGATCCCAAAGTCTGGTCATGCTTAGGAAATATGGGGCACTCACTTATAACCCTGAGAAACTAGACATTGTCCAAGTTTCAGTATCTTACTGTTCAAGATGAAAATATGTGTCTATATGTTTTATTGACATTCTCTAAAATAATAAATATGACTTATCTAATAGTTTAAAGTTTTGCTAATATGTTCTTTATCATGAATGGACATATACTCATGGACATTATTTAAATCAGGGAGCATATAGTCCGTTTAAAACTGGGCTTATAGAGCAGAAGAACACATCAGTAGAAAATAAATAATTATTTTTGGTATCCAGTTTTTCTTAGTGATGACTGAGCTCCAATATAGAGTAGAAGCAGAGAGAATTGAGTGAGTTTCCAAAATTATTGGGTTCAAATTTACTAAATGGTATAATAACCCTTTGATAATCTATTGAAAGTATAATCTATTTTATCTACTAATATGTAAAGATTGGTCAAACTTACTTTGAGATGGCTGAAGCCCTGCATTTCTGATTTGAAAGTTGCCTGTGACCGCTGCACAGAGAACATAAGAGTGCCCTGAAACACATCTCTTCCCCAATGCCCCAGGATAGAACACAGACAGCAATTCAAGTGCAAAGCTGACTTGGCCCTTTAACGTAAAACAGGCCTGCTTCTGTTGAGCCTTTTAAGACAGCTCTTTCTTTCTGTGACACCCCTGAGAACAAAACATCAAATACCAGTAAGAACAAAGAAAGTACCTTGGGAGTATACTCAAATAACCTCCAATCCTCCTCACTGTGACTCAAACACTACCGAATTTTGAATATTTGAACATAATTCACTAATGTGTTCTATATAACCCTCTTGAAAAGATGAATGAGTGCTTAAGTTTCTCTGAGCATTTACACTAACTTTGAATTGCATGTAAATACTAAGAAGCCCTCTTAAATATATGGCATTTTTGAATAGTTGACATAAGCTAATATATATAATCTTTTTTCTTGTTATTCTGTTCAGTTTACGTTTCACTGGGAAATTGCAGAAACTAAGCAGGCTGTCATCTACATGTGTGTATGTGAATGTGTATTATATATGTATTATATAAACACGCATATATGCATATAATATATACTCACTTATATGCATATACTGTGCATACACATATATGTGTAGTTTATATATTAAGTACTGGAGACTTGGATAAATTAATTGCTTTTAAGGCTTTTTTTTGTTTGTTTTTAAAAGGCAGTTTGTTTGATAAAGGAGTGAATCTACTTGAATCTCTGGGAATACATTTTATTTATTTATCTAATTTTTTTTAGAGATAGGGTCTCACTTTGTCACCTGGCTGGAGTGCAGTGGTGAGATAGACGTACTTTTGGTTCTTTTTCTATTTGCCAGTGGACACAGAGAGGAATGACCCAACAACCCAGCTGCCCCATCTAAAACTGTGTGAACTTGAGTCTCTCTGATCTCATTTATAAAAGGCTAACAATGATAACACTTGCCTTATTGGGATACTTTCTAACATTTGGAAATCATGTAGTATATAAAAGGCTCTGAAAAGACACTCTTTATATTTTTGCTATTAATGCCTTCTATTTATCCTTCTAGATTGTGAATTACTTGGAAACAATATCCTATAAATCTTACTTCTCCTGGGCCTAGAAAAAAAATGTCTATTGCAAAGAAAGTGCTCAAATTATGTTTGAATAATTGAATAAGTATGTCTCCTCTCAATTGGAGACACTTTATTTTTTTCACTCTTTACTGCCTTTTTATGTTACTGTTTTGGCAAGCCCAATTCATACTGCTCATCATTCATAATCGTCTCATGCCTTGGCTCCTCTTTGTATTTTATGCATCAGGAATTATAAATTTGTATAGTTCTCTGAACATATTATGCCATTTCACCTTAATTCTTTTGTATATTATGTTCCCTGTATTTACAATGTGCTCACATGTAAGGTAAACATTTAATTTAATAAATATTTTTGGACACCTACTATGTGGGAGCTATTGTGCAACATCCTGGGAAGCAAACAGCTGTCTTTGAACAAATTAGATGCAATCCCTCCCTTGATGGAATCATGTATTTTTTTTCTGAGAAAGTTCTATGCACTCTTCAATAGTGGTATGTGGTGGGGGGTAGGGATTGGGAGAGGTCTGTCCTAGCAGGAAATAATAGTTTATTACCAGTATTGTTTAGCATTGCTGGCTCAGAACAATAATATAAGGCAGATTAATTTTTAGTTTAATTGTTATTTGTATTTATCTACAGAAAATGCATCACCTTATTGCGTATATCTAGGTTAGATGACTCCTTAACACCCCTTGAAATAGTAAAAGAGGGGCTTTGGTAACGTAGCTTAGGGCATGAGGGGATATAGTCATCTTTGAGCATGATAAAGGGCAGGTGAGAGGCTGGTGGTTTCCTATTATTCTTCATGCAAAGCATCTGATGAAATCTTAGGCTTTTCCAGCTCGAAGTCAGGTTACTATGAGACCATGAGAGTGCTGGAATGTCTTCCACCTTCAGGATCCAAAGCCCCACCCTATGTCTTAAAGGAAATTTTGGACAATGACTTTAAGACTTAGCAAAGTTTTCTTCAGGTACTCTACCATCCTGTGAGTTTTAAATGTTTAGAAACATGTTATTTGGATTTAAAATAAAGTTCTGATGGCATACATGATTTCTCAATTTCGTCTCACAAGCTATCACTAGGACTGTATAATCTGCAACATACTATGGAATAGAGCTTAATGGTGGAACTCTTTATACACATTAACTTCCCTTAATTCTTATAACAAAAAATGAGTTTTGCACAATTATCTTTCCTTCTTCTCTTTGTTTTTATGAAATTAAGCTTATCAGCTCTTTTGCATGACTTTGGAACTAAAGAAGCAAGCCATTTCTCCTGCATCATGTTGACTACTTCCAGAAATCCTGAAAATACTTGTTGACATATTTGCATCTCACTTCCAATGAGTGATACAAGGGCCGGGCCGATTCACCAAAAAATAGAATGAAAGAAAAAGAAAAAAAAATGTAGTCTCAGAGAATATTTGGGAAAAAGTATCTCATTGCATAAGTGAGCCATTTTTTTCTTTTACAGTTTGTTACTCACTTTGCTAGTAAGGGTGGAGCAGCTGGGTTGAAAATGATGGGTCGCTCTCAATGAGCAGTTACTGAAATCCTGCAATTTCAATAGGTCACACTGAGCAGAAGATACCAAGCTCTTCTGGTAACAGAATAAATTGTCCTGATGGGGCATTACTATGCCCTAGTGAAGGGGCAGTTTTTCAGATGCAAAAGCCCAAAATATTTCCCTTTCTGTGATTTTCTTATCTTTTCCTCAGATTTTTTCCCTCGAGGTCTTTTACATTTGGATTTTATTTATTATTCTTCATCGGAACATTCAATAGTCAACCTCACTAGGATTTATCATGTTTCCCTTTCTGTCTACATATATTACGAGTATTAGAAGTTTCTCATTATTTATCCTGTTAAGTAGTTCTTCTTGGGTTTCACCTGTGCCTTCCTGTAGTTCTTAGCTTCATTCATTTATTCAACACACAAAATCTGGATCCTGGAGTAGAAACAATATATGAGATATGACATCCCTGGTCTGCGGGAAGGTCAAAGAACATATGAACAATTAATGGATTTACACTTTGATAAGTGCAGTAAAAATCTAAATGGAGGTCTTACAAAGATGAGAGTATCACCGCTGAGTGTTAAAGGAAGGTTACACAATTGAGTATTCTGAACGATTCTTACAGAAGTGTCTAGAGGAGATCTGCCTAGAAATTCTCCCTTGACTAAAAAGTATGGGCTGATTCAAGTAGATGCATTAATATATAGTTCACATAAAATAATGTTTACATTTTTAATATATTAGTTCAGTGGTAATTAATATATCAGAGAGTTGTATAACCTTCTTCACAATCTAATTTTGGAATATTTTCATCACTCCAAAAAGAAACACTGTATCTTTTAGTAGTCAGTTCTCATTCCTCCTTTGCCACAGCCTTTGGTAACAACTATTCTAAGTAGTGGTATTTTAAATTTATCTAGACTAGATATTGAATATAATTGGGTTCCTACAGTAAAGTGGTCTTTTCTATCTGACTTCTTTCACTTACTATAATATTTCAATGTTTATACCTGTTGTAGCATGTGTTAGTACTTCATTGCTTTTTATGGCCAAATAATATTCCATTGCATGGATATGCAACATTTTGCTTATCTATTAATCAGTTGATAGGCATTTGAGGTTTTTTTTTCACTTTTTGGCCATTGTGAATAATGTTGCTGTGAACATTCATGTACAAGTTATTTAGTGGACATATGTCTTCAATTTTCTTCACTATATAGCTAGTACTGAAATATCTGAATCTCCTTGTAACTCTAATTGTAACTTTTAGAAGAGATGCAAAACTTTATCAAAGCAACTTACATCATTTTACATCCCCACCAGGAATGTATGAGGTTTCTAATAGGTATGCTGTGAGTGGGAAGTGATATCTCCTTGTGGTTTCAATTTGAATATTCCTAATGACTAATGATATTGAAGGACTTTTAATGTGCTCATGTTTACATCTTTTTGGGATAAGTGTATCTTCAAATGCTTTGCCCATTTTTAATTGGTTAATTTTTCATTTGGAAGTTGTAGCAGTTCTTTATATATTCGGGATACCAGACAATTATCAGATAAATGATTTGCAAGTAGTTTCTACTATTCTGTGGATTGTATTTTAACTTTTTGGCAATGTCCTTTGAACCCTAAAATTCTTAGTTTTGATGAAGTCCATTTTACTTAATTTTCTTTTTTTCTTGTGCTTTTGGTGTCCTAAGAAAACATTGCCAAATTTAATGTCAAAATATTTGCTCCTATGTTTTCTTTAAAGAGTTTTATAGTTTTAGCTTTATATTTAGTTTAATAATCCATTTCAAGTTTATTTTGCAATTAGTATGAGGTAGACATTTCACTTCTTTCTTTTTTTCTTTTTTTCCTTTTCTTTCTTTCTCTCTTTTTCTTTTCAGCCAGGAGTCCCAGCACTATTTGATGGAAAAAAGAAATCAGAATAAAGAAAAAACAACACTATTCTTTCTCCATTAAATGGTCTTTGCACCTTTGCCAGAAATCAATTGACCATAATTATAAGGGGCTCTATTCTGTTTTATAGATTTATATCTAGCCTATGCCGGTGCCATGTGGTTTTTATTTCTATAGCTTTTAGTAAGATTTGAAATTGGGGATTATTATTCTTCTTAGTTATTTTTTTGACATTGTTTTGGCTATTCTGGGTTCCTTGCATTTCTGTATGAATTTGGGGATCAGCCTGTCAATTTCTGCAAAGAAGCAGCTGAGATTTTGATTCGGATTGCTTTTACTTTAGAGATATCTGAATTACTGGAGTATTGCCATATTAATAATATTATGTCTTCTAATCCATGAACATGAAATGTATTTTCACGTATGTGAGTCTTCTTTAATTTCTTTCACCAATATTTTGCAATATTTTGCAAGTTTTAGTGTATGAGTCTTACATTGTTTGTAAATATTCATAAATATTTTATTGTTTTATGTTATTGTAAACTAAACTCATTTCTTTATTTCATATTCTAATTATTCATTTTTAGTGTATAGAAACACATGATGTTTTATATTGAACTTGCATCCTACAAACTTGCTGAACTTGTTTATTAGTTCTAATAGTGTTGTAGGTGTGGATATGGAGAGGATGATGTCTTAGGATTTCCTACATACAAGCTCATTTCATGTACAAATAGACAGTTTTACTTTTTTCCTTTTTAATCTGAATGACTTTTATTTCCGTTTCTTGGCTAAATGCCCTGGCTAGCACCTTCAGTACATTTTTGAATTAAAGTGGCCTCAGCAGACATCTTTGTCTTGTTCCTGATCTTAGAATAAAGCACTTAGATTTCCATCACTAAGTACAATGTTAGCTGTCAAATTTTTACAGACAACAATCATCAGGTCAAGGACCTTCCTTTGTATCCATAATTTGTTGAGTGTTTTTATTTGGGGAATATTTTATATTTTGCAAAATAATGTTTCTGCATCTATTTAGATAATTGTTTTGTCTTTGTCTTTTTTTCTGTTAACATAGTGTATTATACTGCTTGACTTTTTCAACTTTAAATTCTTGCTGTAATTCTTACTTTGTCATAGTATATTATGCTTTTTTATGTTCAACTTTGAATTCTTGCTACAATTCTTATTTTGTCATAGTATATTATGCTTTTTATATGTTGCTGTATTTGGTGTACTAGTATTTTGTGAAGGATATTTGCATTTGTATTATTTAAAATATTGGTTTTTGATGTATTTTCTTGTAATATCTATCTTTGTATATTTTTTGTATTATTGTCAGGCTGGCTTTATAAAATGAGTTGGAGCATATTTAAGCCTCATCTGTTTTTTGGAATAGTTTATATCTGTTCTGGAATAGTTTATATCTGTTCCAGATATAATAGTTTATATCTGTTCCAGATATAATAGTTTATATCTGTTCCAGATATAATAGTTTATATCTGTTCCAGATATAATAGTTTATATCTGTATTATATCCAGATATAATAGTTTATATCTGTTCCAGATATGTTTATGTCTGGAACATATTTAAGCCTGGAACATATGGAACATATCTGAGCATATTTAAGCCTCATCTGTTTTTTGGAATAGTTTATATCTGTTCTGACCACAATGGAATAAAATTAGAAATTAATGACAGAAAGAAAATGTGTAAATTCACAAATATATGATAATTAAATTACATACTCCTGAGTAATCAATGATCAAAAAAAATCACAAAGGGAATGAGAAAATAATGAAGAAAAAGAAAACACCATATACCAAAATGTGTAGAGTGCAACTAAAATAGTTCCTAGAGGGAAATGTATAGCTGTAAAGGCCTACATTAAAATGAAGAAGAGAGATCTCAAACCAATAACCTAAACTTCTACCTCAAGACACTAGAATGTGAGTGCAAATTAAATACAAAGTAACTAGAAGAAAGAAAATAATAAAGTTTAGACTAAAAATGGATAAAATAGAGAAAAGGAAAATAGACACAATCAATAAATCTAAAAATTGTTGATTTGAAAAGAAAAACAAAGTCAGCAAACTTTTAGCTGATTAAAGGAAAAAAAGTCTCTTCCAAAAAACACGTAACAGTTACCATAAAGAATTTTTAGCAGTTACAAAAGTTGACATTGATAGAGGTGATGTATATTCTAGAGTCATTTTATATAAAGTAGCAGGTATTCACTTGGGGTAACTGTGTGTATGTTACCCAAACTTGTCTGACAGGTGAATATCTTATTTATCAAAATATTGGCTGAAAATATCAACCTCACCAAATTCAATGGGAGGTTGACAAAAACAAAAAATTTTGTAAGTACATAATTTGACATATGACTCAGAGTAGCTATTCAAGGATCCTTTGCTTCTTCCCTGACTGGAAATTCTCTCTATATGTTAATCCCTATTATATATAACATGGTTGGTTCTCTATCTAACTGGCTGAATGAAGAAACCTGCACAGTGTTCACTGACTTATTCAGGAAATGCAATGAGAAATATGCATCTCTGTTATAGATAATCACAGTTTCTTGGAGTTAGGAAGACATCAACCTCCAACTATTATCAATTCTGAGACAGGTTACTTGATGTTAGTATTTCTAAGTACATTCATCTACAAAACTGAGATGAAAATAAAATAGACACCCAAGAATTAGCATGACCATTCAGTGACCTGATATAATTTAACTGTCTCACACAGATCTGGCCCAGATTAAGGTTCAAAATATTATTTTTTCTCCCTTGATCTGCCCTTCACTTTCCTTGTGGAGTAGTGTATGTTTGTATGTATACTTATACGCCATAGGAAACAAAATTCCATCAAATGAACACAACATCCACTTAACTGGAAAATAAGCCTTTCAAACATTCTAGTTATAAGCATAGCAATTTCCTCTGAAAATTATGCCATGTGGCTAGAATAAAGCAGATGTTTAGCTGACCTCACCTTCACTTATGAGAAACTGATTACTTATTTGTTCATCTGTTCTCTTCCAAAAAAAAAAAAAAAAAGTGTAAGCCTGGAAGTAAATTGCTAGCTTCATGGTTTCAAAAGAATCATTGGTTTTCCCTATCTGCATATTACTCCCCATTTTGAGCCACATCATGGTCTTCATTTGAGGGCTGACGGCACACTACCATCATAAAGGTTAACGGCTTGCATCACAAACTCTTTCCACACCCCAAAATAACTAGAATATTTGACAAAGGATAACATATAGGAAATGGCTGCTTTAATCAAACACGTCTTTTGTTTAGCCTTTTACTTGTGAATTGCTTCTCAATAGCTCATATTATGGGATACAGTAACCATGGCAATGAGCTGTCTATTTCCTAAATGCCATAAAACATATGGTATTTGGGCGGTTGTGGTGCCATAGTAGTTGTCAGATGATTCCTATCTCTAGCAAAACTGACCAGGTGGTTACAAAACAAAATTTAATTTCCATTCTGTGCCAGAAATGTTGGACAGTCAAATAGTTAGAGGCAAAACTCCAGAATGGCATTATTCCATAGAACATTTGATGATGATGGAAAAGTTTTAGATTTGCACTGTCCAGTACAAGCAGTGACCAGCCACATGTGGCTCTGAAGCACTTCAAATGTGATTAGTAAGACTGAGAAAGTGAATTTTAAATTTTATTTCATTTTAATTCATTAAAATTTAAATTTAGACAGCCACGTGTTGCCAGTGGCTGCCCTATTGAACCCTGAAGCTCTTGATTAACAGGAAATGTAATCATTTTTATGCTGAAATTTGAAGAATTCTTAGAAAACACTCTGTCAAAAGAAAAGGCTGCCCAACCAGTTTTGTAAGGTCTGAAATTCTATTGAGATTGTGAAATTTAAAATGAATTCGGAAGTATAAAGGTAATGGCTACCCATTATCACAGTCGTCATCTAGATTATTTTATTGCAATAATTTCCCCTTTCCATCCTTGATTTTATAATGATTTCATTCTTTAACTATTGCCTCTTATATTGTCATTTTTCTCCCTCTACGTCATTTTTTCCCGCAAATGTATACACCCATTCGAGATTCCCAAACTATATTCTCATGATCCTCTATATCCTTTAACTCCTTTACTGCTACCTTACCTGGCCTCATAATTCAACATTAAAAGCGATCACTTGCATAAATCTTTAACCACATTCTCCTCTTTCCTTCACCAGCCTAGTGAGTCCCCAACCTTAGGTAAAATTCAACTTCCCCTCCCAGTCAATACCTTCATAGGAACAGCTGCATGTGATTGGAAAATATATATACATATATATACTAATATATCTAATTCTATACCATAATTACATGAGGAACATCACCCTTTGGTATGAATTAATTTTCATGTCTTTCATTTTCCTATGTATCAAGATTATTTGAAATCTGCAATCTCCTTAACCTTCCAAAACATGCTGTCTCCTTCTGAGTTTCGATTGCTGATCCTACTAAACGTATAGAGAACACAGAAGGAATGTAAAGAGAACTTGCACAGACTTCCATGATTACACCTACCAGCCTGGCCCATTCCTCTGACTTCCTTCTTATTACAATGGACCAACTCACTGTGCTTCTAAGGACAACTCATTCATCCTTGCATTGCATTTCTTCCCAGTTTCTCTACTCAAGGAACCACTCCTGAAAGGACCCCTCCCTTTCCTACATCATACCATCTCCCTATCTACTTTCTCCCTCATGTCTACATATAGCATCTGTAATATCTCCTTTTTAAAAATACTTCCCTGACTCCCAGTCTCCTTAAAGCAACTACCTTATGTTCATATTTGCATGCCTCACAGAAAAACTGTAGTTTTTATTTCCTGCCCTGGCTTCCTCTCTCATGTTTTCTTAAACCCAGGGAGGCTTTCCTCCTGCCATATCCACAATAATTGCTTTTGCCAATTATCATTGACCTCCATTTTCTCAAATTAGTAGTCATTTCTTAGTTTCAATTTCACTTGTCTTAGTGATATTGTGAATATTTAAATACGCTATCCTCTTTGAAATTTTTTATATCTTTGGTTTTTAGGGAATTACACTGTCATAATTTGAATCCTGTATTTTTCAGAGTTCCTCAGCTGGTTTCTTCTCCAAGGAACTGGAGACTGATCACCAAATATGAGCAACGCTCCACCCCAGGCTTAATCTTTGGACTTCCTGTTGCATTAGCATTTACACATTTTGGTAATGTCATCATATTTAATGGCTATAAATGGCAAAGATACTCACATCTCCCTGAATCCTCAGTTCCAGATTCATGGCCAACTGCATATTCTATATGCCTATTTGGATATTTAACATGTATCTCAAAATTAAAATTCCCCTACTCATGCTCACTTCTTCACTGATCCTTCCATAAACAAAACCTACATTCTTCTAATTATTTCTCTTTATCCTGCTTCTACTTTGTCCCCACTACCATATCTATTCTCTACACAACATTATGTTTCTTTCATTTATTCTCTCCCTTTTTTCCTTGGCCGGCTTTCCTTCCTGCCTTCCTTCCTTCTTTTTTTCCCACTTTCCTCTCTCCCACTTTCTCTTTCTTTCTTTTTCTTTCTTTCTTTCCTTTATTTTCTTTCTCTCTTTTCTTTCTTTTCTTTCTTTCTCTTTTTCTTTCTTTTCTTTCTTCCTTCCTTCCTTCCTTCCTTCCTTCCTTCCTTCCTTCCTTCCTTCTTTCTTTCTTTCTTTTTTCTTTTTCTCTTTCTTTCAAGGAAGTATCTTTTAAAGAACATATTACAGATACTATGCTTTCTTTCCTTCTCTTTAACATAAATCAGAACATATCACTTGTTGCTGACAGCATACTCAAATGCTCTGCCCTGATTCTGCTGTCTCTGACTCTCTTAGGATCCTCTCTCAGTTCACTGTTCTGAATTATTTGGCTGCCTTGCTTTTCTGAGAACTCTCCTACGACACCTCCAATGCAGAATGTCCTTGCTGTTTCTTCTGCCTAGAATACCCTTAACGAAGATATCTGTATGATTTTCCTACCTCATTTCTTCCAGATTTCCCCATAGTATTACCTTTCAGATAGGAATTCCTTGATCATTCTATGTGAAATAGCAGTCATTTCCCCCTCCTCTCATCACTCTGACTCTGCCTTATTTTCCTTCATAGGATGTAACACAAGACATTGTATACATTATTTTTTGTAAATTTTGTTGCCCTTTTCTTTTCATTAGAATAGAAACATTTTTAGTACAGCAAACTATTCTACCTTATTCAGAATCTACTTTATTCTCAGCTCTTAGACCTACATCTGACGCAAAGAAGTCTACTTATCTACTTTATATTGGCCTATTTTATAGATGGAGAAAAATTTGGAAAAAGCTCATTTTTAATCAAGATTTTATGCTTACTGATTGTAAGGCTAATCAGTTCATTTTAGTAAAATACATAGACAACTGCACAAATAATAATGGCAATAATAACACTAACCACATGGAATTCCAGCCTACAGGACATTCTCCACATAAATGCTCCGCTTCATTGCCTCCTTCCTTCGGCTAGCTCTGTTTCCTTGGTCTAAAGTTATCAGTTAACTCGATATAAGTTACCAAGTTACAATATTTTACCATCTGAAGAGATAACTGAATAATTTAAGCTTGGGCTTTGTAGTAACATACTAAAACTTCAGCTAAAATCACTTCGTTTTTCTGAAGGTGAGTTTTTTTTCTTAAATATAAATATGTAGATGATAAGAACACCTTCTTCATTACATTGCTTTAAAAGTTAAATGAAGTGAAATACATGATGCTTGTCCCTGGCAGAACAGCTACTAGATTTAATTACTGGTGGTTGGCAAAACCATGACCCACTTGTTTTTGTAAATAAAGTTTTATTAGAACACAGCCATGTTATTTACTTATTGCCTGTGGCTGTGTTCATGCTACAACAGTAGAATTAAATATGCCCTGAAAGACCTAAAATAGTTACTCTCTGGCCCTTTACAGAAAAGGACTTTTATGACCTGTGAAGTACACAAAAATCATTACTTTCAGTAGTAAAGTATCTTTCACGACCAAAACACCTCTTGATTTTTTAAAAGGACCTTTGATGTCTGAGTTCAAATACTGGAATCACTTATACAACACATTAGTTTACTTTATTTCTTCATTAATTTCTCAAAATGACTTTGTGACTTAGGCATTATTATTATCCCTATTTACCAATGAGAAAAGTGAAGCCCAAAAAAGGTGACATAATTTATTCACAATAGACACAACTAGTCAGCAGTGTAGCTGGTATTTAAACTCAGGTTCAGGGTCCATACTCTTAAACATTTGTTCCAAAATAAGCTATATAAAATTCTGAAGGGTGCAGTCCTTATATCCATGTTAGCAGGGAAGAGACATACTTAGAGTCATGGGGCCATTGACTTAAATTTGAAAATGCATTTTGTCCTGCTAATGCATAATTGATTCTGTATGCACATGGGAAAACTAGAGAACTGAGAAGGTGACATTGCTTTCAGGTTTTCTAAGAGTTTTGGAAAAACAAAAACAGAAAATTGTAAGAAAGGGACTTCCCATTAAATGGAAGAATAGCTAATGTGCTGGATAGGGTCAGTGTCATTGGCTCTGTGTGTGTATGAGTGTGTGTGAAAAACAATATGTTGTTTTTGATGATGATTCAGTATAGTGCAGTGCCCTATACCCTATATGCCTAAATCAGCTCAAGCCGATTGAAATTCCCATCCCCAAGCAAGAAATTCACAGACCAAGTTGAGCAAAAAACAAGAAAAGAGGTATAAAGAATGAGGTAGAAATGCACGAGACATTAAAACATGTAGAATATTATAAGAGTCAAAATAGCGTTGAGTTAAGAGAACAGACTCTGGGGTTGAACTTGAGCTTGAATCCTAACACTCACAATTTACACATTGAGTGACCGTGCATAAATTGTTTAATATTTCTGTCCTTTAATTTCATCATCTGTGAAATGTTAATTATACAGTTGACCCTCATGTTTGTGGGTTCCCCCTCTGTGGGTTTAATCAAACACAGATCAAATTTTTGCGGTGACTTCACAAGGAAGGATGGTGGGAGAGGAGACATGGATAAAAATTACCTATTGTGTGTAATGTTCAATATTTGGGTGATGTTTACACTAGATGCCCAATCCCCAGTGTTACACATATAATACCCGTGTAACAAACAAGCCTATGTACCCTCTTAATTTAAAATTTAAACTTGGTTTTTAAATTTAAAAAAATAGGTTAGAAATTGTTTCTGTACTGAACATGTACAATATTTTTTCTGGCCATTATTCTCTAAATAGTAGAGTATAACAACTATTGTGTAACATTTACATTGTATTAGGTATTATTAGTATTTTAGGCATGATTTAAAGTATGTGGCAGCTGTGCATAGGTTATATGCAAATACTACATCATTTTATATAAGGGACTTGAGCATCTGCAGATTTTGGTATCCGTGAGGGTTCCTGGAACCAATTCTCCAATTACAATGACTATAATTGAACCCAAAACATATAATTAGTAGGAGAATTAAAGCATATAGCACTCCCAAATTGCTTAGCATAAGAATTAGGAGATTTGATCGCAAGTTCTAGCCCTGCTGGTTAAAGTATGATATTGGGTCATTTTCCTGATACTCTCCAGCTGTAGTTTTCTCACTTGTAAACCAAAAGTTGAATGGAATCTCAAGTTTTCAAACTGCACAATACAGAGGCTCTCTGGAGGAAATTGGCTAGATACAGGGGTTATTTGTGATCTGGGTTTTAAAACCCAGTCTCTGTTTCAGCTAAAATGTTTGTTTCTACTTATTGTATATATTGAGCTACTATAGAAACTAGGATTAGTGTTTAAAGAACAGATTTTATGACTGGGGAAAAACTTACAATCTGGCCCTAATTTTATCTCTGGTCAAAAAAAGTATCAAAATTAATTATGATAAGCTAAAACCTGACTGTAAAAATGATTATCAATATAATCTATCATTGGCATGAATTGATGAGAGACTACTTTTTATTTTGTGTCTTGGAATTTGTTAGCTTTGTTTATATAATATACATTAGTTGAAAATTGAGAAGCAGAAAAAAAAACATTTTAAGCAGTAATTGAAATATAACATCAGTTTTGCTTTGGTGTTCTTATGACCAGGACAGCCAAATATAAGTGATGAATGAGATACAGTGTTCTTGAATCACACACATTAACCATTTTTAATTCCCTTAAATCATTTAAGACTTTTAAATATGCTAGAGTTTAATCTAGGATCCATGAAATAAACCAATGATTGCTACATTTTAACAGCAATGTGGAAATAATACTCTGCCAAAGTGAGATGAAAATTTCAGTCTCAGTGCCTCCGGATTTTCCCTAAACCTTCTATAAATGTAAATTAAAATACCCATCCCTCCCCTGAATATGTGGACTGGGTGGTTCTCATTCTTTATCTTAGATAACTTTAAATAAATGGATAGGATTTGCTGCAGGGAGTTTGGATAACTTCACTATACTAAAGCAGTTTTTGAAGTGTGATGAAAGTGGCTTGACATGAGGATTTGTACAGTGTTGTGAAACTTGGAGGTAATTGCCAGCAGATCACCCTTGATTCTTTACATAAACCCATTTTGGAAACCAACTGTGAACACCTATGGGACACTCAGCCCTGCTAAGCCTACTTTCTCCCCAGATCCCTAGCATTCTGGTCTAAGTTTCAACTGAGAACTTTTGGACACTTGCTCACTTTTGGTATCCAAAGTTTGTGGGGAAGAGGGGAAGGGAGCAATTATAAATTAAAACAACAAAAACAACAAAATAATGGAGTTCAAGTCTCAGCTGTCCATGTCGAAGGAAATTATAACTGTAAGCTCTTTTTTTAGAGATTAGGCAAAATTGACAAGAATGTCACTTTGCTTCCCACACACTATTTTGACCTAATTTTCCTTCACCAGTCTTCATTTTCTGTCCACAAATTCTTAGTGACAACAGGCAAAGGCTGTTCTGTGTGAGACAGGCCAGAACAATGTGGAGGCTCCTCAGCAGCAGCGTGTTAATGGTTCCTGACAGGGTTACCCTTCCATTCATCCTCAAAACATGAGCCTCTGGGAGATAAATTCACTGGAGGCCCTTAGAAATAGGTGGTAAGTGGAACTGGAAATAAATAAATAAACCAATGCATAATCTAAGTGGGATGAAACCCTTCTCCAAGGCAAAGGAGGGACCTGCATCCATCACATGGTGACATTATAAATCTGTATGCTTTGCAAGGCAATGACATGAAAAATTAGACTGAACAAGCCACAGATGCACAATTTGTCAGCCTCGAAGGAAAGGTTAATGCAAGTTAAATATTGACATGTCAGCAATAAGGATTACGCCAATTATAAATTTACACCAACACTGCTGCACTTTAATGACTGTGTGACACTGACAGGTCAACATAGGGTGCAAGAATGACAACTGAAGAGAGCATCATATAAATTAGAAGTTAGAACACTTGGGCTTTTTAAGATCTTACCTTGTTTTTTCTCAATTTTACCTTTATATTAATCAGAGCCAGTATCTATCTATCTGTATGTGTGTGTGTGTGTATATATATATATACACACGCATATGCATGTGTGTATCCGTCTATTCATGTGTATATACACATACACACAGAGAAAGATGGAGAGAGAGAGAGAGAATGAGCTCATGTCATTATAAAGATTGACAAGTCTCCAGTTCTCAGCAGGTTGAGTCAGTAGGCTCGAGAAGGCAGTGAGACAGGAAAAACCGTCTCGTTCTGGCAGGAGTGTCAACATTTTGTTCTATGTAGGTCTCCAATGGATTAGATAAAGCCCACTTACACCAGGGTCAGCAATCTGCTTTACTTAGTCTACCAATTCAAATGTTAATGTCATACAAAAATAGCTTTGCAGAAACATGCAAAACAATGTTCAAGCAAATATCTGGGCACCCTGGATCGTAGTCAAGTTGATGCATAAAGTTATTACAGTTCTCATCTAAACTCACTTAAGAGTAAATACTAGCATCTAATAATTATAAAACACTCCCCATATATCAGGCACTATGCTAAGTGGTTTACTTGTAGGCTCCTGTAAAGGCCACCACAATTCCAGAAAGCTACTAGCATTTGCATTGGCTGCATTTGCCAGATGAAGGGTTAAGTAACTTGCTCAAGGTCATAGAGCTGGTAGGTGGAGGGACCTGGATTGGAATCATGGATTTTAGTCTGGCTCCTGAACTCATGGGACTAACCCCTTGTATTAGTCAGGGTTCTCTAGACAGCAGAACTAATAGGGTGTGTGTGTGTGTGTATATATACATGTACACATATATATATACACACATATACATATATACACATATATATACATATACATATATGCACATATATACATATATATATAATAAGAGTAGAAACCTTATATAATAAGAGTAGAAACCTCCATTTCATAGTCATATTTTCTGTTCCTTCTGCATATTCTTCCTGCGGGACATTCCACTATGTGAAAAATGTCTTTTGAAATGTAACAAAAATTCATCATTGCAATTGCTTAGGAGGAAAAGGAAACTATTGATACCCACCCTGATAAATAAAAATCATCTCTCTTTGAATTTAATTATGACAATTATTTGAAATAAATTCATTCTTTTCAATAAGGAACTAGATGTACATCATGCAGTTTTGAATCTTTTAATTCAATTTCAGCAGTGAGCACTTAACTCGAGTATAGTCTTTGGTGAGAAACTACTGTATATGTAACATGTGTATAGTCACCATTCTTTTTACTGAAGTTGACTGATTTAGGCAAAATCAATATGCCTCTTTTAGATAAGAAAATATAAAATTTTGAAATAAAATTATAGTCTATAACATTTTGAAGGAGGAAGTGAGGAATTTTGGGGGATTTGAAATTATTTCAATGCAACCATAAATGTAGATCCCTCCTGGAGGTATGGAGAATTCCAGGCAAATAGTTGATTGGTAAAGGATTGGATATAATTGACTTTCTCATTATTTGAACTAAGATGGGCAACTTGGATCTCGTTTTCTAGTTCTGATAGCCATCCACAAAAATACTGGGACATGACCTTTAACTCATACTTCAGAGAAATTCTGAAATACATGTTGGGAATAATTGAAAGCTTGCATAAATCTTAAATTTCTATTGGACACTTTCACTTGTATTAGATGCTATTTAATTTTGTTTTATCTATTGTCCATAGCACTTGTGAAATTATAACAAACAAGTAATTCAAAAATTTTAAGAGCACTACCAATTGACCTATTATTTCAGTTTGTTGCTTCAAATATTGTATACCTGCTTTTAGAAAACACTATTGTCTACAGATATTTTGTAGATATAATTCCTATAAATTTGATTTAATTAATTAGTGGGAATGCTCTTAGCAATGGTAATTGGAGAGGGAACATTTATGTATAGCTTCCAAAAATCTTCACCTTGTAGTCAGGCCCCAAAAGAATGACATTACTACCCATTACTATAGAAGAGGCCTCTAAGATGAAGCTGTTGAGACTCTATCACAATTTGAGCTGATAGGGAAGAGAAACACAGTGAGAATAAACTAAATGAAACTCACCAAAATCTGGACAGGAAGTGGAAGTCAGCCTAACTTTGTAGGCATGGCTCAGCACGGGCAGTAGTATAGACCAAGACATAAGGCTCAGAGGTTATAGCTCATTGTGATTTTGGCTGCATTAGTACCATTAAATTCCATCTAGGCCACAGCACAGAGGTGATTATAGGCAGGAGTAAGAAATGTGTGCAGTGTAAAGACCTTTGCTGTGGTAATGATGTGGCTGGCTGTCCAACCTAGGAAACCAGTTTAATGTGAGAGAAAACCTAGTACCCAAATCTTGGTTCCTTATGTCATTCTTCAAGAAAATAAACCAGGAATTCTTGGAGAAATTATTGATTCCAGTGCCGCAGCAGGGAAAGACTCCTTGTCCCTTCTGCTATGTGAGGACACAGCAAAAATATAGCTGCCTGTGAACCAGACACCAAAACTTCCAAAGCCTTAATCTCTGTGGCCTCCAGAACCGTGAAAAATGAGTTTCTGTGTTTATAAGCTACCCAGTTTAGGATATTTTGCTATAACAACACTAATGGACTAAGACACCCATTCTAAGCATAAGAAAAATATCACACAAATCCAAATTGAGGACATTCTATGGAATACCCAATCAGTACTCTTTAAAACTGTCAACATCATCAAAATTAAATGAAGTCTCAGAAATCTCAGATAAGAGAAGGAAACATGACAACTAAATGTAATGTGGCGTCCTGGAAGAGATTCTTAAAAAAACAAAAGGCATTAAGAAAAAAATAGTGAAATCCTAAAAATGTGTAGTTAATAGCAATGTACCAATGTTAGTTCTTTAATTGTGACAAATGTACTATCATTATATAAAATACTAAACATAGAGGAAATTTGGTGATGATATATGAAAACTTTCTGTACTTTGCAACTTTCCTATAAATCCAAAACGATTCTAATTTTTTTGAAAAGTCTATTTAAATTTCATTTAAAAATTATGGAAATATAAAGTGGTCCCTGGCTTAAAGGAAAAATATTTAACATAAATCAGTTTTCTAAGCCAGTGGATTCAGTGTCGAATTTGTCCTCAAATTTGGTCAGATATGGTAAAATAGAGACAGGGGTACAGTTAATCTTAATAGTATGACTTTAAATCAAGATAATCCTGTGCTTATGTCTTAATTGACTTAACAAATCAATTAATACACTGTTCATGTATTAACTGATTTAACATATTAATACACTGTTCATATTTAACTGATTTAACAAATTTATTGTTGTGCCCTCTAATGTGAATGCTAAACAAAATATGAGCCTTGTCTTCAAGGACCAGGTAGTCAGTCTAATAATGGATGAGACACAGGAGAAAAAAATAGTGATCAAATTACAGTAAGAGAAGTTCTACGATGCATGCCAAATGAGTATGATAACAATAATGATAATATAATTTACTATGTATTGTGCATCCTCTTTGTGTAGATATATGCATTGGGGAGTAGGGAAATTGATTACTTAATAAAAATAAGAAAGTCAGGGAAGGCTTCCATAGTAGGTGATGTTGAGCTTAGTTTTTCCAAGATTGGTAGCATTACTAATTAGGTGAATAAATTAGAGGGAGCCATAACTGACTGAGAGAATGGCTTAAGCAAAGACATAAAGAGAAGAACCAGTCAAGTGATCCAACAGAGGCTGACAGGAACAAAGTAGCGAAGATTTCCCAGGCGATGAAGCACGGGATTAGGGATTCCTAGTGGGCCAGCAAGGTGAGTGATTGTTATAAGGGAAGTACAGTTATGAGTAACCAATCCTTTCCCCTAAAAGCAGATTTTAGGGAGGTAACTTCAGTCACTTGAGAGAGAGAGAAAAGTTGAAATATGATGAGCTTCATTATTAAGCAAATAAAATAATTAAAAATAAAAGTTTGATATAAGAAAATGTTTTTCTTGCATCAAAATGAAAGCTATTTAAAGAGAATGTTAAAAATATAAGTAGAAGAGAAAGACATGCTGATCATGACTATTATGAGAATAAATTGGTATGATCTGTTTGAAAAGTGTTTGATAGTATGAATCTTAAAACTAATTTGACCAATTAATTTTATTTCTAGGAATATTTTATCCAAAGGAAATAAATGAGAAACAATGTAAAATGTTATATATGAGAAAGAACGTTAATTACAGCATTATTTATATTTAAAAAAAAAAAGACTTGGACTTGGCCCAAGTATAAAAAATGTAATCTATCAAGAATATTATGCTATATCCATATAATTTAAAATTTTGCAACTATTAAAATTTTCATTTAAGTAATAGTTATAAACTAAATGGTGTCCTTTGTAATATTCTTATGTTGAAGACCTAGCCTGCAATGTAAGTAAATGTTGAGATAGAATCCTTTATTTTTAGAGATGGAGTCTCACTCTGTCGCCGAGGCTGGAGTGCAATGGTGTGATCTCAGCTCACCACAACCTCTGTGTTCCAGGTTCAAGCGATTCTCCCACCTCAGCATCCCCAGTAGCTGGAACTACAGATGCCCACCACCACGCCTAGCTAATTTTTGTATTTTTAGTAGAGATGGGGGTTTCATCATGTTGGCCAGGCTGGTCTCGAATTCCTGACCTCAGGTGATCCACCCGTCTTGGCCTCCGAAAGTGCTGGGATTACAGGCATGAGCCACCGCACCCGGCCAAGATAGAATCTTTAGGAAAGTAATTAAGTTAAATGAGATCATAAGGTTGGGGCCCTAATTCAGTAGCATTGGTAGTATCCCTGCAATAAGAGGGGGCATCACCAGATCTCTCCCTCTCTCCTCTTAACAGCAGAGAAAGGCCATAGGAGGATATTGAGAAGGATGCCATGAGCAGACCAGGAAGAGAGGTCTCACTAGAAACCAACCCCGATATTACTCAGAACTTGTGAGAAAATAAATTTCTGTTGGTTAAGCCACTCAGTCTGTAGTATTTTGTTATGACAAACTAAGCTGACTAATATGGAGATTATTCTTTGATTCAAGATAATATTCATAATATATTATGAAAAGATGAAAGCCATTAACTAAAAATTATATGCTGTATAAACTGAATTTTTAAATTATTATTCTTTTTAAATTGTATGCCACAAATTTTAGGGACATAAAGTTTTTTTAAAAGGGAGAGAATATCCCCCAAAATGTTAAATAATGTTTCTTTCATATACTGGAACTACTGGTGATTTTAATGTATTCTTTTTCCATGTCTATATTTTCATTTTATTAATAATGCCCATAAATTACTTTTTTCAAATAAAAATAAGTAAAAAGTAATAATGGATATATAAAGGTGAATGGGTTAGAGCAAAAGTTATTTTGAAATGTAGAAAAGAAAATGTTAAAGTTCTAGGCTATAAAATTGGCCACTGGAGGCAATGCAATGTCCCAAAGTCAACTCTGGGTTCATATGCCCTCTAACCAAGGTGAAAGTAAGGGAAATGGGGAGGACCTTCAGGGGATGTCAATGACCTCCCAGATACAGTAGCATGACCTACTATTAGTACCCTATTCAGCCTGGAAGTATATAAGCCTATATTAAAGTAGTTTATCTTCATCTTTCCTTGGTCAAGATTGGCTCAGGGGTCAAAGCCTCACTGATCCTGCGGACAGGAATATCAAAAGATTAGGCAATAAGATCCTGTTCATAGGAGGGGAATTGTTGGGGCAGTGAGAAGGACATTGGCAGATCAAATGAAGCATACTTCAGCAGCCTTTGAGTTGTCATAAGTGAAGCTAAATAAACACAAAAGTGGTAGAACTAAGAATTCTATTGAAACAAGAAAGATTGCATCACATAAAAACAAATATAAGTAAACAAGAGAAAAATTAAATTGCCAGCTAAAATGGAATAGAAAATTTAAGGTTGAGAAAAAAAAATGTTAGTAAATAATAAGCCTTCCAGTATCTCTCTATCTACTACCTACTTATATGCCCACACAAGTAGGCAGGTAGATAGATACTGTCTATCAATATTAGTTATTGTTTCCCATATAAATATTTTTATATATTATGTATATATATTCCACAATACTATATTTGTGGGCATTATACACACACACACATATATATTTATAAATATAGCATATATAATATATATATTTCCCACAATTCTATATATATGGGAAACAATAAGTAAGAAAAAGTTTCACATATAAATAATTCTATTTAGCATTCAATGAAATCCAAATTCACCATATGCTACATGTATGATTTTGGTTGTCGTATTCAGTTCCATTTAATTTCCATTTTAATTGGAAAAGGTGCACTGGAGAACAAAAAAATGATAAGCCATCAGAGAAGTTATTAATTCCGGGAGTAAGGAAGATAATGTTTGTATTTGCTAGAGAAGAGTCAATTAAAGTGAGATTATGATTGAAGGGGATAAGAGGCAAGGCATACAAAGTAGAGGCATTAAATGTTCAACAGAATAATAGCAACGATAGGGTCCATGTGGCATTGCGAATAGTTATGATAAAACTTTCCAGAAATATAATGGTCTGTTATACAATTTGCTTTATATGATGGTATTATTCATATTAATAAATGATGGTACAATAAAGCACCGTGACAATAGATACACTGATCAATATCTCATAAGCTCTAACCAATGGAATGCATGAAGACTAATAAATCAGCGGCATTACAATTATAGTAATATTAATAAAAACTATAGTAACAACTACAAGAGTAATAATAATTGTTAAAAACCTCCGTAGTTTACCATACACATACACCACATCACTTATCAGTTCAGCTTTGACTTTATACAGGTATTAGAAAAGTTTTGTGAATTATAAATAAACATTTGGAACATGCTACTAAGAGCCACTTTGATCCTTTTACAATTTTGCTGTTTACAAGTATAAAATTCAAGTATATCAAATATTCTGTTTAATGGCGTAAATGACTCACCCACCTAGTGGATGCAAAGCACGTTCTTCCAGGCTTTATCTATTCCAACTTGTCAGAAAATGATCTGCATATTTAAGTAAAAGGGAAATTTGTTGTCATATATCAGGAAGGGCAGGAATGGATTCCGTGACTCAAATATGTTATCAGAACTGAATTTTTGTCTTTGATTGTCTCTATTTTGCTTTCTTCTCAGAAAGACTCTGTAATAAGCGTATTGACAAACAGCAGCAGGAACTTCATAATCTCCCTATCTTTCAAACCCATTCGAAAGAAGACTTTCTTCTAATCTCTACACACCAATAAATTGGTCATGTGGGGTCATGTACACATTCCTAAATTTGGTATATAGGAACACTGCTTCGTCAGCCAGCATGAATCATTCACCCATTCTAGAAGTAGTAACAGGATTTTGTCATGAACAGCTTCACTGGGGTTACAGGGGATCAGGGACATATTTCTTGAAGGGACATGAGTCTGGAGAATTGGAAGGCATCCAGCACACACACACACATGCATGCACACACACACGCACGCACACAAACAAGCAAAGCCAGCAATACTCTTCTGCTAGAGAAATAGTACATCTCTCAGGAAATATATTTTCTTTTTATGCAACTTAGAGGTTTTGCCATTTTATGTTATTTTTATCTGACAACTCTATAAGTCTCTGCCATACTTTTCCTGGGTTTACAATGCCAGAACTTTTCACTGATATAACACCCTCAATTTACACACACACACACACACACACACACACACACACACACACACATCACCGCCACACCATATACAAAGTTTCCATAATAAAAATGGTATCGGGTTTCTCAACAGCAACACTGTTGCTGAAGAAAATGAAGTAGTGCTTCAAAAATTCTAAGAGGAAATAATTTCCAACCTATGAACTTATAACTAGTGAAACTAGCAATCGATTATGTAGAAATAATAAGAACATATTCAAATATGAACTAATTTTAGGGGAGCTAATAAAGGATTTTCTGTGGCAAAATGAAAGCAAAAACTGAAACAGCAAATAATACAACCCAGGAAACAGAAGATCTGATCCATGAGAGAGGCAAGGAAAATTGTTCAAAACATGGGTGTTTTGAACAAAAAGTTGTGATAAAGGTCTAAAGAGCCAGCAGCTGGAATAAGGCAAATATAAATATATTTAATAAATTGCTATATTATTGAATATCTTTGAACACTGATTAATGTTAGTTCTATTGGAGAGTTTGGAAATAAAAATATAGAAAAAAATTAACTACAAGAATAAGAAAATATTGCAGAATAATAGAAATAGAATTACAGTACACTGTGTGGCACAAGTCTGAATAATATTTGGGTCATTAAAATAACAACAGCAAATCGCATCATTTATAAATAATGATTCAACAAAAATTCAGTGGTTCATAATGTGTCCCAGAATATTAGTGTTGGGACCACGTGAGAAGCTGTGATCACAACATTGCTCTGATTTGAAATCAAACCATTGGGACCCACTGCAGAAGGACTGAATCAGAAACTCCAAGAATGACGCCCACGATCTATGTTTCATTAGGCCTTCCAGCTGATTCTGATACATGCTATTTGAAAACCATTGCTCAAAATATATATGGAAGATGTGACTGCAGATCCTGGGAAAGAGTAGAAAAGCTGAACACTCCACTTTCAGAATAGAATATTAATGGAAAACAGAATAATTAAAATGGTAATATAAGAATCTTCTTAATAAATATACATGTAAATCTCAAAAGGAACAGGTAAATTTACTAAAAGTATTTTATTTGGGGGAAAAAGAATTAGGAGTGAAAAATTTGGGACAGAAAAACACTATTTTTCTTTACGACGATTTTTTGTAATAAATGACATCCTGAGACATGTAAATGTAAGTTAATAAAAACATAATTTAATTGGCAAGGAATAAAGATTAGAAAAATATGTTTTCTAGAAAAATAGAACAGACAATATATATTTGTGCAAATGAATAGTATTCCCAAGTATAATATGCAAAATGCAGTGCTTCAAAAATTCTGAGAGGAAATAACTTCCAACCTATGAATGTTTAACTAGTGAAACTAACAATCAAATATGTAGATATAATAAGAATATGTTCATATATGAAATTATTTTAGGAGAGCTAATAGAGGATTTAGGGGAGTTAATAGAAGATCCCTAACTGGCTTCACTCTGGTCCTAGAGGCTTTTGAATTTGCTACTCATGTACACATTTCCTGAAAATAGGATGTCATAGGTAAAGATTAGCAATGACCACTTTGGAAGTATTGTTGTTAAAGTGTTAAAGACCTTCCAAGAAAGTTGACAGAGGCAATAAAGAAGCAGTGTGACTGATGTTTGGAAGATAGGAACTGCTAAGGTGATGGCCAATTGTTATGAAGAAAAAGATAAAATTGGAGCTTGGAAAATGGAGGAATGACAGCCCTGGAAATAAAACACAGATCAGAGTGATGCTAGATACTCTAGATACAGGTATCATAAAAGAAAATGGACACTGAGACCTGTAGTGTGGAAAGAATGAAAAACTAGAACTAAGGATTTGTCTGGTGTCTCTGCAGGAGAGGAGGTTAAAAATGTGGCCTTGATCTATCCAGAAAGAAGGAAAGAACTTTCTTGAGACTCTTGACATTATTGGCACAGCGGGTTATTTATTTTCCTATGCAGACTGTGATGGTTCAATAAATATTGTTGGTAATGATCTATGGCTTTCATAGTGCCAGGGTTGTGTAGTGTCTGATAATATAAAACTAACATGAAACAGTGATTTACATTTCCTTGATTGCTTGATGGATAACTAAACAGAATGTTTAAATATATATGCAAATAAACTAATTAACCAGTCTCACTTTTCAAATGACCTCTATTTTGTATTCAGCTTTCACATAGACTCTTTTGATTTATCAGAATATTTAACTGTGTACAGTATTTGGGTTTACATACAGTGCGGTGAATTTTAATGAAAATCATTTATCATCTTAAGGACTTAGCCAATACGTACAAGTCAAGCCTGTTACTCTCTTGCAAAGTTTAGCATGTT
Organism: Homo sapiens; assembly: GCF_000001405.40. NCBI lineage: Eukaryota > Metazoa > Chordata > Mammalia > Primates > Hominidae > Homo > Homo sapiens. Next base: position 19,109,899 of record NC_000004.12, on the reverse strand, counting down.
GCAATGGGATTGCTTCAACTCCAAGAACAAGGACTTTGAATTCAGCATTTAGAAAATATCAGCCACACAGTATAGTTTTGTGAATAGTGATAATGAGGACCAATCTTAAAAATGATTATTTTCAAGCATATGTAACTCAACCTTAATAATAACAATAATGGTAAAAATCATTTATTGAACATCTACCATGCACCAGATTCTATGTTAGAATTTGTTGTACATTTGCTTTAATTTTCTCTACAACTATCAGATTTCTCTACGTTAAGAATGTGAAAATTGAAGTTAGGAGACTATATAAGAACAACTATCAAAAATGTGGTCTTATGGCTAGTATGTATAGGACCATGAAGCTCTCTACCTAAGTTTTCTACCTCAAAGTTATCATTTTTCTCCATTGATTTCATGCTTGGCTGTTTTTAAAACTGACATTTCTGTTACACTGCCACAATACATCACAAAAGAATTAAACAGATATGATAGTGTTTTTCAGATACTGTATAAAACTTTCATGATGTTGAATTATTGATAAATAAATGAATGACTCAGTAAGTATTTACTGACTTCTACTGAAACCTTGACAGATGTTAATGCACATAGAAGAGCTAAACATAATAGCCATCTGTCATTTATTGAATATCATTTTACATATGATAAGATAAAGGTTAATAGAAATTAAATTAAAGTGTAAGGATTTGGGGGGATGGGGAGATGCAGGAGTAAAACTCAATGTAACAAATTTCAAAGCCTTTCTTTTTTAAATATTATATCATGCTGACTCAAAAATTGAGGACAATATTCCTTGTGAAATTATGGATATAAGATTAGCATCCCAGAGTAAACTAATATTGTAAAGTGCAGAATAGAGTGTTGGATGACAAAAAATAAGGAACTGTATAATTAATATTTTTAGTACTATCCCATGTGTCATGTATGGCATTTTACATGTTTTATCTAATCTTTACTACAACTCTAAACATAGAGTATTATTTAGAGTGCACTAGACTTGAGAGGATGTAATGACTCAAAAGGATTGAAAGTTTATGTCTTGCTCACATTGTGTTTTTGGATAAGTAAATAGTTAGGCTGGGCACCTGTCTTCCATGCAGTCACTGAGGGACCAAAGAACATAGGCCTTCCATTTTTAAAATGTAACATTCAAGGTCATTTTTTAGGTAACCTCCATTACAACCAGTGGAGAAAAACTCCTGGAGGAGAGTTGATATGGAGAAACATGGGAAGGATACCCATTACCTGGGCTTACATCCCCATGGCTAGAAGGTTGTACTTGTAATAAACTACGAAAAATGCAGGAAAGATAGTTTTGGCAGGGTAGTCACTTCTCAGGCACAACTTTCATTATGGAAAGGGGAGCATGAATTTTTGGACACAGCTAACTATCTCTGACACAGATAAGCGATTCCATTGTTCATGTAAGGAAACTAAGGCTCAAAAACATTAAATAGCTAGGTCATAGATTCAAGGTTCTGGAATTCAGGTCACGGTAAAACCTCAATGGCACTCTGAAAACTATGGCCCACAAGCAAAATCCAGCCTGCCACAAATAATGTTTTATTGGAACACAACCATATCCATTTATTTGTGTATTGTCTGTGACTGCTTTCACACTACAATAGCAGTGCTGAGTAGTTGTGACAAAAGACAGGGTGGCCTGCAAAGTGTCAAATATTTTTAACTGCCCTTTACAGAAAAAAAATTGCTGTGTAAGTCGGCTGTTGCTTCTATAACAAATTACCACAGTGTTGATAGCTTAAAACAACACAGATTTAGGTCTTACAGCTCTTGAGGTCAGAAGTCACAAACAGATCTTACTGGGCTAAAGTCAAGGTGATATAAGGGCTGCATCCCTTACTGGAGAGTTTAGAGGAGAATCCATTTCCTTGTCTTTTCCAGCTTCTAAAAGTCACGTGTATTACTGGGTTCATTGCCCCTTTCCATCTTTGAAACCAGCAAAGATCAATCATTTCTCATGACGCATCACCCTGACGCTGATTCTTCTGGCCTCCTCTTCCATTTTTAAGGACCCTCATGATCGTCCTTTTGAGAGTATCTCTTGCCCTCTTCTATTTAATAACTCTTGTGATATTATATTGGGCCTGTCTCGATAATCTCCCATCCCAAAGTCAGTTTATTAATGACTTTATTTTATTTGAAACCTTAATTCCCCTTCACCATGTAATATAAAGATTCACAGGGTCCTTGAATTAGGATATGAATATCTTTGGAAGGTCATTATTCTATCTCTCACACTGACCCCTATTCTACCTTCTAAAAAGTTGATTGTTTTCACTTCACCATTTTCTGTTCCTAAAGGAGACATAAAGATGGCCGGGCACGGTGGCTTACGCTTGTAATCCTAGCACTTTGGGAGGCCAAAGCGGTGGATCACCTGAGGTCAGGAGTTCAAGACCAGCCTGGTCAACTTGGTGAAACCCTCTTTCTACTAAAAATACAAAAAATTAGCCAGGCGTGGTAGTGGGCACCTGTCATCCCAGCTACATGGGAGACTGAGGCAGGACAATCGCTTGAACCCAGGAGGCGGAGGCTGCAGTGAGCCAAGATCATGCCACTGCACTCCAGCCTGGGTGACAGAGCGAGACTCCATCTCAAAAAAAAAAAAAGGGGGTTTGCTAAAGCCAGAAAATATGAATCTGTGGTTCAAAAGATATGTAAAATATGGATGGATGGAAATAATGGAGAAGAGTATTTGAATAGGGAAAATATTTGGAGAAATTACAAAAAAGGGTCATTGAGTCAGGAATGTGCAGGGCATGGAATGGATAGGAGCTCAGGGGTCTGTGTTAAAGGAAGTCCCATGCTTCAAAGTGAATGGACTAGATGAAAACGCACAGAGACTCTGAAGTTGGATATGTTAGGTAGAGTCAGATTGTATAGCACCTTAAGACAACAAGAAGAAGTACTACTCTTTATTGCAAGATTACAAAAGTAAATCACATTCTAGTTTACGTAAAGGTCAGAGGTATACAACGTTAGATAATGTCTTTTTGGTTCTCAGTTTTGGAAGTACTACTAATAATAATTACCACATACTGAACATCTATTATGTATAGAGCTCATTACAAATATGAGTCTGCAAAGAATGTATTAGTGTTTCAAATTTATAAATACAAACCTCAGACCCAAAATAGTTGCTGTTAACTTTGAGAAGGGAAATCCAGTAAATATTGGACTTACACTTTCTACCCTGAAATGTCTGAAATAATGTACTTATACTATATAGTAAGGATTGAAAATTTTTATTTTTCTCTCAGTCTTTTGGAGTCTGTAACGTGGAAGATCTCTGGTGGGGTCACATCAAACTGAGGTGGAAATACTTAGGCATAGGGATCCCTTTGATTTTTCTCTTACTTTACTGGTTGACAAAATTCAATAATAAATAACCTATATGATCAAAAATGTGGATACTTTAAAGATGCACATTTGAACCTATTTGCAAGGCACAGTTAGAGAATTAGCTCTATGGATCTACAATGGTCTCACATTTATTTTGAATTGCAGGTGCCTTCTCACTATTTCTGCACATCAGTGTGAAACTCCTCCACCTGTCCTAAATACAGAAAAGAATAAATTGCATTTTCAGCACCATTGAAATAATTATGTTTTCAAGGTCACAATCAATCATCATAAACTCAGTACCTTCCCCTTGGGAAAAAAAGTGATTCAAATTTCTAATGCATTGTTTTTGTCATTTTGAAAAGAATGTGCCCACTAACACAGAGAGATATGAAACAATCTGCCTGATAGAGATTCATTGAAATCTTTTGATTCTGTGCTTTGATTGTTGTACCACCCAATAATAGCAGTAATTATAATACTACTAAAATCCATAATTACTATGTTTCTGGTACTTCATTATTTGGAAAATATATTCATATTCAGTGTCATGTTTAGTTCTGATAACATCCCTCAGAGTCAGGCAATGATGACAATCATTTTTCTATTATACATGTAGATTGCCAAGGAGGTCTAGTACATTCTCCAAAGTCATGCAGTTAGTAGGTGAAAGAGCAGGGAATCAAAGTGAGGTCAGAATGACTCCATAGCTCTTAATGAAGGAAAACTCAGCCTTTGTGTATCCTTTTAGAAGTTATGTAGATAAAGCAAGACTTTTCTTCTCACTAGTCTCTGAACAGAGTGGACAAAAATACAACTGCTAATTTGACTGATTCTGATTTCAGTGCTACAAGTTTCTGGATTCATTTGCCCACCTTCAAGTATGTCTACCTTTTTGATGAATGCATTTTCTTCTATTTTCACTATAGCAGAAATCTAAGGTGGATGTCTTATTTAATTTTCCATAATGCACTGACATACCTTGCCCATCTTGTTCTTCATTTCACTTATATCAGTGGTTTCTTCTTACTGATTCTGGTTGTATTTTTAGTATTGCTTAATGCTCCTGTTTTCCTTTTCAGTCCATTTTCAGCCTCTCTGGTGGCCAAAACTATCCTTCTGTTGTCTTAGTTGAAGTTTGAATAAAACATTTTTCTCCTTTGATCTGAGAAAGATTAAATTAGTGCGGTAGAGTGCAAGGAACAAGGAAGAAATATAACTGGAAATGGGTACAAAGGGTGAGGATTTCTTTGCCTGAAATGGAAGCATAAATACTAACTTAGAGAAGTTAGCATAACCCAAGAGAACAAAAGGGCCCAGGACATGAGGGATAACAGAAGCAGAGGTTTCTGGTAAGTTGGAACTGTGAGTTATTAGGGCCACAGACCAAAGCTGATGTGAGAAGAGAAAGATATTTCCTTTGTGAAGGAATATAAAATGTATGCATCAATAATAACTGCGCTCAGCAGTGTTCCCCCAGGTCAATTTATGGAACACTGTACATACACCCATCTCTCCTTGAGCATCCCACAAATCAAAAAGCTTTTGGTTGAAGTCAGACAGCTAGAGCTCTTTTGGACATAAGACATCTCACTTAAACTGACAAGAAACTCAGACACGGGATTTCACTAACTTAACAAATAATGTAAATGAAATGTCTGCTTAGGTGTTTGCAAGTGCTGACAGGTAGTCAGAATCTGTTGGTCTCCATCCTTCAGGTCTGCTTTGTTGTATAGTTTCATTCTCAGGAAGGGAATCCTGTCTTGGTGAATTTATATTCCACTCCACCTAGCAATGCCAATGTAGACAGGGAATTCTTTTTCTTTTTCTTTCTTTCTTTCTTTTTTTTTTTTTTTTTTTTAATTTTTGTTGAGATGGAATTGCACTCTTATTGCCCAGGCTGGAGTGCAGTGGTGCAATCTCAGCTCACTGCAACCTACGTCTCCCGGGTTCAAGCGATTCTCCTGCCTCAGCCTCCCAAGTAATTGGGACTATAGGCATGCACCACCACACTGTTAATTTTTTGTGTTTTTAGTGGCGATGGCGTTTTGCCATGTTGGGCAGGCTGGTCTCAAACTCCTGACCTCAGGTGATCTGCCCACCTCAGCCTCCCAAAGGGCATTCTTTTTCTTAGCAGTTTTGGCAAAAAGCCAAGAGTAGAGTTTCATTAATTTCAAGTTGGTCAGGTCCATTCATTAGTGAATCATTACGATTTGAACTGGCCAGATCTAGGGAAAGTGTCTTCACCTGCAATCATGATGTAGGACCAGGCCAAGGATTTAAAGTGGAGAAAAATATTCTCTAAAGTGGTAATGGATGTTGAGCAGGCACAGAATGAAAGATTTGTTTCACAGATGACTCGAGATAACAGTTATTGAGTGCTTACTATGTGCTAGCTATTATTGTAATTGTTTTACAAAAAAACAATTCAGTTCATCCTTACAATAACATTACGTGAAAGGATGATTTTTGTAGCTATTTTACAGGGGTGCAGAGCACTTCAGTAATTTCTCTCAACTCCCAAGTCACATGTGGAATGCTGCCTTGCTCACATATCCTGAGCATCAGTGAGCATGACTATGATGCTTAGGACACTAATCTCATTTGGAGGGCTCCAGAATGGCCAAGCAAGGTGAGACCAAAGAGAAATACCAGGTGAGATTTCAAACCTACGATACAGGGGGCACACCAGCATCAAGCAGTCAGAAACCAGCCCAGGGATGAGGAGAGAAGAAGAATACTGTAGGTAAGAAGAGTAGACATGTGACAGCTGACGAGCATAGGGGGAGAGAGGGAGAGAGAGAGAGAGAGAGAGAGAGAGGGACTCGGTGCAAAATCCTTTTTTTTTTTTTGATAGAGAGTAAAATGAGGATGAGTAAGAGGCCTTCTTCCCTTATCCAAAAGGTTTTCGTATTTGGACTGTACCAAGGGGGTCTATGTTCCTTACCACGGCTCAGCATTATCCTAAGGAAGTATGCCTCGTTGTTCATGTGATGGAGCTTTGCCTTCGTGTGTGCAGGCTGCTATAACTAAATATCATACACTGGGTAGGTTATTCTCATAGTTCTGGAAGCTGAAAAGTCCAAGATCAAGGCAGATTTCGTGTCTACTTTTTGGATCACTAATGGCACCTTCTTGCACTGTCCTCAGATTGTCGAAGGTATGAGATGTCTCTGGCACCTCTTTAATAAAGGCACTAATTCCATTCATGAGGTGCCCCCCAGCAACATAATCATCTTCCAAAGGCCCCACCTCCTAATACTATCACCTTGGGAGTGAGAATTTCAACATATGAATTTTGTGGGGACATAACATTCTGACCAGAGCAAGCTACTCTCTGTTCCTCCCCTCAAAGCCCTCCCTTGCTTGTTGACTACCACATAGGCTGTGTGTACCCTCAGCCTTTTTATGAGGCAAAAGTTTTTTTAAAAAGTAAATAGGTAGAACTTCTACCTATTTTCTGTATCTCACCTGACATGTCCCTGGGAGGCCCTAAATTAAATCCCTTTGCTCTAGTTTCTGTTATGTGCCCACAAGCACTAATCACATATTATTCTGAATATTTGGTTAATGTCTGCCTTTGCTGATACACAAAATGCCTTCTGAAGTATGTTTTCAACATGTAGCTGCAGAATCACAGATTCAGAATCTCACGTTCACTCCCTTTCCCTTCTATTTACAATCAAATCATTTTGTCAGTGGCTAATCAAGTATCAAATAATCTCTCTTCTCCCTCCACACACACAAAAACACATGCCTCAGGTCCACACAGTGCTTCACAGTTAAAAAGGTGCAGTAGCTTAGGCCCAAGGTCAAGTGGAGCGTTTTGCTCTGTCCTATTTTATCCCCCAGTCTGGAGGATATGACCTTACCACAGCAGTATTAGCAAAATTCCTCTCAATTTGTACAGCAGCGTGGGCTGATTAACTGATACTCAGACTAAGCAAGTGCTCGTGGAAAGAGCTGAGCAGCAACAAATAAAAGGAAACAGGAATATGTTTAGGGTATTCCACCTCTAAAGTTCTTAATCTGGTCCTCCCAACCAAAGACAGAAGAATGAAAAGCAGGACAAATGGAAAGAAACTGCTGATCCTTACAGTTCAGGATGCTGTTTGATTCTGAATATCACCAATTTCGTCTTTTTTCTCATCAACTTTTCAACGAATGAGACTGCAATATACTGAAAGTTTGTGTCTCCCAAAATTCATATGCTGAAGCCTTAATCCCAAACTGATAGTATTCGGAGATTGCACTTTAGCGAGATAATTATTTCATGAGGGTGGAGCCCTCATTAATGGGATTAGTGTCCTTCTAAGAAGTGACTAGAAAGCTAGCCAGCTCTCCTTCTACCATGTCAAGATCCAAAGAGAATTTGGCAGTTTGATGCTTAGAGGAGTGTCCTCACCAGAACTCAACCATGCTGGCATCCTGTTCTCTAACTTCCAGCCTCCAGAACTGGGAGAAATACATTTCTGTTATTTAGAAGCCACCCAGTCCATGGCACATTTTTTAGTTTTTGTAGATACATAAGGTATATATATTTATGGGGCAAATCAGATATTTTGATACAGACATGCAAAGCATAATAATCTCATCAAGGTAAACGGGGTATCCATCACTTCAAGCATTTATCCTTTCTTTGAATCACAAACAATTCAATTATACTCTTAGTTATTTTAAAATGTACAACAAATTATTGTTGACTGTAGTCACAGTGTTTTGTTATCAAATACTATATCTTATTCATTCTAAGTATATTTTTGTGTCTATTAACCATCTCTACTTCCCCCGACCCCTAACTACCCTTCCAAGCCACATGAACAAAACTATAGGACATTATGATATGTGAAATAAGCCAGGCACACAAAAACAAACTTCACATGTTCTCATTTATTTGTGGAAGTTAAAAATTAAAACAATTGAATTTAAGTAGATAAAGAGTACAATGATGGTTACCATGTTCTTTTTTTAAAGCAGCCTGAGCCAAGTAAGATAGGAGATATACTGTGAAGCACAAAAATCCTGTAGAAAAGCATGTATAATTTTGATTTATAGCTAGGCAAGGACCCAGAACCCCATGATGTGGAACTGCTATCACCATTGGAGAATGAGGTGTGACATAGAGAACACAGTGTGGAAACCCACCTCTAAATGTCCCTGGAACTGCTGTTTAAGAAGGTTTAAGTTATTCAGCCTGCTGCAGGAAGAAAGAATGCACCCAAGGGGAACCTAGGTAGAAAGGGAGAATTGGGAGAAGCTTCTTATAGGATTTGGACTTGGGTTAGAGGTTTCTAAGCAGGATTGGGGAAAGTGGAACCAGTTTGTATTAAGAGCTAATCAAAAAGTGAGAATTTAATGACTGGAAATCATAGCAGATTTTATCTAAGAGGCAGGAGAAATAAAGTGGGGTTTGAATTGCCATACATACAGGGGCAACCATCACTTGAAAAAGACAGCATACATCAGGAGATGAGGACACTTAGTTGCAGAATTTCACATTAATCATTGTCGATTTTGTGGTCATGAGGAGCCTTGTCTATATCTCATCCAAACATGGTCAGTGTGGTCGTAGGCTTTGCCTTGTGTGAGCATTATTTATGTTCTCCTGCAAACACTTCACTCTGGTTGTTAACAGAGCTGTTTTTCACTTTTTCAGTGGTTCAGGTCATAATGACAAAAGATGTTTTTTTTTTTCCTTTCTGATCCTACATTTTATTTTCATTCCCCTCTCTGACCTCCAGTTGCAATCTTACTTGCCATTGTCATGTGATAAGAACTTATCCACCGGTCCTAGAGAGAATGGAGTAAAATGGAGCCAGCCAAGGGAGAGCGTGCTCTTGAAAGACCACTAAACCCTGAGCATGACTCCGGAAAAATGCAGGGAGAAGATGCAGCACTTCCTTCCACATAGAAGACAATCTAGCCCTCTTACAGATCTCTAACCACATAAGCAGGATGCAGAAGAAACCCCACCACCCTGCTGCTTTTAAAAGCTGTGCCCCCAAAAGGAGGGATTTCTTAATAATGATGACCTATTTGGTCAGAGGGTTTATTTTGCCTGAGAAGTCAGTTCCTCACGATACGCCTTCATATGTAAAAATTTCAGCTGTACAGATAGAATTATTTGTCTTTTCTACTGGTAGTAAGGTTGAGGTACAACTTCAGGCATTCTCCATTCTTTCAATTAGCATGCATGTTCTGAATGTCTTCTATCTAGCAAACAACGTGAGAGGAACTGGGAATTAAAGATGAAAAGATGGCTCCTGTCTTTATAAAACTCTCAGACATTGTTGATATATTGATACTATAACATTTAGATGGATATTATTAATATACATTGAAAACATTTTAGGGAGTGCCTGATAGAGTCTATAGTGCAGCCAGGAAATATGTGGTAGTCTATCAGTCCGTTTTCACACTGCTGATAAAGACATACCCAAGACTGGGTAATTTGTAAAGAAAAAGGGGTTTAATGGACTTAAAGTTCAACATGACTGGGGAGGCCTCACGATCATGGCAGAAGGAAAAAGGCACGTCTTACATGGCAGCAGATGAGAGAATGAGAGCCAAGTGCAAAGGGTTTCTCCTTATAAAACCATCAGATCTCATGGGGGGGGAAACTGCCCCCATGATTCAATTATCTCCAACCAGGTCCCTCCCACAACATGTGGCAATTATGGGAGCTACAATTCAAGATGAGATTTGGGTAGGGACACAGCAAAACCATATCAAGTAGTGACTGGAGGTAAAGTTAACGCTGGGAGACAGTACTGGGCAAGGACTTTGAATTTCTGTTTCTCCATATTTAGAAGAAGAAAACTGGGAAAGATGGCAAAGAAAGTGTTTTCTAGATACAAGACTAGATATGTCATGATCTATGTTATGAACAGAACCAAGAGAAACTTTTTGCTAGCTATTTTAAAAAGAGAAAGTTATATTGTTGTATTGAAGTGTATGTGGATTTTGCTCCAGAACAGGAGATTTACATTAGTTGACGTATGAACATTTTTGCTAGCTTTGAGGAACACTGAATTATCGGAAATTCATCTTGCCATAAGGCTCAAAACAAACCTTCTTCAGGGGTCGGTGATTCTGATTTAACTCAGAAATGCTATCAGAATGTGCTCTTGCCTTTTGTCTTCCCAAGACTTTTACTTGCTTATCTAATCAAAATATAATACCTGATGGCTAAAGTAGAATGGTGCCTTGCAAAGCACTGTCTGTTTACTTTTGGAAACATCTGGAAGGAGCTAGTATAGCAGTTTGAACTCTAGCAACAGTGTCACAAACTCAATTAGTGACATAGTCTAATCCTCTCCCTACCATTAACTTGTGGAATGAATTTGGTCAAGTCACTTAATCTCAGATCTAAATTTCCTGAAAAAATAAAGGGAGAAGAAGAATTACCAATATTTTCTCATAAAAAAATTGTAAAAGCTGATGGGTGCAGAAGTTCTAGATAGGCAAGGCATTTTCATGAGTTAGCAAAAGGCATGTAATTTTATGATTTAAAGACCAAATATTTTTGGTAATCTGTATTATTAACAATTCATCTGGATAAAGAATATTTGCAAGTTTCTGGCTACTCACTGTTGTTGGTAGATTGAAATCAATAAAGCATTTAAACTTTATTGATTTTATCTTAGACTTAAGGGCTGCCTGTATATAAAATAAATTGAAACTGAGGTGAAAATATATATTCTTATGCTGTTTAATGACATTCAGAGTGGAGCTGATTTAGAGATTTTTTTAGAGGGGGAAATAGGTGAAATCTTGTGATTCGTCTCTTTCTCATGTTAAATAAGTTTTTATTTCTTAGATTTTGAAAATAATGTGAACAATAACCACCATTTGCCCACGGTCTACTTTACAGCAAAAGCTGTTCCCATTTTATTTTTAATTCTCACAATAACCCTACAATATCAGCAGGTATTGTCAATTCCCTTAGAGAGATAGTATCAGGGAAAAATATATATATAACGTGGCTGGTCATTGATGGAGTCAGGCTGTGAACCCAGATGGAGCAGATCTAAAAGTTTCTTTAGTCTTCACATGACACACTTCCTCTTCTCTTTGACATATCTGAAGGGGCAGAAAAAGATGAGCAAGAGTCTGATGTGTTGCCTCCAAAAGATCTTCCCCCTCCTCACTGATGAATCAAGAATCCTGTATTCATGCATGCTCTTTGTAGTCCCCTTCCATTGAATCTGGGCTGGCCCTGACCTTAGCCCACAACAGAGACAGTGCAATAGAAGTGTGGTAGAGTGACTATAGAGGCTAGCTTAGGTGAAGCCTTGGAGCTTCTGTAGGGCTTTCTTGGAATGCTCTCCCTGGTTGAATGTTCTTCAGCCTGGTCACTTTCTATCTATCCAGTCTTGCCTGTAGCACATCCAGAGTCATGTGTCTGGTGGGTAACAATCTGGATTAATATTCATGCAGATGCTCCACTGGAGAATGCAAGCAAATTGGAAGAATCATAGGCTGCAGTTTCCCTTGTTCCTTCCTTCCTTCAATAGAAATGTGCCCTCTACCAGGCACTGGTGACTTAGGGATGAATGAGAGAAGGCTCCTGTCAGCAAGATGCTCCATGGAGTTGACAGAAACCCAGACCCACTGAGAAACCATTTAGAACAGAGAAGGGGAAGATTCTGGGGAAGGTTTTTCAGGTAGAAATTGCAGTATGTTTAGTGACTCTCAGCTAAGAGAGCTCATGGCACTTGGTAGAAAATAGAAGTACTTCAACGTGCCTGGAGCTTAGCCCAAAAATGGAGGGCCATAGCAACCGATGAGGGAAGGCAAGCAGAGATGAGACTATGAGAGACCTTCTATTTTTATGTTAAAAAAATAAAAAAGAAAAGCAACAATGAGATAAAGAAACACAAGCCTATGTTGCATAAAAATAGTTCTAATACAATCTAAAACCTTTCTGTGTTTGAAGAGTTCACAACCTTTTTTTGGTCTAAGATGCTAAGGTTAACTTTTTATGAGATGGAAAGCTTTTAAACATTGTTCCTTTGCCTTTGGTTCTAACAAGGGAAAAGGACAGTATTAAAATGAATCAAACTTTAAAAATTACAGTGTAATATCTCAGGAACTGTGTAAGGGAGTGAACAAATCAACATAGTCTTTTAACTCAGAAAGCTTGTAATCAAAATGAAGAAAATACTATGAGGCAATGGGAGAGAATGGGAAAACTGTTTGGATTAATAGAATTCTCTTATGTGGCAAATTCCAAATTAATTTTAATATGTGTTTAGTTCTTAGCACTTCTCTAAACTGCTTACACTATTGATTTACTTAATTTTCATAATATATGTGTAATGTCGGTATTATTATATAATCTGTACCTGTGCCTATTTTAAAGACCAGGAGCTGAGGCGTAATGAAGTTAAGTAACTTGCTCAATGTTTCACAGCGTTAACCTGACTTCAAACCCCCGAAAAGTTGGTTTTAATATTTTTCCTTAATCACTACACAGCACTGCATCATATTTCCTCTGATAATGGTTTTAAAGTTACAAATTTTCCACTGCAGCTGTCCTCAGGGCAGTACCAGAGGTGACACAGGCTTGGCGTGGAACTCAGAAACTGCAATTTAAAGTAGCATTCTAAATGATTGTGAGGGAGGCTGTCCCTGGACCATATTTGAAGAAATAGTTCTCTAAAACATAGACTTGTCATTTTAAAGAGTGCAAGGTAATTGTGATGGGTTTTAGTGACACTTATTGGTATTGTAAGAAGAATTATATAGATAGAAGCACTAAACCGGGGTCTGGCATTGCCTCCTGGCCTACTCCTAATTCCCCACAAGGCATTTATGTACCTAGATAAATTTCCCGATGGTACAGGCATGAATGAAGACTTGGCCTGCCACTTCAGGAAACAATTTTCTCATTGCTTCTCTGTGTCATTTATAGAATGAAACGGAGGATGCTTGTCTATCCCAGCCTGCTTGCTAAAATCTTCTAAATCAACTTCATTCTATTACAAGTCTGGTTTTATTTTCTTAATCATATATTTTCAGTTCCAAGACAGGCTATTTTTAAAGCACATTGACACATCTACACTTTGCAATTTTACAACTGCTTTGTTAAAAATAATTCAGAAACATGGGTTACAAGCAGAAAATGATAAAACAAACTTATTGCCAAAATCCACACACAAAGCAACACCCTACATGCAATACTCTTCTATAAATGTATCCCAAATATGTGTATATATTAATTAGCATGTCACTTTATTTAACACCTCTAGTAACTATTTGCACTTTAGCTCCTTGCTTTTGATCTTATCAGTCTGTAGACTATTTAATTTTCTATGCAGCACAGCAAATGCTGCCTCATTGCTCACCCATAAAGGATGGTGAAGTGTATACAGATGAAGTCTGTAGATGAAATATCAAACCAACTTCTCCCATGGCAGATAATCTGAATCCTACTTCTATGTGATAATGTTGTTTTTGCTCTGAGTCCTACATAAAGAAACTGACGCTGACTCAGGGTGAACTGCTGGGAAGGGTAGATGGCATTTCTAGAAGATTGTTGAACATAGTATTAGGATTATATGCAAACTCCTTTCCACAAACACTGAGCTTAGTTGTATTGCTACAAGTATGTTCGGAGGCAATGGGCTTGCTTGCTTTCTTAGTTCCCTCCTTCCTTCCTTCCTTCCTCCTCCCTCCTTCCCTCCCTTCCTTTCTTCTTTCTCTTCCTTTGTTTTCTTTCTTTCTCTCTCTCTGTCTCTTATTTTGAGCTTGCTGTAGATATGTTAATTTTCACTCAATTTCATCTCTATGAAGTAGGGAAGGGAAGCTATTGTTGTATATGTGCTCAGGAATTGCATGGTGCTTAACATTCAGGTTACAATGCACTATTATCATTTTTATAACCCGTTCTACAGGAGAGTTATGGATCCTTGCCAAGTTTATTTGTCGATTGGCTTATTCATTCTGCATAATTAATTAAGCACTTTCTATGTGCAGCTAGGCACTGCACTGGGCTACACTGCCTGTATGTAATGGAATTGGGATTTGCGTGCAGTTTTATTTAACCCCCAGATCCAAAGTCTAATTGTTTTTGTAATAAAACATTGATTTAAAAGTTTCTTCATGTCAGTTATTATCTATTAAACTTTGCAATATTTTCCTTTCTCAAATGAAAGCATTTTACTTTCATCTTGGTTCCCAAGTGTTTTCTAAGAAATTGAGATTTTTTTTAAAAATCCAAATTATAGAAAATCAAAAAGGTTTAAACAGACTAGAGAATTTAGTGCCACTTTTAACTGAAAAGTCCGTGAGATATCTCTTGCTTTGGGGATAGGTATCTAGGTGTTCAAATTATAACATCATGCATTGCTCTATATCATCAATTCCCTCTTCCTTCTCTTTCTTCTCTCTTTTTCTCCTCTGCCTCCATCCCTTCTTTCTTCCTTCTCTCTCCTCTTTTTAGTTCTGTCTTCCTGTGAGTTGGCTAAAGTTCTCAGGTTTCTTATAGTGAATCTTTGAAATTATCTTCAAATTTAGGAGAAATAGAGTATTCTATCTTAATAGTGCTAATAGAATCCTACATTTGAACCACATCAGACCTACTTAGCTCACATACTCATCCCTTTAAAAGACAGAAACAAAACAAAACCAAAACATCAAATTTTTTTTATCAGGTAGACTTGGGTCAGCCTTCTCCTCAGAAGTGGAAAATGGAGCCCCACCTGAAATACACTGTTCAACGAATATTTAGCAAATTTGTATTACACACCTATCATGTGCCAGACATATACCACATGTTGGGGTACAGTGTACACATCAGTGTCTACACTTAAGTTATTTCTGTTATGATGAACACAGAATGGGGCAGTCAATTCCCAAATTAAATCTAAATCATTATTTTAAGAAAAGAGTGTAGATGCTAGTCAAGCCAAAAGCAAAACAATGATCATTACAGGCTGGGAGATGCATTTTTATTAAGAGTAGTTTCATGTTACAGCCAGAAGGAACGATACGCTCCCAGTTCATCCATTTTACAGACAGTGTAACTGAGGCCCAGAGAGGACAAGAAATTCAAAAAGTAATTGAAGACACTGTAGTTGGGTCCCTGGTACCACATTTTGAACTTGAGGTTTCTCATCCTTAAACGAGTATGGTATTTTTCTTTTCTTTAACAGTTTACCCTTTAGCATCTGACATCTACTCACTCACGTAAGTGGCAGAGGATAATGCCCCTGGTGTAGGAGTCAAAGTTTTCTCCTTTCTTGGAAGCAAGACAAATTTCAGCCCCTTTTCTTTTCTCTGTCATTGTTAAGAATTTCTGAACACCATAATCCTTTGGAAAGGTTGAGTGGGTTTTACTCACTCTGTGAAATGTAGAGGGATTTGAATAGGTCTTGAGCTAAAGAAACGAAATCTCTGTTCAGTGTTTCCACTTAAACTAAATTCCCCCTAATATTTCCTTTCAATGCCTGCTTGACTGAACTTTTCTCTACAAGGCTCATTTTTATAAGCAACATTCCAAACACAGCACTCTTATTATCCCAACCACTAATCCTTCTCATTTCTTATGTACTCATATCTTATGTTTGATGATTGCCTGATAAACTATATAGAAAAAAAATTCCAATTTATTATCTCTCATTCTTCCAGGGGGGAAATCCTTAACATACATTACTGATAAGAGCCATTTCCTTTACCCATATTTATTGTAGAGATTTCTTTATTTGCTTCATCGCAGACTTTCATTATTCTAATGCATGTTAGAATCTCCATGATAGATTCTAATGACTTCAAAGACTTGCTAAATCCGTAGATCTACACAAAAATATTGAAGATCTGTATAACCAGGTATTTTCTAAAACAAACAAAACCCATTCAGCATAAAAGTAAAGATTGGTAAATTCAATTATATTAAAATTAAGAACTTCTGTTCATCAAGATGACATGAAGAAATTTGCAGTTTATATAACTGTACATATTTCTCTCCAGAGTTTATCATAACAAACAAATAAACAAACATACATACAAAATTCAATGGGGAAAAGCCATACAACCCAGCTGAAAAGTTTGTAAGGCAAGAATAAGTATTTCACAGGCAGAAACATGATAGGTAAAAAAAAAAAAAAAAAAAAAAAAAAGACTCAGTCAAAGATAGACCATGATGAAGTACTGTTTTGCACCTTTGGATGTATTGGCAAAATTTAAGAAATAAGAGTCTATCAAAGTGTTGGTAAAGCTCGAAAGAAAGAATAACTATCTCCTGAAGCTAAGAGAAGTATAGGTGGTGTATTCACTTAGGAAAACAATTCAGGGTATCATGTAAAAATGATTGTACACGTACCTTACAATGTGGAAATTCCACTCAACTATACAGTTTTAAATCAGCCCTACAGAAATTCCTGCTTATGAGACAAGGACACATGTCAAGGATGGCTTCAGCAGTGTTTGTAACAGTAAATTACTTAAGTTAGAAGGTGGACTCAGGGACTTCTGTTCTATTGCTATGTGTCTTGACTTCTATTTACATTGCATATTTTCTACTAAGCTATCAAATACTGCATTATTTAAAACATCAAAACATAAAAAGTCATGACATGAGGGGCATGAATAATATTCTAAGGGAATTCAGAACAGAGCATCATTACAATATTATTTTAAGAATATGAGAGCAGGAAATTTCTTGTATGTGTGGTAGCATTTTTAAAAGTCCCTGAAGGATGTGTAATTCATTATTTATATCTTGCCTTGTTTTCCAAAAGATTTAAAATTCTTTATAAAAATTTTTATGCAACAAAATTAAAAAATAACGAGGTGCAGAAACCAGGGTTTAAAAAATATTAATGAGCAAAAATAAATAAATAAATAAAGCAAGAAAGGCATACATAAAATCAGCAAATCAGAATTCATGGTATAGTTAGATGTCAATTTGCCTCTAACCAAATGAAGACAAAGATTCTACCAGTTACTATATCAACAGTAATAAGACAGTTAAATGAAAAGACCAGAGATTTTTTGTTTCTTGCTTATTCATTTGCATATTTTGTTTCTTCTGGCACTATTTTCTTTGAAGGAGTTATTGTGGAAAACTGGCAATAGAAGCCATTCTGAACAAAAGGAAAAGAATTATGGATCCAATGTAAAAGTAAGCAAACAAATAAACAAATCAATGGCAGATATAAACAGAAATCAAGGAGGAATTTCATCTGACTTTGCTGCAGACGCTTGATGACAGTTAAAAATGTTCCAAGGACAGACTGAGACCAGGCTCAGAGGAACAGGCTAAGGCAGTGGTGTTTCAACTGTGGTCCCTAGGCCAGAAGCATCAGCACTTCCAAATAACTTTTAAGAAATGCAAACTTTTGGCAACCCCTCAGTCCCTCCGAAATAGAAACCCCACAGATAAGGTCCAGAAATCTGTGTTTTAGCAAACCCTCAGTGGATTCTGATGTATGCTAATGCTTAAGGACCACAGGGTAAGGACTTTGACTTATAAACTCTGTGTGACAGAGGACCACTGAAGGGATTGTTGTCCAGTCCCACATCTCAAGTTCCCATGTCCCTGTATCCCAAGATCCAGGATGGTTTTCAGCTGCTGTCACTTACAAGTGGAACTATGGGCAAAAGTAGATGTTTCTGGCTTCTAGAGCATTTCAATCTTGAAAGAAAATTCTAAAGCAGGCTTTCCCTAGCTCAGCAATTTTGACATTTTGAGCTGGATAATTCTTCAGTTTGGGGGCTTTTCTGTGCATTGTGGGATGGTTATAATGGCATCCCTGCTGTTTCTACCCACCAGATGTCAGTAGCACCCACTCCCTGCCTCCCATCATAAGACAACCAAAAATATCTCCAGACATTGCCAAATATTCTTTAGAGAAGAAAATTTGCCCCAGTCGAGAACAACTCTCTACTAAAGTATTTTCAAACTAAGATGTACAATCTGGCTGTCACTGCACTGCTGGGCAGTGGTACTTTATATATATCCTTAGTGGTAGCAGCACTATATCAAGGTTGAGGCTGGATAGGAAATTCTTCTAAAGAAATGGGTATATACTAGAACAAAGATGATGATGAAACTGACAATGATGATTATGTCACAAAGAAGAGAAAGTGCTTGTAATAATTTAACTGAAAGACCTTGAGGTGTCCCTCCCCCAGAGATAATCCAGAAATTTAAAAAGTTAATTTCAGAACCTTTACAAGATAACAAAAAGAACATTCATTAAAGTCAGTGTCACCCAAGGAGAATTGATTTTTGTTAACTTTTATTTTAGGTTCAGGGGTACATATGTAGGTTTGTTATATAGGTAAACTGCATGTCTCAGAGGTTTGGTGTACAGATAATTTTATAACCCTGGTAATAAGCACAGTACCCTATAGGTATTTTTTCTGATGCTCTCCCTCCTCTCACTCTCCATTCTCAAGTAGGCCCCAGTGTCTGTTTTCCCCTCCTGGTTTTCATGTGTTCTTGTTGTTTAGATTCCACTTATAAGTGAGAACATGTGGTATTTGTTTTTCTGTTCCTGTGTTACTTTCCCTAGGATTGTTGTCTCCAGCTCCATCCATGTTTCTGCAAAGGACATGATCTTATTCTTTTTTATGGCTGCATAGTATTCCTTGGTGTATATGCACCAAATTTTATCCAGTCTACTGTTGATGGACATTTAGGTTAATTCCATGTCTTTGCTATTTTGAATAGTGCTGCAATAAAGATAAATATGCTTGTATCTTTAGGGTAGAGCAATTTTTATTCCTTTGGGGATGTAACCAAAAATGGATTGCTGAGTTGAATGGTAATTCTGTTTCAAGTTATTTGAGGAATTGCCACACTGCTTTCCACAATGGCTGAATTAACTTACACTACCACCAGCGGTGCATAAGCATTCCATATTCTCCACAACCTTGTAAGTGATACAGGATTTTTTGCTCCTTAGTTCAGCTAAAATCCAGATTCTTGTCACATGACCAGGAAAAATGAGGCATGCAGACATATCAAAAGGTAAGGAGAATGGAGTTTATTAAAAGAAAGCTCTCGGTGAAAAAACAAGGTCCTGCCAACAGTCTCCCACCTCACAGATTGAATTCCAGACAACTACACACAAGCTAAAGAGGCCAGGCTCGTCCCCGCTGCATAAGGCGTGAATTCCCAGTGATTCCACTCCATTCTCGCAGTGCGCAGGCGGGCCCAAGTCCATTGTGGATGCCCACACAAGGCCTTGGGCAGGTTTCCTCATCTGCACAAAAGCATCTGATGTAAACTCTCGTGGGGTGGGTCAGAGATTCTCTGGGATCCTCCCTTATCTGCCTCCTGCATCTATCACCAGCATCTGTTATTTTTTGACTTTTAATAGCCAAAATAAATAATAGCCATTCTGACTGGTGTGAGATGGTATCTCACTGGGATTTTGACTTTCATTTCTCTAATGATTAGTGATAATGAACATTTTTTTCATAAGCTTGCTGGCCACATGTATGTCTTCTTTTGAAAAGTGTTTGTTTATGTCTTTTGCCCACTTTTTAAGGAAGTTGTTTGCTTTTTGCTTGTAAATTTGTTTAAGTTATAGATCCTGGATATTAGAACTTTTTTGGATGCTGTATTAGTCAAAGTTCTTTGAAGGGACAGAACTAATGGAATATATGTATATATGAAAGGAAGTTTATTGGGCTCACAGGATCACAGGCAAAGTTCCACCACAGGCCATCTGCAAACTGAGAAAGAAACCAGTAGTGTCTCAGTCCAAGTCCAAAAGCCTCAAAAGCGGGAAGCCAACAGTGCAGCTGTCAGTCTGCAGCCAAAGGCCCAAGAGACCCTGAAAAACCACAGGTGTAAGTCCAAGAGTCCCAAGGCAGAAGAATCTGGAGTCTGATGTCCAAGAGCAGGGGAACAGACAGAAGCATCCAGCACAGGAGAAAGATGAAAGCCAGAAGACTCAGCAAGCCAGATTATCTGACCTTCTTCTGCCTGCTTTGTTCTAGCCTTGCTGGCAGTACAATGGATGGTACCTACCTACATTGAGGTTGGGTCTTCCTTTCCTGGTCCACTGACTCAAATGTCAATCTCCTCTGCCAACACCCTCACAGATTCACCCAGAAACAATACCAGCTATCTAGGCATCCTTCAGTCCAATTAAGTTGACATCTAATATTAACCATCACAAGTCCACTGCTTGTCAACTTGGCATTTATACACAATTCCTGAAATCCTACTTAATCTCCAAAAAAGGCAATAATAAGGTCATAATTATGTCTAACATAATATAGCTATCCTTTGTACAACCAGAATTGCACTAATTATTAACCTAAATGATATTACATAAAGTTAACAAGACTTAAATGCTGATATGAAGTCAATAAATCTTATATCTCATCATAAAGAAAAAAGAAAAGAAATAAAATGAAGATATTTTCTTAGTACAAGTGTATACATCCACAAACATATTCTTAACAAAATAAGGACGAAATACTAATGACAATTACAGTTCTCATTTTTGCAACTGGTCACATGGCCGTAGCTGGTGTTGATAACTACCTTCTTGTACTACCCATTCTGTAATCCCTTTGCCTTCAGCAAGCACCTGGGCTGGTTATGGTTTTTTAACTGCTGGAGTGACCCAAACCTTTATTCTTGAAGGCCCTGGGCCATTTGTAGTCCTGCCTGGATTGGGCTGTTGCAGTTGCCCATTGACCTTAATCACAGAGCATGGTAATAGTAAGAGATGCCCTAAGGGATCTCCTGTATTCCAGACATATCCATCCTTACTTCCGTTGCAAGTAATAGTCTGATTTCATCTTGATAGTCTGGGTTAATCACTCCAGTCAACACTGTAACTCTCTTCTTAGCCCTAGAGGCAGGAGGAGCCCAAAGTGTCCAGGTGGCAATCATAACTTCCAGTTGAATGGAATCATTGTTGTGTATTCTGGTGGCAGTGTTCCTTCCTTTGGAACTAAGACCTCTGGGCCAGCAGAACATAATGCCATGGGAACAGGAAGCAAAAGTCTTGCTAGTGGGTCACTAGGGGTGATGGTGAGTGATGCCACTTCCACATCCACCCCTTGACTCCTGGACCATGAATCCTGGCTGCGGAAGAAACAGTACCATATTTTGAATGCTGATTTAGAACATACACAGCATTCTGGAGAACTTTGCCCCCAGCCCTGCAAAGTATTGTCACCTAGTTGGCATTGTAATTGTGACTTCAAAAGACCATTCCACCGTTCTGTCACTCCAGTTGCTTCAGGATGATGGGGAGCATGGTAATACCACAGTGAATACCATAAGCATGGGCCCACTGCTGAACTTCTTTAGCCATAAAGTGAGTGCCTTGGTCTGAGGCAATGCTGTTTGGAATACCGTGGTGCTGGATATGGTGGGAACTAACTTTGGGAAGGAATTCAGTTCATGGTTAGACTCTGAAACAAAATTGATAACAGCCTTTTCTCAAAAAGACCCCTTTCTTGCCTGGTGACCAGTCTACCTTTGCGGGACTAATAAATTCGCACAAGATTAGAAATTACAGTTTAGGGGACTTGCAGCCTCTGACTCCAAGAGTCTGAACTTCCCCAAAATGCTCCTGGGGGTAACATCACTATTGTAAAACCTAAGGTTAGTGCTTGAGATATGTTGCAGACCCTGCACTCGATAGATCAGTTGACATCACCCAGACCAGTAATCTGGCCCAATCAGTTCTGCCATTGCACCCAGAAACAGAACACATTAAGAAAACCTAACTTCGACCCCTTATGATTCCATCTCCAACCTGATCAATGAACACTCCCCACCTCCCAAGCCCCTACCCCCCAAATTATCTTTAAAAACTCTGATCCCGGAATGCTTGCTTCGGGGAGACTGATTTGATTAATAGTAAAACTCTGGTCTCTCACACAGCCAGCTCTGTGTGAATTACTCTTCTCTATTGCAATTCTCCTGTCTTGGTAAATAGGTTCTCTCTAGGCAGCGGGCAAGGTGAAGCCATAGAGCAATGGAAGAGAGTCAATTTTAAAAGGATTTTAGATGATAGCAGCCTTTAAATTTGAGTGTGCAGTTATCTTAGGAGTGAGTTTAACATTCAGATTCTTAGGCCTTACTCTCAGATATTTTGATTTATTAGTCCTGGTTGAGACCCAGGAAATATCATTTTAATAAGCACCCGAGGAACTTTTGACCAAGTGTATACTGGAGGTACACCCCAAGAAACATTGCTCTTTAGAATTAATAATGAGAGCACTGAATCTAGAGAAAGCTGAGTTACCTTGCTAATTAAGAAACACTTCCTTTACAAATACATGTTTTAATCTGGACTATTTACTGCTACCTTCTATTTACATGAGCAGACAGATGATAATGTAAATAAGTGAAGCAGCCCTGATGTATAACAATGGATATTGATGGGAATTGTGGGTAATTAAAATAGGGCAGTTGCTAGTAAGTAAAGGCGATCATTGCCAAGACAAAATAAGATTATCAGTGCCAGATCTCCTAATATTTAAACACAAACTGAAATTTAGTCCTTTAAATTGGAAAAAAAATTCATTATTCACAACTTAATTTTTGTTCAGGCTCTTAACTTTTCAGGCTGGATTTGGACTGCAAATAAATTTGTTGTGACACCAGCAGTAAAGAAGCCAGTTTACCCAAGGCAACACTGGGGGGACAAATCACAGTAGGAGGACCCATGTCTACGCTGAAGGCTTCCTTGACTTCCTTCTGCATTGTACACACAAATCTCTCACTGTTTTTTGTTTGCTTTTGTTTTTCGAGTGTCACTGCTGAAACGGTCAGTATGTAAATGTATCTATACTTGTACAACCAGTGTGTTGGCTTGAAGAGAGGAAAGGAAAAAGATGTCAAGGGGAAGGGAGGCCTTTTCAGCTCTGTATCCTAATGTTTCTGTGGAGACTGCCTCTATTGCATGCACTAGACACAGGCATCTGAGTTCCCTGTGGATATTAACAATCTAAGAGAGCAGGCAGAGACAAAACTGGGAGAGGGGCAAAAAGACACACAGCACTGGGGGAGTTTGCCAGAGTGCCAATCAGTCCAAGCTCTATGCTTATGTACGTAAGTGTGCTCAACTTGTGTACAAGCTGGAAGGTGGAGGCCAGAAATGGGTGAAATTAATAATAGTAGTTATCGATTATGAAGTGTCTAGTATTAATACATACCAGGTACCGAGCTAACCCCTGAACATACATACAGACAGACAGATGGACAGATGAACACAGATATTGCTTTAGACATCTGTTCTCAGACATTCAAGTCCAAAGTCATGAGGTCAAACAGAGGTCAAATAGAATGTTCCTATAGGCAACACTCATTCCCGATGTAACGCATTTCTCTAATTCTCAAATGCAATTCATTTTAGGACAAATGTAAATTTAATGATAGCTTTATCATTATTACTATTCACAGATAAGGAATTACTAGCCCATAAAGGTAAATACAAAATCCTGAAATAAATAATGTATGTGTGTGTGTGTGTGTGTGTGTGTGTGTGTGTGTGTGGTATGTGTGGTGTGTTTGTGTATAAAGTATCTTTAAATTGAGAAAATGCAGTTCTATTTCCTGAGAAAAAAGTCTCTGGAGCACCATGAAACCCTATCCATTGCAGCGGCCTGTAAGCAAGAAATGCACAGAAATTCCCAGGCAGCATTTTCACAGAATTAGAGGACTTTGGTAATTCTGTCATCTTCACGTGTTTTTGAAATTACAAATAAAGGCAGAAATAGCTTAAGAAGGGAAGTATTATTATTGAGGAAAGTTATGCCATCAAAACTGAGGTTTAAGAATTTGCATATGGAGACCTCGAAGACTTTCTGCATTTCAAATAACATTATTGGTACAAGAAAGTGCCCAGGACATTAGCCTTTGGATTGGGCATTTACACAGAGCCCCGAAGAAGACACACATTGGAAGCAGAACCTGGCAATGAAAAAGAATCAGTACCAAGATAATTTTTCTAAGCATGTCCTCATAATTATTCCCTTATTATTTGATATCAGTGTTTCACAATTATTAAGGTTGGGAGCAGGAACATTTTTCCTCACAGAGGACTGGCCCAAGAATGTAGAATGTTTACTGTCTCTATTCATTATCCACAATAAGTAAATGTTGTCATCACCAGGCCTAAACAAATAAATAAATAAATACCCCTGGCTATCAAATGCTTCTTATTAGGGCAGAACCACCACATTTAAAAATTACTACTTTGTTGTATCTGTGTACTGTTAATTGATTAAGTATGTGGTAAAATACCTGTTTAAAAAACTGTGGTATAGTCATGCGTCACTTAATGAAGAAGTTGTGTTCCGCAAAATGCATCGCTAGGCAATTTTGTCTTTGTGTGCACATCATACGGTATATTTACACAAATGTAGATAGTATATTCCATCATGATACACCAAAGCTATAGGGTATAGCCTATTGCTTCTAGGCTATGAACTTGCACAGCATGTTACTGTACTGAATACTCTACACAACTGTAAGACAATGGTAAGTATTTGTGTATCTAAACATAGAAAAAATACAATAAAAACATGCTATTATAATCTTATGGGACCATCTTCATATATGTGGTCCATTCTTGACCAAAATGTTGTCTTGAGGTGCATGACTGTACTTATTTCATGAGAGTCACTCAAATAATCTTGTTTGAGCTAACAACATCTAAAGAAAATAAACTATTCACGTATGATTAAAAATAAGTAACTGAGTATCATCAATCCACCAGTATTGATTCTCATGACTGTGGAGGATTGTGGGTCTGCCATGTGTGCATGGCCAGCCTCTGCCTTCACGCTCCTAAACTGAGAACAACCAAAGAGAGCCTCCGTCTGTTTGGTAATTACACTGATATGATTCACTAAAAGTCATCTTTGTTGTCACTTCTATTTAATTCCAGGGCTTGAAAAGAAGCAATTCCAAGATTTCTATTTCATTCATTCCAACCAAATTATAATCTCAATGCAAGTTCAACAAAATTATATTTATATCAATTGTAATTATTGCACTGTGCTAAATGTTTATAAAAAATAATAACCATGACATGGTATGAATCTCAAAAAACTCGTATTCTAGTAGGGAATAAGCACATGGGGCCAACAAATAATGAGTATAGAGTGTAATCAATTAAAGGAGATGACAGTACAATCCTGAGGCAACATAGAAGAGAATATCTCGATCATAGATAGAGAAAGCATTTTAAAAGGTACTCAAATGCTGAGCTCAGAACGATAAATAGGCATGTATCACATAAACAGGGAGTTTTTTGTTCTAAGCATAGTGATTGGCATATGGAAAGATAAGAGCCCTTTAACCAACATAGTTTGTGGAACAAAAGATATTCTAATACTTCTATAAAGAAGATCAAAGAGTAGTAGGAGATTAGCCTAAAGATAGAATCAGATTCAGCTCATTTAGGACCTAACACATGTAAAATAAGAATTTCATCCAATTGCGTAAAACCCTCAAATGGATCTCCACTAATATAGAATATACTCAGTAATTAAAAGGAATGGACATGCAACACCAAGAATGAAGCTCATAATAATTATGCTGAGTAAAATAAACCAGTGTATCTGGAAAATATAAACTAATCTACAGTAACATAAAGCAAATCAGTGGGAGGAGCCAAGATGGCCGAATAGGAACAGCTCCGGTCTACAGCTCCCAGCGTGAGCGACGCAGAAGACGGGTGATTTCTGCATTTCCATCTGAGGTACCGGGTTCATCTCAATAGGGAGTGCCA
This sequence comes from Homo sapiens, assembly GCF_000001405.40. NCBI lineage: Eukaryota > Metazoa > Chordata > Mammalia > Primates > Hominidae > Homo > Homo sapiens. Next base: position 19,083,803 of record NC_000004.12, on the reverse strand, counting down.
GACAGTGGGCGCAGGCCAGTGTGTGTGCGCACCGTGCGCAAGCCGAAGCAGGGCGAGGCATTGCCTCACCTGGGAAGCGCAAGGGGTCAGGGAGTTCCCTTTCCGAGTCAAAGAAAGGGGTGACGGACGTACCTGGAAAATCGGGTCACTCCCACCCGAATATTGCGCTTTTCAGACCGGCTTAAGAAACGGCGCACCACGAGACTATATCCCACACCTGGCTCAGAGGGTCCTACGCCCACGGAATCTCGCTGATTGCTAGCACAGCAGTCTGAGATCAAACTGCAAGGCGGCAACGAGGCTGGGGGAGGGGCGCCCGCCATTGCCCAGGCTTGCTTAGGTAAACAAAGCAGCCGGGAAGCTCGAACTGGGTGGAGCCCACCACAGCTCAAGGAGGCCTGCCTGCCTCTGTAGGCTCCACCTCTGGGGGCAGGGCACAGACAAACAAAAAGACAGCAATAACCTCTGCAGACTTAAGTGTCCCTGTCTGACAGCTTTGAAGAGAGCAGTGGTTCTCCCAGCACGCAGCTGGAGATCTGAGAACGGGCAGACTGCCTCCTCAAGTGGGTCCCTGACCCCTGACCCCCGAGCAGCCTAACTGGGAGGCACCCCCCAGCAGGGGCACACTGACACCTCACACGGCAGGGTATTCCAACAGACCTGCAGCTGAGGGTCCTGTCTGTTAGAAGGAAAACTAACAACCAGAAAGGACATCTACACCGAAAACCCATCTGTACATCACCATCATCAAAGACCAAAAGTAGATAAAACCACAAAGATGGGGAAAAAACAGAACAGAAAAACTGGAAACTCTAAAACGCAGAGCGCCTCTCCTCCTCCAAAGGAACGCAGTTCCTCACTAGCAACAGAACAAAGCTGGATGGAGAATGATTTTGACGAGCTGAGAGAAGAAGGCTTCAGACGATCAAATTACTCTGAGCTACGGGAGGACATTCAAACCAAAGGCAAAGAAGTTGAAAACTTTGAAAAAAATTTAGAAGAATGTATAACTAGAATAACCAATACAGAGAAGTGCTTAAAGGAGCTGATGGAGCTGAAAACCAAGGCTCGAGAACTACGTGAAGAATGCAGAAGCCTCAGGAGCCGATGCGATCAACTGGAAGAAAGGGTATCAGCAATGGAAGATGAAATGAATGAAATGAAGCGAGAAGGGAAGTTTAGAGAAAAAAGAATAAAAAGAAATGAGCAAAGCCTCCAAGAAATATGGGACTATGTGAAAAGACCAAATCTACGTCTGATTGGTGTACCTGAAAGTGATGTGGAGAATGGAACCAAGTTGGAAAACACTCTGCAGGATATTATCCAGGAGAACTTCCCCAATCTAGCAAGGCAGGCCAACGTTCAGATTCAGGAAATACAGAGAACGCCACAAAGATACTCCTCGAGAAGAGCAACTCCAAGACACATACTTGTCAGATTCACCAAAGTTGAAATGAAGGAAAAAATGTTAAGGGCAGCCAGAGAGAAAGGTCAGGTTACCCTCAAAGGAAAGCCCATCAGACTAACAGCGGATCTCTCGGCAGAAACCCTACAAGCCAGAAGAGAGTGGGGGCCAATATTCAACATTCTTAAAGAAAAGAATTTTCAACCCAGAATTTCATATCCAGCCAAACTAAGCTTCATAAGTGAAGGAGAAATAAAATACTTTATAGACAAGCAAATGCTGAGAGATTTTGTCACCACCAGGCCTGCCCTAAAAGAGCTCCTGAAGGAATCACTAAACATGGAAAGGAACAACCGGTACCAGCCGCTGCAAAATCATGCCAAAATGTAAAGACCATCGAGACTAGGAAGAAACTGCATCAACTAATGAGCAAAATCACCAGCTAACATCATAATGACAGGATCAAATTCACACATAACAATATTAACTTTAAATATAAATGGACTAAATTCTGCAATTAAAAGACACAGACTGGCAAGTTGGATAAAGAGTCAAGACCCATCAGTGTGCTGTATTCAGGAAACCCATCTCACGTGCAGAGACACACATAGGCTCAAAATAAAAGGATGGAGGAAGATCTACCAAGCAAATGGAAAACAAAAAAAGGCAGGGGTTGCAATCCTAGTCTCTGATAAAACAGACTTCAAACCAACGAAGATCAAAAGAGACAAAGAAGGCCATTACATAATGGTAAAGGGATCAATTCAACAAGAGGAGCTAACTATCCTAAATATTTATGCACCCAATACAGGAGCACCCAGATTCATAAAGCAAGTCCTCAGTGAGCTACAAAGAGACTTAGACTCCCACACATTAATAATGGGAGACTTTAACACCCCACTGTCAACATTAGACAGATCAACGAGACAGAAAGTCAACAAGGATACCCAGGAATTGAACTCAGCTCTGCACCAAGCAGACCTAATAGACATCTACAGAACTCTCCACCCCAAATCAACAGAATATACATTTTTTTCAGCACCACACCACACCTATTCCAAAATTGACCACATAGTTGGAAGTAAAGCTCTCCTCAGCAAATGTAAAAGAACAGAAATTATAACAAACTATCTCTCAGACCACAGTGCAATCAAACTAGAACTCAGGATTAAGAATCTCACTCAAAGCCGCTCAACTACATGGAAACTGAACAACCTGCTCCTGAATGACTACTGGGTACATAACGAAATGAAGGCAGAAATAAAGATGTTCTTTGAAACCAACGAGAACAAAGACACCACATACCAGAATCTCTGGGATGCATTCAAAGCAGTGTGTAGAGGGAAATTTATAGCACTAAATGCCTACAAGAGAAAGCAGGAAAGATCCAAAATTGACACCCTAACATCACAATTAAAAGAACTAGAAAAGCAAGAGCAAACACATTCAAAAGCTAGCAGAAGGCAAGAAATAACTAAAATCAGAGCAGAACTGAAGGAAATAGAGACACAAAAAACCCTTCAAAAAATCAATGAATCCAGGAGCTGGTTTTTTGAAAGGATCAACAAAATTGATAGACCGCTAGCAAGACTAATAAAGAAAAAAAGAGAGAAGAATCAAATAGACACAATAAAAAATGATAAAGGGGATATCACCACCGATCCCACAGAAATACAAACTACCATCAGAGAATACTACAAACACCTCTATGCAAATAAACTAGAAAATCTAGAAGAAATGGATACATTCCTCGACACATACACTCTCCCAAGACTAAACCAGGAAGAAGTTGAATCTCTGAATAGACCAATAACAGGCTCTGAAATTGTGGCAATAATCAATAGTTTACCAACCAAAAAGAGTCCAGGACCAGATGGATTCACAGCCGAATTCTACCAGAGGTACAAGGAGGAACTGGTACCATTCCTTCTGAAACTATTCCAATCAATAGAAAAAGAGGGAATCCTCCCTAACTCATTTTATGAGGCCAGCATCATTCTGATACCAAAGCCGGGCAGAGACACAACCAAAAAAGAGAATTTTAGACCAATATCCTTGATGAACATTGATGCAAAAATCCTCAATAAAATACTGGCAAACCGAATCCAGCAGCACATCAAAAAGCTTATCCACCATGATCAAGTGGGCTTCATCCCTGGGATGCAAGGCTGGTTCAATATACGCAAATCAATAAATGTAATCCAGCATATAAACAGAGCCAAAGACAAAAACCACATGATTATCTCAATAGATGCAGAAAAAGCCTTTGACAAAATTCAACAACCCTTCATGCTAAAAACTCTCAATAAATTAGGTATTGATGGGACGTATTTCAAAATAATAAGAGCTATCTATGACAAACCCACAGCCAATATCATACTGAATGGGCAAAAACTGGAAGCATTCCCTTTGAAAACTGGCACAAGACAGGGATGCCCTCTCTCACCGCTCCTATTCAACATAGTGTTGGAAGTTCTGGCCAGGGCAATCAGGCAGGAGAAGGAAATAAAGGGTATTCAATTAGGAAAAGAGGAAGTCAAATTGTCCCTGTTTGCAGACGACATGATTGTTTATCTAGAAAACCCCATCATCTCAGCCCAAAATCTCCTTAAGCTGATAAGCAACTTCAGCAAAGTCTCAGGATACAAAATCAATGTACAAAAATCACAAGCATTCTTATACACCAACAACAGACAAACAGAGAGCCAAATCATGGGTGAACTCCCATTCACAATTGCTTCAAAGAGAATAAAATACTTAGGAATCCAACTTACAAGGGATGTGAAGGACCTCTTCAAGGAGAACTACAAACCACTGCTCAAGGAAATAAAAGAGGACACAAACAAATGGAAGAACATTCCATGCTCATGGGTAGGAAGAATCAATATCGTGAAAATGGCCATACTGCCCAAGGTAATTTACAGATTCAATGCCATCCCCATCAAGCTACCAATGACTTTCTTCACAGAATTGGAAAAAACTACTTTAAAGTTCATATGGAACCAAAAAAGAGCCCGCATTGCCAAGTCAATCCTAAGCCAAAAGAACAAAGCTGGAGGCATCACACTACCTGACTTCAAACTATACTACAAGGCTACAGTAACCAAAACAGCATGGTACTGGTACCAAAACAGAGATATAGATCAATGGAACAGAACAGAGCCCTCAGAAATAATGCCGCATATCTACAACTATCTGATCTTTGACAAACCTGAGAAAAACAAGCAATGGGGAAAGGATTCCCTATTTAATAAATGGTGCTGGGAAAACTGGCTAGCCATATGTAGAAAGCTGAAACTGGATCCCTTCCTTACACCTTATACAAAAATCAATTCAAGATGGATTAAAGACTTAAATGTTAGACCTAAAACCATAAAAACCCTAGAGGAAAACCTAGGCATTACCATTCAGGACATAGGCGTGGGCAAGGACTTCATGTCCAAAACACCAAAAGCAATGGCAACAAAAACCAAAATTGACAAATGGGATCTAATTAAACTAAAGAGCTTTTGCACAGCAAAAGAAACTACCATCAGAGTGAACAGGCAACCTACAACATGGGAGAAAATTTTTGCAACCTACTCATCTGACAAAGGGCTAATATCCAGAATCTACAATGAACTCAAACAAATTTACAAGAAAAAAACAAACAACCCCATCAAAAAGTGGGCGAAGGACATGAACAGACACTTCTCAAAAGAAGACATTTATGCAGCCAAAAAACACATGAAAAAAATGCTCATCATCACTGGCCATCAGAGAAATGCAAATCAAAACCACTATGAGATATCATCTCACACCAGTTAGAATGGCAATCATTAAAAAGTCAGGAAACAACAGGTGCTGGAGAGGATGTGGAGAAATAGGAACACTTTTACACTGTTGGTGGGACTGTAAACTAGTTCAACCATTGTGGAAGTCAGTGTGGCGATTCCTCAGGGATCTAGAACTAGAAATACCATTTGACCCAGCCATCCCATTACTGGGTATATACCCAAAGGACTATAAATCATGCTGCTATAAAGACACATGCACACGTATGTTTATTGCGGCACTATTCACAATAGCAAAGACTTGGAACCAACCCAAATGTCCAACAATGATAGTCTGGATTAAGAAAATGTGGCACATATACACCATGGAATACTATGCAGCCATAAAAAATGATGAGTTCATATCCTTTGTAGGGACATGGATGAAATTGGAAACCATCATTCTCAGTAAACTATCGCAAGAACAAAAAACCAAACACTGCATATTCTCACTCATAGGTGGGAATTGAACAATGAGATCACATGGACACAGGAAGGGGAATATCACACTCTGGGGACTGTGGTGGGGTCGGGGGAGGGGGGAGGGATAGCATTGGGAGATATACCTAATGCTAGATGACACATTAGTGGGTGCAGTGCACCAGCATGGCACATGTATACATATGTAACTAACCTGCACAATGTGCACATGTACCCTAAAACTGAGAGTATAATAAAAAAAAAAAAAATAAAAAAAAAAAAAAAAATAAAAAAAAGAAAAAAAAAAAAAAAAAAAAAAAAAAAAAAGCAAATCAGTGGTTGCTTGGGGATGGAGGTGGGAGTGACATGGGAGGGCAGGAGAGAGAGATGACAAAGGAGTGCAAGGAAGCTTTTGAGATTGATGGATATGTTTACTCTCTTGATTGTGGGAGGGTTTCATGGACGTATTTATGTCAGAAATTATGAAATTATACATGTTAAACATGTATCATGTATTGTATGCCAATTATACCTTAACAAAGTTGTCAAAAATTGAACAAACAAGCATTATGCATTGCTTTTTTCTGCCTAACAGCTCTGTGAGAATGTACATAGAACCCAAAATAATAGTTTCCTATTAGAGTGGTGTAAGAACTGGGTGAATGGGGCCCAGGGAGGAAGGAGATTTTTCACTTACCCCTTAATTCAATTAATCAAATATTTAGTATCTTCTACGTGACAAATACTGCAATTGACATTAAAGATACACTAGTAAACAATACTTTAAAACTCTCTATACTAGAGAAGTATATGGAATTACATAATCATGTAATTTAATGTAAAATATTAATAGAAAATTACAATTTTTACTTTAGTTGTAGCATTTATTTCTAAAATTATCTATGATTATATATTAAATATAATTGTAACATTCCATATATCGATATTATCTAAATATCTATCTAATTATCTAAATATCTAATATCTAATTAGGTATTTATCTCTATATATAGATAGATATTTATATATGATATATAAATATCTATATATATATTACAATTATATTTGTAATATATAGATAAGACATGATAGGTAATATTATAGATAGATAATATTATGTTACTATGTATAATTATATTATATATTGTATATTATATATAATTATAATATACATTATAGTATTATAATGTTATATAATAATATAATGTTATGTATTATTATATCTATGGATATAATATGATAATAGATGTCTATCTATAGTTCCTCCTTCCTAGAGTGACTTTTCTGGCCTTTTACTTATCCACCTTTTAAATTGTTTATTCTCAAGGCAGATCTAAAGTGCTCCCTCCTTGTGAAGTCTTTCGTAAGCTCAGCTGTACACTGAGACCTTCTTGTGTGTTCTCACAAAGCCTCAACTATACTTCAACCAAGTAAGAGGTTAAACTTTCCTTCACTTATTTATTGACCTGTGCCTCTTTCACTAGAGTGTCATCTTTACAAAAGCCATCATGTGTGTATTCTGAGCAGTCATTAAAGAGCCCAACGCACTGGTATATACTCAGCGAAAGAATTAATGCAATGTTTCTCATTCTTGCCTTAGTCCCTACATTCTAAGACAAGATGTAGATAGCAAAGAGGTATTGTCTGCTGTGCCAATCCCAGTCTTCCAGGGTTGGAAAGCAGCAGTGTATCAACCAGAACCTCAGTGGTGTTTCTGAGTTCCACAGGACAAAGGATCATGTTTGTAAGAGGATATTAGGATATAAGCACCATATACTTGTGATTTCTAGATTTATGAATGGGCAACTAAAACATTGTATGAAACATTTTAAATCAGTTTTTCTATCCAAAATGGAGGACCACCATCTTTTTCTAGAAAGCATTTTTTGTTGTTGTTTTGTTGTTGTTGTTGTTTGTTTCTATTTTCCATTTTGGGCGCTAAAATTGAGATGCCCTTCAGCTTCTCACACGTCCTTGTTTAGAAGAGAATATAAAGCAGTAACAGATATATGGCTCTATAAAAAATAAACTTTAAATTGGGGGCGGCTGAGAGACAGGAAGAGAGAAAACGAAAATACAGGGAGATAACTTAGTGGAAGCTGGATAAAGAAATAGGAGGCGTGAGAATTCACCCTGCCAGGAAAGGCCAAAGCATTATAGGTGCTGAATGCCAGATTCTGTGGAAAACATGCCCTGCATGGCTAATACTTCGTGAATAATAAGGAATTTCATCTACACTCTGAGTCAGGTCAAAGAGAAGAGAATGGCCACAAGAATCATTGACACCAATTAGGTAGAGAGTTTAGTGTAAACCACAAGAACACAGAGATGTAAGTGACCATAAATATGTAGCAGCTACACAAATTTTATAGAAGCAACGGATTTTCACAAGGCATGATAGAGGAACCAAAATAATTTTATGAAAATATCAAAGGACAGGATGATCTGGGTTACAAAGAGCATAATAGGCTCACATAATTCTTTACAGATTACAATAGGGTTTTGATGATTATTTTAGTGAATTTCTATGATGATTCTGGAAGGTAAGCAAGTTAGAAACTATTGTCCATTTGGAAGGAAATGAAACTTCCAGTAGTTAAAAATCATCCTGGAGCCAGTAATTATGGGAGGGTCAATATAACAGGCCTCTGCCTCCCCTGCTCTCTTCCCATCTCTCTCTCCTTTTCCTCTTCCTCTTTCTCTGCCCATTCCCCTTCTTTTTCCCTCCTCCCTCCTTTCCTTCCTTCTTTCCGTTCCTTCCCCTTCCCTTTCCTTCCTTCTTTCTTCCTTTTCTTTTTTTCTCTTTCTTTTTTTCTATTGCTATTTCCACTATACCAGACTGAGCTTATGTGAGTCTTCATTTAATAGTTTAAAATTTATACCTCAGTGGTCATAGTTTTGATAGTTTTGAACACTAGTGGTAAACATACACAGCTTTAGATGAAGTTATAGGAAGTAAAGAAGATAAAGCCTCTTTTTTTATAGTAGGGATACACAATATGTGATTTACTTTTTGAAAAATCACTGTGTAATATAAATGTATATGTTGTCATTAATTTTTATTTTGCTGCAGGAATTAAGCACAGTGAAAGACTATGATGGCATAGGTCTGGCTTGATTATCTTTAACGACTTAAACTTTTACTAAAATGGGGCTTCTTGGGGTTTTATATGTATTCATACACTAGTGTCTATAATATATTTATATATGTGTATATACCTACACACACACATGTAATTTTAAACAAACAATTTTAAACCAAAGCAGAGAAATTCCCTGTTTACTTTTGTGGTCTTTTGATTGGATTAGGAAATTGCATTTATAAAGGCCCCTTTGACCAGGAATAATTTTGTAATCTGGATGGGAAATTTCTTTCTTCTTTGATGAAGACAATTTTTTTTTTCTTTTTATGGGAACTAAACTATTCTTCAATTCCCCTGGTGGGATATAAATTAATATACTAGAACAGAGTTTACCCTCAACAGCTGCAAGTTGCACCTGTGCAGTGTTTTTTTAATCCTTTTTCGCCACAGTGTGATAGAGAAAAAAGCAGGGGGAAATGCTTTATGGGACCTTCCAACTGAGATGCTTAATGCATTATTAGGAACAGAAATCCTCAGTGGGATTTAGCCATGCCTATTAGGAATTAGGCTTAGAGAACCAAATATGAAAAGTATATAAAATGTTCTAACCCTGCACTGAGATTGGCAGTAGAATCCACAGTGGTCATTTTCTGGTTTCTCTCCAAATTGTCATACTAAGTTTCCCCAGATAATTTTATCTTCTGCCTTCTTTCATCCATAGCCTATAGAGCAGAGGCATTTATAACACCACCCTGGCATTGTGTGAGCATCATTGGCTAAGACAGAGCACACAATCAGCTTTGCTGTGTGCCCGCTCCGCATCATTAAGCATTAATGAAGTGTTCTCTAATTGTTTCTCATTCCCAGCTCCCAGGCTCTTTATTGCTTGGTACTCCTGTGCAGCTACCCTTGGAAGTCAAGCTAATTCTTTTAACTATTGAGATGGCAGACACACTCTTTCCTGTGGAATTAATGTCATTAACCTGAGATGAATTGGAAGGCAAAGGAAGAAGGATGTTTCTGATCATGCCTATCTAAAAACATCCTCATTTTTGCTGTTAGTTGCCAGTTCTTTCACCTCTGAATTGCAAACTCTGTCACTAACTTTCAACTTTGTGTGAAGACCTATGCCAACTACCAAAACTATCTGCATCATTGATGGCTATTTAGATAATTTTTCAGCAATAAATATGAATACATGTTTAAGACTTCTGGGGAAACTAGAGAAAACCTTGTAAATAATGTATATGAACATAAAATTGTTTGGTAAATACAGAAGATTAAAAGGAGTCAACTAATTTACACCAGCACACAGAAAGAAAAACACTTCAAATGCCTCATATATTGATATATGTATTTTTCTTAAAAACTGACATAAGTATCTCAGCAAAAAAAAATTTTACAATCCCTCCCATAAGAAATAGAAGTAATGATAAACTTATATGTATGCGTTGGAGGTGGGAGGGAACTTTCATTGCTGACTACTAGAAAAGAAGTAAAAAGAGCAAATGCTAACAAAGACTGTTGCCACACTTGACAGTTTAATAAGTGGAGATTATGAGAGTATTATTATCTTAGCAGATTATTTCATCTCACCCAGGATCTCAAGTGGCAAATCTAGCTTAGAATTCAGTGCCAACTTTTACCTTAGACATATTTGGGGACCTGAAAAATCCAAAGGCAGCAAACAGTTCCTGTTGACCAAGCAGGAAAATAAAATTCAGGAAGAGGTAATGGTGAGCTTGTGAAATGCAACAACCTCAAGAGTTATTAGACAGAAGACTTTTCATTTTTAATGAGGGCTTCAGGGGATTTAGGGTACACAAATGAATGTGGTTCTGATTAAAAATATCAGTCACATATTGCATGAAAACATTTAAACTAAGACTAACATACAATAAGGTTTCTATGGGGTCAGGTTATGTCAAAATGCATTCTAAAGAATTCGTGTGATTAATATGAATACATTGAACTACAAAGGAAAAATACCAATTATTTTTTATTTACCTTGTAATGATAATGTCCTATCGTGGAACCCAAAGTATCCCTAGAACATACATTCCTTTATTTTATTATTATTTTTTGTGTGTGTGTGAGATAGAGTATCACTCTATCCCCCAGGCTGGAGTGCAGTGGCACTATCTCGGCTCACTGCAACCTCGGCCTCCTGGGTTCAAGCAATTCTCCTGCCTCAGCCTCCTCAGTAGCTGGGACTACAGGCATGCACCACCATGCCTGGCTAATTTTTGTATTTTTTAGTAGAGATGGAGTTTCACCATATTGGCCAGGCTGGTCTTGAATTCCTGACCTCAAGTGATCCACCCACCTCAGCCTCCCAAAGTGCTGGGATTACAAATGTGAGCCACCGCGCACGGCCAATTCTGCGATAATTTTAGATCACCAAATTTCTCCTTTCCCTTTATGGTCCCTTATAAAAGTGTTAGCCAGTCATATCTTTGATTACGTAGATGCATCCACCTCTTTTTACTTGATTTGTTGACCTTGTGGCTGTAAGGGTTGAAGGTTTGTGGCACTGTCCCACAAGAACGTATGTTGGTGGCCAAGACCTCTGAGTGCCTGTCACTTCTCTTTCGTTTGTATTGCACAGTTGAGGGAGTCTGTTCTTTGAATGATTGCAGGGACAGGGCCTGGGAGACAGTCAGAAATCGGAGCGACAACTTAGTTCAAAAGAGAGCCCCTCATCGCAGACTGATATGCTTCAGAGGACACGTGCCTGCAGCTGGCATTTCCACCACATCTATGGGCTTAAAATTACATATTTACTTAAAGCCATAGGATTTTCAGATCTGCATGGGAGATTCGATTTTTCCTAATCTTATAGTCAAAGAAAATGGCATCTACAGAAGTGAAGGAGCACTTTTGGCTGGTGTCAGGGCTAGTATTGAACTCCCATCTGCTGGCTCTCAGCACCTCCGGAAACAAGGCTCTTTCTATAGTCCCTTAATGTTTTCCTTCTTTCATAGCCTTGAACCAGGGCAGCTGGGGTGATACATACACCCTTAGTGTAAGAAGTAGATTTGTTTTCTTCTTTTTAGATTACAGCCTCTCTCATGTACCACTTAAGTCACCTTGCAAATATGAATAGTTGATTTTACAAGAAGCCCTTTAAATTAAAATTGGTTTATTTAGTATAATTCCATTATCTTTTCTGGTAAAGCCATTTAAAGCCTAGGTCCTGTTTGTGTTTGATATCTCAGTAATTTGTTGATATAGGATCTCTCAGTATGTCTGTAAAAGAGGTATTTAATCAATGTATTTGATTCAATTGTTTCCTTGAATTATTGTGTGGTTGGGTAGTTTTCAAAAGGAGAGGGGGGCTGTAGTTAAATGGATAAAATGGTTCATCCAGCAGAATTCAAGTCTCTTTAGAGTACAGCATAACTCTTTGTATGAAGAAGGTTATGTGTACAGTAGACAAGTACTTCCAGCTGTACTGTCTTACCTGGCCTCCAAATTACTCCTCCCAGGCCTAGGCAGTATAAAAAAAGGTGTTAAGGGGCTGTTAACAATAGGGCTGGGAAGGAGAGTTCAATCTATTCCAAATGTGGCAGTTGACACCTTGTCTTAACCTTGTTCTCAGTCTAACACCTCATATATCATTGACAATGGTCCAATCAGGAATCACACCCATCAGCTGAAGTATCATGATTAGGTGCTAATAATTAGGGCTGGAATTTCTTTGACTAAAGAAAACATTTTAGTAGTCTGTTTCTCAGAGTTTCACACTAGAACTTTTTTACCTGGCTTTGCAATTATACTTTTTAACCCAAGTTTGCGATGTATTTATTTTTCTTATTTTGTCCACACTATTTGGAAAACATGAGTGTGATTTTTTTTACCCTATTTGGAAACCACAGGATATGATATCCTGTGATGCACTGCAGAACCTAATTTATCAACAGATCTGAATTTAACGCTGCCCTTTTATAGAACAAGAGTATGAAATACAAATAAGATTTTGGTACTATTTTGAAAGCTGTTTTGATCCAAAGGACCTCTTGCAAGAGCTTCAGACCATTGTATTAAAAGATATTCCCATGAAACTGACTACATTAACAATGGGAAATTGTAACACGGATACGTGGAGCAGGGACAGAAAGAAGGATACAAGCTGAGAAGACATTTGAAAACAAATGAAATGCTGAAAAGAGCAGAGGACATTTCTTACAGTGGGGCAAGGAATGGAGGAAATAAGGTGCTTGACTAATGTAGAACATGTTAAGGGAGCTAAATCTCTTCAGATATGGTAATGCTGACAGAGCTCTTCAGTGAGACAGCAGCCGAGTACAGGTACAGGTGACTCAGAATACAGCCCAGGTACATACAATGCCAAATAATGAGATGTCCTTCAAAACCAAGCCAAAATTATTCTTAGATTTTCAATGTTATTCAAAATTATTGTTCTCCAAAACTCACCTCTAATGGCTTACAGAGGAGCAAAAATGCATCAGACCATGCAACAAATCAAGGTCCCTATTAAAGCACGAGAATTACTTGAACCCAGGAGGGGGAGGTTGCAGTGAGCCGAGATTATGCCACTGCACTCCAGCCGGGGTGACAGTGAAATTCTGTATGAAAAAAAGAAAAAAAAAAAAGAAATTAAGGAAGCATCCTACCTTAAACTGGGAACCCCTGTCCTAGGATGGAGTTGCAATTCCAAATTGGATATTCAAGTTAGACCTCCTTGAGAACGTGACATTTAAACAAAGGCTTGCAACAGATGAGGGATATAATCATATAGTTAGCTGAATGAAGAACATTTCAGACAATGGAAATAGTCAATGAAAATGTCCTTGTTCAGAAGAATATCTGAATTGTTTAAGAAAAGCTATAAGGAAGCCAGTGTGGCTAAAGCAGAATGGTCATAGAAAATAAGTTTAGAGAGGTAACAGGGAGCCAAAGTGTGAATGGTATCCTAGGTCATTTTAAGGACTTTGGCCTTCAGATGAAATGAGGAGCCACTGCAGGGTTTTGAACGAAGGACTAACATAATCTGGGGTGTATAGAAACGACTACTCTTGAGGACTCAGCAATAATAGAGTGAAAGAGGGCAAAGATAGAAACAAAGAGAAAAGTGAGAGGCTATGGCCAAGAGTCCCCAAAGTGATCACCAATTACTTCCTACCCTGTGTCATGCACATGCTGGTCTTCACTATTAAGAAGTGGAGTCTCATTCCTCTACCTTTAAATCTGGGGTTGACTGTATGATGAAATGGAAGTTGAAGAAGGACTTCATAAGAAGTCCTGCAACTTTGAACTAAGACTCTTGAAACTCATTCTTGGGAAGCTCCAGCTTAGAAACTAGCCCCCAGGCTGTTAGAAAACCAAGCTTCATGGAAAGTCCGTATGTAGACAGTCCAGTGGACAGTCCCAGCTGAGCTTCTTTCAATAGCCAGCACCAACTGCCAGCCAAGGGAGTAAGCCGTCTTGGACATTTGAGCTCATGCATCAACTGACTGCCTGAAAGGCCTTAGTGAGAACCATTCAGCTAGCCACCTCAACCCAAATAATAATGCAGAAAAATAAGCTATTGCTTTAAAGTCACACAGTTTTAGGATAATTTGGAACAATCTATGCAGTTATACATACATGAAGTGTTGTGGTTAATCCACAAGGAGGTAGCAGTTGAGAAGTCAGAATAGTTTGCCTTCTCAATATTATCAATTAAGAGAAAAAAATTATTATCTGATTGATTGGTGTACAAGTAGATATAAAGACAAAGCAAGAATTAAGGATGACTACAAATGTTTTACTGAAACAATAATGAGATAGGACTTGCTATCATATAAGTTGTTGGCAGACTATACATGGAACAGTGATGTGGTTTGGCTGTGTCCCCACCCAAATCTCAACTTGAATTGTAGCTCCCATAACTCCCATGTGTTGTGGGAGGGACCTGGTGACAGAGTATTGAATCATGAAGGCAGTTTCCCCCATACTGTTCTCCTTGTAGTGAATAACTTCCACAAGATCTGATGGTTTTATAAGGAGAAACCCCTTTCGCTTGGTTCTCATTCTCTCTGTCTGCTGCCCTGTAAGACGTGGCTTTTGCCTTCCACCATGATTGTGAGGCCTCCCTAGCCACGTGGAACTGTGATTCCATTAAACCTCTTTTTCTTTATAAATTACCCAGTCTCCAGTTTGTCTATATCAGCAGCATGAGAACAGACTAATACAAACAGATATGGGGAAGGAATAGACTTTTGAGCAGAGGTATGAGAAAGAAGTGACTTAGAAATATATTTGATACAAATGAATAGGATATGGAAAAGGGAGAAATTAACAGAAATATTAGTGGAAGACATTCAAATCCAATTACAATGTTTATCTGGTTTTCTTAAGAGTGGTTGCAGAAGAAATGGCAGAAAAAAAAAAGAAAGAAAATGTATAAGCCAAAGAAAATGTCAGAGGAGATAAATGACAATGTCACATATCAAAAAGAGTCATGTAAATTGGAGAATATGGTCATAGCTTACACAGATAGGCATATAGACTATGTCAAGAGTTCTATAGTCCAAGGTAGACAAATGGCATTCCATTAGAACAGAAAAATTTGTGAAAGTATATGACAAATCCTAAGTAAATTGTGCCAGAAAAAAAGAGGACACGGATAAAGGAATATATGTACTTTTGTCTTTGTGAAGAAGAGTCACCACGGATTATGACTTTTGTGTTATATATGTGTGGCAGTGTATTTTATTTCTGTCTGTATTTGTTTTTTTTCTTTGAGGAGATGAGAGAAGACAGTTTTAATTTTGTTTGTTTTCAGGAGGAGCGTAAATTTGTCATTTTCCATCTTATTCCAAAAGTGCTCAGATTAAATGTTGTGGCTTTATTTATAAGCCAGAGGCACTTGGACATTCAAGGAAAATCTGTATCTTAACAGATTTTCACTGTAATCACAACATATTAGTGATCCAAACAGATTTGTGTAAGCTTTGGTTAAATATCAAACACTTAATATTATCTCTGCACAAAACCCTGAGCCTACCCTTGCCCTTCTGAATAAGAAGAAAAAGCAAATATAAATATTTCTAAAAGATCAATGTCCAAAAAAACAAATAAAAACAGTATTTTTTAACAATGAGCAGGAAAAATGGAGGATTCTTTGCTTTTATAATCACACATTCTTTCTTTTCTCCTCTGAAAAAGGAAGGATCATGGGAATATATAAACTGGGATTGCAGTTGGGTCCTTTTTGTCAAACTGCAACAAAAATCAGTGCATATATTTTGCTGCTGAAAATTCAACTGTAGTTAGTTCAAGAAATTCCAATATAACATTTAAAACTCCTTATCATTAGTTCCCACAGCAGTTTTCCAGGTGGTGTTGATGAATTTTCCCATGATCTGTCTACCCTGCAAGCATTATACCTGTCACATACCTAATTTTAGGCCTTATGGTTAGTATTTAACACTGGAAGCTCAACTAAAACCTATTAAGTACCTATATGTATACACATATAAAATTATGGTTTGAAATTTTTTGATATATTATTTTAATTATGTCCAATTATAGAAGTATGGGGATACTTAATATTTTTAAGTAAAATTATGTGTCTAGCAGTTTTCAAAAAGTTTGCATGTACTACTTCTTTTAATCTTAAGAAAATTAACAGGTAGAAATTATTATCTTTATTTTACAGATGGAAAAGCTGAAGTCCATAAAAATTAAGTAACATGCAAATGTTGTACAATGAGCAAGTTGTAGAGTCGAAATTCAACCTATGAAATCTGGCTCCAGAAGCTGTACCCCTAACCAATATATCACATTACTTATTTATTTGCATAAGAAGATAAAGAAGAGATAGCATATTAGAAAAGAAAAATGTAGGACAGAGAAAAAAATCAACATTCTAAATTATTAGTGAGATACAGAAATTTCTTAAAGGCTATGGAAGACTCTCCTTATCTTGGTGACAGGAAATATTAAATGAATCTAGATTCACAGCCTTCAGTGAGTGAATAGATTAAATAATATGTGGGGGCATTTTGATGCCATAGAATATTATTCAGCAATAAAAAGGGACAAACTGTTGATATATACAATAACTTGGATGGGCTTCAAAGGCATTATGCTTAATGAAAGAAGCTAGTCAATCTCAAACAATTGTGTATTTGTGTAATATTGTACCAGAGCTTAGAAGATGATCATAATGAATAGCACAAGTGAATTTTTGGAGGTGAGGGAGAACTGTTCCGAATACTAACTATAGAGCTGTTACACAAATCTATACATGTTTTAAAATTTATAGTTAATTTATCAAAATAAAAAAGACTCATTTTACTGTATGACAATTAAAAATAATTTTTATTATACTTTAAGTTCTGTGATACCTGTGCAGAATGTGCAGTTTTGTTACATAGGTATACACGTGACATGCAGTTTGCTGCACCCATCAACCGGTCATCTACATTAAGTATTTCTCCTAATGCTATTCCTCTCCTAGCCGCCCACCCCCTGACAGACCTCGGTGTGTGATGTTCCTTCCCCTCCCTGTGTCCATGTGTTCTCATTGTTCAACTCCCACTTAAGAGTGAGAACATGCAGTGTTTGGTTTTCTGTTCCTGTGTTAGTTTGCTGAGAATGATGGTTTCCAGCTTCATCCATGTCCCTGAAAAGGACACGAACTCACCCTTTTTTATGGCTGCATAGTATTCCATGGTGTGTATGTGCCACATTTTCTTTATCCAGTCTATCATTGATGGGCATTTGGGTTGGTTCCAAGTCTTTGCTATTTTGAACAGTGCTGCAATAAACATATGTGTGCATGTATCTTTATAGTAGAATGATTTATAATCTTTGAGTATGTACCCAGTAATTGGATTGCTGGGTCAAATGGTATTTCTGGCTCTGGATCTCTGAGAAATCACCACACTGTCTTCCACAATGGTTGAACTAATTTACACTCCCACCAACAGTGTAAAAGGGCTCCTATTTCTCAACATCCTCTCCAGCATCTGTTGTTTCCTGACTTTATAATGATTGCCATTCTAACTGGTGTGAGATGGTATCTCATTGTGGTTTTGATTTGTATTTCTCTAATGACCAATGATGATGAGCTTTTTTTCATATGTTTGTTGGCCACATAAATATCTTCTTTTGAGAAGTGTCTGTTCATATCCTTTACCCACTTTTGATGTGGTTGTTTGATTTTCTTGTAAATTTGTTTATGTACCTTGTAGATTCTGGATATTAGCCCTTTGTCAGATGGATAGATTGAAAAATTTTCTCCCACTCTGTAGCTTGCCTGTTCATTCTAATGATAGTTTCTTTTGCTGTGCAGAAGCTCTTTAGTTTAATTAGAACCCATTTGTCAATTTTGTCTTTTGTTGCTATTGATTTTACTGTTTTAGTCATGAGGTCTTTGTTGATGCCTATGTCTTGAATGGTATTGCCTAGGTTTTCTTCTAGGGTTTTTATGCTTTTATATCTTACATTTAAGTCTTTAATCCATCGTGAGTTAATTTTTGTATAAGATGTAAGGAAGGGATCCAGTTTCAGTTTTCTGCGTATGGCTAGCCGGTTTTCCCGGCACCATTTATTAAATAGGGAATCCTTTCCCCATTGCTTCTTTTTGTCAGGTTTGTCGAAGATCAGATGGTTGAAGATGTGTGGCATTACTTCTGAGGCCTCTGTTCTGTTCCATTGGTCTATATATCTATTTTGGTACCAGTACCATGTTGTTTTGGTTACTGTAGGCTTGTAGTATAGTTTGAAGTCAGGTAGTGTGATGCCTCCAGCTTTGTTCTTTTTGCTTAGGATGGTCTTGGCAATGTGGGCTCTTTTTGGTTCCATATGAACTTTAAAGTAGTTTTTTCCAATTCTGTGAAGAAAGTCATTGGTAGCTTGATGGGGATGGCATTGAATCTATAAATTACCTTGGGCAGTATGGCCGTTTTCATGATACTGGTTATTCCTATACATGAGCATGAAATATTTTGCCATTTG
This sequence comes from Homo sapiens, assembly GCF_000001405.40. Lineage (NCBI taxonomy): Eukaryota > Metazoa > Chordata > Mammalia > Primates > Hominidae > Homo > Homo sapiens. Next base: position 19,065,111 of record NC_000004.12, on the reverse strand, counting down.
TTTGTGTTCTCTCTTATTGCCTTGAGCAGTGGTTTGTAGTTCTCCTTGAAGAGATTCTTCACATCCTTTGTAAGTTGTGTTCCTAGGTATTTCATTCTCTTTGTAGCAATTGTGAATGGTAGTTCACTCATAATTTGGCTTTCTGTTTGTCTATTATTGGTATATAGGAATGCTTGTGATTTTTGTATATTGATTTTCTATCCTGAGACTTTGCTGAAGTTACTTATCAGCTTAAGGAGATTTTGGGCTGAGATGATGGGGTTTTCTAAATACACAATTATGTCATCTGCAAACAGAGACAATTTGACTTCCTCTCTTCCTATTTGAATACCCCTTATTTCTTTCTCTTGCCTGATTGTCCTGACCAGAACTTCCAACACTATGTTGATTAGGAGTGGTAAGAGAGGGCATCCTTGTCTTGTGCCGGTTTTCAAAGGGAATGCTTCCAGCTTTTGCCCATTCAGTATGATATTGGCTGTGGGTTTGTCATGAATAGCTCTGATTATTTTGAGATACATTTCATCAATACCTAGTTTATTGAGAGTTTTTAGCATGAAGGGGTGTTGAATTTTATCCAAGGCCTTTTCTGCATCTATTGAGATAATCATGTGGTTTTGTCATTGGTTCTGTTTATGTGATGGATTACGTTTATTGATTTGTGTATGTCGAACCAGCTTTGCATCCCAGAGATGAAACCAACTTGATTGTGTTGGATAAGCTTTTTGATGTGCTGCTGGATTTGGCTTGCCAGTATTTTATTGAGTATTTTTGCATTGATGTTCATCAGGGATCTTGGCCCGAAATTTTCTTCTTTTGTTGTGTCTCTGCTAGATTTTGGAATAAGGATGATGCTGGCCTCATAAAATCAGTTAGTGGGTGTAAGAGATCAGTCAGGGTGGTGGGAGAAGCTGTAAGGAAAGACACAAACCTTCTTGAAATGTTGGAAAGTCTTGCAAAAGCTTTGGGAGAGACTAAAGCTGAAGGCAGCTAATTCTCTTACCCTGAGGCTAAGGGCGAGGAGTAGGTAACAAGGGAGTGTAAAGAAATCTATCTAGATAAGTTTATTACTTATGTCATCTGGAGACTGACCTTTGATCATCCACGTGCAAGACTGCTCCCTGTAAGAGAGGACGACCATGTTAATTACCCACATATTGTGTTGGCTACAGGCCTTTGACATTATACCAGTACTGAATAAATACAAGCAGCTCTGGCTTATCAGGACTGCTAACTCTCTTCGGCCCCTAGTGCCGGCAGTCCCCTAGCTGCTCTTTCACAGCATACCTGTGTCTGAGTACTCCTTTTATCCATTTCTCGGCCAGGGTCTGTGAGACAGACCTGGCAAGGGAGGCATCCCTCTTTTTCTATTGTTTGGAATAGTTTCAGAAGGAATGGTGCCAGCTCCTCTTTGTACCTCTGGTAGAATTTGGCTGTGAATCTGTCTGGTCCTGGGCTTTTTTTGGTTGGCTATTAATTACTGCCTCAATTTCTGAACACGTTATTGGTCTATTCAAAAATTTGACTTCTTCCTTCCTTAGTCTTGGGAGGGTGCATGTGTGCAGGAATTAATCCATTTCTTCTAGATTTTCTAGTTTATTTGTGTAGAGGTGTTTATAGTATTTTCTTATAGTAGTTTGTATTTTTGTGGATCAGTGGTGATATCTCCTTTATCATTTTTTATTGTGTCTATTTGATTCTTCTCTCTTTTCTTCTCTGTTAGTCTGGCTAGCAGTCTGTTTTGTTAATCTTTTCAAAAACCAGCTCCTCGATTCATTGATTTTTTTAAAGGGTTTTTCATGTCTCTATCTCCTTCAATTCTGCTCTGATCTTAGTTATTTCTTGTCTTCTGCTAGCTTTTGAATTTGTTTGCTCTTGCTTCTCTAGTTCTTTTAACTGTATTGTTAGGGTGCTGATTTTAGATCTTTCCCCCTTTCTCCTTTGGGCATTTAGTGCTTAAATTTCTTTCTAAACACTGCTTCAGCTGCGTCGCAGAGATTCTGGTACATTGTCTCTTTATTCTCATTGGTTTCAAAGAACTTCTTTTTTTCCATCTTAATTTCATTATTTACCCAGTAATCATTCAGGAGCAGGTGTTCAGTTTCCATATAGTTGTGTGGTTTTGAGTGATTTTCTTAATCCTTTGTTGTAATTTGATTGCACTGTGGTCTGAGAGACTGTTTGTTATGATTTCCTTTGTTTCACATTTGCTGAGGAGTGTTTTACTTCCAATAATGTGGTCAGTTTTAGAATAAGTGTGATGTGGTGCTAAGAAGAATATATATTCTGTTGATTTGGGGTGGAGAGTCCTGTAGATGTCTATAGGGTCCACCCTGTACAGAGCTGAGTGCAAGTCCTGAATATCCTTGTTAATTTTTTGACCCATTTATCTGTCTAATATTGACAGTGGGGTGTTAAAGTCTCTCACTATTGTTGTGTAGGAGTCTAAGTCTCTTTGTAAGTCTCTAAGAACTTGCTTTATGAATCTGGGTGCTCCTGTATTGGGTGCTTATATATTTAGAATAGTTTTTCTTGTTGCATTATGATTATGTAATGCCCTTCTTTGTCTTTTTTTATCTTTGTTGGTTTAAAGTCTGTTTTATCAGAGACTAGGATTGCAACCCCTGCTTTTTTTTTTGCTTTCCATTTTCTTGGTAAATATTCCTCCATCCCTTTATTTTGAGCCTATGTGTGTCTTTGGACGTGAGTTCAGCCTCCTGAATACAGCACACTGATGGGTCTTGACTCTTTATCCAATTTGCCAGTCTGTCTTTTAATTGGGGCATTTAGCCCATTTACATTTAAGGTTAATATCGTTATGTGTTGATCTGATCCTGTCATTATGAAGCTAGCTGGTTATTTTGCCTGTTAGTTGATGCAGTTTCTCCATAGCGTCAATGGTCTTTACAATTTGGTATGTTTTTGCAGTGGCTGGTACCAGTTTTTCCTTTCCATGTTTAGTGCTTCCTTCAGGAACTCTTGTAAAGCAGGCCTGGTGGTGACAAAATCCCTCAGCATTTGCTTGTCTGTAAAAGATCTTATTTCTCTTTCACTTATGAAGCTTACTTGGCTGGATATGAAATTCTGGATTGAAAATTCTTTTCTTTAAGAATGTTGAATATTGGCCTCCACTCTCTCCTTGCTTGTAGGGTTTCTACAGAGAGATCCACTGTTATTCTGATGGGCTTCCCTTTGTTGGTAACTTGACCTTTCTATCTGGCTGCTCTTAACATTTTTTCCTTCATTTCAACCTTGGTGAATCTGGTGATTATGTGTCTTGGGGTTGTTCTTCTCAAAGAGTATCTTAGTGGTGTTCTCTGTATTTTCTGAATTTGAATGTTGGCCTGTCTTGCTAGGCTGGGGAAGTTGGAAGTTCTCCTGGATAATATCCTGAAGAGTGTTTTCCAACTTGGTTCCATTCTCCCCATCACTTTCAGATACAGCATTCAAATGTAGGTTTGATCTTTTCACATAGTTCCATATTTCTTGGAAGTTTGTTTATTCATTTTCATTCTTTTTTCTCTAATCTTGTCTTCATGCTTTATTCCTTTAAGTTAATCTTCAGTCTCCGACATCCTTTCTTTCGCTTGATCGATTCAGCTATTGATACTTGTGTATGCTTCACGAAATTCTTGTGCTGTGTTTTTAAGCTCCATTAGGTCATTTATGTTCTTCTCTAAACTGGTTATTCTAGTTAGCAATTCCTCTAACCTTTTTTTAAGGTTCTTAGCTTCTTTGCATTGGGTTAGAACATGATCCTTTAGCTTGAAAGAGTTTGTTACTACCCAACTTCTGAAGCCTACTTCTGTGAATTCATCAAACTCATTCTCCATCCAGTTTTGTTCCCTTGCTGCCGACGAGTTGTGATCCTTTGGAGGAGAAGAGGAGTTCTGGCTTTTGGAATTTTCAGCCTTTTTGCACTGGTTTTTCCTCATCTTCATGGATTTATCTACCTTTGAACTTTGATGTTGGTGACCTTCTGATAGGGTTTTTGAGTGGACATCCTTTTTGTTGATGTTGATGCTATTCCTTTTTGTTCGTTAGTTTTCCTTCTAACATTCAGGCCCCTCTGCTGCAGGTCTGCTGGAGTTTGCTGGAGGTCCACTCTAGACTCTGTTTGCCTAGGTATCACCAGCAGAGGCTGCAGAACAGCAAAGATTGCTGCCTGCTCGTTTCCTCTGGACACTTCCTCCCAGAGGGGCACCTGCCAGAGGCCAGCCAGAGCTCTCCTGTATGAGGTGTCTGTCAACCCCTGCTGGGAGCTGCCTCCCAGTCAGGAGGCCAGGGGTCAGGGACCCACTTGAGGAGGCAATCTGTCCCTTAGCAGAGCTTGAGCACTGTGCTGGGAGATCCACTGCTCTCTTCAGAGCTGGCAGGCAGGAACTTTTAAGTCTGCTGAAGCTGCACCCACAGCCACCCCTTCCCCAAAGTGCTCTATTCCAGGGAGATGGGAGTTTTATCTATCAGCCCCTGACTGGGGCTTCTGCCTTTCTTTCAGAGATGCCCTGCCCAGAGAGGAAGAGTCTAGAGAAGTAGTCTGGCTTCAGCGGCTTTGCCGAGCTGCAGTGGGCTCCACCCAGTTCAAACTTCCTGGAGGCTTTGCTTACACTGTGAGGGGAAAATTGCCTTCTTAAGCCTCAGTAATGGCAGATGTGCCTCCCACCACCAAGCTCAAGCATCCCAGATCAACTTCAGACTGCTGTGCTGGCAGTGAGAATTTCAAGGCAGTGGTTCTTAGCTTGCTGGGGCTGGGATCCACTGAGGAAAACCACTTGGCTCCCTGGCCTCAGCCCCCTTTCCAGGGTAGTGAGCGGTTCTGTCTTGCTGGCATTCCAGGCACAACTGGGGTATGAAATTAAACTGCAGCTAGCTCAGTGTCTGCCCAAATGGCTATCCAGTTTTGTGCTTGAAACCCAGGGCCCCAGTCATGGTAGGCACCCAAGGGAATCTCCTGGTCAGCAGGTTGTGAAGACCTTGGGAAAAGCATAGTATTTGGGGCAGAATGCATCATTCCTCATGGCACAGCCCCTCATAATTTCCCTTGGCTAAAGGAGGGAGTTCCCTGACTCCTTCTGCTTCCCGGGTTAGGCAATGCCTCACCCTGCTTTGGCTCGCCCTCCATGGGCTGCACCCACTGTCTAACCAGTCCCAGTGAGATGAGCCAGGTACCTCAGTTGGAAATGCAGAACTCACCTGCCTTCTGCATTGATCTTGCTGGGAGCTGTAGACTGGAGCTGTTCCGATTCGGCCATCTTGCCATCCACCCAAGAAAATGAAATTTTAGTAATCCTGGGTTGGGGAAATCTCAAGTCATTGACTTTGCCAATTACAACTTTGGAAACTTGATCAAGTTATTCAGTTATTAAACTTTTATATCATCAATTTTCTATATTTAATTACCAATTAATTAAAAATACCTACCCTGTAGCATGTGGTGAGGATTAATGGTAAATACTATGAGGTGCTCAGCATCATGACTAAAAAATAGAAACAATAAATGGTTATAAATCCTGACCATTGTCTTCAAAGGAATATAGATGTAGCTCCCTTTGTCCTATGTCCAGATTCTCCCAATTATAGGGTGTGATGATCTGGCCTCAAGAAGGCAGGCTCCTCCAGGAACAAAAGTCCACAGAATCCTTCCCCTCTCCTTGGTTCCTGTATGAGGATTTTACTGTATTCTGTGGGAGGACATTCTTCTTTTCACCAGCTGAGTCAAGCATCCTGCCAAAGAAGCTGTATATGAAACTCTTCAACTATAGCAATTAAAAAATGTTAGCTCCTTCTTCCTCTTTCCTCAGTCACCTCCAATTCCATTGCCGCTCCTTAAAACACCAGTGTCTCTTTTAGCAAAGCCTTTCCCACTTTTCCTTTCAGCAACCAACCCCAATCCCTGCTTTTTCATAAGGCCCCAGCATTGTCCTTCTCATGAGTTCTCTGAGTAACTTCCTATCTGAGTAGCTTACATTGCTCCATAATCCCAGATAGCCTGATAGATGGTTAAGGAAATAATATGTTCATGCCACATTGTCCCAATGAAAAGTCAAGTTTCTTGAAGGTGGGCAGAAAAAAAACTAAAATATCTGGCAAATCTGCTATGTGTGTGGCCTTCTGCTCGGTGTTTGTTATGCACTGTTTGGTTTTTCTCTAAAACGAATCTATAAAATAGGCAAGTTTACTCCCATTAGATGGAAAGAGAATCAGTTAAAGTCACTTTCCTAAGGGAAAGTCATAAGTAGGTGCTAGGCTTTGAACCTAATTGTGACTCAAAATCCACTCTATTTTCTTTGAGGAATTGTACACTTTTGTTTATATTTCATAGGATATTGAATATATACAAGGTTCATTAATTATCATAGAATTTAATTTAGTTGAACATTTTCTACCTATATCAAATTTTTTTTTTTTTGATTGTAGCCTCTTGTTTCCTGAGAAAAATGATGATCTGACTTTAACCACATAAAAGCTTCAGGCAATGGAAAAAGTAATTCAAAGATGGTTTTACTTAGACTCTCCAAAAAAATACTCTCATTGACATATTCCTCACTTCTCCTCTCCTTCTTTTTGTTGTTACTGTAATTGCGTTTTCCTTTTCCTCTCTTTCTCCTCTTCCTTTCTCCTTTGCCTTCTTTTCTTTCTTTTTTCTCTCTCATTATTATTATTTTGAGTTAATGGAAACTATTTCTTAGAGTCAAAAATAAAAATACCTTTACTGAGACACTGTTAAGATGTTATAGATAGTACTGAGCAGATCTGTGAATAATTTGACTAACAGAAATTGTTTTTTCCTTTTCAAGAAATAAGGTATATATAAGGCTGTTATAGCAAAAAAAAAAAGTGAAGATTAAATATGTCAAAAAGTCTTTCTTCCAAATTGATGAAAACAATTAACAAAGACATTGTTACAGACTCTACAGAGAAGCTCATCTCCCCTGCTTTGCCATGCAGCAGATGCTCAGGCATTACCCTTTCATAATGCTCCTCAGAGAAACTTCTGTTCATGGTAGTAGCATATGAATCAAGTAAGACTCAGGAACCCTGATAATATAAATTGAGCATCCCAAATTCAAAAATTTGAAATCTGTAATGATCTGAAATTTGAAACTTTTTTAACACTAACATGAACCCATAAATGGAAAATCTCACACCTGACCTCATATAATGGGTCACAGTGAAAATGCCGTCAAAACTTTGTTTCATGCACAATGTTATTAAAAATATTGTATGAAATTACCTTTATGCTATGTGGATGAGGCATATATGAAACATAAATGAATTTTGTGTTTACACTTAGGGCTCATTCCTAAGACATCTTATTATGTCTGTGTAAATATTCCAACATCTGAAAACATCTGAAATCTGAAAACACATCTGGTCCCAAGCATTTCAGATCAGGGACACTCCACCTATAGGATTTGGGAAATTTTGAATGTTTGTATTCAATAGCAGAAGTCCTGAAATATTGCTCAATCTCATCTGATATATTTCTAATATGTTAGAAAGTTACATTTTTACAATGTATTATAGGATAATAGTTAAAGTTAACATTTACTGAGAACTCAATACGCATCCAGTCACTGTAGGTAAGAACTACACATCCTAAGCGAGAATCATACCCCTAGACCAACGAGCCATAAAAAATGCTAAATGACGAGATAATGGGTGCAGCACACCAATATGGCACATGTATACATATGTAACAAACCTGCACATTGTGCACATGTACCCTAAAACTTAAAGTATAATAATAATAAAATAAAATAAAGAATTTATTTAAAAAAAAGAACTACCCATCCATTATCATGTTTAAGTCTTGTAATGATGATTTTTATAATTTGAATTTCATTAGTTGCGAATGACAGAAGCCACTGAGCTACCTGTACTCATAAAGACTATGTTATATTTCTTTTCCTGGGGAGTTGCAGCTACTGGAACCATCTTCCCTGACTTTTGATGAAAGAGCCTATATCTGCAGTCTACCCTACTATATAAATGCTTGCACTTACCTGTTGAAATGAGATATTTGCTATTCACTCTTTGAAATTTACTCAAAGTACAAAAAGCTTTGTGTGTTCATTGCCCAAATGCACTCTCAATTATTCTTCAAGCTAGTTTCTTTGGATGGGTATTGATAAGATTTACAGTCACAGAGAAATTCAGCTGATACCAAACAAAGACAAGGAGAAAGCTTAGCTTCAAACTAGTATCATCCATAATGATTGACCTTGTGCTGTGAATTTTATCTGTTAAGCAATTGAATTTCAGACTCCAAGCAAAAAGAAGTTTATTACATGGGTGCAGGAATAGCATTATGAGCTTGCATAGACCTGGGCAAGGTAGAAATTAGGTACTATACCATTTGTTAGTTTTGTAGACATGAAGGTCACCTGTAAACATTTATTTACAAGAAAAGAATGCAATTAAAATTTACATAATAAACTGGTTCTTTCAACACCAAGACTAATACACTGGGAACTCTTCTCACTATATCAGTATATAGCAATGACTTCATACATTTTTTGAACAAAAAATAATTTTGAAAACAAATTATGACAGCTAAAAAGCCCCATCGACTGACCTCACTGTCAACGTTTTTCACAGAACAAAAGAAAACCTGATAATTCTTTACTTCAGAAACAGCACTGGCTTTGGAGAATATGTTGTATGACTATGTGACTCTGAACTTACAGAGCAGTGGAGATCTATGCTTTAAAAAGTGTCCCCAGCAACACTGAAGACAAAATTTGTAACTGAATGAACTGTATTAACTATAGACTTTGAAACAACAAAAAACACCTCTCTTTTCATGGTTTTGTCTTTGGTCCTTGGAAATTGTATGGTACAGCATCAGGAATCAATGTATACTCAGATGAATAAACGATTATGACCTTCTGGAAAACATAGATTTTAGTGCTCACTGCACAGATGTTGCAGATTTAAAGGAGATAAATGTCATATGCTGCTGTGCAGTAAAGGTTCTCATTAAAGAGTAGTTACGAGATCATCATTAATTCATCCTATGTTATTGTATCCCTGTACAGTGTGACTAGTTTGCTAGGCAGTTGAGCTACAAAAGTAACAAGACATGTTTCCTAAGTCTACTAAAGAAGAAGGTGTGCAAAGAAGTAACTAATCAGTTTTAAAATGCCAGTTCTATGGCATATGTGTATTAACCTAAGTCTTGTATATCACCTTATTAAGGGAAATCCTAGACGGTAAAACTAATGAGTTCTATATTTTAATAGCTTGGATGCAGGTGTTCCCAGATAGCAGAAAGGTGGTTTTCCTCTATGTATTATTCACTCTTCTTCTTCCTCAGGCATCTCCTATACTCTTTCAGTCTCTGTATTCAGATGGAAGATGTGGGAAAAGGTTACAACAACTTCCTAAACATCTTAAGCAAAAAGTAATGCATATGATTTCGGCTCACAGTCTATGGCAAAGGCTAATTAAAGGATTCCACCTAGATTACAGGGAATCTGAAAATTGCAGTTCCTCCTTAAGAAGCTGCTTCCCAGAGAAAACACCTTGCTAATGGAAATTTGGTAGACAGTCATAATCATTTTTGCCACAGATCTCCACAATGGGCCAGCACTGCTCGGCTGAAAGAGTCAGAACAGCTTTACACAAGTGGTAGCACATGAACAGACTTGAATAATAAATAGGCATTTTCCAGTAGGATAAGCAAGAGGATGTCCCAGTTTAAGTAAACAACATGTGCGATGGCCTGCAGATGAAATAGAGGAGGTGTAAACAGGAAAATAAGCAATTTCTATCTTGCTTCTGCACTAACTGTGTAATAGTGAGCAGTGAAAGATGGGACTAGAGGAGCAAATGAGAAGCTGAAGATGAAGAGCTTAAATGTCATTATAGTAACACCTTATCTTATCTTTCAATTTCTTTTCCTCAGTATTCTCATTGATTGGATCTAGGTTCTCACAAACTATTGTTCTCCTTCTTGCTCATTCATGATGATAATCTCCCAGCTAGACAGGGCCACTAAAAGGGAAATCTTTCCTATTGAATGAATGACCTTTTAATTCTCCCAATTGACTGTGTAGATAATGCCTGGTCATGTGTCTCAGCCAACTAGTCCTCTGTTGAGGAAAGCAGAGCATGGTTCTCTTATTCACACAGACATAACTTGAGTGCACCAAGGACATGGGCAAGGGTCGTTCATATAGCATTTTCTAATTAACTGCCTTTTGAAAAGTAGGCAGTTCAGTGTATTGTGTCCTGGTATTGTGTTTCCTCATCGATACCCTTCAGCCCCACTGACAATCCCCAATGACAGCAATATGTTCATTTTTTTTTAATATTCCATGACCTACTCAGGGTGATGGCCTCATTAAAAAGCGATTGATGTTTTTGGCATAAGCCTGTGAAGTGTCCTTGTCGTCTGCATTTAAACATGTTGAAGAAAGAAAAAAAAAATGAGAAAGGGTTGCCCTAGATCTTTCCAAGACTGTAACAAAAACTGACAAGAGTAATTGTTTGCTACTTCAGGGACTTACAAAAATAGATAACCAATCAAATGAGGTCAGTAAATTTTGTTTCTCCTATATATGGTTGAAAACGATGTTATTTTTAAAGTTTTAAATTGCTGACTTTAATGAGAAATATCTGGCTCCCTTATTAATTTGACTTAATTAATTTTCTGTGAATACCAGGATACTAGAATATGTAGAATATTTTTAACTTCAGGTTATCTAATGTAAATCCTACAAATGATCTTTTTGTTAATCTCACTACAGATACTGTGCCAGGGAAACACATATATATTGTGTACAAGTCTGCATAGTCCAGACTAAGATTGTAGATACTGACAGCTGTAGTTCTTTTTTTTTTAAATTCTTTATTTTATTTTATTTTATTATTATTATACTTTAAGTTTTAGGGTACATGTGCACAATGTGCAGGTATGTTACGTATGTATACATGTGCCATATTGGTGTGCTGCACCCATTAACTCGTCATTTAGCATTTTAAGTTGACTATTTGGCTAATTTCTCAAGCAGTATTTCATTGAATACTCAACAGCAAGGAGGTATAATTATCTCTATATAGAAAGTGAGGTTTAGAGAGATAATACTAAGGTCACTAAGTATAAACAAGGAAACTCAAAAATCTAAAACTTTGGAGTCACCAGCCAGCAAATGGTGAAGTTAAGAATTGTCGTAGTTCATTCTGGCCACTATAACAAAAATACCACAGACTGGGTAGCTTCTAAACAACAGAAATTTATTTCTTACTGTTCTAGAGGCTGGAAAGTCCAAGATCAAAAAGCCTGCAGATTTGATATTTGCTGAGGGTTTCCTTCCTAGTTCATAGGTCATGTTTTGCTGCTGTGTTCTTACATGGTAGAAAGGGCAAGGAAGTGCTCTCGGGGTCTCTTTTACAAAGGCGCTAATCCCATATATGAGCACTTGTGAACAATCACCTCCCAAATGCTTCACCTCCTAATACCATCACATCAGGGGTTAGGATTTCAACATATGAATTGGGGCCACAGGGTGACTCAGTTTTTAGCAAGAACAAATCTAGCTCTATCTGATTCCAACCCCTCTCCCATTTCTACTACATGCAGATGACATTTTTGATTTATAATTTGGACAAAGCATGTATCTAATCAGAACTGACTGCATCTGGACACATCTAAAGATTCCTTGGACTGCTTTGTTGTATATATCACTGAAGATGATCAATAACTCTCATGGTTTTTCATCAGTTTATTTCTGAGAAGACCTGAATTTAAATCAACTAACCAAAAACTGAATTGCAAACTCACACTGATAATATGAGCCAAGCAAATTATAAAGTAAAATCTTTCACTATCCCCACCTATCTTATGTTTAAACTCTGATGGTTTCCACCTTCACGCTGAATCAGAAAGCCAGAATGTATTTCTCAGAAAATAATATTTTGAACCAAATGAAATAGTCTCCTGAAAAGCCAGTTAATGAAACACTCTCAAAACCAGGTTATATCACAACGTCAGCTCTCAGGCAGCTAACACAAATATAACCACAATCTAGACACTCAGATTTTAAATTATTCTCCTTTCTACAAACATACCAATTTCACTTAGCAGAAGTATCAAAAGTAGACTTAAAAATAAGTTATCATAAAATATTGTATAATGCAATGTGTCTATACCTAAAAAATCAGATTTATATGTATTACATATAAGAAATAAATGTTTATATATATAGAAACATATAACATAGCATATACTAAATACACAACATAATATATATGTGAGATGTATGTATATGACACATGTGAGATATATATATATAAAAGACACACAGAAACACCATATATATATAGTTTGCATAGAAGACAGATCTTTTTTCTCTTAGGTACCTTCTTTCAGGGATGCAATGGCTATAAAAAAGTGTGGGTATTTCTACCCATATCTCAAATATTATTTGAAGAATGAGGGAAAATGGACCTTCAACGTGGCTAGAATCAATTTTTTCTATTTGTTGTTCTTCTTCAGCAAATACACGAATTTAGCACTAGCTATGTATACTTATAAGAATGTGCATGCGTTTTCTCACACAGTTTTTAAATCATTCCTAGGAAGCATTAATATTGTTTTAGCTAAGAAAACAGAGACACTAGCAGGTTAAGTACCTGCTAACATCCACACAGCTGAAAAGGAATAGTGCCAGAATTTAAATCCAGAGTCTACACTTAATTTCCTCTCCAAGTACTCACTTGGCGTATACTATATGGTAGGCAGTGTGCCAGATGCTTTGCTACCATTCAGTACACCCCATTCTTTTACCTCCTGGTCATTTGCATCAAGACAAATCAGGTACCTAACCAGTCAAATACTTCACTCTCTTCTCTCCCCTATCACGCTAGTAACTTGAAGCTTGGAAAAGGAGTGATCTCTGTAAAGCGGAGATGGGTTGTGGAAAACACTAACGTATTTTAAGCGGAATCTTGTGCTCCCAAAGTAGCTTTTGGCTAGGAGTGCAAAACAGATAACGAGGCATGCAACCTTTTGAAGTCCAACCAGATGAAGGAACAATCAATGGCCCAGCTGCAGAGCTCAGACCTACAAAACTCCTCTGCCAATTCCCAGTCATCTTCCCGGGCAGCCACATTGTTCTCATCAACATGCTCCATAAATTTTGCAGTAGGATGCAAGCTGCTGGCTTGAAGCTGACACTGATTGAAAAACCTTGCCCCAGGCCAACTGCTGTAAGGAAATAACTTGGGGGTTCAGAAGGAAACACCAGGGCTTGTTGTTTAGCAGATTTGTCAGCATTTAGAGATCACAGGAGAGATAGAGAATACCAAGATAAGGCTAATTCCCCAAGGGGAAATATTATACTGTTGTTATTTCTTCTTCTTCTTCTTCTTTTTTTTTTTTAAATTTTGGTCAAGCAAAAATAAAATTTAGTATCAGACAGGCAATTCTTGGTAATTACAATAGGATGTTAAGGAGATTTGGTCTGCTAGATTTTGTTGTTGTTGTTTTTTACCTTCCAATGAACTTTCTTCTTCCTACCTTCAAGCAATAGAGGGTGACCTGGGCTATAGAAACCTGATTTTCTCTCATTAGAGAGTAGCCAGGGGCTCTTTAAGGTAATAAAGCAAGAGAAAAATCACAGATAAAACAAGATAGAACATTCAGGTGGAGATGACGGCAAACTGCCTTAAAGGGTTTATGTTAACAATTACAGTCTGAGAAGTAGGAATCAGACCTCTGAAAAAGAAAAGCACTTTATAATTTATTTACAGCAGTTTAAAAATGTTCTGCATCATAAGGCCAATTTTAAAGTTTTCCATCACCTCCCCCACCATAAACATAAAAGTTTTCCCCAGAAAATTATTCAAAAAGCAAAAGTAAACACTTTCTCTCTCAAACCAGAACAGAGTCATTTTTATAGCAGGAAGAAAATGAAACAAAGCATGCACTATAATACATTGAGATTGTCTTCTTTAGCCCGTTGGAAATTCTGGAGGGCACATGTTTGAATCTATAAGGCAATATCTCTTGGTATCCAGTAGGAAAAGACCTCTAATTTCTCCCCATCTAAGTTGTCTCTCAATTCTAATCTTTCTAATTCCAGAATTCCAGGTCTTTTCTTTATATTTCACTTTTGTTGTTGTTGTTGTTGTTTTCCTTTTTCTATGCTCCTAGGTACCTTTCAATGGACAATCAGTTGTTCTATACTTTGCTTTACTTTTTATTTATTCATTCTATAATTTATCTAACAAATATCTGGAGACAAGAATACTGATTGGTAACATTGCAAAAATGAATAAAACTAGGTCTCTGTTTTGATTAATTCACACAAGTAGAAAAGTAGATAGACATAAAAATCTGTAATTATACATTGTGAAGCATTATAACATAGCATTTGAAAACTCATTCCATGGGGTCAAAAGCACCTGTCTTTGAACACTGTCCTTTTCTCTTACAAAGTACATCAGCCTTGACTAAGTTACTTAAGTTTTATTAACCCTAATTTCTTAATCAGTAAAATAGAGATAATAATGCCCAGCTCATATATTTCAAAGCAGGGATAAAAATATGGTATATATAATGCTTAATACTAGGCATTCACATAATATTGCAAACAATACATGAGATACATAGAATATTGTGGTGGGACAGGGGAAGGAATGACTAACTCAGTTAAGACTTCCCAGAAACGTGAAATGTGGAGTCAAAAGAAATCAGACAGAAATTCAAGAGGTAGTTATGAGAAAGTCCTAAGGTAAAATCTATATACAGATACACATATTATACAGGAATGACAAGTAGTTGTTTATATTTGGAGTGTGAGCTCATGCTGAGTGATTGAAGAAAATTAAACTTGAAAAATAAGTTGGGAGAAGATTATGAAAGGACTTGTACTCCATGCAAAGGAATTTTAATCTCTGCAAATGATAAATAGAGATCTTTCAGAAGAGTATAAAATACCATAATTGTACCTCAGAAAGTGAAATGTGAACAGTGGGTAACAGTGGGGAGAAGTTGGGGGCAGAGAAACCAGTTTAGAGCACATAGCAATTATTTATAAATAATATTTACATTTAAATTATATATATGTTTATAAATCACATTTGTATTATAAGATAACATAAACTTATATAATAACACAAAGGAAATAAAACCTACAGTCAAGCAATGATAATAAAAACAAAGGAAGGGATGGAAGTAAGAGTAAAGAATTCAGAAAACTGTAACTGACTAGATAAAGGGAATTGTGGATGTGGATATGTCAAAGGCATTCTGGGTCTTTTAGCCTGAGAGGCTGTGTGGCTTGTGATGCCCTTAATTATTCTATATAATTCAGGATGAAAAGGCAGAATGAGGGATATGGTGAATTGGATCATTATTCACTAATTTTTATGACTAATCCTTTGCCACGTAATTTTGTAGTGCTTCCTACTTGGATTATATTTTCTTGTCCTCCAAGACGTTGGGCCATGTTCCTTGCTTTGGTCGATGGAATATAGATTGGAGGGTCAGAATGGCACTTGCAGGCTTAGGCTGTAATAGATACCCCTTATTTCTGCTCAGCCTCATGTAATTTAGGGATTCATCACGAGAAGTACATGCTCCAGGTATCCTTTGGTCCAAGCAGAATGGGAAAGAACCTAAATTCGATTCTCAGCCTAGAGAGAAGCCCAGGGAAGCCCAACCAAGCCCAGCCAAGCCGCAGCCTGAAGCAAGCTTCCCGAGCTAACCTGCAGACCTATGACTAAGAAAAATAAATTACTGTCGTATGCACTCTTCAAAAAAATATTTTTATGCAACATTATTGTGACACTCATTGCCACTGAGGATTGGATTGATACAAAGGGACAGAAACTGACGTTTAACTATCTGGTTCTAATTTGTTCCCAAGCTCCAACTACCTTCCTATGCTTGGAATCTCTGAACTGCCGCCACAGCATTACCTCAATTAATCTGTTTTTTTCCTTTGTTTTCTTAAGCTCAGTAGAAAAGATTTTATTATCTGTCATCCATTCACTTCTAGTACATTTACAGTTCTGCTGAAATACTTTTAACCTTAATTATCTTTCCAGACAAAATGGTGGAATAACAAGGCCACATGTTGGACCAGGGATGATCACGTATAGGAAAGGGCCACTTCATTAAAATTTTAATTGGATTAAGAAATTAATTAATTAATGATGGAGTAGACGCCATAGCTACAAACCATCTATCTATCTATCTATCTATCTATCTATCTATCTATCTATATATCTTTTATATCAGCTAAGCATCTTGAAACCAGGTTTCATTAATGAATAACAAAGGGACTGAATTAAAGAGTGTGGGTAATATAAATGTTCAAGATATGGTTACATTAAAAATAGATTGAGAAAGAATATGAGTAAAAGGAGAATGGGAAATAATGGTGATGTTAAAGCAAAATAAGATGAGATTTTTATAAAAGAAGATGACATAAACTAACAAATACCAAAGAGATATCAAATAGGTTAGATAACCATTAGCAGGATCAAGTTATGAGGGAATATTCCCCCCGAGCAATAAGTTATATTTGTTCCAAGAGCAGCTAAGAGTCTTCACAGATCACAAACTTTCAAAGAAGGAAACAGCCTTCCAGATACTAAAGAGGAGTTCAAGGAGAGGAAAATACATATGATTCCTCAGGTTTTGTTTAGAATTTTTATGGCACCCACCTGAGTTGTCTATTTTCTTGTTTTTTCAATTTCTCATGAACTGAAATTGACGATTAAATAAAAGTTATTATTGGTTATTTATATTATAATTAATCATGCTTGTGAACAAATTAATTCTTTAGACAGCATAGCATTCAAAAAAATTTCTTGGCTGGGCACAGTGGCTCACAGGGGTAATCCCAGCACTTTGGAAAGCCAAAGTGGAAGGATTTCTTAATCTCAGGAGTTCAAAACAAGCCTGGGCAACATAGTGAGACCCCATTTCTCCAAAAAAAAAATTTAAACCTTTTATTTTCCTTTGTCTCTAAAATTTCCACATTAAAACTCCATTCAATTCTTAGTAAATGTAACAGACATAAATAAAACATTTATATGGCCATATTCTTTGTCTAACAAAAATTGTTCTTGGTTTTAGTCTTCTTATTTACTATAGAAAAGCAAGTTTCAAATCTGATATTTAAACAAATGGACTGTGCTTAATTGGGTCTATCCAGATAAGCTGAATGTACTTTAAGAGCAGATGTGGTATGAATATACTTGCTGAATAGCGCATAAAGGGAGAGCTTTTTTATTTCTCTTTTGGTAATTTTGTTTCCTGCATATAGAAGTGTCTGATGTATAGTTCTCAGTGAAAGTCTGTTGAATGAATCAGAAAGGGATCATGTGTCATTGCCCTCTCTCACTCTTAGGTTTTGGGCAATATGTTCTTAAGGTTTTGTTTTTTTTTCTCTCACCCTCTGTCTTTTCTCTCTGTTTCTATTAGGAAAATCTGGATAAGTGATTCATCTATGAAGGGGATGCACTATAATGGTATGCATGTTTATCTGTATATAGAGCTATTTTGCTTGCTTACTAATAGCCTTCACATCACAATGTCCTTGACAGCATTGGCAATCAGTCTTATTTTATGCTTCCATTAGGGTAGCCATTAAAATAGATGAGCATAGCAGTAGGCACCTCGAAGTAGTGGCATATTTATACTCAGTGGAATGCTAGAGTTTGGTTACAGTAGAATCCATCTGGTTTAAAACAAATCAGACGCTACAGTATAAGGACAGCTTTCACAGATTACATACACTCCATCTCTGACCCCAGCAAAGAGCTTTTCAGGCTGTCAGAGCCACAAGCAAAAAACTAGAATCCAAGGCAAGCCTTCTTATCTAGATAAAAATGGAAGTGTCAATCAGAGAATGGGACAATCAGAGGGAGCAATCAGAGCTGGGGAAAAAGACTCAGGCCACAGCTTGGTCAATTATATCGTCTAGGGGGTTTGAAAATTTTCTGCAGGACTAAGATCTTCATCCTCAGACCTTGTTGGGTGAGCCGAGTTGAGGCATCAAAACTTGCCTGAGTCTGCAGGCCTGGAAACCTGCAGTAGCTGAATCTCTCTGGGGTTAGAGAAGGCAAGGATGGGGGTGCTTAGCCTGTGAGAGCCCAGATAAGACCAGAGTCATGCATTCGTCATGTCATCTGGCAGAAATATGCAAGACATGATAGTTTATTTTTATTTTATTTTATTTATTTATTTATTTATTTATTTATTTATTTATTTATTTATTTTGAGATGGAGTCTCACTCTGTCGCCCAGACTGGAATGCAGTGGCGCAATCTCAGCTCACTGCAAGTTCTACCTCCTGGGTTCACGCCATTCTCCTGCCTCAGCCTCCCGAGTAGCTGGGACCACAGGTGCCCGCCACCATGCCCGGCTAATTTTTTTGATAGTTTATTTTAACATTTTATTTCTTAAATTTGTGAACTTCTGAATATTTTCTCATGTTCCCTCTCATGCTTTAAGCTTCACTAAGAATGTTTTAATACCATGATTTGCTTTGGCAAATTAATTTCGGCTTCTACATTTATTGCAGTTTATAGGACCCTTGAGATGTGAAGAGTTCATTGTCCTTAGGGTCAGAAAAAAACTATTCCTAGAGACAAGTTCAACTTTTAGATAATGTAATTATTGGATACCCTAACTAGAAAGAACCTTCAAGTACAGCTAAGTAAATACATGCCAAAAAATATTTCCTGTGGTTCTTTGAGGAAAAAAACACATCAAATAAATATTGGAAAATACCGCATATTATATTTCCCTTTTTTGAAAATTCTCAAAGCATGTTAGTATCTTAAAGTTTCAAAACTCTTTTACAATGGGAACTATGCTTATGTGTGCTTAAACAAGCTGTCAAAATATTTGACCATAGACTAATAAAAGTACAAAACATCAGTTAGTAAGTAGTAAAACCACTGTACCACTGAATAACTGAGACCATTCAGATGTGGCCATTTATTGTCTTCATTTCAGGACTCCAAGGGGTAATTAGTACAAGGGTCTATTTTTTTCTTCTTGTTTTCTCATTCTACCGATTTCTCTTTTAATACCTTCTTTTCTCCTTTGCTTCAACTATTTTCCACACCAAGCTGATGCTGACTCCAAGAATCCGTAGTTGTGTTCCAGAATTTTTTCTGAGCTCCATACTTTCACATTTGGCTACTTTCTGGACTTGTGCACGTGCTTGACTCACTTATTAGCGGGAGCTAAATGATGAGAACACATGGACACATAGAAGGGAACAACACACACTGAGGCCTTTCAGAGGGTGGAGAGTGGGAGGAGGGAGAGGATCAGGAAAAATAACTAATGGGTACTAGGCTTAATACCGGAGTGATGAAATAATCTATACAACAAATCCCCATGACACAAGTTTGCCTATGAAACAAACCTGTACTTGGACTCCTGAACTTAAAATAAAAGTTTTTTAAAAAAGAAAACTGAGATATTGAGCTATTGACTGTATTCCCTTTCTTCTTTCATGCTAATATGGATTATATTAACATACACCTGAGAATCATTCTTGACTCTTCCCTCACATAGTTTCTTCCCATCTTACCATTGCAGCAATCTCACATTCCTGTCAATTTCACCACCCAAAGAGCTTGAAAATCTTTATCTCTCTGTACAGAGAGATAAAGCGTCTGAAAGGCTTGTATCAGTCTGAGTTTCCTGTGATTGGTGAAGTGACCTCAGTTGATTGGAGAGCAGGACTAAGGTAGATGGAAGAGTGAGACAAGGAAGGAAGAAAAGTCAATCACAGATATGTTATTGTGCTGACTACCACTGTGAGCAATGGGGCTCATGGTGCTGGGGAAGTTCTGCAGAACTACGTAGAGTGTGTCTCAAAGGTGTCCCTGAAGGATGGGGAGCAGGTTTTTATCTCCTGTTCCTTTCCATCATTAGCTGAAAGGCTGGTCCCAGGTGCATTAACTCTACTTAACTTCTGGGCTAATCTACACATATCCCTGGAGGCAGAAAAACTAAATTAAGTGAAACACTTGAAGTAGCCTGCTGCCAAGGGTGCAGGAACTGCCCATCAAAGCTGTAGTTGAAACTAATGCAGTGGGCAAAAGAAGAACTTTTTTTTTTTTCTTTTTTGAGACAGAGTCTCTCTCTGTCACCCAGGCTGTGCAGTGGTGCCATCTGGGCTCACTACAAGCTCCGCCTCCTGGGTTCATGCCATTCTCCTGCCTCAGCCTCCCGAGTAGCGAGTAGCTGGGACTGCAGGCGCCCACCACCACGCTCGGCTAATTTTTTGTATTTTTAGTAAAGATGGGGTTTCATTGTGTTAGCCAGGATGGTCTCGATCTCCTGACCTCATGATCCGCCCACCTCGGCCTCCCAAAGTGCTGGGATTACAGGCGTGAGCCACCGCGCCCGGCCAAAAGAAGAACTTTTATTAAAACAACAACAAAACCTTTTAACCACTCTTGTCTCTAGGCTTGCCCCTCTCTAAACTATATTTTACATGGTCTCCAGAATAATAATTCTTATATTTTTATATTTAATTTTTTATATTTTTATAATTCTTACATTTTAAATGTGCCCTAATGTAGTGCACATTTTGTAAGTACATTCTAATTGCCAGATAGGGTTCTATGTGTTGGTGAACAAGACCAGTGTTTCGTGTCAGGGAATTTACATTCTAGAAAGAGATGTATAAAAACAAGCAAATAAGCAGAAAAAATACAGCGTCAGAGAGTTATAGATCTTATGCAGAGAATTAAAATACATGTGGTGAAAAAAAAAGACTAGATAGGTACTCCAAATTATGTAGAAGGCTATTGCAGAGGCAATGAAACAAATGTCAGTTTAAGCTTGTAGGGGTGGGCATGGAGAGTAGTGAAAGGATTCAGAATATGTTTAAGAATTAGTGTCTGTGAATTGGTTAATGAATTGAATCTGAAGCTTGAGTAAAAGAGAAAAGTAGGAATGATGCCTAAGTTTTTGGCTTGAGGTTCCAATAGATAATGGCGCTGCTATTTATTGAAATGAAGAAGCCTGGGGGAACAGTGAAGTTCAGGAGAAGATGATGGATATCTTTTGACCTATGTTGAACTTGAGATGATTATTAGTTATATATGTTTAGATGTCAAGCTTAAATGTGATGTTATTATTCTTGCACTTAAAAATCTTTCTAGACACTACTTGCCCTTGAGATAAAGTCCAAACGTGTTGACAGAACCTATGCCGTGCTCACAAAACCTTTTCTTTCCCCCACCTACATATTTCAACATTCATCCACGCTGATACCTGTTTGCAGTTCTCAAAAGGCTACAGGCCACTCTATGCCTCCCTGCAACATCTTTCTATTTGTACTCACTCATTCATTCTTTTGCTTCGAAACTCAGTGCTGGTTTTATCCTTCACAAACATCTCCTGACAGCCCTGTTAGTTGAGGTTGCCCCATTGTGGGTGAAGATGACCTTGCTCTCAGTCTGTGTTCTCTGTACTTCTCTCTAGCATAATGCTTAACACATGGTGTAATAATGTATTTTTGTTGTTGTTACTTGTTTTCCTCATTAGCTATGTGCAGCAAGATTTTATTTCCAACACCTAATATTGTTCCTACCTAGTATTGGATATCTAGTTCTATTAGTTAAATAAGTGAATTAAGAAATGAATGAATAATAGATTAAGGAAAAGAATGAAAAAAAGATGGAAAGAGTTGAAACTTACATATGTTTAGTTAAACATTTATACATTCTTGAGTATAATATTAGCTAACTTTGTTAGTTTGGGTTCTTCCCCTGATTTTTTGTAATGCCATGATTGTAAGAAATTGGAAAACTTCTACCTTCTTAATAGCTAAATTAAAATTTATATTTATATAAATTTCCTTATTAAAGCAAGTGATGAACTGAAGAAGATATTTAACATTCATTCCCATTTATCATTTGCATCCCATTTCCCCCGTTAAAAGAAAAATTTCAGGCAAATTAATTGTAAAGGAGTTTAATTGAGTAATGAATGATTTGCGAATCAGGCAGCCCCCAGAATCAGCAGATTCAGAGAGACTTCAGAGATACCTCGTGGTCAGAACAAATGTATAGACATGACAGGGGAAGTGATATAAGGAAATCAGCAGTGAGGTACAGAAACAGCTGGATTGGTTACAGGTTGGCGTTTGCCTTATTTGAACACAGTTTGAATACTTAGCAGTCTATGAGTGGTTGAAGTGTGGCCTCTGGGATGGGCTAAGACTCAGCTATTGTTACAAGCACATACTCCTAAGTTAGGTTTTCAGTCTTTTCTTACTATCAAGCTAGGTTACGGTTTGTCCACAAGGACTCAAATGTAGAAGTAAAGAGTCCTTGTCAGGCCATATATTTAGTTTGCTTTAACACCCCAAAACCAGTTATGTAGCAAACAGATATAAGTGCAATAAGAGGATGAAGTATACTTTGAAGCAGATGAGAAACAGGGAAGATATAATTTAAGTGTTGGTGAAGACAAAAGAAGAAGAAAAAGAAGCAGTAGCAACAGCAACCACTCAAGCAAACATTCACAATGTTCGAATGTGAATATTCACAATGTTTAAAGCTGGTCAAAAAGTGAAGAACTATTTGGAAATACATGTTTTAAAGCTAGTTCAAAAAATTATTAGTTTTAAGAATTGAAGCATCTAGGGAATTCAAAAATTTTTTAAAAACTACTTAGGTCAATTAAAGTATTTCTGATTCATACAACAAATACATTTTGATTATGACAATGTCATGTTCAAGTGAGTTTATCTAAAATAAATTCTAGATCAGGTTTGGTCACTCATGCCTGTAATCCCAGCACTTTGGGAGGCTAAGGCGGGCAGATCACTTGAGACCAGGAGTTTGAGAACAGCCTGGCCAACATGATGAAACCCCATCTCTACTAACAATACAAAAATTAGTTGGGCCTATTGGCACACACCTGTAATCCCAGCTACTTAGGTGGCAGAGGCACAAGAATTACTTGAACCCAAGAGGTGGAGGTTGCAGTGAGCGGAAATCGTGCCACTGCACTCCAGTCTGGGCAACAGAGTGAGATTCTGTCTCAAAAATAAATAAATAAATAACATAATAAAATAAAATTAATTCTAATGTTCTTTTAACCTACAAAAGATGATTCAACCTTTAACAGTATTGATAACAGACCCAGGACTAGGTTTGCACATCAGTCAGGGTTTAATCAGAAGCAGGAACTCTAGAATATATATTTGTATGAAAGAAGTTATGACACAGATTTGACTATATTCACTTGTGGAGGCAAGTTAAGCAGTATCTGTAAGGGTATTGCTTACATGTCTGATGATGCTAGAGCTTGAAGTCTACAGGGAATGTAATTGGGAAAGGAAGATGGTTATAAACCTGGGGAGGACAAGATTAAGCTAGAAACCACGAGCAACAGCTGGAGCCTATGAGGACAGAATAAAGCCCATACCAGTTCTTTTTGACTCCTACCTTTATGGTATGGATGCCCTCCAGAAGCAAGGCCCTTATCACACAGAGAAACACATACACCTGGTCTAGGAGGCAGAGGGGCTAACGTGGATCTAGGCTAAAGTGGTGGTATAGTTGCAAGCCTGGCCCTACGTTGCCTTACGTCAATGTGGTTCACCAGGAGATGAAAGACAATGCATGTGAGACACTTCATGGCTGCTTTTTCACTTGCACCCCCCAGATGTCATGCAAGAATCTGTCTTGTGGCCCACACCAGAATATGATGTTTCCCATCCTGTATGATAGAAAACATACAGGAACGAAAATTCTGGAAAGTAAAGTTTAACTCAGGCAGATTGACACATTTCCAAAACCAACATACCTTTTTGGCATGATAAAGTTACAAGTCAAATATGTATTCAGCAAATAAATGAAAATCTGAGATGAACTGAAGGATGGACAAGTGGATGCATGAATAAGTGCATAGGCCTCTAGATTCTATCCAAAAGCCATTTCTCTGCCAGTCTTCTTTGTAAATGCCTTATCACAGATTCAAGTCATAGGTATTTCATGAAAGCAATATAGGATTGTCACTAGTATCAATAAAACCAAAGATTAAATACTAGCAGGAGATTTATTCAAAGTTTGTCATTAAAAGACTAGCTTTAATATTAAAATCTAATCCTTACTATTTATTTAGTTATGTTGATGGTATGATTTAAGTTTCACAACAGGTGAAAGGTAATGATTAATATTATACCATTTTAAATATGTAAACTGAAGCTTGGAGAGACCAAATACTAAAACATTGCTTTATCTAGTCTTCTGTGATTCTCTCTCTCTTAGGAGGATCTCACAGTGATGAAGAGTGGCAAAAGGTAGGTCTGGTGGATATGTCTACAACAGAAAACATTAAATGATTAAGAAATCCTGATCTCAGACATTTATCTCTTTCATTTTCTCTTAATATTTTCATTTTAGAAATATAAGATATATGTGGAATTTATTTATTTATTTGTTTATTTATTTTTGTGAAAGAGTCTCTCTCTGTCATCCAGGCTGGAGTGCAGTGGCACGATCGTGGCTTAGTGCAACCTCTGCCTCCTGGTTCAAGTGATTCTTTTGCCTCAGCCACCTAAGTAGCTGGGATTTCAGGTGTTTGCCAGCACACCTGGCTAATTTTTTGTATTTTTAGTAGAGATGGGTTTTTGCCATGGTGGCCAGGCTGGTCTCAAACTCCTGACCTCTCAGGTGATCCACCTGCCATAGCCTCCCAAAGTGCTGGGATTACAGGCATGAGGCACTACACTCAGCCTGGAAATTATTTTTATTCATTCATGTAAAAGATGAAAATTCATCTTGGCTTCAGGGTCATTGAGATAAAATTTATTTTATTTTTTTATTTTCATCTTTGTAAGCTGATAATGAAAAAAGTACTACTTTTCTATTGAACAATCTTACTAATAGATACAATGAATTCCCTAAAATGATGTCATCTTGCACACTAACATCAAAGCAGGGGGTTGGATGTGTTATTCTCAATCCCAGGTCAAAGAACACAGGGATAAAAACAATTTGGGTGAAGTTACATGAGCAAGATCAACAAAGGAGTCTGTGATGGTTAATTTTATTTTGTCAACTTGACTGGGCCATGGGATGCCCAGATATTTGGTAAAACATTCAGAGTCTTCCTGCAAGGGCATTTTGAGATGACATTAACACTTAAATTGGTCGATTGAGTAAAGGAGTTTGCCGTCCTTAACGTGATCTGCCCTCTGTAATGCCCTCCCAATCAGCTGAAGGCCTGAATATAACAAAAATTACTATGGATATGGGATTGGGGTGAAGCAGCTTGGGAATGAAGAGCAAAGCAATAAATGTTCATTGTACTTCAATTGAAGAATTGAGGGACTTTTGCAGGAGGAGAGGATCTTCCAAAAAATGGCAGCAGGATAAAGAAAATGCAAATGCTTAGTGAAACAGGAATTGTAGAGCAGATTAGGTAACAAAGGATGGTGGTTACTTTAGAGTGGTTGGGAAGAAACTTGTCAGTCAGGGTGGGAGGTGAAATTGAAATGCTAAGACAAATTGAAATTGTGAATGATTTTGAGTATGAAGCCACGCACACAGAATTTGGTTTTCATAATGAAGGCACAAAACATTTGAAACTTTGATTTTTTCGTTTTGATTTTAGAAAGGTAAGTGTCTAGGAGCAAGGTATCACACAGTGCTGAGCAATGTTCATGTATTATTTTATTAGATGTTTCTAACAAACACATGATAGAGATACTCTAGTCATTTCCTTTTTTAGAATTTTTTTTTTTAATGAGCCTTAGAGGTTAGGTATATTGTTGCCTTATTGGTGAAAGACAAGCTCCAAAGCCTGGTCTGAGAAGCTACTAACCTCTGAAATATCAGGCCTTTTCCAAGCTTCTAAGCTGTATTATATTGTCAAACAGACCCTCATGACCACTAAGGAAGGTTCAGATATGGTGTGGGGCTGTATTTCTTACCCAGTAGAGCACTGTAGGTCAGAATTAGGCATTAAAAACTCTAGGTCATAAGTAACTGAAACTATATTCAAAAATATAAATTAGTTTGAAGACAGAACTAAATTAATTAACTGGTGATTTTTTTTAAGTATCTGAGTATTAACTGGAACTAACCATTAATTTCATTTAGTTCCAGCTTATTTTTCTATCCTTGTGTCCTAGAAAAATTCATTAAAATGTTTCACAAATAAAATAATACACTAACTGATATAGAAATGCAAAAATGCAACGTGCAAAAAAAAAAAACAAAAACAAAAGAGAATAAAATGGAAGGGACTAGAGACAAAGATTACGGGTTTCAATTTAGTGGTTTGTCTTTGAGTCAGTTGTTAAAGATTTCTTGTTATCCATTTGCTCACCTGAAAAATGAATATAACATTCATACAGTAAACTTCCACATGCTTAATGTAAAGAGCATATGGAATCCTGTATATAAAATTGCTTTGTAAACTTTTATGTCTCCTAGAAACAATTCCTTTCATCATCATGATAACCCTTTGATTAAAATCCACTTTCAACCATTGAAAATGAAATTCTGTACAGCTTCAATCTGATGTTAAAATTGAACTATCTTATTTGAAAAAAGATCAGAGATGGTCTTCAAAATGCCTACAAAGTACCACACATGTCTATACATAGCATCAACATATGAAGATTGAGTACTTATTTGAGGCTGTGCCAAGACTCTATCTGACAAAGCCATCCTTAGACTTCACAAGGCATCAACATTCCCTGTGAGGATATAACAAAGGCTCTTTTGTAGCTCAGGAAAGCAGAATTAAAAATGGAAACAGCCAGGGACTTTATGTGTGTGGTGGTGGTGTTGGTGGTGGTAGTGGTGAGGAAATCTAGTAATACAGGAGTGAAGAAAATTCAAGGACAGTGGTTATAATCAAATTAAGGTCTACAATTACAAATTCAGTACATTTAGTAAACAAAAATATGCAGGTTTATTTCAGCAAAACCAACTTTTTAATGGAGCTGGGAAGCATAGGTGAAAACCATCATAATTTAAAAACTGAGGAAAAGAATCCAAGAAGTGGAAAAACTTGTTGGTGTATTCCCTGAAAATCTTTCAGCCTACAAGATAGTAAACTCAGGTAGAAAAAATATGTATTCCAAAATAAATACTTGAGAGAAAACAAAAATATTTTGAAAAGGTAAATGCTTAGACTATGATGGTTAGTAAATACAACAGAATTGATGGAAAAACATAAAAATGAGATATGACATTTTATACAGTAGCCAAAAAGAGCACTGGAAGTTGAAGTATTTGAACTGTAGTCCTGACTTGATCAAAAACTAATGTGGGGCTTTGGACAAGTCAGTTCTTCCATATGCACCTCTGTATCATTACATATAAAATGAGGAGATTGAAATAGGTAGTATCTAAGGTTATTATGATTTTATGATTCTAAGCCAAACTAGAATAAAAATCCTACTTGCTCATCAAAGCCAATGTAGAGTAGATTATTGTTTACTGATGTGATATCAAACGTGCTGAGATTTTCTGCCCTCAAAAATCACACCCCTCTCTCATCAATGTTCCAAATGCCTTAAAAAGGAGGTACTAGTTTGCGCATGCTGCTGTAACAATATAGCATGGACAAGATGGGCTTAAACTGTACAAATTTATTTTGGAGGCTGGAAGTCCAAGATCAAGGTATCAGCTGGTTTGGTTTCTTTTCAGGCCTCTCTCCTTCACTTGGAAATGACCATCTTCTCACTGTCCCTTAATATGGTCTTTTTTTCTTAGTGTGTGCCTGTGAAATCTTAGTGTTTCTCTGTAAACCCTAATCTTCTCTTGTAAGGACACTAGTGAGATACCATTAAGACTCACACTATGGCCTAATTTTAACTTTATTACCTTCTGTAATGTACTACCTACAAATGCAGTAACATTCTGAGGTACTAGGGATCAGGGCTTCAATATGTAAATTTTGGGAGAACATATTTCAGCCCACAAGAGAGGAAAAAGGTTTTATTTATTTATCTATTTTTCTCTGCAATGAGAAAGTACCATTCTCTTATGCACATAGCATGCACTCACATAGGAACAGCCCTTTCTTTAGCATAGATTCTGAACATGTTGGGCAAGGAGGACAAGAGGCATTGAGGAATAGAAGGTGTGATGCTGCAATATGTGGGAAGAAAGACTAAAAGTATGAAAATTAAAGTGGCCTACTACATTTTTCAGAGATAGTCAATTAAGAAAAGACTGGAAGTCATGTAAACGCTGCCCTTAAAGGCCAACTTGGCTGTCTCAAGGACAGGTTTTTGGGTCTAATTTTAAGAAAAAAAAAAAAAAAAAAAAGTGGGAAAGTGGAAAGAGAAAGGGAGCAAGGAGAGGGGAAAGAGAAAGAAAAGCAAATAAAAGCTGAACTGAAAACACATACACACAGGAAACAAAGTAGCTCTCCAGTTGTCTCAGTCTACTTGGGCCGCTGTAATAAAATACCATAAACAGTGTAGATTAAACAACAGACATTTTCTGGCAATCTGGAGGCGGGAAGTCAAAGGTTAGGGTTCCATAATGGTTAGGTTCTAGTGAAGGCTTTCTTCCTGGCTTGCAGATGGAAGATTTCATCTTGCTGTGTGCTCACATGGCCTTTCATGGTGCATGTTCCTAGGGAAAGAAAAAGATCTATTGTCCTCTTCTTATGAGGCTACCAATCCCATCGGATTAGGACCTTACCCTTATGACTGCAATTAACTTTACTTTCTAAAAACTCAGTCTCCAAATACAATCACTTTAGGGGTTAGGGCTCCAACACATGAATTGGGGGTGGGGGAGTGGCAATTCATAGTACCAGTATTGCTGATTTAAAACATGTCCAAACATTACTAAATTTTTCAGTGGATTGCCTCCTGGTCTTCTAGTTATAGAGATGGATGGAAAAGGGTTTTGTTGCTGTTGTTGTTGTTTGTGTATTTTTTTTTTTTAGGCAGCTTTGAGTGAAGACCTGGTGAAACAGGAAGCTGGATCAATAATGCCCTTAAGGCGTAAAGAACCACAGGTGAAATTGATCCTCATGGAATGAAAGGAGCTAGAAGTATTCATGCTTTTTCTCAACTATGCAGTTAGTCTGAGGATTGCTTGCAGTTCCTTTGTTAATTTACCAATCTGCCTTTAGAGGAA
The DNA here is from genome assembly GCF_000001405.40 of Homo sapiens. Classification (NCBI taxonomy): domain Eukaryota; kingdom Metazoa; phylum Chordata; class Mammalia; order Primates; family Hominidae; genus Homo; species Homo sapiens. The sequence goes on along the minus strand of NC_000004.12, from coordinate 19,035,996 downwards.
AACCAGTTTTAACCTGAAAATCTCAATGGGAGCAAATGAGATGTTTTCCCAGTGAGAATAAATAAACACAGGGCAATCTAATTTACTCTGTTTATAAAGAAGACCAAAGAAATCGGTTCTGGAAAGTTTTATGTTTTCTAAATTCTGAAACTCTCTCATGGTAGGAGCCCGATGATAAGAAAAGTAGTCAGGTAGAATCATACTGTATTTCTCCTTTCTCTATTTTTCCATTAGTTAATCCCTGATTTTTCAAACATTTTGACACATGAGAAATTTCTGTATGTCAAATACTCTACAGAAGCCAAATAGATTGTAGAGATGCTTGTATTTATAAGATATACAGTGTCCAAAAGTATTCAGTTTATGAAGTGGCTACATGACATTAACTTTGGAACCAACTTTCAGCAATTCCTGGTTTTGTCATTTACTTGCTATTGATCTCAGTCAAGTAACCTGAGCATTCTTTCTCTTAGCTTCCTCAGCCATAAATTGGATACAGTAATAGTACCTGATTCAGAGTATTGTTACGAATATTAAATTAGATACTAACCTTTCACAAGATGTCATGCAATTGACAAATGTTAGTTGCTCTATTACTATTATTACAACTACTACTGCTATGATTACATTACTACTATTATGATTACTACTATATATTATAAAGGAAATTTTTTACCATTGAGTCTATTCTGGTGACCCAGTATGAATCAATTTCCTTAAAATTTTCTACTTCTATCTTTATATTTGGCAGTAAGTAAGGCACTGCATGGGAAAGAGAAGAAATATAAACTGTGTTTCCTACCATCAGTGGTCTAAGCATTTAGTTAGTGAAATCATGACAAATGCTTTCCAAAGCCCTTTGGGAAAGGAATCTGAAGCCTAGACAGAACCTAAACATGTTGTTCAAGGTCTCAGAGTAAAGGCAGCTAGGCTGACACCAGAGTTCTGTCATCAGATTAGAGCACTAAGCTCAACCCTCTCAGCCCCATGTGTGCGATGAGAACCAAATCACCCAGGCGGCAAAGGGCATAACTGTGCCAAATGGGGTCACAGTTATGACAGCCACCAAGAGACAAACCAGGCCAGTGAACTTTGGCCCCATTAGCACTGGACTTTCACCAATTCAACCCATAATTTCTCCACAGCCACAGTCCCCAAACGCGACAAATCAGCAATGGCTAATGTGGAGAACAGCCCAGGAATCCAACTCCACATTATTATTTTTTTCCAGAGACAATGTCTCTTCCTCCTATCATACATAAGTAAGGCTGAGGAAGATGTCTCTGGTACAGAGAGATTTTGGACTTGTCTACAGTAGGAGTGCCCCACATTTCCAAATTCACTCAAAGTGCTTGTCACAATATGTGTACAATACAGACTCTGGGTCAGATCTAACTTGTGAGGTTAAAGAAAGGTAAAAGCTTAAGTTTCTGGTATGCTGTTCATACCAGAGATGACGCTGCAATGAATTTCATGACTTTCTGGAGAGTGAATTGGCAAAGGAAGCAATCACTGTACTGTAATTTTTGTGTTACATTTGTACATTCCACGCCTTAACTCCTACCTATAAACACTGAAAGGAAATCATAAGCACAGTTAATGACATATTATATGTAAGTCCAGTGTTTCCTAAAGGACATTCCCCAAGGCAGTTGTTCAAAGAGAATTTGGAATTTTCCATCAGAAATTCTTCTGGTTCTTAATAATGATCTCACATGACATGCATTCTTGTGTTGCTTTTTTTTTTTTTTTCCTCTTTTGATACATCTTACACTCTTCATTCTATGGGAAATGTTAATTCTCCAGAGCCTGAACTTCAGTCTCAGAAATGCAGGGTAATCCTAGGAGGTTAGTAAGAGATCTTCTGCTGGAATGTATTTGATCTACAATATAGCCTGGCCAAAAGACATCCAGATTTTGAGAGCAAGGATGGGGACTGCTCAGCATCAGAATAGACCAGAACTCAGCACTCTGGCCCTTTCCCTTTGTTCCATGCAGGATAAATCACTTACCCCAACAACAGTTAGGGCCACAGTTTGCCAACTGTATTTGTTTTCTCCTAGGCAAAACTGACAGTTGAATGTGATAAATAAGAGCCAATGTGACATGTTTTAAACATCCAGGAGATTTCACCATTTCTAAAAGGGAGTAGATTTTCAAGTTTACTTCTAATTGTAAACTTAGGTTGAATTATTTGTCTCTGCCCATTAAGTATTCCAGACTATTGGTTGATACGGACCAGCTTGGGAAAGACCTTGGACAACTGGGTCTCTACTTTAAAAGATTCCTTTATTTGCTTCAAAAATGACTTTCATACAAATATTCTAACTATTGAAAAGCCACCTCCCCCCCCACCTTTCTCTTTCTAACGTATCCCTTTAATATGTCTTACAGGACTCCTAGAGCTCTTTTTTCTCCCTTTCTGGAATAATTCTATTGTAATTGCTGAGATGAACTCCTTAGAATTAAAGAAAAAAATATTAATGCATAAACTATTTTTTCTTAAGTGAACATTAGTTTTCTTTTACTGACCTTGTAAAATCATCATCATATATAGAGAGAGCCAGATTCTGTAGACTCCTATCTTGGATAAATTTCTTTTCCTTTTCTTCAGTTTCTGTGTCAAAAAAATGGGGATAGTAACTGCTTTATGGGTTATTATGAGAATTAAACATGGTAACACATGTAAAGCACAAAGTTTAAGCACTCAATAAATGTTAGATATTATTGTTAGTAATGGTAGCACTATTGGGTTCTTTCAAAAATTTAAACTTATTTTCCTCTTACATTTGTATCTCTGTATATCTTAGTCATGCAGTAGTGAAATATTTGCATTCCCTAGAAGGTTAACTTATTCCCCCAGGACAGTCTGACACTTGATTTCCAATTAAACTTTATTAAGCGCATTAGCGCATTATCTATTAAGCACATTATCACTATATTTTGTATTTCTGTTGATATGGTATTATACTTGCTTGGTATGTGTTCTAAAAGGCCAATTTCTGAGGAGATACCTGCCTCCTTTTCTAGGGATATGTTTGCATCATGTAAGAAAAATTAAAGTCATGATATTTCTATTAAAATAGTACTTTTACATATATTGTTAAAAAAACTGCTTTAAACAAGAAGAGCATCAAATCTCTGGGTTTGAGGCTTTTGGACTTGGACTGAGCCACTGCTGGCTTCTTTCTTCCCAGCCTTCAGATGGCCTATTGTGGGACTTCACCTTGTGATTGTGTGAATCAAGTCTCCCTAATCGACTTTCTTTTATATACAAAACAAAATCCTCTTTGAATATAAGAACAGATGAACTTTGGAAATAGCCAGATTGGAGTCTACATACTATCCACGTATATATTTTCATATGCAGATTGAATTGAATTGGATATGCTGCCAGGATACTAACAGGAAATAGATGTAAACCAAAAGGGACAATGAGGAAGAGTTTAATAATAGGTCTATTTACAACTCAACCAACAAGAAATAATACAGCAAGAGCCAGATTGCTCTTAACCCATCTCAACCTGAAGAATCAAAGGGAGCGATGAGCATCAGGAGCTCAGACAGAGCAATGCCTTTTGGAAAAATTTGCTGGACAGGGTCTGTGGCCCTCCAGCCATCACCAAATTGCCACTTTGGCCCAGCAGGAACTGAGGTGATCAATGCTCTACACTCCCTTCTTCCACTCTCCATTCTCAGCCAGGGCTTCTCATTGGCCAAATGCAAACAGACCTCTGAGTCCAATGAAGTTTAGATAATGCAGCCCCCGAGGCCAGCTTCCTCAGAGGTCACAGTAAGGTAGAAAGGGGAAAAGTGACCTGAACTTGCAAATAGCCTACAAAGTCATTTTTGTTTCATTTTTGTAACTTTTCCCATGTTGTAGAAGAATCTTGAAAGCTAATTCTAGAAACAGGCTTCCAGCAAAGAACCCCTACCGAATTCAAGATTCAGATTGTATGCATTAAAATGAAAAAAAGGCCAGGCACAGTGGCTCAGGCCTGTAATCCCAAGAGTTTGGGAGGCTGAGGCAGGTGGATCATTTGAGGTCAGGGATTCAACACCAGCCTGGTCAACATGGTGAAACTCCATCTCTATTAAAAATACAAAAATTAGCCGGGTGGTAGTGGTGCGCGCCTGTAATCCCAGCTACTTGGGAGGCTGAAGCAGGAGAATCACTTGAGCTTGGGAGTGCGACGCACCACTGCACTCCAGTCTGGGAGAGAGAAAGTAAGACCCTGTCTCAAAATAAATAAAATGAACAAAAACAGAAACAAGTTACTTTTTATATTTAGAGGGTTTTTGTCCATTCACATTAAAGACAATTTGAATTAACCTGGAATATTGCCTTCCTACATGGTTTTGGTTTCTTTATTACTTTTGACTGACTAGTTTAATTGTTCCTCCTCTAAAATAGTGGTCTCTTAACTCTTTTGGCTATAAGGTCTGTCAATTAAAAATTAAGCATGCGCTCCCAAAATATGTGTACTTATTAATAAATTACATATTTGTATATATGAATACATCTACTATTCTAATATGCACATTATGAAATATGTGAAAACAGAGACTAGTAACAGATGAGATAAAACCTATAAAGAGTTCAATTTTTCTTCCTACACTTCAGGGCACACCTTACCCACTTTACTGTTAGCTTTGGAACCTTTCGCTCTGGAGAGCCACTTACAAGACACCTGTGGTTCCACACCTGATTCAATGGCCATTCTAGGCATAGAATTGTTCTACCCATTAAACAATTTAGCAGCTCGTTTTTTAAGAGACAATATGTATAATAAAATTGGTGTATTTTTGAATGATCCAAAGGTGCTAATCAGGTATGTCACATCTGAGAAACATGTTGAGACGTTGCGAATTGTGGTCAATTGTGGTCAGCACACATTTCCCAGCAACCCTGCAGAGCAGATCCCATCTCCATTTTACAAAACAGGAAACTGAGTCATAGAACATTTTAGTAACTTGTTCCAGTTGATTTTTATCTGTCATAAATCCATGTTCCCCGGGTCATAGTTGAACATTCATTCTCAAGGTTACCAGGCTTCCAGCTTAGCAGGTTTAGTTAGCAGTTTTCTATAGAAGAAATTGATGGAAGAAACCAGCATCTGCAGCACAGAAAGGTCTCCCTGGAAACAATATGCCATGATCCCCTAAGAGGAATAGTTTGCTCAGAGAACTGCAGAGAGAGAGGTCTGATGCATATATGTCCTCTTGGTTTTGGCCTTTCCTGCTAGGGCTGAGAGATTCCAGCTGGAAGTTGAGTCACTGGAGCCAGGGACTGTGTTTAACACTACTATTCCCCCTGGCACCTGAGACAGTGGCTAGCAATAGAGATTCCCAGTAAAAATGGTGAAATGAATAAATGTTTACTTCACTGAAACATGAATTTATATGTCTTCAAAGCAGTAGCAAATTTATAAATCATTTGTAAAAATGTATAATTTTTTAAAAAAATGATCTTTAAAGATCGTGAAAACTACCTCACAAGTATCCCCTATACTGCAGTTAATTGCAACAAAGGAAAAGAATTCTTGGCCAGTAAGTCCACCTCATTCACAGCTTTCAACAGTTAACAAGGTACAGTTCAATTCCATTTTGCCTCCAACTCCTTCTCATTAAGCTTGGCTCAAATTCAAGCCCCTGAGACCCTCCCACTGTCCCTGAATGGTCCCGATGTTTCACTTCACTAAAGAAGAGATTAATTTGTAGAAAGGCTTCAGCACATTCCTGAGTTGCTCAAGTGCACTTCTTTTCATAGAACAGGCTTTTGATTTTGCACTTTAAATCAAAGGCAGAGAGAGCAAAAATTCCAAGTATGTATGGGCTTCCGACCTTTAAAAAAACAGGATTGTTCAGATGGAATTTGACACAGAAATGCTCTACTCTATTACCCTTGTTAGTTTGATTCTTCCTCAAGATACACCCTTTCTTCTTTCTACTAAATATCAGCTTTTCAATCAAGCTGGAGTTTGGCAAAGCATTAAAGATAAATGAAGAGTTCATTATTAGTAATTTATTCATATTGACATTTAAGGGTATTCATGTCATTGGAAAATACAGTGGTTCCAGTTAGAAAACCTATTTGGCAGAAAATGTATTAGTATCTAATTTTCTACGTAGTGGGAGATAATGTGTTTAGTTGGACATTGACTCGGCAGTCACTGTGAACAAATACTATGGTATTTAGAAAAATCATTTCTGAGAATCTGTGCAAACTTCTGAGCCACAGATTTATGAACCAGAGAAAGAGGAAGAAGTAAGCATGATAAAATATTAAATATGTATAGTAGGGCCTTTGAAAAATTACTTTAAACCATTTTTTAATCCCCTGCATGCTATCATTTCTATTTTTGGCTTCTTGACGTAGTTGTACCTAAAGCCTATGGGAGTCTAGTCCAAAACCAAGCAGCCCAGTCACAAAGAGGACAGGCCCTACCCCATGTTGGATGGAAATGTGCTTTGAGTTTGTTAAAACTCTCTGTTAAATAAAACACCATGCCATCCTTCTTCCTTGGTCTGATTTTATGTACATACTGGCACACACACCCCTTCATTAACAATTTTCAGGGGAAAAATAGGGACACTGTGATTGTGAAGGACTTCTGATGGATGAGAATATATTTAATAAATAAGTTGCATTTGAGAAAGATTTTTAACCTTTCCAAAATATTTTCAACCTAATATATTTGCAGATCTTTTGATTACTTAAAAAATAAGTGTTCTGATTGAGTAAAAGGGAGTGCCCTGGCTGGTTACAGCGGAAATTTGTTCACTGGGGTGGGTAAACGTGGTTAGCTTGAATCACATGAATATAATGGGAGTAGGATGACCATGTGCAGTAGCACTGATCAATTAGCCATAGATACTGTTTCCTTTAGGATAGTCTTGAAACCATGGCATCCTGTGCTTTGTTTGGTTATATTCAAGTACTCTAGGGGGTGTCCAAATGGCTAACCTTACATATCACACACAGGAAGTGTTAATCAACTGCTTTCCTAATGCTACCCTTGCATTATTCCTGTTATGTGTATAAAAGTGTAGGACAAGCAGAGTCCTATACCTTTTTCATTCTCCTAAACCTCTAATTTAGTCAAGCTTCTCTCAAGACTGAAGAAAAACAGATTCCTGGTACCTGAACGTGGCTGGCAAAGGGGTATTTACCCTGCTTAATCCAAAGCAGAGTGGACATAGAGATGAGAGTGAAGCTGCCATGACAACATAGCCATTTAGTGCAGGTTATAACATTCTCTGGGCCATGCTCTGGCTACCATACTTTAACATGAGGGTGACCTCAAATGGAATTTCCCCTATGTCTTATCCACCATCATTCAAGAAGGAAATGAAGAAGTGGTATCAACTACAGACAAACTCATTCCTATAAGAAAAAATTGGGCTAGACACTAGGAGGGAAAACCTTTAGAAAGAAGAATAAGTAAGTTTTTTTTTGTTTGTTTTTTGTTTTTTAAATTTTGGCTTTATTTTAGATAATGGAGGTACATGTACAGGTGTGTTACATGGGTAAATTGTATGATGCTGAGGCTTTGGGTACAGATCCCATCACTCAGGTAGTCAGCATAGTATCTGTCAGGCCTCTGAGCCCAAGCCAAGCTGTCGCATCCCCTGTGACTTGCACGTATACATCCAGATGGCCTGAAGTAACTGAAGATCCGCAAAAGAAGTAAAAATAGCCTTAACTGATGACATTCCACCATTGTGATTTGTTTCTGCCCCACCCTAACTGATCAATGTACTTTGTAATCTCCCCCACCCTTAAGAAGGTACTTTGTAATCTCCCCCACCCTTAAGAAGGTTCTTTGTAATTCTCCCCACCCTTGAGAATGTACTTTGTGAGATCCACCCCTGCCCGCAAAACATTGCTCTTATCTTCACCGCCTATCCCAAAACCTATAAGAACTAATGATAATCCACCACCCTTTGCTGACTCTCTTTTCGGACTCAGCCTTCCTGCACCCAGGTGAAATAAACAACCATGTTCCTCACACGAAGCCTGTTTGGTGGTCTCTTCACACGGACGCGCATGAAAGTATCCAGTAGTTTTTCAACCCATATCCCCTCCCTCCCTCCCCTAGTAGTCCCAGAGTCTATTGTTCCCATATGTGCAATAAAGCAGTTTTTAAATATTTTGTTCACTGAATATATTCTTCTGAATCGTTTTCTCTTTGCAATGCCTCTTTTTAGAGTTGCTTTAGCAAGACAGGCAAGGAACTGATTTCCCTGTCAAAGGGACCCCTTTCCAAAAAGAAGCCAGTATGGAGTCCAGAGCAAAAGAGACCTGGAATAGAGTATTTAGAAGAGCTCTGCCTTTCCTTAGGATCCTTTCATTTTGGTTCTCACCTCAGAATTAGAAGCTTACAAGAGTCAATATTAGGGTAAAGATCTAGGAAAAGAGACCATGATGGCTCATTAAACCTGCTCTTCAGGTTGACTTTATGACCACCAATTACAATAGTAAATACTTATATTTAACATAGTATTTGCTAGGTGCCAGGCACTTTCTAAATGTTTTACATACATACATTAACCCATTTAATCCTCTCATCAACCCTCTGTACCAAAGCCAGAGAGGTTAACTTACTTACCTAAGGTCACATAACTAGTAAGAAGCAAAGATGGCATTCAAACTCAGGTATTCTGACTCTAGAAGTCTGTACATTCTAGTGTCACTCTTGTGTTACTGAAGGTAAAAGAAGTCATTTGTGCTCACATAAATTTCAACCCATAAGTTGTGGAGCTTACAGTGGTCAAATATCAATAACAAATGGACCACCTTGTGTATGAACCTGAGAGCACTCATAGAAACACGACTACAATCATCATAAACATATCAGCTGGATGTGGAACTCAGAATATATGACAAATGACTTCATTCCCATAATGTCCCTGCATTCCAAGGATTAGATTTTCAGAGTGTCTAAAATAGGCAAGACCTACTTTCCTGAGTGGCTGTTTCAAAGTCCTGAAAGGTCACTAAGTTCCCTCTTAACCCACCCTATGGCATTTCTTGGCTCAGCACCCTGATAATGGAGCACATTTATATTAATGATGGATTTCGTTTTGCTTTGCCTCCCTTTGATTCTAATGTTTAAATAGGCATTCGTTGCTAACTTTATGCAATTTCACCTCCATTCCATGAGGTTACCTTCTTGTTAATAAAGCTGCCTTCCAAAAGTCAGGTGTTCTCAGAGTTCCCGCTCTGAAGAAATACAATATTTGGAAAGCAAAAACAAGAACAAAATGAGCTGGATTTAGAAGCTCAGCTTAACTAAGAATCATAGAACACCCCGTATCTCCTCCTCCTGTAGGCTACAAGCACAGATTTCAGAAAGTAAAAATAATGTAACATGGCCTAAAGAAACATAATTACTATGATTAAACCACACTGCCCCCTGGCACACACAGAGGAATAAAATCTACCCATCAAGAGAAACCATTTGCATTAAAAACAAGGTGTCCATGTGGAAATAAATCAATTACTAGAAAGCATACACCCTGACAATGTCTAAACAATGCCCAGTCATGATTAATCTTAGTTGGAGGAATTCAACAAAGAAATATTGTCCATTCAGAATTCCCAGTCCTGCTGAGGTCCTGGGATGTTGCCAGTTGCTCAACTGCTATTCAGAAATGCTGGCAGCCTGAGCCTGAAACTCTCCACTTCAAAATCACCAGAAGACGTTACCAGGGTTTCTTTCACTCTTCTAATTTTTACAGCCGCTGTACTTCTCGGCTGTAAATAAAAACCAGTAAGAATATTTCCCCCAGTTCTACTAGCCGTAGAAGTCTCTTGGTTTGTAGGTTAAGCTCACCCAGGCACATTAAGGACTTAATTCACAAATCAAATTGAAGAGAAAGTAGAATCCAAGATTAATGTTTAATATATGCAGTAGTTAAGATAGTGGATTTTGTTCTCAAATCCAAGTCCTGTCTCTACCTTTTCCAATGTCTTGATCCTGGAAAAATTCTTATCGTCTCTTCATGAGGATTGGTTTTCTCATGAATAAAATGGGGTTAACGATGGTAGTAGCTGACTCGGAGAGTCATCGGCAAAACTACTCAATGGGTAACTAATGGACTGGCAGCACCAGCACCATGTCATCTAGGAGCTAGCTATAAATGCAAATTATTGGGTCTTGTCCCAGAACTCAGAATCAGAATTGAAATTAGGGAGGAAGGATGTTAGTGAGGAATCTGTATTTTAACAGTTCTTTAGGAGATTGTTATGCACATTAATGTTCAAAAAGCTTGCATTCAAAAAATTCAATAAAACATGAAACATGAAATCTGTAGGACTGCCTCTGGTATACAATATGGTCTCAATATATGTTAACTATTATTTTTATGAGAGTGGAAGAGGAGAGTTTAGATTTGACTTTGATCAATGATTCAGGAGCTCACATGGCTCCAATGAACTACTAATAAAGACACCAGCAAGTTACAAGCTAATCAGAAAGAGCTTACAAACCTGTTATTCTTTCTCTTCATTTTCCAAGATCTAAATTGCATTTCTGTACATTTTTTTGTTTCTTGCACGTATAATTTATTTCATTACAAGCTGTAACCATGCTGAACTATCTTAGGTATGGCTGTTCAATTTACATCATGGAAAACATAACTTTTTTTTATTTTGGCAGTGAAAAAGTCCATACCTATACAGCAACATGAGTCATACTGGGAGTGGTCAGAGAGACAGAACCCATGAATGATGGTCTTTTTGAAAGAGCAGAGCTGTTAATCAGCCCATCACAGCACCAAGAGAACAAATGCCAAGAATGTGTGAGAATTTCTGTGGGTGCCATATTTAACTTGACAAGGTTGATTTGTGGCCGCAATCAGTATTATCTCGGCAGTAGTCTAAATTAGGCAGTTTGTGTGTGGTTCACCTCCTGGAACTAGACAGGGAAAAAAAGACCCTTTCTCCAGTCTACTTCTGGGTTCCCTCAAGAACCCACAGGTTGTGTGAGAAATCACACAACCCCTACTTTTATGTTAACCCAGAAAAATCTATGCAAAGAAAAGTAAAATTTTTAACACTGTGCCTACAACATTATGGTGTCTTACACTTAAAAGATAGAATTATCGAATTTAGAATTTCAGACAAACAAAATGTTATGAAAGCACAAGGACTTCAGAATACAAGTTTGATCTCCAAACAAAAGCAGAAGTAACAGCTCCAACAACCTGGATGAAGAGTTACCTACTTCAAACTACCTCCAGCAATGTGACTCTACATTACTGTAGGTGCTTATTATTCTATAATTAGCTTAGCAAATATCTTTGCATATTTTCTGTATACACAATACTGACTAATGATGACCCTTTCTAGTTGCCTGTATTAGATACTGAAACTTTATCACTATTGTACGTTGCCTTTTATTAAACCTCATCAGGATGGGCAGTTAATCAAATCATCGAAAAGGTTGAAAGTAGCAGGGAAACATAATGTTTTTAACTTAAAAATATAAAACAACATGATTTATCCATCTTTCTCATAAATCTAACCTGTAATTCATCCTATACAATTTCTCATTTTAATTTCTTTAAAATAAAGAAAAAATTAGAGAGACTTATAAGACATATTAGTTATATTCACTCTACAGTTCTATGATTGTTTTCTCTGTCTTGTCATTGTCTAACCTACATCTAATTACACAGTTTGTTTTTTTCCAGACATTTTTTTTTTCCTGGCTCTGTCGCCAGGCTGGAGTGCTGTGGCGCAATCTCTGCTCACTGCAACCTTCGAATTCCTGGTTCAGGCCATTCTCCTGTCTCAGCCTCTGGAGTAGCTGGGATTACAGGCATGTACCACCACGCCAGCTAATTTTTGTATTTTTAGTAGAGACAAAGTTTCACCATGTTCTCCAGGATAGTCTCGATTTCCTGACCTCATGATCCGCCCGCCTCGGCCTCCCAAAGTGTTGGGATTACAGGCATGAGCCACCGCACCTGGCCAACACACACAATATTTATCAATCAAGTTCACTGTCTTATGTGGCTGTGGTTCGCGGTGCTCCAAAGCAATTACAAGCAATTACAATTATAACGTCAAAGATCACTGATCACAGATCACCATAACAGAGACAATTAATAATGAAAAAGTCTGAAATATTGTGAAAATTACCAAAATGTGATGCAGAGACATGAAGCAAGTATATGCTATTGGAAAAGTGGTACAATAGAATTGCTCAACAGAGGGTTGCCGCAAACCTGCAATTTGTAAAAACTGCAATATCTGTGAAGCACAATAAAGCAAAGTGCAATAAAATGACATAAGCATGTATTGGATCATATATTTTCTATACATTACCTCACTTGGTCACCAAAAAATGATAAGATAATCATACCAGTGCCATTTCTACAGAAGAGGAAATTAAATCCTAGAGAAATCAAGGAATTTACCTAAGGATGATATCAGAATTTAAGACCATGAACATTAACTCAGAGAAGATGCTGAGAAGACTAAAGACAAGGAGGGAAACAACACTTATTGAAAGGCATATTTTAACTAGAAACTTTCTATATTTCAAAAACACTTAAGATGTCATTATATTAAGTCAATTGCTACTATTGAGAAACTAAGCCTCAAAGACAATTTGTCTAAAATAATGGGATCAGAATTCAAGTCCATGTCTATCGAACCAAAGTGATTGTTCTTCTACTTAGAAGAGAGACTATTTTAGCTGGAAGGGGCTTTTTTGAAATAGTTCAAAACAGATTCCTAATGTTATTGATAAAATAAAACAAGGGTTAAAGAGAATGAGGTCCATTGGATGCTTGCAGAGAAGAGAAATGCAAATGAAACATGATCCTGAAGTGTCTCTTGGAAAACAAATTTCTATCTTTGTTATTGGAAGGTCATTCAACATCCTTTAAAGGAATTTACTTTTGTATAATTAGTGACCACAATAAGCCTAATCTGGGAACAATTGTTTTTGGTCAACTCCTACAAATTTCTTGTGGGAGGAAGATGGCCTTCCTTTTCTATGAATTCAGAATTCATAGCACATGGTAGTCACCCAACATATGTTTGTTGGATAAATGATGAATGAAACAGAATAAATAACAGAACAAATAACAGAACATCTTTATTATGAGAATACCTATATATTTAAAAGCATATTCTATTGTCAACTCTGACAACAAATAAAGGCCACTTTCTGTCTACTGGGATATGAATCATATTTTCCCCACAATCAAATTGACATATTTCTAGAAGATACTGACCTCAATTTATAAATAGTCCCATGCCAGAGTGGAATGAGAAAAGACTGAAAAAGACTAGACTAAAAATTATGAAGTTGGTGAGAGTATGATGGAGAAGGGAGAGAAAGGAGAGGTAAGAAGTAAATGCTGCCTCTCTGCCTCGTTAGGGTATATATTTACTTATGTGTGCACACATGCATGTGCACATGCATTTGTGTGACAGAAGTCAGCTGAGAAAGAACAGTTAAAGATAATATAGTTGTAAGAAATAATTTCATCAAGCAATTTACAGGATATAATTTTCTTAAACAATAAATTTACAAATAGTTATGGAGCCTTTACCGTGTGTTAGATGCTGCTGTAAGTACCAGAGACCCAAGAGTAAACCAGACAAAGTCCTATTATCCCTGTCAGTGACCACAATTATAATCACGGTAAGTACTGGAGACCCAACATTAAATCAAAGTCCTTGACCTCATGGTGCTTTTTCCTTTTAATTTTGTGATTTTTAATTTTTATACTTTTTCATGTTGTCTTACGACTGCTTAATCAAGTGTTGAACTGTATTAATTCTCAAAGTAGACATTGTTTAGCAAATTTATTTCTGTCAGCACATAAAATAAAAAGCAGTGGTAGAACCAAAAGTAGCTCCTGATGGTCAGAGCTGGAACAATTTAAACACAATAAATAACATAGTGTTGCATCAGGTCCTAAAGTATAAAATAAAATCATGACTCCATAATGATAAAAAGTGTTGAATAAATGAATAAATGTGATGAAGCAACCTTCAACAATTCTTGCAGAATAAATTTAATTCCAATTCTCAGAACAGAAGAGTTTAGATTTCCTGCATCTCCCTTGAGAATATGCTAGAGTTGGTAATTGTTTCCTAAGAATAGCACAAGGAAAGAGAAAAAATAATAACTGTACAATGGAGAAACCTGAAAAACACTGTGTCAATCAACTAATAATGGATGCCATCACCAGCATGTCATGTGGATGTCAGGTACTTCTGATAAGATAATATGAGAAGAAGCAACTTTTACTTCTGTGATATTCTGCCCAAACTCATTATCCCCAGTCTAATTGTGAAGAAAACATTAAAAAAACACAGATTGAGGGCAATTATACAAGATAGCTGGCCAATAATCTTTAACAGTGTCAAAGTCATAAAAAAAACAAGAAAAGACTGTCACAGAACTGTAGAGATATGACAACTAAATGCAGTGTGGTAGCCTGGATTAGATACTGGGATAAAAAAATGGTGTCTGAATTTTTGGCAGTAGTAATGTACCAATGTCCAGTTTTTTAGTTTTTTTAGTTTTGGCAAGTGTGCCAGGAAAATGCAAGATGTTGACAATGGAAAAAATTGGTGATGTATATATGGAAACACTCTTTATTATCTTTGCAACTTTCCTGTAAATCAAAAAGTATTATAAAGGTAAAAATTATTTTGTAAAAAGCAATGCCAGAGAATATTAAAAATAAACTCAACAAACAAAAAGGCAAGGTGTGGGTGTGCTGCTCCCAGGAGTCAATAACTTAGAAAGTAAAAGCTTGAAACTAATTACATGCAAGCACAGGAATTTTATGTGAACTTGGGCAAATTTCACCCAGGGAACTCCTCTAGCCTTGTGAAAATTCTGAAAATCCTCTTTACATATTGGGCTGATTATCCATGTCAGCAATCACAACTATAATGAGTACAGACAAGTTTATGGCTGTAAAAGCAAAAGTGAGATGGAAGTGAAACATAGATTTGTCTTTGAAATAGGTGACAAAAGGTTCTACCAAGTGAGAAGCTATTTCCCAGACCTTGGGTATCACTTGCTGGAAATACATACTTGATGTGGAAAAGAAATCCTAAAATAAAAAACACGTGTGAGTGAAGAGCTATGAAAGGATACTTTATATCTCCAGGGATTTAGGGAAGTGACTAAAATAGTCAAGGAAGGCTGCATTTCATTCATTTGACAAGAGTTGAAGTGAGAATCACTAGGCTAAGTTCATTGCATTTATTTCTGTATTCATGGACCCCAAAATAAGAGAGGAATGAATGAATGAATGAATGAATGAATGAATGAATGAACATAATGAAAAGATAAAATGCTTGGAATTGTGGGAAATGCCACAACACAGTATTCTAGCAGGGCAGATGCTCATCAATAGTTAGGATATTAAAAAAAAAAGGTAATACAAGCAGTAAGAGATTTAAATAAAAAACCATAGCAGTTCAGAGGACTGTGGTTCTAAAATATTGTTAGGACTTTCCCATGTAATATGTTAAGCTTCATTCATTCCATGGTTGTGTGTGCAAGGGATAAAGCAAGGACATTAAAGTTTGAGTCTCAGCTCCACACCTGACCCCCATATATTTAGCTCCTATAGATTAAGTAATTTTATCAGTAACACAAAGGGAATGAGAATACCTAACTTTGTCACTGATTTGCTGGGAAATTTAATAGGCAAAGTTTGTAAAAGTGCCTGGCAGAGCGAATGGCCAATAGTGGGAAATGACTATGAATCTAGATAGAGGAAAGTGATGAATAGTTGACTGTTTCTGTTCTTAGTCTGGGTGGGCAGTCCTTTATTGGGTCTATCGTCTCCACAAGATAATATTTGTACTTTATGAACACGTGGTCAGTCTAAGAACTCCCTAATAGTGGAATTTTAGAGAGCTAGAGAGCAGGTAGAAACTTCTCAGGCTCTTGACAACCACAGTGTTCATTCAGGCGACCATCCTGAATACAATAAGGCTTTTTTTTTTTTCTACTGTTAGCATTTAGATTGGCAGATGCCAGAACATTCATATATTGGTTTCCAAATGCATAGACCCCAGTCTCTTTGCTTAGGCCGGTTAATAGTAAGCATTGGTTTTACTCACGTAGTAGATGGTCTTCAATGGCATTTCCCTGAGTCAATATAGTCATATAACTTTCATTTTGGATTGAAACATCCAAATCAGGAGAAGAAAAATGTCTTCTCATTTGCAAAAGGGAGAGCCAGAAGTGCGGAAGGATCATGGGTAATTGGTATAGAGTTGCGGAACGGCAGCTGAGCATTTGAGTTATCTGTTGGCAGTAACATTATAGTCAGTTTGGCCTTCGATTTTCTCTCAAATATTCCACAAATCCTGAACACTCATCATTAAAAAAAAAAAAATTCATGCAGGGATTATGGTGGCTAAAAATTTGAAGTTCAGGTATTCTATTTTAAATGCCTTCATCCTGGGCATTTATCAGTCTTAGGTCTCGTGCTTTTAGTTAGAAGAATGACACAAAATCTCGGCAAAAAAAATTAGCAATATTACTCTTTAAAAAGTGTTTTTATTTGTGTTAATTATTTAATGCTCACAATAGGAATTTGCAGGTCAATTTCATCATTTCTGTTTTCCAGATGAAAAAACACAAGCTGAGAGAGGTTAAGTGATTTGTTCAAAGTAGCAAGGTAAGTTAGTAAGTCTTTTAGCTGTGTCTAGAAATTACTATGCCCTGCTGTTAATACCTGGGTGTGAATTAATTTTAATTAGCACTTCCTTCCCAGGGCTATTGACTTTTTAAAGAACATAGTAAGTAAAAGGCTTCATTCACTAATACTAGGACTTAAGACATTATAACCCTTGAGTAAGTAGACATTTAGAGGAAGCAAAGGACCTTCTAAATGTTCCACAAATCATATAAAACTTAGGTGAAAAATATCTACTTGCATGTAAGATTTATTTTGATGATATTCAGCTGTGACGCTGTTTTATTAGTAACATTATACATATTTAAATTTGTTAATAATTTAAAATTCTTTCTGGTTGCTCTAATCATGAGTCAGAACAGCAGTTGTACAATTATCATCTGTCATAGTGACCATTGGAAGACCAAAGAATGATTCTATAAAGGACCATGGGAGTGTAATTTGAACATTTGGAATGTTCTAATAATTCTATAATAGTTCCACCACTGCATCTGACATTGTAATCGTTAGGAATAGATTATTCCTCGTGTCAGTAAATCAAACATCATTTATGCAGAACATCAAGAAGTTTGACTGTGAAAGAAACAAAACCTAGTGATCTGGTAAGAGCTGAGAATAATTTGAATAATGGCATAGATGATAACAGACTCATTCGTAGATGTGTTTAACATTTTGAGCTTTTAATTTCTCTGTGATGGATGAAAAAAGGTAAAGTAAGCCATACACTGTGGGTTTTTAATAAATAACCAAAATAGTTATAGAAAAGAATAATTATGGATCATGAAAATGATGGGAATGATTATTTTGATAATGAGATTAGAGTTGCCAGAGAATGAAAAAAAACCATAGAAATTAGTAAAGAGCACTGGACGGCATGTTAAAAGACTGAATCTGAACCTGCTTCTGCTGTTCCCTGGCCTTATGATCTTGGGAAGTGATCTAATCTCCCTAAATCTGTTTCCTCATCTAGAAATTAGTTAATACGTAAGACTTGAAACCTTCCCTCCCCTATGTGATATAAAACACATCTTGCTAAAGAGGTAGGAATGTAGAAAGGCACTTCTTCATGTAGCTGGAATTCTACACTGTGCTTGATGCTTTGGAATTACCATCTACTTACATGTGAGATTTATTTTGATAATATCTTTCGCCCATGGCTCCTGCTTTATTAGTAACATTATTTATATTTATTAATAATTTTAGATTATTTCAGGTAATTATAGACTCTGAGTCCCAACCCCACTCCCCCCATGCCCTGGGCTTTGCACATTCAGGGTGGAAACAAATTCATTTACTGGAGATTAAGCATAGCATGGTGGTTGGCAGCATGGGCTCTGGAAACAAACCACTGGAATAGAAATCCCCTCTCCATATATTAGCCTGGAGATGTCATTTAGCTTCTTTGTGCCTAAATTTTCTCAGCTCTAAACTTTCAGTTCTTCAGTTTCCTCAATTGTAAACTGGATGTGATACCAGCACCTAACTCATAGGATTACTATTAACATATGCAATGCTTTTAGAAAAAATGTTTGACATATGTGCTATATGGATGTTTATTAAATAGGTACAATAAAACGTTATAAATGATACAACCAGTGTTTCTCAACTGGGGCAGTTTTGTCCACTAAGAGATATTTGGCAATATCTGGAGACATTTTTGGTTGCCACAGCTGGGAGGGAGTTACTGGCATCTAGCGGATAGGGGTATGGGTGCTGATAAATATCTCACAGTAAAGAGGATAGCCACCCACAAACAAGAATTATCCAGTCCCATGTGTCAATAAGTGCCAAGGCTGAGAAATATTGGTATATACAGAATACCAGGGTGACACCGTGAATCAAGAAATCAGTTCAATTTGAGTTGGCAAGAGGAAGGAAGGATTTACAAAGGCAGAGGTAAATAGGTGTTTGAGAAGACATCACAAGGCCTAGAAGATCCCATGGCCATCTCATCCCATTAAGATGAACGCTTCCTGGATGCTAGGTGTGGCCTGAGGCCTCGAAAACCTGCAAGTGTTTATATCACTTCCTGTGGTATCAAGGGGTTCAGACTCAATGGCAAAGTTTGTACTTTACAATAAATACTTTGCGTTACTAATTCATTTGTTCTTCATCACACTATAAGATAAATATTATTATCCTTACCTAGTCTGTAGCAGAGTAGGAAATTTGACCCTATGCTTCCTTTGTGTAAAAGTAAAGAGAAAAATATCATTAAATACATCAGTGGGTTCACGGATAAAACGCATCTCCTCTGTCTCTACCAGAAAAGGAAAGGAATTGAAATTAAGAGAAGGGAGACATTGAAGGATGGAGCCAAGATTGAAAGGAGAAAGAGGTTGAGGGATAGTGAGAGAGGCTGGAGAAGAAAGTAAAAAGAGGCCGCTTACCCAATTTAAAATTGGTGAGATGTTCCTTGGGCTGGTTGGTCTGAGGACCCAAGGTCATAGGTGGATCTTTCTCATGGAGCAAAGAGCAGGAGGACAAGGGATTGATCTCCAAGGTAGGTCCCCCGATCCGAGTCACGGCACCAAATATCACGCGCGTCTGTGTGACGAGACAACCAAACAGGCTTTGTGTGAGCAATAAAGCTTTTTAATCACCTGGGTGCAAGCGGGTTGAGTCCGAAAAGAGAGTCAGCAAAGGGAGATAGGGGTGGGGCCGTTTTATAGGATTTGAGTAGGTAGTGGAAAATTACAATCAAAGGGGGTTGTTCTCTGGCTGGCAGGGGTGGGGGTCACAAGGTGCTCAGTGGGGGAGCTTTTGAGCCAGAATGAGCCAGGAGAAAGAATTTCACAAGGTAATGGCATCAGGTAAGACAGGAACAGGCCATTTTCACTTCTTTTGTCAGTCTTCAGTTACTTCAGGCCATCTGGATGCATACGTACAGTCTTGGGCCCAGAGGCCTGACATTAACAATATATTTGACTTACAAAGGGTACAAAATTTCAGTTTTGTAAGATAAGTAAACTCCGGAGATCTACCATACAGAATAGTACCAAGAGCTAACATAGTATATCATATTCTTAAAATTTTCTGAGAGCATATCTTATATGTTCTTATCAAACACACACATACATACACACATTGATGATGATGGCAATAACAAAGAAGGCAGAAGAAAATTTGGGAGGTGAGGGATATGTCTATGGCTTTGTTTGTAGTAATGGTTTCATCACTTATTCCTAAACTCATTGAGTTGCATGCATCAAATAAGCAAAACTTTTTACATGCCAATTGTGCCTTAATAAAGCGGTTTAAAAATATATACATACATATATGACCAAAAAGACATTTTCTGTTTTTTTTTTTTTATTTTTATTTTTTTGAGACGGAGTCTCAGTCTGTCGACCAGTCTGAAGTGCAGCGGAGACATCTTGGCTCACTGCAGCCTCTAACTCCTCGGTTCCAGCGATTCTCCTGCCTCAGCCTCCCCAGTAGCTGGGACTACAGGTGCTCGTCACCACATCCACCTAATTTTTGTATTTTTTAGTGAGACGGGGTTTTACCATATTGGCCAGGCTGGTCTTGAACTCCTGACCTCGTGATCTACCCACCTCTTAATGGTCCTCACATCATCATGTTGGTTTAACTCAGCTGGAAAGCCTGAAGTAATGATTAGTCTGTTACTAAGAATTAAACCAGTAATTTATGGATGGAAAGAATGTCACCTCCTTCTCTAAGAAGAGTTCTTTCTCTCTGGGCAGCTATGGGATCAATTCCTCTTTCCTTCTAAATCAAGGAAAATGTTTTAATTATGACTTAAACAACTTTTTTCAAAAAATCCTGAAATAGATTGCTATGGGAATTTTTGTCTTTAAAAGGAATGACAATTGTTTATATAATCTTATATAATAAATGTTTCTACAATGTTAAACAATTATATGTATAATTGTTTAATATAATGGCATATAAACAATTGCCCAGAGGTGGAGTCACACCGCATGTTCTCACTCCTAGGTGGGAATTGAACAATGAGAACACTTGGACACAGGATGGGGAACATCACACATTGGGGACGGTTGTGGGGTGGGGGGAGGGGGGAGGGATAGCATTAGCAGAAATACCTAATGTAAATGACGAGTTAATGGGTGCAGCACACCAACATGGCACATGTATACATATGTAAGAAACCTGCATGTTGTGCACACGTACCCTAGAACTTAAAGTATAATTTTAAAAAATTGCCATTCCTTTTACAAAAACAATATATAGCAATCTATTTCAGGTTTTTTTCTAATTTGTGTTTAGTTATGTTCTGCTTATGCCTAGAGTCTCATAACCTTGAAACAAAATACGGGCAGCATAAAATGACTTGACTGACCATCTTTTCAGGAGTGAATTTTTAATGTATCCAACCATCATGTATTGAGCACCTAAGTTGAACTGGCCTCCTTTCCAACTTATTTTCTTTTCAACATCACATGGACCTATTACTGACCCATTACCTACAATAAGAGCAGAACAGTTAGCTAGTTAGCTGTTATGAAATATGTGTTATATAAATAGCACATGCATTCATCCAGTAGTCATTTATCAAGCACATGCTATGTCCTAGAATTTACACACAAGTCACACAGTAGGCAGAAACACCACATTTTTCTGAAACACATTTATTGATATTTAAAGCATTTTTCTTCTGAACCTGTGAGTTCAGTTTTCAGTAGGCACATTGATTTTTCAGCTGCTTTTCTATAAGGTAAGGACTCTCACATATCTTCACTCAATACAAAGCTGTTATAAGTTAAAGGAGGACTTGCAAAACTATAAGGTAAACCCTTAGACCTAAAGCCACGGGACAACAGAGCAATTCATATCTACTCAAGTATTTTATTTACCAACTGCACAAGCATATATTGAAGTGAAAAGTCTGACAAATGTGTCCCCTTTTCTCCCAGCAGTCAAATCCCCCAGCATTACGGTTTGGTCAAAAAATAAAACTGTAATGCACTCTCAAATCTCTGCTGATTTTATCAGCAGAGCTCTAAGGATGTCCCCACCTTCCACACCACACATGTGCATGCACACACACACACACACACACACACACACACACACACACACACACACACAGAGATTTCCTTTTTCTTTCTCCTTCCTCCCCCAGGTAAACTTGTTATCAGGGAAATTTTTAATAGGACTGAATCCAAGGCAATGATTATGCTTCTATCTTCTGCAAATCAAATGTCATCCCACTGTGACATTTTAACTGAAGAGTACAGAGATTGAGAGAGAACCAGCAGATTTGGGGATCAGAGCATGAAAATGAACTCTGAAGGTGGCCTCGAAGAGGTTAGTGTGCCCAAATTTCAAAGGTGGTGCACAAGCAGGTTTGAGTTAAGCCAGTTTGACACTTCTCTAACTCCTGGAAAACCAGGTGCTGCAGAGCCAGCTTTTATAATCCAGAGGCATAGCTTTTCCTGACTCAAAATTCATTCAAAAGTCAGAGACATTTTGATTGTTTTTAATGAAAGAGAAGAGTGGTTAAAAATTGTCTTTATTCCCTTCTTACCTCTGAGTTTTGGTGATGGGGCTGCCCTTGTCTGCCTTTACAGAAATTATCTGAAGATCTTTCTTATGGAACTCAGACAGGTTGGCAGTCTCAGGCTCAGCAGGACCCAGTAACACTGAATTATATTTGAAAAGTTTTGACAGATAAATAATTGTTGGCTGGTGTCCTAGGTTAAATATCATAACTCCTCCCTGCAACCGTCAAGGCAATTGCAAAATGTCTGACCCTGGTGCCTACGGTCCAGACCATGAGAAAGTGGCAGTGTCACCACCAACTGATCACTGGGGTGTATTGTTCTGAGTCTCTTCACAATGACTTTAACCCTTCAAATAATGTAGCTGGAATTTGCAACTCTGCACCTCTGGAGGGTCAGGCTGGTCTACACATTATTTTTGAAAGCCCATCAATATGAAGCCAAACCTTTGTACATTTTAAGATTGCTTGTGAGGAGTTGCATCAAGAAATGTCCAGATTACAATATCTACTTTCTCCCAGTGAGCATAATAAGGAGTTAAAATTTCTGTTTGTGTTTGTTTGCTTATTTTTGAAACAAAATACTTACATCTGCTGTGAAAATTAGGATTTCTTGTTTTGAGTACCTTAAAGAGGAAAAGTCATGAAGTGTTAACTGAAGAGATAACCTGGTTTGAAAAAGGGAAGCAGAGAGATCCTAGGAAAAAAAATAGAGAAAAGAGAGACAAAAAAATAAAGAAAATAGAGGTAAAAGTGGGTAACTTTAAATGAGTGCAATTATTAGTACTTAGAGAAAGAGATATTGAATAGATTATGAAGTATCAATAATAAAATTAATGGGAATATGCATTTATCAAAACTACTGGTGTTTTTGTCATTAAACGAATAATACTTTAAATTTTTATTAAAATAGATAATAATAGTAATAATAGGTTTTGGTTATAGGGTTTTTACCATGTGCTAGGAACAATGTCTGCAAGAAAAGTATCAAAATCTCTCTTTTAAAGATGATCAAACTGAAACTCAGCTGATTTCACTTACTCAAAAGTGTAATCAGTGTTTAAGCATAGGTCAGTCTGAACCTAAAGTATGTGTTGATAAAAAGTAGATACATCTTTAAGAAGTGGTTCATCCTCTCTTTTTAACCCATGACCTATACGCACTAGCAAAGATTTTGCTGAGTTTTACTTTCTGTAGTTTGTATATAATGAAAACCATACTCCTATGAAAGTGCTCATTTAACGTACATCTCCCAAGATCCTTCCTTTGCTTCCCAGGCTGTAGCCTCCATCCCTACCCATATTCTTGTGCCACCTCTCCCACTCTTGCAGACCTTATTAAGAATCATCTATGCAGTCAGAGAACTCAATTTTTATATTATATTTACTCTTGATTTATTTATTTGGGCATTGTCAATTTATTTATTTGGGCATTGCCAGTATGCACCATACTATAGTCTAAGTAAATTTTGCTTTTTCAAATCTTATGAGTGTGTGCTACCTAGTTTTATAGAAAATCTAAATGTTGGTCAAAGGGCATCCACGCTCTGCACCCATTTGAACAAAAAGAAAAGAGAATGAACATGGAAGAAGGGGAGTGTTGGGTTCGAGTCCTAATGTGTCATTTTCTAGCTATATAAAAAACACAATTCTGATGCCTGATAGCCTGAAATCAAATCCTGTCTCATCCATGTAGCAACTGTGACTTCCAGTATTTTACTTCATCTTTCTGAGTTTCAATTTTATAATATATAAATAAATGATAATAATAGCACCTGCCTAATGAGAATTAAATGAGATATTGATGGCAAGTTCTTAGAACAATGCTTGGCTTATAGTAAAGGGTCAATAAATGGTATACAGTATTATTTTATTATTATTATCAACATCACCATCATTATTGTAATTGTATTTACTATTACTCTTGTGGTAAGCATTATTATCAATATCTATTATCAGCCTCAGGCTCTTCATGAAAGCAAATAATTTATTGAAGCAGTTGTTTTTCAAAATTGGTTATTGTATTTAGCTAGTTATGTTAGTTTTATGAAAATACAGTTTTTGAAAAAATAAAATAATTTATTCAAATAAAGGGGCTATTTGGTAAACCCTATATTCTATAATAATTTCCCCTGAGTGACAAGCTCTTCTCACATCTTACTTGGCAAAAAGAAAAAAAAGAAAAAAGAAGAAAGAAAATCTAGAGAGCTTTTCCTTGGTGAATCTAGTTACTTGCTGAATCTAGAGAGCTTTTTTGGAAGTTAAGCCCATCTGCATTAGACTTAGACCTACTTACTTCTAAATTCCAGCTCCAAAAAAGTTCAGTTTTCTTATCTGAAAAAATGAGAATCATAATTACTACCTTGAAAGATGGTTGTAATGAATAAGCACATAATATTACAAAGTAAGAAAATCCAACCCTTGCTGAGATCTTTTGTGCCACACACTGAACACACAGTGAACACA
Source organism: Homo sapiens (assembly GCF_000001405.40). NCBI lineage: Eukaryota > Metazoa > Chordata > Mammalia > Primates > Hominidae > Homo > Homo sapiens. The sequence continues at coordinate 19,011,348 of NC_000004.12, read as the reverse complement.
CTGATCTTTTGTGCCACACACTTTTCATGTATCAACTAATTTAATTTTCACAACTGCAATATGGTTCATACTATTATAATCCCTATGCTTGTAATTGTGAAGTGAATTGCAACTTCAGTTATTTAAACTAGTATCTTCACTGTACATGGCCTTAGTCTTTAGAGAAAAAGCCTTTTAAAGATTCTCCCTTTCCAGGATGCCTTTAAATAGCCACATTATCTGCCCAGGTTCCCTACTGCCTGCCTTGCCTGAAGGGCTCCACGCTGAGTGTGGGAGAATTTACCAGGGAGAAAAACAACTTAGTTTTACCTGGGTGACAGCAATTATGCAGAATGACAACAGGAGCAGTTAAGTTACAAGTTAAGGGTGATAATTCACTCTCCCCAGGGACTGTCACTCAGAAAGGCTTGAGAAAAAAATACCAGCAAAACAATGGCACACTCTGTTGTTAACAGTCATGTCCCTATAATGCCTTGGCATTGTGAAACAGTAAGGCCAATAATGCAGTCTGCTGTCCCTGGAAATCTCTCCAAGCACATGTGCTATATCTCAAGCTGTCACTCCTTAAAATCCCACCATCGAACGGGTCACCAGGTCGTCCCTGTCAGCCATGGCAGCTCCACAGTGATGGTTCCATAGGACCCTCAAAATAACCTACTTGCAATCAGAACTCACCAATGGATTTTAAAATACATAAACCAAGGAGTATGAGAAACCTAGATAATTTAAAATATATCTTTCTTCAACATAGATATAGGACGTGGGGATTGTAGTCTGGGAGTTTAACATTATGATGCAAGGCAGTTGCTGAGACAAAGCACTATTCTTATTACTTTTGCACCCTATAGAAAGCTTTTTGAAAACAATTCCATCAAATTGGTTAAAAAAATTGTGAACGCCCATATCTCTAAAACTGCCTTTGCAAAAATTATAACTGAGGAAATTATAACACTGAAAGAGGTCTGACCTAACTGATTCCATCTTTTTTCTAATCTCCAAGCTGTCCTTGTTCATTCCTGGGCATAAACCAAATAAACTTTGGGAGGAACTTAGTTTATAGTTTAACTTTGAAACAAAGATGATAACAGTCCTTTCCCCAAACTCCCTTCCTTCCTGGGGACTACATTGCCTTTGTAGGACTACAAAATTAGCCGCAAGTTTAGAAATTATGGTTTAGGAGTCATGCAGCTGGAGGCTGCAAGATTCTCACCCTCCCTAAATTGCTCCTAGGGATAACATCACTATTGTAAAACCTAAGCGCTTGAGATATTTTGCAGGCCCTGCACTTGATGGATTAGTTGGCACCACCCAGATGTGTAAACTGGCTCATCTGGTTTTGTGGCCTCCACCCAGGAATGGACTCTACAAAAAGATAACTTTGACTCTCTATGATTTCATCTCAGACATGACCAATCAGTACTCCCCACTCTTCAACCCCTACCCACCAAATTATCCTTGAAAACTCTAGTCTCCAAGTTTTCACGGAGACTGATTTGAGTAATAATAAAACTCTAGTCTCCCATACAGCCAGCCCAGCTCTGCATGAATTAAACTCTTCCTCTATTGCAATTCCCCTGTCTTGATAATTGGCTCTGCTAGGTAGTGGGCAAGGAGAACCCGTTGGTTCTCCCATTAAGCCCATTAAACATATTCAACAACTATTTTAATTATTTTTATTCCCACTTGATTTATAATAAAACTGTGCTCAAGGAAGTTTCATAATATGCTCAGGGTCATACAGAAGAGATGGGAGTGGAACTCTAGCCAGACTGAAACCGCCTTTGCAAAAATTGTAACAGTGAGAAAATTATGGCAGTGAAAGCGATCTGATCTAAACAACCCCTGTCTTGTCTTTAACCCCCTGAAGAAAATAGCACTATTGTAAGACCTAGGATTGGCCTTTTGAGATGTCTTTTCATGTTTTCACGTTTCTGATGAGGAGAGCTCCACCCAGACTTGCCAACTGGTCCTGTGGCCCCACCCAGAAGCAGACTATTTTCCATATCTCTGTCATTGTATGCCCCACAAATCAGTAGCACCATTCTCTGGCCCACCAAACTATCCTTGAATAAACCTAGCCTCTGAATTTTAGGGGAGACTGATTTGAGTAATAATAAAACTCTGGTCATCCATTCAATTGGCTCTGCAAAAATTAAACTCTATCTCTATTGCGATTACCCTGTCTTGATAAATTGCTTCTATCTGGGCAGCAGGCAAAATAAATCCATTGGGTGGTTACAAGTCTAGATTTAAATCCCAAATGTTCTTTACCACTTGATTCTATTTCTCTGAGAGAAGCTTTGGGGAGAGTCAGAACTGCGGTCACATTTCCTGCTTTGCTGCTTAGCAGCAGATGTGACCATGGGAAAATTGTAAAAATTCTGTTAAACTTAGTTTACTCATCTGTAAAATTGGGATAATCATAACAGCCAATTTAAAGGTGAGATGAAAGGAGTTCGAGAGATTTTTATGATAAAAAAAGTACCAGAAGGCTCATTTCATGCAAGTTATCTGCTTTTCTTTTCTTTTTTTTTTTTTAAGTTTTTTTTCTTTTATTATTATACTTTAAGTTTTAGGGTACATGTGCACATTTTGCAGGTTAGTTACATATGTATATATGTGCCATGCTGGTGTGCTGCACCCACTAACTCGTCGTCTAGCATTAGGTATATCTCCCAATGCTATCCCTCCCCCCTCCCCCCACCCCACAACAGTCCCCAGAGTGTGATGTTCCCCTTCCTGTGTCCATATGTTCTCATTGTTCAATTCCCACCTATGAGTGAGAATATGCAGTGTTTGGTTTTTTGTTCTTGCGATAGTTTACTGAGAATGATGATTTCCAATTTCATCCATGTCCCTACAAAGGACATGAACTCATCATTTTTTATGGCTGCATAGTATTCCATGGTGTATATGTGCCACATTTTCTTAATCCAGTCTATCATTGTTGGACATTTGGGTTGGTTCCAAGTCTTTGCTATCGTGAATAATGCCACAATAAACATACGTGTGCATGTGTCTTTATAGCAGCATGATTTATAGTCCTTTGGGTATATACCCAGTAATGGGATGGCTGGGTCAAATGGTATTTCTAGTTCTAGATCCCTGAGGAATCGCCACACTGACTTCCACAATGGTTGAACTAGTTTACAGTCCCACCAACAGTGTAAAAGTGTTCCTATTTCTCCACATCCTCTCCAGCACCTGTTGTTTCCTGACTTTTTAATGATTGCCATTCTAACTGGTGTGAGATGATATCTCTGTTATTCTTAGTGAAGGGTGTTCTATTTGCAAGTTCTATGGAAATACTGACAAAGCACTTGCTTTGCTTTTGCAGGGCTGAAGAGATGTATGTGGCAAACTTTACTTAGATTTTGTTTTTCCAAATCATCTTTTTTGAGAGAGATACTAGTATTATTCAAAGGATTCAATCAAATTTGTGTAAAGTTTAATGTAAAATCATATAAAAATCTTTACGACCCAAAATTGTTAGGCCTATGGTCACTTTTTGATAGAGTTGAGCTTAAAATTCCAAAAGTTAGAATGTGGGAATTTGGCTTTTAGGAATGTCTCAATCAACCAGAAATCTAAGCAGCTATAGGCTCAGAAGTCAGTGTTCTGAACAATATATTTTCACTAAGCACTTATTGAGTGGAGCATTATGCATTAAAGCACTAACCAAGTAGGTAGTTTAGGTTGAGGCACTAATGAGGTCTAGGGGAGACCAGTCTTTGATATGGGACAGAAGGAACAGAAATCCTGTCAAAAAGGAGAACTAATAGTGTTTGTACCTGAGACTTGCGTTTTTAGGGAGGTGGAGGAAGGGCACAGACACTTACGACCCATGGGTGGGCCAGGAAATTATGCATTGGATATAGACTTATACCAAGCATTAGCAAAGAAATATAATGAGAGGTGGGAGGAAAGGTGGAAGAAATCTCAAAAGACGCCAATCTGCTGAGCTGAACCAGGCGCTCTTCTCTGTTCCCAGAAGTCTCTGTGTCTTTTCTCTAGTGGCTATAGTGTTAAACACAGTGTCTTCCTCCATTTGTGTTGCTACAACAAAATACCACAGACTGAGTAATTTATGAATAATAAAAATTTATTTTTTATATTTCTTAAGGTTGGAAAGCCAAAGATCAAGTTGCCAGCAGATTTGATGTCTGATGAGAGTTGCTGTCTGTCCCCAAGATGTAGCCTTGTTACTGCATACTCTGGATGGAAAGGACACTGGGTCCTCACAAGGTAAAAGAACATAAGACCGAAAAGAGGCCTAGACTAGTTTCCTCCAGCCCTTTTATAAAGCACTAATCTGTTCAGAGGGCAGAGTCCCTATGACCTAATCATTTCTCAAAATCCACCTGTGGATACCATGTCGATATTGAGGGATATTCACACCAAAACATACAAGATTATTTGTTGATCTGTCTTCTCCACAGATTAGAGGACCTTGCATAAAATGCCCCGATCATTGAAAACACATATGAGTTTATCCATCCAAACCCAATATTAGGATATACCATTGGGAGAGTGAAGTACAGGGATATGCATTTATTCGTTCAACAGATATGAGCTAAATAGCTTCCATTTGCTAAGGGCTTTACTAGGTGATGGATTCAGATAGAAAACAACACAGATGAAGCATATTCTGTAAAGTATAGTATCAAGGAAATAGATTAAATAAAAAATTACTGAATTACCATGAGATGGCTGCTACATAGGAAAATAATAGGATTTGTTCTGCCATAGATTAGAAGCATAGAACACTTTGGGGGCAGCTCCTCAATGTGATTCAGATATCTCTCCCTTTAAAAGCAACAATCTTGGATCTTTCTTATTTTCTCTTGGCTCTTATTTCTATAATTTTTTGTCTGCTACATTAACTTATTTAAAAACACCTTTACATTTTTTTCCCCACAAGAAAGTAAAGGTTCTCCAAGTCCTCTAAGTTAATGGGACAAGGTAAACATTGAGCTGTGACTGGATAACAATACAATGGGGAAGCAACTAAGTTGGTGTAAACATGTAAACTGATGTGATTTTTTAAATCAAATCTCTCAAACATTAATAGGTACAACTCCCAATAACACCCTATCCCACTTTCAGCCTAGGCACTGCAGTTCACTTTTAACCATCAATGTGACAGATTGCACGGGAAACCCCAAAAACATATTTCAACGTAGGGTTCTAACTTACTCCTAACATTGTGGACCATAATAAATTATAGCCTATATAAATGACCTTGTTTCTCATATTTGTGTATCATCATGGGTATGATTAATATCCAGAACGTCTACTCTGAATTCACTTGAAACCCTTTACAGGCCAGGCACAGTGGCTCACACCTATAATCCCTGCACTTTGGGAGGCTGAGGCGGGCAGATCATCAGGTCAGGAGATCCAGACCATCCTGGCTAACATGGTGAAACCCCATCTCTACTAAAAATACAAAAAGTTAGCCAAGCGTGGTGGCGGGCACCTGTAGTCCCAGCTACTTGGGAGGCTGAGGCAGGAGAATGGCATGAACCCGGGAGGTTGCAGTGAGCCAAGATCGCGCCACTGCGCTCCAGCCTGGGTGACAGAGCGAGACTCCGTCTCAAAAAAAAAAAAAAGAAAGAAAGAAACTCTTTACAAAACTAGGACTCTGCAAATCCAGCAGAGATAAGAAAAAATCCTCATTTAAAGAAAACTGTAATTGATGCTCAATGCAGCCACATTTTTTTTCTGAGAAATCGGTTGTCTTAATTACATGGCATAGAAATTAGTCATTTTTGAAGAATTTGGTGTGGGTGGAGGGCATTCTGAGTTTGTTGTTATGGGTGGGATCAGAGAAAGCATTTCCAGTGTGTATGCAAGAGAGATTGTCCCTGAGCATAAAGATCTGCTTTCCCCAGGCTTATGTCTGTAGGTGTCTCTTTCCACTCAGAGGTCACAGTGTGGGGGTGGGGTGGTAAGAGAACCATACTGCATATCTGTCATTTGGGGCCCATGTTGAGCTGAAAGCATCAGAGAAATGAAAATTCCTCTTCAGCTGAGAAATCTGTGGAATGCTCAATGCAGTGATCTTTTTGTTGTTTACTACATCCTCCTGCTTTCTCTGTCATGCATTCCAGAGGTTTCTGCAACGCACACTGCTGACATTGGCCAAGTTTACCTTTGACATTTCACAGCTTCCATTTCACCTCTATATTTCTCTACATTGGAGCAGTACACTCTTATGATGGTGTTAAGAACTCTTGTTTCATTATTTTCAGGCATTTTTTAGGGCATACTATATTTTAAAGCTAAAGCTATTTGTTACTTTTATTATGTCATCTTTTTCTTTCAAGTAAATCACAATTTCTTTTTTCACCAATGGCAAAATGAGCCCTTTCATAGATTTCTCTGGGTCTTTTATCTTGCCTTTTTATAAACATAGAGATGAACAAAATGTCAAATTCTGAGCCAGTATGCTATGGTCTGAAGAACACCAAATTGGATTTGAATCCCAGCTTTGCTTTTCTGTGACCTTGAGCATGTGAAAGTCAGGCAAGAAATTGCATATGAAGAAGCATCTGGTTCCTTATGGATCTAGCTCTAAATCTCTACAATCTATAATTCTGTGATTATTTTAGGAACATATGTAGCATAATTTCTAGGATACTCTTCAAAGAAATTAATAATTTGCTAGATATTTGTGAGTTAATATTTATTTCTTAATCAATTCTAAATCCTTGATGCAATAGAATAATTGAGAGTGGGGTTTGAAAGATACATCTTCATCCAGACGTTAAATAACGTTACTGAGTAATAATTCCCTCAATTTTAAAATAAAATGATAACATTTATCCTTCATGATTTTTGTGAGAATTAAACAAGACAATATACGTAAAAATGCCTAGCATGAGATCTGACACACATAGGGGTCAGAAAAATAAATGGGAGCAATCCTTACAATTATTGACACAAAGCTTTGTTCTTTCCAAGGCCCATTTATATACATTATTTTGTGCTACCAGACTAAACTAATGCTGCCAAGAAGTTTCATGTAAACCCATATCCCAGGGTCAGTGACATTATAAAATTCTCATCCTGAAATGAAGAGACTGTTGACTGACTTTAACTGGTAGCAATAAACCCTTTAAATCTATGTTTCATTCATTCAAATATTTTCTTGACCCATCAGCCCTGTAACAAGCTTGCCATATTTTATTTATGCAGTCATTAATATAGCAAATATTTAGCAAGTAGCAACTATGCACACGGGTATTATTTTATCAGAATCTAGTTTGTTGTATTGAAAAAGGACAAAGGAAACAAAGACAGCTACAGTAGTATAGAAATGTGTTTGGAGGTGAGTTAATATTAAAAAGAGAGTAAAAAGTTGAAAGTAATTTCTAAGATGAATTTATTTAAAATATTTAATGAGTAACTATAATCAGAATACATTAAATTTTCACATTGTGGTAAGATTTACAAAGCTCTTTTTCTAAAACATATCCTACGTCCACATACTTTACCCAAAACCTGCAAAAATCTCGGACTTTCAAGCCACCTTTATTTCTAACCAAGATCTTAACAATGGCTTCCTAACTGGAGGACCACTTTACTTTCTGGTTTTAAACCTTCCAGTGCCCTCCTGAGCACCTCTCCATCTTCATGTCCAACAGTTGCTTTCTGCCCTTGCTAACTGAGCTCAGGCCACAGACAAATATGGGCCTGTACTGGAGCAGGTAGAGCTGGTTTCTGCATCAGGACCTTCATACTTATTTCTTATTGAATTTCAAATATGCTTTTCTTTCCTTTCCTTGAGGCTGGGGTCTTTTCATTAACTGGATATCAACCTTTGAACACTCATTCTGGAGTTGCCCTCTCTAACCCATTATCACTACAGTTATCACACTATTGCTTCTGTTTCTATTGTTTCTGTTTGTTTTCCATAGCTCTTTACCCTTACTTATGAAAGTGTTGTCTATTTGTATAATCATATATTGTCTAACTTCTCCACTAGAATGTAAACTCCATGAAGGAAGGAACCTTGATTTCTCATTGACATATCTCTGTTGCACAAGTAAACCAGCACAGACAGCTTATATGACTTAAACAAGTACAAAGGACTATAACGAGTATCCGGAAAAATATCAGGTCTCCTAGTTTCTATTTCATGTTCAATTACATTTCATGAGTAGAGAATTTGTGCATATAAAGATCTTGATCTCTTGTCTTAAGGAATTTGAATCTAGCTCTTAAAGCAAGATATTCACTCATCAATAATTAATGATCCAGGAGTTAGACTGCAGGGACCATGGCAGATCAATAATGCAATAAGACTGGATATTGTTGTGGGAAGGCAGGGACCCCGAAAGGAGGGACTGGCTGAAGCCGTGGTGGAAGAACATAAATTGTGAAGATTTCATGGACATTTATTTGTTCCCCAAATTAATACTTTTATAATTTCTTACGCCTGTCTTTACTGCAATCTCTGAACATAAATTGTGAAGATTTCATGGACATTTACCACTTCCTCAATCAATACTCTTATAATTTCCTATGCCTGTCTTTACTTTAATCTCTTAATCCCATCATCTTCTTAAACTGAGGATGTATGTTGCCTCAGGACCCTGTGATGATTGCATTATCTGTACAAATTGTTTGTAAAAACATGTGTGTTTGAACAATATGAAATCTGGGCACCCTAAAAAGGGACAGGATAACAGTGATTTTCAGGGAACAAGGGAGATAACCATAAGGTCTGACCGCCTGCGGGGCCGGGCAGAACAGAGTCATACTTTTCTTATTGCAGAAAGCAAACAGGAGAAATATCACTGAATTCTTTTCCCAGCAAGGAATAAACCTGGGAAAGGAATGCATTCCCAGGGGTAGGCCTATGGAAGGCCGCTCTGGGAGTGTCTGCCTTATGCAGTTGAACATAAGGGATGAAATACACCCTGGTCTTCTGCAGTGCCCTAAGGCTTGCTAGGATTAGGAAATTCCAGCCTGGTGAATTCTAGTCAGAACGGTTATCTGCTCTCGAACACTGTTTCCTGTTAAGATGCTTATCAATGACAATGCATTCCCAGTGGGACATGGAACCTCATCAGTAATTCTAATTTCACCCTCACCTTGTGATCTTGCTCTGCCCTTGTGATCTTTTATTGCCCTTTGTAGCATGTGATCTTTGTGACTTACTTCCTGTTCGTACCTCCCTCCCCTTTTGAAATCCCTAATGAAAACTTGCTGGTTTTGTGGCTCAAGGGGCATCATGGAATCTGCCAATATGTGATGTCACCCCCAGAGGCCCAGCTGTAAAATTTCTCTCTTTGTACACTTTCTCTTTATTTCTCAGACTGGCCGACACTTAGGGAAAATAGAAAGGACCTACGGTGAAATACTGGGGGCTGGTTCCCCCGATAGTATATGATTAAGTGCCCAAATGATCTGAGATAATAAGTGCTTGGAGTTTGCATACAGATTTTAAACAACTAGGTTACAAGAAGCATTTTTTTTCTCTAGTAAATATTATGTTTCGTTCTTTAAGTTCATGTTGCTTGACTCTGTGGTTATTTGATTATTTATGTTTCTTTAATTGAATGTCATGTCCCAGAGTATCTTGAAATTGCTATGCTCTATATATTTATTTTGTAAATTAGTTATTTCTAATCAACTCTTTCTTGACATTTAAAAAAAATCTTTCAAAGCCTCTTTAAATAAATGGAGATACAAGACTGGTGATATTTCAAAATCAGCATTTTGGTAGAAAGAGAAAAACATCATCAAAATGGGAACCTATCTCAGAAAATCTTCAATTTTTTTTGTGGGGGAGCCCAAAACAGTAGTTTGATTGGCCTGTTCATCATTTTTTGTCAATTTTTATAGCATTGTAGCTTATAACTTAAAATTATCCTTAAATTTCTATGAAATTTAAAATTAATTTTAAAAATTCTATCAATGGTTCCCCTTCTCTCAACTTGTCTTGAAAAACAACACTATGAAATCCCTCTAACAGGATAAATACCTCTTTCTAAAATATGTTGAGAGGCCTTATATTCCTGAGAAGATTATCTGAACGAAAAAGACCAGCTACCCCTTTCCTGATACATATATTAGTCCCACATATTGCATAAGTGAGGCCATTGCTACCTGGAGCTTTGTGAGAAATAGTTATGAACATGGTGGCCTTTTTATTCTAACTGCCTTTCTGTGAACCTCTACTTTGTCTCTTACCATTCCAGGCTTCATCTAAGCCTACAAATTTTACCCCAGAACTAAAGCAGGCTATCCTAGTTAAGAAAGATAAAAAATACAATATGTCACACAGAAAATGCTAAATATTTAATGTCTCCAAAAGCCTAAATACAGGATAGGCAAACATATGTCCTGTGAAGGCAAAGAAAGTAAATATTTTAGGTCTTGTGGACAGTTGCCTTTTTTAACTACCAAACTTTGGCATTGTAATGTGAAAGCAGACATAGTTAATATGTAAACAAATGGACCTGGCTATGCTTCATACAATAATGAGTTCCCTACTCCATAATGAAACTGTAAGTCATAAATATGTCTTATAAATTACATAGCATATAAATATGAAAAAAAAATGTTGAAAATACCATGATTGAACTGGAAGAAATTCATACCTTAAAGATAGTTTAGTTTATATAAGCTATCTCTATACTCTCTCACTTACTTTCAGATTAGAAAATAAAAATAGGCCGGGCACAGTGGCTCATGCCTGTAATCCCAAAGTGTAATCCGAAAGTGGAGGCCGAGGTGGGTGGATCATGAGGTCAAGAGATCAAGACCATTCTTACCAGTATGGTGAAACCCCATCTCTACTAAAAATACAAAAATTAGCTGAGCATGGTGGTGCCCGCCTGTGGTCCCAGCTACTTGGGAGCTTGAGGCAGGAGAATTGCTTGAACATGGGAGACGGAGGATGCAGTGGCCGAGATGGAGCTACTGCGCTCCAGCCTGGCAACAGAGCCAAAAAAAAAAAGACTCCGTCTCAAAAAAAAGAAAGAAAGAAAAGAAAAATAAAGACAGATAATTTCAATAAAATAATTTATAAATATGTTTTAACAGAGGCCTCTTACATTTTGAACCTAAATAAATATGTATTCAAAAATATATCTCCAAATATATATAAATATTAGTAAAAGTAAAATACTTTTTTGTTTTATTAAAATTATAAAAAATAAAAATATTAAATAATTTAAAAATTAAAATAAAAATAATGGAAAATAAATGCTTATGAATTCTTTTTCATTGATTATTTCATTTAACCATTACAACTATCTTGCATGGAAGATACTATCATTGTTCTCATTTTACATGCCCAGTGTTTCAGAGCAAGTAAATTCTTCAGCCATATGACTTAATAGCCTGTCACCTATTATACTCTAGGCATAAGATACATATTGTCAACTGAAGAATGATGAGGTTTATAAATTTGGAAATGAGGGTTTTATTTCACATAAAGCGTTGCAGCCTGCAGCGTGGTTATTCTGAAAGGCCCAGCAGTATAGTTTCCAGCAAGGGAGGGGCAAAGGAAACAGGAATTTATGCAGGGTCACCAAATGTACATATTCAATAAGCTATAAGAGGAGTCATGAATATTTATGAAAGGACAAACATGCACATGCACAATTGAGCTTCATGACCCTTCATAAAACCAATGTACAGGCCAGGCAAGGTGGCTCACGCCTGTAGTCCCAGCACTTTGGGAGGCCGAGGAGGGTGGATCACGAGATCAGGAGATGGAGATTATCCTGGCTAACACGGTGAAACCCCATCTCTACTAAAACTACAAAAACTTAGCCAGGCATGGTGGTGAGCACCTGTAGTCCCAGCTACTCAGGAGGCTGAGGCAGGAGAATGACGTGAACCCGGAAGGCAGAGCTTGCAGTGAGCCGAGATCACGCCACTGCACTCCAGCCTGGGCGACAGAGCGAGACTCCATCTCAAAGAAAAAAAAAAAAAAAAAAACCAATGTACAAAAAAAATGGCAGTGTTAGCATAAAGTGACAGTAAAGCTTTAGGCCCTCTGATATCAAAAAGTGAAGTGGAGGACAAAAAAACCCTTACTGCACATTCTCCTTAGACTGGCCAGGACCACTCTATGGTCACCTGGTAAGTGACCAGGCAAAAAAGAAGACGTAATGTCAGATGGTTGTTGATAATAGTGGTGGAGACTTTTGATCATACTGGTTTCTGTTTAGCCCTTAGGGAAGAAAGCCGAATTGTGGTTAGCAAAGGAGGGGATATTTTTAACCTCTTATCCCGTCAGAGTCAGGGCTGAGTACTCCGTTTTCAAGGTTACTTTGGGGTCCCCTTCTCCAAGAGACAGTCCATTCAGACAGTTGGGGGAGCTTATAATTTTATTTTTAGGCTAGAGCCTAAAGGTGTACTCAGTGTCAAATTTAGTAGCACAAAGACTTTTGTGATTAAAGAAAGAAAAATGGAAATATATGAAGTAGTTATTCAAAGCAAAGTTTAGGTAAAATTAACAAAACAAACATAAGGAAGCAAAATGGAAGAAAAATGTGTTTTTAAAGATGAAAACAGAAATTAGTAAATTAGAATATCTAATATGATTTTTAAAACATCCCTAGTATCAAATTTTAAATGAAAGCAATAGTCAGATCTAGTAATTTTGAGAAAACCAAGAAAATAAAACACAAATTAAAAAAAAATCTATGACATCTGAAATTAATAAATAATTATAGCAAGGGTGCAGGATGCAAAGTGTCTTAGTTCATTTTCTGCTGCAATAACAAAATATCCAATATGGTTTGGCTGTGTCCCCACCCAAATCTCAACTTGAATTGTAATAATTGCCACATGTCAAGGGTGGGACCAGGTGGACATGATGGAATCATGGGGGTACTTTTCCCCATATCATTCTCATGGTAGTGAATAAGTCTCATGAGATCTGATGGTTTTATAAATGGGCATTCCCCTGCACAAGCTCTCTTGCCTGCCATCATATAAGACATGAGTTTGCTCCTCATTCACCTTCCACTATGATTGTCAGGCCTCCCCAGCTATCTAAAACTGTGAAGCAATTAAACCCCTGTCCTTTAAAAATTGCCCAGTTTTGGGTATGTCTTTATAAGCAGTGTGAGAACAGACTAATGTAGTAAATGGGGTACTGCTGTAAAGATGCCTGAAAATGTGGAAGCAACTTTGGAACTGAGTAACAGGCAAAGGTTGGAACAGTTTGGAGGGCTCAGAAGAGGACAGGAAGATGTGGAAAAGTGGAACTTCCTAGAAATTTGTTGAGTGGCTTTTACTAAAATGCTGATAGTAATATGGACAATGAAATCCAGGTTGACATTTTCACAGACGGAGATGAGAAACTTATTGGGAACTGGAATAAAGGTGACTCTTGCTATGTCTTAGCAAAGAGACTGGTATTAGTTGTTCCCTTCCCTAGAAATCTGTGAAACTTTGAACTTGAGAGAGATGATTTAGGGCATCTGGCAGAAAAAAAACTGTTAAGCAGTAAAGCATTCAAGAGGTGACTTGAGTGCTATTAAAAGCATTTGGTTTTATGTATTCACAAAGATATGATTTGGAATTGGAACTTATGTTGAAAAGGGAAGCAGAGCATAAAAGTTTATAAAATTTGCAGCCTGGTAATGTGATAGAAAAGAAAAACGCATTTTCTGAGGATAAATTAAAGCCAGTTGCATAAATTTGCATAAGTAACAAGGAGCCAAATGTTAATCGCCAAGACAATGAGAAAATATGTCTCTAGGGCATGTCAGAGGTCTTCACAGCAGTCCCTTTCATCACATGACTGGAGACCTAGGAGGAAAAAATGGTTTTGTGTGCCGGTCCCAGCCCCGCAACCTGGCCCCCCCACCCCCGACCCTGCTGTGTGCAGCCTGAGGATTTGGTGCCCTGTGTGTCAGCCACACCAGCCATGATTAAAAGGGACCAAGGTACAGTTCAGGCCATGGATTCAGAGGGGGGGGTGCAAGCCCCATGCCTTGGCAGCTTCCATGTGTGTTGGGTCTGCAGGTGCATAGAAGTCAAGAATTGAGGTTTGGGAATCTCTTCTACATTTCAGAGGATGTATAGATAAGCCTGGATGTCCAGGCAGAGCTGAGCTGCAGGGGCAGAGCCCTCATGGAGAACTTCTGCTAGGGCAGTGTGGAAGGAAAATGTGCGGTGGGAGCCCCCACTGAGAGTCCTCACTGGGGTGCTGCCTAATGGATCTGTGAGAAGACGGCCATGGTCCTCCAGATACCAGAATTGTAGATCCACCAAAAGCTTGCACTGTGCACCTAAAAAAGCCTCAGACACCCAATGCCAGCCCATGAAAGCAGCCATAAGGGAGCTGTACCCTGCAAAGCCACAAGGGCAGAGCTCCCTAAGGCAATGGGAGCCCACCTCTTGCATCACTGTGACCTGGATGTGAGACATGGAGTCAAAGGAGATAATTTTGGAGCTTTCAAGATTTGACTGCCCTGCTGGATTTCAGACTTTCATGGGGCCTGTAGCCCTTTCATTTTGGCCAATTTCTCCCATTTCGAATGGGTGTATTTACTCAAAGCCTGTACCCCCATTGTATCTAGGAGGTAACCAACTTGCTTTTGATTTTACAGGCTCATAGGCAGAAGAGACTTGCCTTGTCTCAGATAAGACTTTGGACTTGGACATTTGAGTGAATGCTAGAATAAATTGAGACTTGGAGGAACTGCTGGAAGGGCATGATTGTGTTTTAAAATGTGAGGACATGAGATTTGGGAGGGGCTGAGGTGAATAATATGGTTTGGCTGTGTCCCCACCCAAATCTCAACTTGAATTGTAATAATCCCCACATGTCAAAGGTGGGGCCAGGTGAAGATAATTGAATCATGGGGGTGGTTTTCCTCATACTGCTTTCATGGTAGTGAATAAGTCTCATGAGATCTGATGGTTTTATAAATGGGAGTTCCCCTGCCCAAGTTCTCCTGCCTGCTGCCATGTAAGACATGACTTTGCTCTTCATTTGCCTTCTACCTTGATTGTGAGGCCTCCCCAGCCATGTGGAACTGTGAGTCAGTTAAACCCCTTTCCTTTATAAATTACCCAGTCTTGGGTATATCTTTATTAGCAGTGTGAGAACAGACTAATACAATACCTCGGACTGGGTAATCTATGAATAAAAAAAATAATTTATCACAGTTCTGGAGGCTGAGAAGTCCAATATCAAGGTGCCAGCATCTTTCTAGGGCCTTTTCTGTTTTGTTTTGCATTATCCTGTGGCAGAAGAGGAGAAGGTAAAAGTGAGCACATGAGATAGAGAGAGAAAATGGGAACAAACTCATTCTTTTATCAGGAGCCCTCTTCTGCATTAACGTATAGTAGTTAATCCCGTCATAAGGGCAGGGACATCATGGCCTAATCACTTCTTAAATGCCCCATTTCTTAGTGCTTTTACAAAAGCAATTATGTTTCCAACATATGAACTTTTAGAGTACACATTCAAACCATAGTATTCCACCCCTGACCCCCAGTACTCATGTCCTCTTTAAATACAAAATACATTTATTCCATTTCAATAGCCCCAAAAGTCACAACTCATTCAGCATCAATTCAAAAGTTCAAAGCCCAGGGTTTCAACTGAATGAGGTATGGGTGAGATTCAAGGCATGATTCATCCTGTGGCAAATTCCCTCAAGCTGGGAGCCTGTGAAATCAAAACAAATTATCTATTTTAAAATACAGTGGTGAACAGACAGGACAGACATTCCCATTCCAAAAGAGAGAATAGGTAAGAAAAAAAAAAGGGCAGGTAACTAGTCCTAAGTAAATCCAAAACTCAAGAGGGCAAATATTAAATTTTTAATGCTCTAATAATCTTCCTTGACTCTATATCCCACTTCCTGGATAATTTGGGACAATGTTTGGGCTCCCAAAGCCCTAGGAAAGAGCACCTCTCCCATGGCTTTGCTGAACTCAGCTCATGCTTCAAGTCTCCCATGATGGCATTGCATGCTGGTAGTTTTAATATCCTGTGGTCTCAGTGACAGTCCCTCTCCCATGGCTCCACCAGGCATTGCCCTGGTGGGAACCCTGTGGAAGCTCCAACTTAACATTTCTGTTTATCATTGCCCTAGTTGGAGCTTTCTATGGTGGCTTCACCCCATGGCAAGTGTCTGCCTGGACCCCCAGGCTGTCCACATCATCCTTTGAAATCTAGGTGGAGCAAGCTATGGCCCCACAGTTGCATTGTGTGAGTCTGCAGAGTTAGCATCAAGTTGATGCTGCCAAAATTTATAGCTTGTACCTTCCAGAGTGGTGGGTTGAGTCACACCTGGGTCTGCTTAAGCCATGGCTGGGGTGGCCAGGCAGCACTATATCAGAAAGTGGGGAGCAGTCTGTAGACAGCCCTAGATAGTGAGTCCATGATAGGCACTTTAGGCTGTTCTTCCCAGAACATTCTATACTCCTAGAGCTCTGGTCTCTTATGAGAAGGGAAGACTTGAATATCTCTGAAATGCCTTCAGGGTCTTTGTTTCATTGTCTTGAAAAATAGCACCTGGCTTATTTGTATCCATGACATTATATTTAGCAATTGGTTGCTTGGCCACACACTTAGTATTGTCTCCTGAACACACCTTTCCACTTTTTACATGACCAGACTTCAAATTTTCAATGTCTTTCCACTCTGCTTTCCTTTTAATTATAAATTCTATCTTTAAGTCAATCCTTTCCTCTTGCATCTCATTGCATATAGTTAAAAGTAAGCATATGGCAGTCTGAATGCTTTGCTGCCTAGATATTTCTTCCAAGTATCCTAGTTCATCCCGCTTAAGTTCTGCATTCCAGAAAGTTCTTCGGCATGAAAAAAAAATTGAGCTATTTTGTGCTACTTCATAACAAGAATGGTCTTTAATCCAATTCTAATTTATTGTTCCTGTTTCATTTGAGCCTTCATCAGAATGAGCTTTACTCTCTAGACTTTTAGTAGCATTCTGGTCATGACTATTTAAGTAACTTTTAAGAAGTTTAAGAATTTCCTGTCTTCAGAGTACTTACCAGACTTTCACCTAATGCATCATTTATGACAATACAGGCTTTTTCTAGCCCACTCCTTCCAATCCTTCCAACCTCTACCTCTTACCTAATTCCAAAGCCACTTCCATATTTTCAGGTTATCTGTTACAGCAACAACCTCACACTTGATACCAATTTTCTGTCTTCGTCCATTTACTGCTGATGTAACTGAATACCAAAAACTGAGTAATTCTCAAATAATAGAAGTTTATTTGGCTCATGATTTTGGAGACTAGGAAGTTCAACACCACGGTTCTGGCATCTGTCAAAGGTCATTCTATGGCAGAAGATGAAAGGCAGAAGTGAGCTCATGAGAGACAGAAAAAGAAGATGGAGCCAAACTATGTTTTTATCAGGAATGCACTCCTAGGATAACTAATCAACTCCTGCAATAGAGGCATTATTCCATTTATAAGGAGTGGACCCCCATGGCCTAGTTACTTCATAAAGCCCACACCTCTTAATACTGTTAAAATGGCAATTAAGTTTCCAATACATGAACTTTTGAGGGACACATAACATAACACAAGATTAAAATACACAAGTTAATTGCTTTCTAGACTTAGTATAAAACTATGGTGATGAAGAGAGCATGGTATTGGTGAAAGAATTGAAAAATAGACCAATGTAACAGAACAGAAAGTCCAGAAATATACATAAATATATTATAGGAGACCAGATAAATATACTGTGGGAGACTAGAATATGTCACCCCAAAATATGCCTCTCTGGCAGAAGGATTAATTTGAGCTGATAATTTTGTGAAATAGCATACACAGGAGAGGCTTTGTAAACAGAGTGTAAGTTACTTTTTTGTAAGAGCAATTTGTATTTATAATGAAGTCTCCATTTGTAAATGTGTTTCCCTCTCTATACCAGGAAGAGAAGGATTGCTCTATATCACAACAGACTCTTATAAATTGAGAAGGCACCAAATTAAATCTGCAAAACTATGGAAACAGTAAAAAATTCAGTGGCTGCCAAGGCCTGGGGTGCTGGTAGGTGGAGAGATGAACAAATGGAGTACAAAGGATTTGGGGGGAAGAAAAGCTATGCTGCATGATATTGTAATGGTTGATGCATGTCATTATACGTTTGTCAAAACCCATCATATATATAGTACTAAGAGCAAACGCTAATGAAAACTATGGTTTTTAAGTGGTAATGATGGGTCAGTGTAGGTTCATCAGTTGTAACAAATGTACCACTCTGGTGGGAGTTTTTGATAGTAGGGGAAATTGTGCATGTTGGGGTTTCAGGTATAAGAAAATCTTCATATTTTCTGCTCAATTTAACTTGGAATCTAAAACTGCTTAAAAAAACCCCACCAGTCTATTCAATAAAAGAACTTAATGGAAAAAAATATATAGGAAAAATGCAAACGGGTTATAAAACTTACTTGATGTTAAGGTCAAAGGCATGCATAGGTTTATTTATTCGGTTATTTCAAAGTTAAAAAAATAATGTTGTAGGACGTTTTCCTTAGTTCAGCTAAAATCTGGGTTCTTGTCACATCGCCATGAGAGATTAGACTCACAGGCACTTTGAAGGGTGAGAAAAAAATGGAATTTATTGGGCAAAAAGGTTAAAAAAATTAAAAAGAAAAAAAGGGAAACAAGGACCCTCCGCAAAGCCAGAGTCTTGCTAGTGCACTTCCCACCTCACAAATTAAATCCCAGGTACCATCCCAGGACGGAGAGAGAGGCCAGGCTCCTCCCCGCTGCAAAGGGCATGAACTTCCCATCGCTCCAACCCCGTACGCACTCCTCCCAGTGCACAGGCCGGTTGGAGATTTTTCCAGAAACCCCTTTACACTTGTCTGTCTCAATATCTAGTTATTATATAATAACATGAATAAAAACATATCAAAATATTGAAGATCGATATCTACAGGTGGTAGATTACAAGGAATTATGTTATTCCTTCTGGTTGACTTTAGTGTTTGTTTCAATTAATATACATAATTTTATGTAAGTAAAAACAGTTTTTGAAATTAAAATATTTAATTAGAAACACTTTTATACAGACTGTGGTTTCAAAAGCAAAAGTCAACCAGCAAAAAAGGCACAAATTTCAGTGTTTTGAAATAATTCAATGAGAATAAACTAAAATTAGACATTATAGGGGAGAAAAGAGCTGACTTTTCTCCACTTATCACAAATACCAAGGCTGACACCCATGTAACAAAACACAGATTAGCAGTAGCAAAACTTAGCAAATGTATTTAATCAAAATTTTGCATGGCATCAGATCTTCAGAAATGATGACCCAAGGAAAATTGTGTATTTTTATGCTAAGTCTGACAAAAGAAGAGGATAGTTGTGGAGAAATATGATTGGACAACAAGGGTTTGAGTTAACGGTAATAAATCAGAGAAAACTCAGAAAGGTCTGTTCAGATTCTTCTTGGCCTCTCTGTGTGGCATGTTTTTCCTCCCAAAACATGGGGCAGGACCACTCTGGAATGAGGATCTTGTGACGTACTTTCAGACAAGGTAGGTCAGAGAATTTCTTTATGACCCTACTTCATGCAGAAAGGTGGGAAAAGGTCAGAGTGAGCATCTTGCTTCTGTGGCTTCCTCAATCACCAAATGTCATATTTTGGGGTATCATATGTATTCCAAGCCCCAGTAATATGAAGCCTAAAGGGAAATGAATAACTAAAACAAGTATCCAAACAGTCTACTTGCAAGGGTAATGCACGTGTGATTTAAAAATGTATATAATAAGATTATACATGTTCTCACTAACATCCACAGTTTTGTGGACAGCTTGTAGTCCACAGGGCAAGGATCATGTATTCTTCAGATTTGTGTCTTTAATAAGCCAAGTAAGAACAGGAATTTTTGTTTGTTTTGTTCTCTGGCATATTCTTGGGACCTGTAACAGCACCAATCATATTGTGGGTGCAAGGTAAAAAGGTAAATCTTTCTTGAATAAATAATTAGCTTTCTGTAAAACATTCACAACCCCCTCGTCCACACACAAACACAAAATTTCAATATTGTATTTCAAACATTATAAGAATCTTCATTCTCATATTTCCTGTCTTTGGATACTACTGCCTGCTTTTTTGATCTGCTTATATCAGATTGTGTTATTCATTACTGTTGACCACCAAATAGTTCTGGCTCTCTGTCTTCCAGGCTCCTGGTGAGATTCCATTTCCCAGACCCCCTTGTAATTAGATGGGAGCATTTCTGACCAATGAGTTGTGAACAGAAGTGATAAGTATTGGAACACTTCATTATTAATGCAAAATGCTTTCACACTCTTTCATCTGCCATGGTAATCTGCAGTGCTCATGATGATATTGTTTCATCAGCCTGAACCTTAGACTCAGGACTTATGGACAGAGCTCAGAGGTGACCTTCAATAGACTGTAGAATGAGCAAAAAACTAAACCTTTGTTGTAGCTACAAAGGTGTTGAGGCTCTTTTTTACTACAGCATATCCTAATCCATCCTGATTGATACACTCATCCAGTAGAAAACCATATTAATTATTATATTTGTATGACAAACTTCCATAGCTAGTCTGACACATTGTTCTTTTTAAAATTTTATTTTCATAATTTTTTGGATATCATTCCCTATTTATTTTCAATGAAATCTATTGTTTTAATTGGTATTGCACTGAATTTATAGATGAATTTTATGAGAATTAAAACTTACACAGTATTGAGTTCTAATACAAGAGTATTAAATTACTTAAAACTTCATTTATGTCTCTCAATAGAATTTTAGAAAAATGTATTTTCAGATAAATCATGCATATTTCCTGTTAAACCTATCCTAGAGAGTACATCTTTTTTGTTGCTATCATATATGAGACTTTTTCTTTCATTAAAATTCTTATCTGATTATTGTTTTTATACAGAAAAGATGTCGTGTTGGTGTTTAACATATTAATTTTTAAACTGCCTAAATATTCTTTATTTAAAAAATATTTTCTGAATTTCTGTTCTTTTTACCTTTTAAAATATATAGAAATAAAAACAATATTAATTTTGCTTTCTCCTTTGCCATACTTATACTAGCATTTAAAAAATAATATTAAAAAAGAAATATTTATACAACAAAATAGTAATGAAGAAGGTGGCCATAAAATAGGAGCTCTAAATCATATGGCACTAACTGTAAGTGGTATAAATAGTTTTGGAATTACAGTGAAGCAATACCACAACTTAAAAGGTCATTATGTTAAGGAAAAGTAATTTTCCATAAGAAATGCTTGAAGCTACATAATTACAAATGTATTTTACTGCTGCAAAATTACAGTGAAATGAGGTATTAAAATCAGTGTATTTCAATAGTTGTGGTGTTGGCCTTAGTCAGCAAGACCAATATGTTTTTAACTTTATGTTTGCAAACCGTAGCACACTCAGCTGAGTATTTCCATGTGGTTTCTGCAAATTGTGGTATTTATGATTTGTTGCAATTAATATTTTCTTCTTAAGTTCAAATGCTACAGGCATTTTAACAAAATTCTTTCTGCAAATTCTGCAGATACCAGGACAATACCAGACCCTATTTTTTTTCCTTTGATCTGTATTCTCTCTCTTCTTCCCATTGGTTTCCCTGATTTTATGTTTCTTACAGAATTATTTATACTCTAGTGTTTGACTCTTGGCGGACAGTATGACAGTTCCATCACCCTATCCCTATTTCTCATGATGAAAAAATGAGCAAGCTTTGTGAGTTAATTTTGTGTTGCTTTGACCAACAAACAGATGTGGGGTCTGGAATTGAGAAGTAAGTCTCTTTAGTGAACATTTAGTGAACATAACTAAATTACAACACTGTATCCCAGTTGTAGGTTCATCCAACTCACAACTCCCTCAGTGGTTTTTGATAATTTGGTGGTGGTATGGGTGTTTTTAGTTATAATTATGAGGTAGGGAGAAGCTAATGTCTTTTACTGGGCATGGCCAGAAATGCGAAATATCTTGTATGCAAAGAAAATAATTAAGCTGCTCCTCTAAACCAAAACCAAAACGAAACCAAAGGAAAAAAAATTAAAACTATTTAAAACAGCCTACATCCCTAAAGCTGTCCCTTCACTCCCAGTCCACCAAAGCAATAACAGATATTTCGCTGATGATCTGATACTTGCTTCTCTGCCTAGAAAGTATTTGTGTGATCCCTCAAGGCATACAGTAGTAGGATTGTATTTTACCTCTTTTCAAGTTAAACGTAGCTGTGTTTTTTGTTTTGGCCATTGAAATATTAAAGGAAGCTGAAAGCTTTAAACCAGTGTACAATTGTCTGATTTTCTTTTACCATTCTGTACACTGATGGAAGCATGTGTCAAGATATATGTGTCTCTGACATCCTGGTTCCCAGAATCCATGAACATAGTCACTGCTAAGCCAGACTTTGCCTATGATATGAACAATAAATAAATGGTTATTGTATTAACTCATTAAGATTTGAAGACTGTTTGTTACTGCATCTGATCCTTGCCTATTCTGACTGACATTTCTCCTTTGGATACTATAAATCATCTTGCCTCTATGTACCTGGTGTGGATTGAATTGTATCTTTCTTCAAATTCAGAGGTTGATGCCTTAATTTCCTATGTGACAGTATTTGGAGATAGGGCCTTAAAGAGGTAATTAGAGTGAAGCAAAGTAATAAGGGTGGAGCTCTTAATCAATACCACTGGTGTCTTTATAAGAAAAAGAGGAGACACCAGAGGTGCACACACACAGAGGAAAGACCCTGTAAGGTTTCAATGAGAAGTGCTTGTCCATGAGTTAAAGGGAGAGGCCTCAGGTGAAACCAAACCTAACGAGACCATGCTCTTGAACTTCTAGCCTCCAGAACTGTAAAACATTAAAATTATGCTGTGTAAGCCCCAAACCTGTGGTATTTTGTTATAAAAGCCCTATTAATCTAATCAAGTCCCAATTCTACCTTCTTCAGAATAGTCTTTCCAATTTCTTTTAGATACATCCTGAGCCAAAGACAAGCCCTGAGATGACATTGCACCAAACCCAGGTCTCAGGCTGACACTCTGTGCCTCCAGCTTGCCTGGAAAGATGCTTTGGAGTTTCTTCTAAAATGGCAATGAGTCATTCGACATGGCTTTGAATCCCAGCTCTTCAATTTAAGCTCTTTCTTAAACTTTGTGAGATCTTTGACAAGTTACTTTATTTCTCTGTGCCTCAGTTTCCTCATCTTTAAAATGGAGACACTATTAGTACCTATGTCATAGTGTTATAGGGAGGCTAAAATGAGCTCATAAAACTCTTACGACAAAGATTGATTTATAGTGAACACTTAAATGAATATTAACATTCATTATTGAAATGGGAGAGTTCCCTGACCCCCCTCACAGGATGTGCGACAGGGGTGTGGCTTGTGTGTTTGGTCACTGCCACTGCTCCAACCCCTTGTGAAGGGGAAGCACACAGACAGACAGGTGCAGGAGCCCAAGTGGGCATGTGTCACAGTGTGCCATTTTAGTCTTGCCATCCATGGATGGCTTGAGTGTTAACCAACTTAGTGGACCCTCTGCCTTTCTGCAAGGGCAGAGGGGCAGTGTGACAGCTTTCTGTATCCCAAGTTCTTGTCCAGTGTCCTGGAAGAATTGGATCACACATAGACTTAAAGGATGAATATGGGGTTTTATTGAGCAGTGGAGGTGGCTCTTAGTAGGATGGATGGGCAGCTGGAAGGGGATGGAGTGGCAAGATTATCTTCCCCGGGCCAAACCCCTCTCCACCCACCCGCAGCCAGACTCCTCTCTGTGTTCAGATGTTCCTCTTCTTCTCTTTCTCTGCACCACCATGCTGACCTTCATCTGCTTGTCTCTTTGTCTCCTTGTCTGCTCATCTGCTCCTGAAGCCTGGGGTTCGGGGTTTATATGGATACAGGATAAGGGGGCATGGCCGGCCAAAAGGTAACTTTTTGGGCGCAAAAACAGAAATGCCTATTCCCACTTGGGGCCATGGGTCTCCAGGCTTGAGGGTAGGACTTTTGCCAGGGAACCACCATCTTCTACCCAGTGTTTCTCTGTCTCCTGTCCATATCATTATGATAAACTTTGGATTGAAATGACCAACTGTTGATTGTCTTAATCACACACAAAGAAGCTTGACAAGTTGGTGAGGACAATGGTAAGCTAAGTGAGGCACTTTTGTGACCTGGGGAGGAAAGCCTTTTTAAATACTGAAACTTACTTAGTTGCTTCACTTGACTTCACTCTAGTTTTGGCCTTGACAAGCCTGAAAAACACTTCAAACTTTTACCTCAAGTAGGCCAAGTTCCTTTCCTAGCATTAGCCTCCATAGCAGGTGGAGCCCAGGGCCCTACACAGAGATATGGGCATTTTGGAGTTCCTAGTTGCAACACTGCCTCCACTAGTAACGTGGTGGAAAGATTCCCGTACCTCTTGTCTGCAATCTTATCCAGTTGGTGAGGTAGTCTAAGACATTTTTAGCCCCCTAAATGGCAATGATGACAAATTAAAATCCAATGGGTAATTTACTTGAAAATTGAATAACTTGTAAGTACACTTAAAAATATGCAGAGGAGACAGAGCATGCAGGGTTTGGTAGCAAAATGCAACTCCATTTGAATTTTATAAAAAGGAAGTAAAGGCCAGAGATGTGTTCCTTTTCACACTAAAGGAAATAGCTTCTATCGCCTAGAAGATCAGCTCCAATAACTTCGGGGATGCATTTGGCTTTATTAGGTCTGTTGCCATTGTGATGGGCTAAGGAGTTCCTTTGAAGAAAAGTAATTACTGTACCAGAGGCCCTCGTCAAAGAAATGCGATTGTGTCTAAAAAAAAATCCACTTGCTCAGCACAATTTAGGCTCTCTTTCTGCACCTTTTTATAAGGCTGGATCGATAACTGGCAGATATATAGATCTCCAGGATGGTTACAGCTTAACTGTTCTCAATTACACTCTATAGTGGTACTAAAATGGAAGAAAAAATACTGTGTGAAAACATGCTTAATAAAACTAAATTAGTACTTTATCGCATTCACAAAGTAGTCACTTCTGTATCAAAGGGGCCTTAGAAATGTGTAGGAAAGAATATTTGTTGAATATCTACTTTGGGCTAGGCTCTGCAATATGCAATATATTTGAATTATATGATATGTATTATAGGATTCTTATCACTGCTACGTAAGTATGGAGTGTAAATGTTAGAATCACCCTCAGTGGGAAACATAAAACTAAAATAAAGGAAAATAAATCTAAAGCATTATGGAGCAGTCAATTACCCAGAAATATTTACTGAACTTTTTTTTTAAAAAAAGAAGGGCGTTTACCTTAAATCCCTATAATGTGTTACTTACACTTAGTACATCCAAAAACCTTTATGTAGCTGGATGGTAAAATGTATATGGTTTAAATGACTGTCCAATTCTCATAAGTAGTTTATTTTTCTTCCCAAAGTCTCCTAGCCTCTTATTGAAAGGTGTTGAAACCAGACAGTAGACCTGAGAAAGTGACTGAAATTTTCATGTCCAGACTGGGCAATACCTTTTACTGAGTGTCACTTTAAAGAGATTTATTTTCGACATTTTCTTTCTACAAGGGTTGCTTCCTCAAGTGAAGGCCAACATTTTTCTTAATGTTAGAAGCTTTACATGATTTTGGAGTCCTGGATTTCCTTCCAACCAACTGAATGAAACCCCCAAGCAGGAATCCTTATTTAAAAAAAAATCAATGGAGAACAAATTCAGTTTACCATCATCTGAAGAAGATTTAACTCTTGTAATTCTGAAATTGGGAATACAAATTAAAAGTAAAATGATATCTTCTCTAATGTTTGCTGTAGCAGGCCTTGATTTGAGAAAGAAAAGAAAATTCATCTGGCCTTAATAAAGATTGCGCTTTCTGGGTTGTTGGCGTATATTGTTTCTTGTCTATTTTTACAGTGAAGGCTAATTTTTGGTGTGGTGGAACTAAACAATTTATTTTCTTTTTATAGAGATCAGTTTTATTGATTCCATACGTCTTTATTGAAAAATAAATGAATAAGTGTTGAGAATCTCCTCCGAGACAGTGTGATATGATGAGTCCTATGCCAGAGAGAGAGGTAAGATATGTTCGCAGGAGAGAACTTGAATCTAATTCGCAAGTTAGGCAAGGCTCCCCAGAGGATGGGGACCCAGATCGAATTTTGAAAACAGGCAGCAATTACCAAAATGAAGAGTGGGAGGAAAGACTTTTCAGGCAGAATGAGAAGTGAATGCAAATCACATTACTGAACTCTGATAATGACACATTTCCATCTAAACCCGGTACTTTCTCAGATGTCACACAGGCATCACTCCTCAGCTGCACGGCACATGTATAGCTCCATCTAGGCGCCTCACCTTGGGCAGTGGAATCACACATTATTATTTATCCAGATCAGAAAGTATGAAGTTAAACTTGACTCCTCCCTCTTCTTTACAATATTAAAGGAATCACCAAATGTTCTCTATTCCATCTGCTAATTGTACATTTAGCTTTATCACCAGTAACATTTATTTATTTATCTGCATTTTCCCATTTAGTCTTCACAACTGCTATGGCAAGCTTTTATTAAATAATTAACTATCCCCTTTAAATTCAGGAATTGTTGGCAGTTGTGGTAAGTTATGTACTAACTGCTTTGGATATAATGATGAACATGGTACTACCACAGCCTCCAAAAAGATCATATCTAGTGGAAAAAACAGAGACATGAAGAGATAATTTTAACACAAGACATGCTAAAGATATACACAGAAAATATACTAGGAGGAGAGAGGAGGGCTGGAAAGCCTTACAAGGGGATTAAAATCCTATAGTGAGACTTTAAGTATAAGAAAGAAATACCCTAGAGAAAATATTCCAAAGAAAAGAGGCATAATTAGCAAAGGCTGGTTATAAGGTTTAAAAGACTATAATGTATAATGTTGCTGAAACACAGTTGGGGTAGAAAATGATGAAAGGTAAAGGTATCTTCCTTGATCCTTGGAGTATATTTATTTATTCCCCAGCACTGAGAAGGCTCCAAAACCCTATGCTAGTTTCTTTCACAAAGATGTATTGTCCAAAAAAAAATGAGGATTCATTTTTACAATGTTGTAAGAATGACTATGAAGACATTGAAATGTGATATTTAACCAAAGATCATATAAGAAATGTAACTTTCCACAGAGTTATCATGGTTACTCTAAAAGGTAATATAATACACAGATATATTTTCCTTTAACTGGTCCGGTAGGGGAGTATAGTCATCCCCACTGATGTATGGCTGTCTCTGAATTTTCCACGCCTGTGCTTTATAATCTAGGTGCTTAGAAAGATAGCATGTGTGGTCTAGCTAAGGGCACTGTATAAATCAAACCATAACCCATTCTTTTCTGTCCTGTCATTTGGAGACTGCAGAGTGTACTTTTCATGTTCCACATCATTAGCATAACCTAACACCAGATTTAGCTGTGTAATGCCTATGCCTGAAGGTGAATGAGGGAGTTGAGATATTCAAAGATGAGAGCGTGTGGACAAATGGATTGCAGATATAATGCCATTTAATCTAATCTTCAATAGCTATTTATTGAGGATCTACAAAATTCCATATTAACTAGAAGAAAGGTATAGGACAAAGTGCCTACCCTAATATAACTCATGATCATGCTGGGGAGACAGAACATAATACTTGGAATATAGATAACCAGTAACACACCAGTACAAGAGACTTCATTCCACAGGAAAACACATTAAAATAAGCAGTTTCAGATTGCTTGTGAATAACGGGAAGAGCAATGGATTCATAGCAAGAAATTTGGGTTCTTGCTCTTATTCTGACATGATACATCTATGTCATAGAACAAGTTATTTTAACTCTCTGACTTTTGAGTTTATACCTGTATACCAAGATAAATATACCTGTATACCAAGTTCACTGAGATTTGAAAAGGATCAAATGAAAGTGCTTTTAAGACTTTAATATAAAACAATACGTGGCGATGTGGTGTAAGGCAAGCCTTCCAAGCAAAGAACATGTTGGTAGACCATGAACTTAGCAGTTTCTACATGAGTTCTCTTCATTCACTTTCAAGTTGGTTCTTCTCTTCTACACTTATTAATCACTCAGTTAGATATGATTTTGGTATCTAATATTGCTTTTTGTATCTAATAATGATTAGAGACATTGATGATATTGCTTTTTGCATTTAATAATGATTTATTGAACAAATAGTGAGAGGTGAAGCCAGCTGGACTTCCTGGATTGAGTGGGGACATGGAGAACTTTCCTGTCTAGCTAAAGGATTGTAAATGCGCCAATCAGCACTCTGTAAAAATGCACTAATCAGCACTCTGTGTCTAGCTAAATGATTATAAATGCACCAATCAGCACTCTGTAAAATGGACCAATCAGCACTCTGTAAAATGGACCAATCAGCAGGACATGGGTGGGAATAAATTATTCCCAAATAAGGGAATAAAAGCTGGCCACCCAAGCCAGCAGCAGCAACCTGCTTGGGTCCCTTTCCACACTGTGGAAGCTTTGTTCTTTCGCTCTTCACAATAAATCTTGCTGTTGCTCACTCTTTGGGTCCACACTACCTTTATGAGCTGTAACACTCACTGCAAAGGTCTGCGGCTTCACTTCTGAAGCCATGAACCCACTGGAAGGAAGAAAGTCCGGGCACATCTGAATATCTGAAGGAACACACCATCTTTAAGAACTATAACACTCAACATGAGGGTCTGCGGCTTCATTCTTGAAGTCAGCGAGACAAAGAACCCACCAGAAGGAATAAATTCCGGACACAATAGTATATCCTAGTCAGTGCGTACAATGCTGGAGATTCATGGACATGTCACCACTCAAGGACCATGTGTCATGCACAAACTGTCTGGCATATAATGGGTGCTCAAAAAATGCCATTTTACATTAAATATTTGATTTCCATATTTGATGGGGATATCCAGAGAGGCAATTAAAAGCAAAGAAGATATTTTCATAATATAGAAATTGCCTAAATAAAGTGAAGGAAAAATTTTTGACTACTGTGACAAACATTTGCACTCCAAAATATTTCAGAACTGCTTTTAAAAATTCTATTAATTTAATTCTCAAACTTAGCCAGGAGACAAAGGAAGGGAGCTGACAGTTCACACCAGTGATAAAACAAATAGCAAATAAAACCTTGACAATTTTTTAGCCTCATTAATGAGCAACTACATGTTTGAATATATATACATGTACCCTCTGTATCCATGGTTTCTGCATGGGTGAATTCAAAAAATTGCATATCAAAAAATGTTTTTAAATGGATATATATGTCTGAACTAATCATGTACAAACTGTTTCCTTGTTATTTTTCCTTAATACAATATAACAATGATTTACACAGCATTTACATTATATTAAGTATTATAAGTAATCTGGAGATGATTTAAAGTATACAGGAGGATGTACATAGGTTATATGTCAATACTACACCATTTAATATAATTGACTTAAACATTCATGGATGTTTTTGTATCTGCAGGGAATTCTAGAACCAATTCCCCACAGATACTAAGGAAAGACTGCATATATATATGCAAATATATATTTATGTACATATATGCAAATTAAATTTTAAAATAAAATTTTATTTTAAAAATTAAAATTTGAAATGATTACTTAACATGAAAAGGCGCGATTGAAATAGATACATTTTGATAGCTCCAACATTTTTATTTTACCTAATGCTGACAATCTTTCTGGAGATAAGTTTTAAAATGTCTTACTGTATTGGAGAGATGCTACCATATGACCTGATAATACTCCTGTATTTTTATTGATACATGACAGTACTTCTAAATACTTAGCAGCTTATAATGACACATATTTCTTGTATCACGTTTTGTAGGTCAGGAGTCTGGGCATGACTTAGCTAGATTCTCTAAGGGATGCACAGGCTGCAATCAAGGTGTCAGCCAGGAATGAAGTCATATCACAGGTTCGAACGGAAATGATTCACTTCCACCTTCATTTGAGTTGTTTGTAGACTTCAGTTTTTTGCAGTAGTAACACTGGGGGCATTTGTTTCTTGTTGGTTGTCGGCTGTGGAGACCACCCTCACTTCCCAGATACCATCCACTATCCCTTGCCACACAGGGCTTCCCAACATAGCCACTTGCTCCCTCAAAGCCAGCAGGGAGATACTCTGGTAAGACAGGCACTACAATTTTATGTAAACGTAATCATATACACGTAATCACATACATTCCATCACTTTTGCCATATTCTGCTGTTTAAAGTCACAGGCCACCACTGCTGCCTAAATGCCAGGGTTTCAGTCTAGGTCCTGCTGCTCACTGCACAGAAAGCCAATCACTGAGACAATGAGTATTGCTGGGGAAGAAAGCTTTCTTCAGGTGCTTTGGTTAAGGAGAACAGATCAGTCTCAAATCTGTCTCGTCAACTGGCTAAGTTTAGGGGTTCATATAGCAGGGGAGAAGTTAACTATGTGTAGGAACACAGGAATTAGGGAGGGGTAAGGAAGAGGAGCTGGTCAGCAGGAAGCCAGTGGTTGCTTAGGTAGTCATGATGAGTGAGGAGCCTGGTATCTCATTGTCTGGATGCAGCGATCTGGTGAGTTTCAGTTCCCTAATACCACCTGGGAGGCCTGAAGGCCGGTTTCCTGGGGAAGGAACTCAGATGAGACAAATTTAAGTTTCAAGCTTTAAGACCAGGAGAGTCAGTTTCTATGTTTATCCGAAAAACAGTAGACAGCACTTCTATGGTACAACTGGGCTAGTTTCGGCACTACATGTAAAGGGAGGAAACTGAACAAGGCTGTGAAAAATAGAAAGTGGAGTTTATGGGGAACACCTGAAGATCTATTTGTCTGTTACAACCATATCTGTGATATAGTTCAAGGAAATAATTCAAAACAGAGAAGAAAGATTTAGACAATATTGTTTATTTATGTACTATATATTATTCCTGCTAATTGAGAGCAGTTTTAATTCACAAATAAGTAATTGCAAGAAGAGGGGAGGATATAAATGTCTAGAATCTGGAAAATCAACCCAATTTATATATTACTGTCCATATATGAAAACAAAGAGGTTAACACACGTATAACTGAAAAATAACTAAAAGTAACAATAAAGGCACAATAAATATAAAATAATGAATACATAATCATAGCAACTAGACTAAAATTTACTGGTATATATATTTGAATTAGGAGAAGCTACAATATTTGTGAATAAATTTTGGTCATTACTAATTTACCATCCTTGCAAAATTTAGCTATTGTCTACAGTTCTTGAAAATCAAAGGATAGCAACCTATAAAAACATGAGTTATTGAAATATGGAAAACAAAAATAATTTATAGATATGATTTTTTAAAACCCTGTGATTTGATTTTTTAAAAAGGCTCACAAAACTGATGAAATTTTAATTAAAGAAACAAAAGAGAAAACAAAACTACATATTATGACAAATCGGAAAGGAGACATATTATATTTTTAGGTTTAAAATACTTATGTGCAAATATTGTGTGCAAAACTAGGGCAACAAATTGGAAAATTTGGAAAAAAAAGGAATGATTACTTACCAACGTACAAATTATCAAAATTGATCCTAAAAAAGTAGAGAAGTTAAACAGACATAAACTACAAAAAATTAGTGGTATGAATGAAATATTTTGCCATTTAAAAATAAATTACCTTAGATATCTTTATAGATAATTTTTATATCATCTTTAAATAACAGGTAATCCAGTGCTGTGAAAGAATTTTATAGATCACAAAAGATTGAAAGCCCCCATTTTATTTTTAGAAACAAGTGAAACTTTAATATCCAAATTTATCAAGATAAAAAAGATTTAAAAAGCTGCGCTGATCACTGTAATGATAATGTACAATTTTAAATTTAAAATTAGAATTTAAATCCCATATTACAAAATGACTGTATAGTATAAGTGAAATCGAGCCACATTATTCAAATACCGAAATAATAACTGCATATGATATATCAAATAAATATATTTAAAAGAAAAATACAAATTAATATAGCAATGTATTAAAAGTACATTTGGTACAATTCAGGCATTTTTTATTAAAAAATTCTAAGGAATATAGTGGACATAATACTATTCAAACAAACAGGAAAAATCATTCTAAAGAATTAAATGTAATATCATTTCCATTAAAATTAGGAGCAAAACATAATTTTATATGGTTTGAAAATGCTAGTTAATACAATAAGTCAAGAATGAAATATGTATATAAATCTACATGATCATTGGACAAGAAATTTTTCTCTTAACAGATGATATATTTTTATAACTAGAATCATCAAAATAATTTGACTAAAACAAAACAATACATACAGAAAAACACACACACACAAAGAAAAGATGAACCATTAAAATTAGAGACTGATAAAGACTTCAGTATAATAGTATTTCCACTGTTGTCCAGTTAAAATAAAAAATGGAGAAAAATCTGATGAAGAAAACAACAATCATTGATGGAAATATATAATCTAAAATCTGAACAAATAGAGGAGCAACGATGTGTTTTAATAAGATTATAATTTACAAAAATGTAAATCCTTCCATATTTACAAGATAAGTATATTATAAATCAAATTAGAATACAAAGTTATTTTAAAACTGGATATATTGATATAAAAGTTCATGGAAAAATAAAATTTGATTGTGGCCAAAAGAAAAAAAAAAGGAATACTGGAGGGAAATTTGCCTTAGCAAGTACCAAACTTACATTAAAGCTATTGTAATAGAAATGGTATGGCAAAAGCATAGGTATAGTCATATTGATTAGAATAATTACTTCAAAACTGATCCAAAAGAAAATATGATTGAATATTTGAGAAGTTATAATTTAATTAGTTAGCAAAATGGTACTTCATTTTACAGCCAGTATAAGTGTTTAGAAACTTATAAGAAAACAAAGCACATACCACATACAAAAAATTCTTACAGAAAATTTTAATGTATAGGTTAACTGTCTCATATATAAATAATTATAACGTGTACAAATATATATAAAATAGTATGCCAATAATAAATAGTAATATGCAAGTATATTTTATAACTTTTCACATATATTTAAAATAATTTTAAAAAATATATACATTAGAACAATTTAGGAGCTCTGGCATAGCTCTTTTGGGAAAGAGTAGGCCCACCAAAGTGAGAGGAAACCCAGATGTCACAAATGAAAATAGACATAAAAAGAATTCCATTAACAAAGTCAAAGAACAAAATAAAATATTTGCAACCCATATAGTAAGATAATTACTATTTCAAATATACATAAGACTGTTCCATGATGAAAAAAATATATATATAAATTAAGAAAATTATATGAACAGATAATTCGTAGAATAAAAAATTCAAATAGCCAATAAAGACAAAGATGGCAACTCAGTTACAGGTGGAAATTGGAAGACAATGATAAAACATGTTTTAGCTCTCTTTCCAAAAGATGTAAAGTAAAATATAGCCTGGAGCTAGTATCTAGATAATGATCTCTGATAAGAATGTGAATTGCTCCTGAATTTTGAAAAGTAATCTGCCACTGCTTATTGCAAAATAAAAGTTCCATAGTCTTTAAATTTTCACTTTAACTTTTCACTATTGCCCCCCCATGCCAGGCTAATTTTTGTATTTTTAGTAGAGACAGGGTTTCACCATGTTGGTCAGGCTGGTTTCAAACTCCTGACCTCGTGATCTTCCCACCTCCAGACTTAAGTGCTGGGATTACAGGAGTAAGCCACCACGCCTGGACTGAATCTCATGTTTTTAAAGCAATATGTACAAAAATACCTATTGCAGATTTTTGTTATTATTGTTTTAGTTGTCTGGTTTGTGTGTTTTTGTTTCTTGTTTTTTGCTTTTTTGGTCCTGCAAAAAAAAGTAAACAAACAATAAAGAATAAGGAAAAAAAAAAACCTAAGAACCCAAATGTTGGTTAATTGAGAAAAATCAGTGCATGTAATAGTATGCAGCCTATAATGTTTATTCTAGCCTTTGGTATGCAGCTAAATTAATGTGTTAGCTGTGTATTTATTTATCTAATAGCTAATCCATATTACTGAGTAAAGCAAGATGCAAAGTAATATGTATATGAAAAACTGCAAAAACTTTATGTGCGTATATTTAAGCTTCTATGAAGAAATAAGACCTGGTACCATACAAACCAGGTGTTAATATTGGTTATTTTATGGCATGCTGCAAAAGGCGGGTGTGAGAGGTGGAATTATGTCAATGGTTGTCATAAACTCACATGTTGATTGTTTTATATATATATATATTTGAGAAACCTGTAATAAAATACTTTAGAAGAAAATGTACATTTAGTTTAGAAGAAGCTATAGGGTTTGTAGATTAGCAAGATTTAGGGTTTATAGCCATGATGTCCCGTTGCTGTTCCTGGTAACCTATTTCTGCTTGGTTCTTAGTATTATATTTAATACATAACATAAAAAAGGGAACTGGCTGAATCTGAGAGAAGATGTGAAGAGAGAAATTTGATATAACTCTGCCCATCTCTTAAATGTTGATATTCCTCAGATTTCTGTCCCAGACTCTCAGCTCTTGCCGAGTAATGGCTTTAATTGCATTGTATTTGAATTTCCTGCTTACTTTCTGATTCTCCTATAGGGTTTAAGGGTCTCATGGGTTCCGTAATGATTACTTTATTATTTTCTCCTTTATTCCTAGAATATAATTAGTAGCTATAAACTGGCAAGCATTCAACAGATATTTGCTGAATTGCAGAAAGAAGGAAAAAAGGGAGGAAGGATGGAAAGATACGAAATACGTGGCACTGTGCCTGGCATATACATGATCTTTACAGAAGGTCCTCATACCACACTTTTCCCACTCCAATCCCTCTGTCCCCATTCCCTTAGTCATATGTACTGCTCACTTTCCTGATGCAGACATCATATCCAAGCTACACAAAGGTTATCCAGCAATTCATCAATTCCTCACCTCCCATGCTTAGCTTTCCTGGCAGCATTTCAGCCCCTGGTGGGAGATCCGCAGCCTTTGGCTCTGCTTGCAGAATGGCCAAAGAGCACATCTGGATTGAGCATTTCATTTTCAGTTCAAACCTGGTTATAGTAACACTCTGTCATACTTAATATACACAGGGCAACATGCAGTGTGCTAGATTTGGACTCACTGGAAAAAGACAAAGCATGACATTGTTGAGGCTGTACCAGCAGGGGGTATAATTCTTTGTAAAGCTATATAATATGTTCGAAACATATTGCAGCTGTTGATAGGTTTTATTACATTTACAGTTAGGGACCTTATTATATTTGTAGGAAAGATTTATTATATTTGCTTTTATTACTTTAGCAGTTTGGGATACTTTCCTATTTGTCATGAACTTATTCCATTTATGCCCATTGAGTTTATTTCTTAGGTTTGCTCCATGAGCAGGCTATGAATAATTTCACCTGTTGTCATTACATTTGCAGTCAATTTTCATTACCATCCTGCTAATAGTTTACAGTATTTGCAGGTGCTACATATTACATTAGTAGTTTGAATATTTTAAAGTCAGCAATAATGGGGTAGAGCAATCAGCTGAAAAAAGGGCACAGAACCCTTCGCATGCTCAAACTCTTGGCAGATGTGGGGAATACACTACATCGCAGAAGCTGGCTATGATAGCCAGACTTGTTTTTGGAGTACGTGTTCAAAGGACCAAAACCTTAGTCTGAAATGCTCAGATTCATGGACTCCAAGTTGGCTGTATATCTTATTGTTTCAAATTTTCAGGATTCTTCCACTGACGAACTAAATGAAGATAAGACACAAAGCTTAAATGTATGACGAATTTATGTTTTCAAAGCAATTTCTTCCCTGAACTATCTCTAGCTTGAAAGACTAGATGGACATAGGAAACCACATTGCCCGTGAGCATAAGCAGAGTACTTATGCTGCTTCTTAATATTTGGGGTAGAATTTGACATCTTATGCACCAGTCTAGGCCTCCACCATGTATAGCCTCTGCAGTCTATTCATAAATGGAAAATTCGATGCAAACGTCTGTTTGAAGTTATGTGACTCATTGTAGCAGTTAATGGAATCAGTAAGAGAGGTAATATGGAGCAAGGGAACATCTGGAATAATTGCAGTACATGTGTAAAGCAGCAGCTATACGAACAAAATAATAATAGTAGAAGTTTATTTATCACTTACCAAACACCATTGTAAAACACTCCACATGCATTAAATTAATTAGTCTTCCTAACAACCCTATAAAATGGTTATGCTAATTAGTCCCATTTTACAGGCGAGAAACTGAGTAGCAGAAGTTAAGCAATTTGTCTAAGGTAACAGAATTAGGATAGATAGAACCAGGTTTGAGCCCAAGTAATTTAACTTTCATGTGCAAGTTTTGAACCCCTAGTCCATGATATTAATTCTTAGCTCTGCAACTCAATCAAGGAAGACAGCCTCCTAGTTCCTAATCAACTAAAGATTTATACTTAGCTCTTATTCATTTTATGGATTATGCTATGCTCACTGGACTGTTTTCAAATCAATAAAGGTTTCTACTTAGCCAATATTTAAATAAATGTACTTTCCACCAATTTTCTGGGAATCTACTGGTTTATAGAAACGTAGGTTTTATTGGTTTATTTATTTATTTTGAGACAGAATCTCAGTCTGTCACCTAAGCTGGAGTGCAGTGGCGCAATCTTAGTCCACTGCCTCCGCCTTCCAGATTCAAGCAATTCTCCTGCCTCAGTCTCCTGAGTAGCTGGGATTACAGGCAAGTGCCACCACACCTGGCTAATTTTTGTATTTTTAGTAGAGACAGGGTTTCACCATGTTGGTCAGGCTAATCTCAAACTCCTCACCTCAGGTGACCCACCTGCCTCAGCCTCCCAAAGTGCTGTGATTACAGGCATGAGCCACTGTGCCCGGCTTTGATATTATAAATATATTAGAATATATATATGTATATATTAGAAATATAGTTTTCCTCTTTCAAAGTACTTGTCATAATCTAATCATCAACTCAAAGGCAGAACACAGACTAAATCATCCTTATAACCCCAATGCCCCTAATATATGCTAAAATGGAGTAGCTAAGTGAAGTACTTAGGAGCACACAATCATCCTTTTAAACTATTGCTCAAGCCAGATGGGTGAAACATAAGAGTCCTGGATCAGAGGTGAGAAAATCTAGCTCTGGTTTCTGCTCCACAGCTCACTAATACTTACGGACTTTTAGAATTTCAGTTTTCTTGTCTGTATAATTAGAAAAGTCTAACACCTGCTCTAACTTCCTCATAGGTTGTTACGAGGTATTAGGGTTCCCAGATTTAACAAATACAAATGCGTTATATCCAGTTAAATTTGATTTTCAGATAAAAAGAGACAAACACATTTATAATATGAGGATGTCCCATGGAATATTTCGGACACATACTAAAACAAATGCACAGTTTATCTGAAATCCAAATTTAACTGAACATTACATATAATATTGGGCAACTCTACATGAGGATTGATGAGATAATGCATAACGATGTACTTAAACGTTTGACATTCTGACAAAACATATTGAGATTGTAAATGTAGCTGATCCCTCTGAAACAGGAAAACAAAACAAAACAAACAAACGAAAAACAAAAACAAAAACAAATACCCAGGGGGATTTAATATAAATTCTTGCTGTTCATTGTCTCTGGAAGATTTGTTCCTCTGTAGGTGGAGGGCTCTATGTGTGGCTACATTGGAGAAAAACTGATTCAGCAACAGAGCACACAAAGCCAGGGAGGAGCCAAAGATCACTAAGGGAAGGGGTTTTCTAGCATCGTTCATGGACAAATGCCAGACTTACTGTGCTAGGAATCACCAGATGAGAGGCTGTTACAGACACAGCTTCCTAGCTTCTACCCCAAGAGCTCTCTTGTAGTCCCAGTGTCTAAATGTTTAACAAGATTCCCAGATGAATCTGAGAAGCAGCCAGTTTTGCCAACTACTTCTAGATAGGTTTTTAGGGACACCAGATGCTTTTTATGAGAGCACTAATGACCACTGCCAGTGGCAACAAGTAAAAAATCCATGTCCCTAGAGTGGATCCTAACCCCAGCATCTACAATGGACATCAGAGGAACATTGGCTAACAAGGTGACCTGCCTTGCATGATTTATCTACCTGCCATCTACAGTACAAGTCATTTAAAAGGGTCCAATATTTGTCTTAGTAGTACATTAAATGAACTATATGCATTAAAAAAGGGCTCTTACTGTTAAAAACAACAGAGGCCTAAGTCAAAATAACTTTCAAAAGGATGGAAGTCAAGAGAGCAATCTGCAGCCTAG
Source organism: Homo sapiens (assembly GCF_000001405.40). Classification (NCBI taxonomy): domain Eukaryota; kingdom Metazoa; phylum Chordata; class Mammalia; order Primates; family Hominidae; genus Homo; species Homo sapiens. Next base: position 18,972,993 of record NC_000004.12, on the reverse strand, counting down.
CTATATCCAAGTGCTTACGATATTATTATGACCTCGAGACAATAGTCATCTAATGTATTCTGTTTCTCCACTTTCCCCCAGAAAATCCTACAGCAAACTTAACTGGCCCAATACAGTTGATATGCCTGTCCTTGAACCAAAACTACAGTGATTGATTGCACAGTCCTGAGTCACAAGCTCACTCATGCCTTGGGGACAGGTCAATCCCACTCAAGCTATATGGACTGAGACAGAAGAGGGTAAGTTTAAATGCCAGAAATGTTTCTAATACTAGAAAAAATGGACATAAGGGTGTGTGTTATAATAGAGTATAAAAATAATAAAATGAAAACTTTCTCAGAAATGTGAAAATTAAGAAAAAAGCAGAAAAAAATTATGTGACTCCAATTTTTCCAAGAGGCATTCTCTAAAGTCCTAGTTATTTTAAGTATTCTGGATTAAAGGGGGTTTCCTGGTCAAAGTGTTGGGAAACACAAAGCACTTCTTTGAACATGTGTGCTTCTTGTAGCTTAAAATGAAAAATGATTACATTAAAACCTCTGTAAAGCTATTCAATACAGAAACCTTTTAAAACTGGCTTTAACCCAGAACTTTTGAAATTGAATGAAACAAAGAAGATTTTTTAATAGTAGAACATATCATAGAATTAGCATTTTAAGGCAATAATTCTCAAAGTTTAATGTGTATACCCACATACCTGTGTTTCTTGTTTAAGTTCGGAATCTGATTGAATAGGTTTGGAGTGGAGCCTAAGATTCAGCATTTCTAAAACAATGTCATGGGACCTACATGTTGAGTAGTAAAGCTTTCAGAATGGCATTTCGGGAAATAAGCTCTGCCTAAACCCTACATTCTTTCATGGCTATTTCTGGGTCTTCGTCATCATGGTAATCTTAGCTATCTTGCAGGGCCTGGCATATGGAGATGGTCCTTAACTATTTTAGGATTAAATGAGTGTATTAAAGAATGGCAACTTGAAAGCTTTGCTCTGTGATAAGGTTTACATATCAGGCACATTTTCTAATAGGTTAAGTAGAGTATTTCCATGTGGGATGGAGAAAGAAAAGGAGCATAATGGGAGAGAAGATTCACAAAAGACAACAGGCCTTAGGTAGCTAGAGGGTAGTTACAAGATGCTGAGGTAATGTTTTCAATGCCAGGTCAATGAAGGACCTGGTGGAGCCATAAATGAGCATGGCAATAGGGAATTAAAATGACTCCAAAACAATGGTCTTCAAATCTTTCAGACCCAGTGACCCGAGGAACGTAATATACTGATCTCTAAGATTCTACCTCTGTAGTTCATTTAAAATGAGATTCTCAACTGGAGAGAGTGAAGGTGGATATTAGAACCTCTAAGTGAGTAACAGTCTGAAAAGAGTCCTCCTCTTCCCCCAATTCTGATATGCAGCTATGCTCCCTACTACCACACACTTAGACATATTAGTCCAAAGGAGAGCACCAAGTATTAAAAAATAAATAGCTGCTTCTAAAAAAGATTCTATGTTGTGGGAAGTCAGGGACCCCAAACAGAGGGACCAGCTGGAGCTGAGGCAGACCATAAATTGTGAAGATTTCATGGACATTTATCAGTTCCCAAAATTAATAGTTTCATAATTTCTTATGCCTGTCTTTACTGCAATCTCTGAACATAAATTGTGAAGATTTCATGGACATTTATCACTTCCCCAATCAATACTCTTATAATTTCTTATGCCTGTCTTTACTTTAATCTCTTAATCCTGATATCTTCGTAAGCTGAGAATGTACGTCACCTCAGGACCACTGTTGTACAAATGGATTGTAAAACATGTGTTTGCACAATATGAAATCAGTGCACCCTGAAAAAGAACAGAATAACAGTGATTTTCAGGGAACAAGGGAAGATAACCATAAGGTCTGGCTGCCTGTGGGGTCAGGCAGAATAGAGCCATATTTTTCTTCTAGCAGAAAGCCTATAGATGGATGTGTGAGTAGGAGAAATATCACTGAATTATTTTCCCAGCAAGGAATAACCCTGGGGAAGTAATAAATTCCTGGGGGTAGGTCTATAGATGGCCGCTCTGGGAGTGTCTGTCTTATGCGATTGAGATAAGGACTGAAATACACCTCATCTCCTGCGGTACCCTCAGGCTTACTAGGATTGGGAAATTCCAACCTGGTAAATTCTAGTCAGACCCATTGTCTGCTCTCGAACCCTGATTCCTGTTAAGATGTTTATCAAGACAATGTGTGCACAGTGGGACATAGACCCTCATCAGTAATTCTAATTTTGCCTTTGCCTTGTGATCTTTATTGCCCTTTGAAGCATGTGATCCTTGTGACCTACTCCCTGTTCACACACACCCACCCCTTTTAAAATCCCTAATAAAAACTTTCTGGTTTTGCAGCTCGGGGTTGCCATCATGGTCCTACCAATATGTGATGACAGTCCCGGAGTCCCAGCTATAAAATTTCTCTCTTTGTACTCTTTCTCTTTATTTCTCAGACCAGCCGACACTTAGGGAAAATAGAAAGAACCTATGTTGAAACATTGGGGGCTGGTTCCCCCAATAATTCTATGTATTCTCTTAAGTAACCAGCATAGTCTAATTATCATCATCATCATCAAAATAAGTGGATTGAAAAAATTATACCAGCTACATATTTATCAGAGCATCTTTTTTGCTCTTTGATGTTAATATGCAATTAATGCACATTAGTTTCTCAGATCATTTAAGTGCTCAGGACTTGGTTTTTCATTAAGTTCAGAATCATCATAGTATTATTTGTTGATAGGAAAGCAGAAATTTTGTACTCCTCTGTGACAAAGCAGATATATCTGCTCAATTCAGGAGTAAAGTATTAACAAGCTAGCCGACTTGCCTAAAGATTTATAACCAGGTTCTTAATTTATCTTAATATCAGTAAAGCAAATACTCTTGCTATACATTTCTTTGTTTTCTGGATTTCATTTTGTTCTAAACTAAGGCCAATATATTATGATTAAGCTCCCCCAAACTCTAATATTTGGGTACACTGTCTGTGAACCTTAAGAAAATTCAAGAAACGTAGGTTACCAAAGAGACAGAAAGAAATTGGCTGGTAGCTTTATTCCTAAGGGTTTAGTGAGGGTGGCCTAAGTGAAATTTTGTCCTTGGTGGATCATTACGGTTTATGGCAGCTTTGTTCACAGGCAAGTGGCTTTATTGATATAGGTAGGGCTATTTTTAGCCAGCTTAGCTCATAGAAAATGCAGACCCCTTGATCCTTAGCAAACAAGGCTTGCAAAGACCTTAGCAAATGTGGACAGCTCTGCCTTATTGAGCAGTCCATATTGGTCTTGGACTGTCTAAAGCTACCTTGAAGTAGAAAACTGTAGCCACACTTTGCAGAAGCCAATGAGGCAGAGATTAGCCATTATGTGTAAGAGGTTATAAAGGTGTAAAACTGAAGAGCTCTCTAACAGGCCTTATGTTAAGTCATCTACAAAGCAGTCAGGAGAAAGAGGCAGCCTTCTTTGGCAGGGAGAAGATGCTATGCTGCGTGATTATGTCTAGGAAAAGGCAAAGCCTCAAAGGAAGCCTGTACCTGGTAGGCATCACCTTGGTTTGGCAGCTAATTTTGCCTCCAACCCTGCAACTAACATAAAGCATCATAACTCTAACTGGTTGTGCATGACTTAAGGAATAATCTAATAGGAAGATGTGGAAGATCCAGGTATATGGATAAAATAAGAGATTTCACAAAATCAAATCATTAATTGATACATAAAAGGGTCATAAGTTTTATTAATAAGCAAATGCAAGCATTGAACTGCATGCAGGGAAGTGATAAAGGTGATATTTTATCTCTATCTGCCTAATTCCATGTCTATCTCCTTCTAGTGATTAAGGATTCAAGTACAGAAAAGGGGTACTTTTTATTGGGCTCCTAGAATTCCAATAATAATTTATGTTCATTCTTAACTTTTTAGTTAATTTTTTTTTCATTTTCATGTTATCTTCACAACAATACTAGACAACATATGCAATCATAGCAATGATAAGTGGGGGTGAAACCCCCTAATCAATGGTGAAATACTGATAGATTCAGAATAAATCTTAGAAGTAGAGGCAATGGCACTGGCAGAAGTATTGAGTGTGATGGAAAAGATACCTTTTTGGCTGTAATGTTGATTAATTAGATAATTATAATTAATTAAGATGGTAAACACCGTGAAGGAACAGGTTTTGGGGAATGAGACAAAAGCTGTTTAAATACAGGTAAGTGTTATCTTGATTGTATTTTAAAATTTGCAGAACAAGACTGATAACTGCTCTATCCTTCAGGTTTTGCCATAAAGAACAAGTAAGATATTCTATGGAAAAAAAAAGTCTTTGAAAAGCATGAAAACTTCTGAAAGTAAAAAGGTTTAAAGAAAGCAATTACCCAGGTAAGAGAAAGATAAAAATAATTCTATCTTTTCTGAATTATCCATAGATGTTAGACATTGTCTTAGTCTATTTGGGCTGCTATAACAAACACCATAGACTGAGTGGCTTATAAACAGCAGAAATTTGTTTCTTGAAGTTCTGGAGGCTGCAAAGTCCAAGATCAAGATGCTGGCAGATTTGAGGTCTAGTGAAAGCCCATTTCCTGGTTCCTAGATGACTGTCTTTTTGATGTGTACTCACATGGACAGCGGCATGGGCGCTCTCTAGGGTCTCTTTTCTAAAGGCACTAATCCCGTTTATGAGGGTTCTTTTCTCATGACCTAATCCCCTCAAAGCTCCCATCCCCTAATTCCATTACATTATGGGTGAGGATTTCAACCTATGAATTTTGGGGGACACAGATTGTCTTAGTCCAGTTTTGCTGTTTTAATAATATACCTGACACCAGGTAATTAATAATGAACAGAAACTTATTTTCTCTCAATTGTGGAGGCAAGGAAGTTCAAGATCAAGGTGCCAGCAACTAGCAAAGGCCTTGCTGCTTCATCGTCATGTGGTGGAAGGGCAAAGAGGAAAAAGGGGGCCAAACTCACCATTTTATAATGGCATTCATCCCACCCATGAGGGCTTAGCCCTCATGGCCTAACACCTCTCAAAGGACTTACCATTAATACTGTCACAACAGCAATTACATTTCAACATGAGTTTTGGAGGGGATAAATATTCAAACCATAGCACAAATATTTAGTCCATAGCAGACATCACAAACCTCCCCCATTTTTACTTTTGTGGAAATTTATCTTTGGCTCTTGAGAGCTTCTTAAATGAGATTATTTACCTGAAGTGCAATAGAACATTATTTAATTCTCTTTTTAAAATAGGAGGGGGTAGGATAGGATATGTAACATCAAGGGAATAATTAATATGCTTCAGACTCAGATCATCCATCTTATAAATATTACTTTATATTTATTATATTTACACAATATTCACATCAAACCTGTGTAGCTATTATTATGCTTGGTGATAAAACTCTGATTCAGAGAATAAAAGTAATTGACATGAGGCTACAGTGTTAGCTAATAACTAAATCCAGGATTTCATCTGGCTTTGGCAATAAGTAAACACATTCATTCTAACAAATATGTCTTAAGAGCCCACCATATGCTGATATTGTGACCTGGCTCTGTTTATCATAGCCAACTTCCCCAGTTACATAAGAGGAACAAAACCAGCAGGAGTAAAAAATGGGAACAAGACTCTTGGCCAGAAGAAATATTCACTGTAGCCTTTTACTTCCAGGAGTACAAAGTCTTGCTAATGCAGTGAAATAAATTTTGATTGTGATTCCAGGTAATAAATCTGGGATTGGAAGCTATATATTTTTTGTCCTTAGGTTAGCTGACAATTTTTTCTTCATATTAAATAATAGCTTTGCCCAGTAATTATATACATTGCTAAGTTTTTTATATAACAAAATTGACAGTATGTACTGAGAGACTGAGCAGTTTGGAAAGGTGAAAAATTCATCTACGTTTCAAGGTTCTAATGGTTCCACGTCAAGCATAAAGCAAAGTGTTGATTCAGATTAACTATCCACCTCCCTCTTTCTTCCTACAAATAAAACAAGTTACAAACGAGTCATTATTTTCCAAAATGTGCTTCTTGAAAATATTCCCCCTACACTGAGGGGTGAGGGTAATGGAGCATGTATAAGTATATTATGAAGAAAAGTCATGTTAAAAATACAAGATTCATTAATTTAAGAGCCAGATCAGAACTTCTGACAATAATGTTTCTGCTCATGGATGTATCCAAAATCCATTTAGTTTATTTTTCTAATTGTCTTGTAACTTGTATGGGAGCCAATGATTCTGATAATGTTGACTGTGATCGAAAGAATATAGTTCAGGCAATATAATAGATGGTCAGTAAACACCCACAAACTTTATCATTTGGTATTCTCTTTTATTTCCACAGTGTATTTCTGTTTACAAACCACTTTCTTTCTTTTTTTTCTTTTATTATTATACTTTAAGTTTTAGGGTACATGTGCACATTGTGCAGGTTAGTTACATATGTATACATGTGCCACGCTGGTGCGCTGCACCCACTAACTCGTCATCTAGCATTAGGTATATCTCCCAATGCTATCCCTCCCCCCTTCCCCAACCCCACAACAGTCCCCAGAGTGTGATGTTCCCCTTCCTGTGTCCATGTGTTCTCATTGTTCAATTCCCACCTATGAGTGAGAACATGTGGTGTTTGGTTTTTTGTCCTTGTGATAGTTTACTGAGAATGATGATTTCCAATTTCATCCATGTCCCTACAAAGGACATGAACTCATCATTTTTTATGGCTGCATAGTATTCCATGGTGTATATGTGCCACATTTTCTTAATCCAGTCTATCATTGTTGGACATTTGGGTTGGTTCCAAGTCTTTGCTATTGTGAATAGTGCCGCAATAAACATACGTGTGCATGTGTCTTTACAGCAGCATGATTTATAGTCCTTTGGGTATATACCCAGTAATGGGATGGCTGGGTCAAATGGTATTTCTAGTTCTAGATCCCTGAGGAATCGCCACACTGACTTCCACAATGGTTGAACTAGTTTACAGTCCCACCAACAGGGTAAAAGTGTTCCTATTTCTCCACATCCTCTCCAGCACCTGTTGTTTCCTGACTTTTTAATGATCGCCATTCTAACTGGTGTGAGATGGTATCTCATTGTGGTTTTGATTTGCATTTCTCTGATGGCCAGTGATGATGAGCATTTTTTCATGTGTTTTTTGGCTGCATAAATGTCTTCTTTTGAGAAGTGTCTGTTCATGTCCTTCGCCCATTTTTTGATGGAGTTGTTTGTTTTTTTCTTGTAAATTTGTTTGAGTTCATTGTAGATTCTGGATATTAGCCCTTTGTCAGATGAGTAGGTTGCAAAAATTTTCTCCCATTACAAACCACTTTCATATATAATAATACAATGACTTTTTGTGGGAAAAGGAGAAAAAATAGCACAGATATTATCATTTCTATTATGCAATTGGGAAAATACTGGCAGACTTAGAAATCATATTTTCTGGCTGTTCCAACACAAAGTTCTGCATTAGTCTCAAATAAATATATTTTCTTTAAGGGAAAAGAAAAGAAGTGTTCATAAATACATGCATAATTATTAATTTTCTTAGCCTGCTTGGGTTGCCAAAACAAAATACCACAGACAAGGTGACTTAAACCAAGGAACTAATTTTCTCAGTTCAGAAGCCTAGAAATCCAAGATCAGGGCACCATTCTGGTTGGTTTCTGGTGAGGGATCTCTTCCAAGCTTGTAAGCAACTGCCTTATCGCTATGTGTTCACATGGTCTTTCTTGCATGTGTGTACCTGGAGAAAGAGAGATATCATTCTCTCTCTTCTTCTTCTTATAAGGCCACCAATCCTATGAGATTAGGATCCCACCCTTACGACCTCAATTATCCTTAATTAGCTCCTAGCAAACCTATCTGCAAATACAGTCACAATAGAGGGTAAGGCTTCAACATATGAATTTGGTGGGGACACAATTCAGTCCACAGCATTAATTTGATGAAAAAAAATTCATTTTCCGAGAATTTTTTCTGTAGGTTTATCAAATTTTCTAAAAGACAATAAAATATTTTGTGGTAATGCTATTTTACATGCAGTTTTACTTTATAAAATTCTTATATTGCTGATAAAGTGAAATCTTTTTGTAGTGTTAAAATTATGGCTATTGTTGCTGTTTTTTTTAATTCAAAAATTAATTAGAAAATGTTCATTTTCATTCAAAAACATAGTTTCAGTTATTTATTTATATAGTTAAATGTCCACTTTCTATTTACTGTTTGTATAAACTTGCAATAAGAGTATATTTTGTGCTCAGTGCCCACAGTTATAAAATTGATCTTTTCCACTAAAAAAGAAAAATAAAGCATATTTTATTCACTCAAATGACCTGTATCCAATTATAAAAATAAAAAGTGTAAATCAATATAACAAAGTGACTAAATTGCTTGGTAATGAAATGCATGTGAATTAAAATTAAAAACCCTTTTAATATCTATCAGGTGACTAAAAATCATTTCTAGTATTGATAAACTTTTAATATCATTATCTTTATACACTGTTGTTTACATTATAAATTAATAAGATTCATACAAATTCATAAAAAAACATAGCTTTGACCATAAAACATCTCTACTAGGACTATTTCATAAGAATATTATTCAATAAAATTTCTAAATTAGAGGAACAGAAGTATTGATATGATAAAAATAAAGGGAATTTCAGTGTATTTTGTCTAAATAAAAATTTATGGAGCTATTTAAATAATTATGAAGACTATAGAGAAAAGAAATAGTTTATAATACAATAAGTTAGTAAAATTCAAACTTATGAATAAATACTTCAAGATTATAAGAAAAAATATGCATAAAGAAAAGAGTCAGCAATTAACATTCATGTGTGCACACACAGAAACAGGCATGAACACATACATGTACAAGGACACATGCACACACATGCACACTCACACAGCTGCTAATGAGCTTGGGGTTTTGGATTATGAGTCTTCTATCTTCTTTCCAAAGATTCTTTCTTTATATTTGACTGTAATCTTTGAATAATAAGTAAAAGCCTTTTTGATGCAAGCCATTTTAACTGGAGTAAGATATTATTGCATTGTGCTTTTTACTCGCATTTCTCTGATGATTAGTGATGTTGAGCATTTTTTTTCACATACCAGTTGATCATTTGTGTATCTGCTTTTGGGAAGTGTCTATTCAGATGTTTAGCCAATTTTTAATGAGGTTATTTGTTTTTTTGCTATTGAGTTTATTTGCTCTCATATATTCTGATAGTTTGGAAATATTTTCTCCCATTCCATGGGTTGTCTCTTTACTTTGTTGATTGTTTCTTTTGCTGTGCAGAAGCTTTTTAGCTTGATGTAATCCCAATGGTCTATTTTTGCTTTGATTGCCTGTGCTTTTGAGGTATGTAATAACAGATACTGGTGAGGATGTGGAGAGAGAGGAACCTTCATATACTGTTAGTGGGAATGTAAATTAGTACAACCACTGTGGAGAACAGTTTGAAGCTTCCTCTAAAAAGTAAAGATAGAATTATATGCTCCCATAATTCTGCAATTAGGTATATATCCAAAAGAAAGGAACTCAATACATTGAGGAGATATCTCCACTTTCTTGTGTATTCCAGGACTATTTACAATAACGAAACTATAGAGTCAACCTAAGTGCCCATCAATGGATAAATGGATAAAGAAAATATGGTATATATACAAAATGGAACATTATTAAGCCATAAAAAAGATGAAATCCTGTCATTTGGAGCAATATGGATGGAACTAGAGCCCATTTTGTTGAATGAAATAAGCCAAGCACAGAAAGACAAATGTAACATGCTCTCATCCTTATGTGGAAGCTAAAAAGATCCATTTCGTGAAGATAGAGAATAGACTGGAAGTTACTGAAGGCTAGGAAGGATAGTCAGAGAAAAGGAAAAAAGAAGAATGTAAATATAGTTTTATTATCACTGAATTGTATACTTAAAAATGGTAAACATAGATACCTTAATACAAATAAATTAAACATAAAAAATTAATATTAACACACTGTTATATTTTTAAAAATAGTAAAAACCTGTGGAAATAAATAGAATCAAAATAAATACAAATAAATTTAGGTTTAATATTGAATTTTTATACACTTTATATTTTTGAACAATGTTTCTCTCCAATTTAGCTCAAATAACAACCCAACAAAAGAAGCTAAAATGAAAAGAAAAACAAAATTAAACTTGGCTAGCATAATGCACGACAACAGCAAACGAGTTTACACTAATTAACAGATTTTATTGTAATAAGGTCAGATGTAAAATTTACAAATCCACACACCATGCATGGGAGCATGAAGAATGGAGGTGTGCTTTCATATATTTCATTTTTTTTTTTTGAGAAAAAATCTTATTCTTGTTTTGTTCTCTTTTGCTAGTACAATACGTTGTATAATGTAGGCATTCAATAAATAATTACTCAATTGAGTTATGATTTGTAAGAAACCTATCATAAACTAGATGTTAATATATGAATGCATTTTCAGAAATTATGTTAAATGTTAATTTATGTAAAATTCAAGCCACTTTCATATTTCCTTCTGAGTAACTGGAAAATATAAAAAGAAAATAATAAACTTAGGAATCTGATATAGGCACACAATAAATATTTATTAAATAAATGAATGAATAAGTTAGTGACCAAATGAATACATTTTCTTACTCTCATTTAGGTTGCCTTTTTCTAGGGAATATTATCTATGCTTCTGTTGAGTAGTACCATAATTTAAGAAGCAGTTATTCCCCAGCCAGCAGCATCAACCTCACCTGAGAGCTTGATAGAAATGCAGATTCTCAGCAGGAACTCTGTGAGGAAGCTACAAAGTTTATTTTAACAAGTTATCCAGGTGATTCTAATGCACATAAGGCATGCTCATGTTTGCAAACCAATTATATGGCCTGACTCACATTACCTAGAACTATGCATTCCATGGTTGCATCCCAGTGAAACAAGAGGAAGCACCTGGGTTCACAAAATACATGCTATAAAGAGATTATATGTCAATGTGAGATTTTTAAAAAAAAAACAAAGTTTAAGAACAGTTTCAGGAAAACTTCAGCAAAAGAAGTGAATGACACATAATCTCAAAATCTGAAAGACACAGATAACCCAGTATTTACAGAAAAGCCAAAAGCAAAGAAAAATAATTAAAGACTATCAAAAAGGAGATTTAAGTAAGCTCCAAGATCAACATTTGATCAAAGTGTAAGACAATATCCAGATCAGGGTGAAAGGTTGAGAAAACTACTTTGCCAAAAGATCAACCAAAGGGTCGTCATGGGAAGAAAATTTATACTTCGGGTACTTAGAGAAAAAAATGAGTTTGGAAATCAACATTGTCATTCATCAGAGAACTCACACAGGGAGGAACTATGTGTAAGAGTTTCTGTTCTGAGAAAATCTTCAGACGAATGTCTAAATCCCATTTCTCGGGGGAATCCATTTTGGGGATAAAGCCAATAAATGTGATCAGTGTGGGTAAGCATGCTGTCAAAGATGATATCGTCACGTTTACTCATGAGACTGTACAGGAGAGAAGCCATATGAAATAAAATCAGTATGAGGAGGAAAATGTAACCAGACATCTCTTGCAAAAGCCACATAAGAAGTATTCATAAAACGCATGCAAGTTAGTTTTCGGTCATCTGCTCTTAAAGGATTATTTATGCTACTGTGCCCCTTGGTTGCCAGTGGTAAATTAGTACATTCTATTAAATGTAACAAAAATTATACTTGTGCTTAAGATGTAAAAGGACATTCTTAGAGGCCACAAAGGCTGTAAAAAGTGAATAAAAAGTACAGTGCCTTCCCTCCAAGAAGTCTGCAATGGAGCCACAAATATAACTCAATAAGCAATTCATGTTTTTTTAAGTTAAAATTCTAAGTAAATCAGGCAATGTGTATAAAAAGTAACAAAATGCAGGAAAAGGACATGTTTTCTCCCTGTGAGCAGAATCTGAAGAGGAAGCTGTATAAGAGATGGACTTTGAATACAGAGGATGGATAAGGTTTCAAAAGGGTAAAGTGGCATAAAGAGAAACTTATGAAGTTGGGTAAGGGAAGAAAGAGGGAAAGGATGAGCAGTAATGAAGAGAGAGGAAAACAAGGTGTGGTAGACAGAATAATAATCCCAATAATAATCCCAAAGATATACACATGTTATTCCACGGAATTAATAAATATGTTAGGTTAAAGGGGAGTTAGGGATGCAGGTAATATTAATGCTTCCAATCACCTGACTCCAAAATAGGGAGATTATCCCAGATTATCTGGGTAAGCATGATGTAATCACAAGAAAGACTCAGAGAAAGACCCATAAAGACGGAAGCAAGGTTAGATTGATGCAGTTGGTGGCTTTTAAAGAAGGAAGAAAGGGGCCATGAACCAAGGAATAGCCTCTAGAAGTAAGTAGCTTCTAGAGCTGGAAAGGCAGGAAAATGTAGCCTCTTGTATTTATAGGGTCCCCAGTAGCCTCCAGAAAGAATCACAGATATGCTGACACCTTGACTGTAGTCCCTCGAGATCTATTTGAAGTCCTGACCTCCAAAATGATAGGGCAATACATTTGTATAGTTTTGTTTGTTTGTTTTGTTTGTTTTGAGACAGAGCCTCACTCTGTCACCCAGGCTAGAGTGTAGTGGTGGAATTTCAGCTCACCACAACCTTGGCCTCCCTGGTTCAAGCGATTCTCATGCCTCAGCCTCCCGAGTAGCTGGGACTATAAGCATGTGCCACCACGCCTGGTTAATTTTTTGTATTTTTAGTAGAGATGGGGTTTCACCATGTTGGCCAGGCTGGTCTTGAACTTCTGACCTCAGGTGATCCACCCGCCTCAGCCTCCCAAAGAGCTGGGATTACAGGCCTGAGCCACTGCGTCCAGCCCACAATTTGTATAGTTTTAAGTTACTAAATCCATGGTAATTTGCTAGAGCAGGGATAAAAATGTAATAAATGTTTTTGGAAAATGGATTTGGATTGTGAGAACCAAACTACAGTGCATTCTATAAAATTTATGGCGATATAAGGAATGTAGATTATTACCACTGTAAGAAGCATCTTTACCCTCAGGGTAAGACAAGTCTAAATTTTAAAATATATGTGAAATTATCACAAATGTCAAGCTGGGAATTTCTTTGGGTGGGGGCGGGGGGTTGTATGGATTTTAACTAGAAACAGTGTATAGAACGGATTGGAGGAGAGAAAAAGAGGAGACAGGAAGTCTCACTGAAAACTAATAGGAAAGTTCAGTGAAAATGTTGTCAAGGTCTGAAAGGTGACCACAGCAAGAATAGTTAGGAAGGTGATATGATTTGGCTGTGTCCCCACCCGAATCTCATCTTGAATTGTAGTTCCCATAATTCCCACATGTTGTGGGAGGGACCAAGTGGGAGATAATGGAATCAGGGGGGTGGTTCCCCCCATAATGTTCACATGGTAGTGAATAAGTCTCACGAGATCTGATGGTTTTATAACGGGTTTCCCCTTTTTCTTGGCTATCATTCTTTCTTGTCTGTCACCATGTAAGATGTGCCTTTCACCCTCCACCATGATTGTGAGGCCAGTTAGTTACATGGAACCATGAGTCCATTAAACCTCTTTTTCTTTATAAATTACCCAGTCGTGGGTATGTCTTTATCAGCAGTGTGAAAATGGATGAATACAGAAGGGAAGGATTTGGCCGACATCTCAAAGACTGACCTACAACTGTGTGTGGAGTTTTGAGCCTGGGATGACTTGGAATGAATCAAAGCATCTCAAGCGCAGATAAATGAAAACAAATACGTATATTATAAAGAAATCAAAAGAAGCCAGGGGAATGGAGGAGACAGTAAGGTGGCATAAGTTTTGACACTTGAAAAACAGAAGATTATGGTTTTTTTATATTAGAAAGATAGAAAATATGTCAATTGGATCTATACGATATTTTACATAACAGGAGTGGTGCAGAAACTGTTACCTGCTCACCAAAATAAATTTTCTCCTTTCATCAAAATGGGGATCATTGCTGGATAGAAATCTATACTACTGTTTTCCAGCCTCCTTTGCAGTTAGATCATGTGACTAGGCTCTCTCCAATAGAATGTGTGCAGAAAAAATGTGGGAAAATTTTTGTTCAGAATTCTTAAGAGAGTTGGTATAGAACCTCCATGCTTCCTTTTCTCTTCTTTTCTCTTCCCTTTCTCTTTCTTTTCTGAGGGATGGCAGAGCCACAAGCTACAGGGAGACCGGTCCCAGAATGACCTAGATGAGGTGAGTTGCTCTGCCTATCTGAACAAACTCCCACACAGTTACATGAGGAAGAAATCAGCTTCTATTTTGTCAAGCCACTGACACGTTTGTTTCCTCAGCTAAGCCTGCCATAAGAAGCACATAGAGTTTCTGGCACAAAATAAGACATCAGTAAATGCAATTCCAACTTTCTTTAAATAATGCCAAACTCTGTTATGCAGATTTAAACACACACAGTCATACGTGATCATGCACCATTCAATTCATTTAAACATGAAGTGTCTTCACTTCTTTTGCAAAGACAAGTTGAAAGGCTAACTTCAGAAACACTATTGTATTGCATAAAGTGAGATAGAAGAAAATCTATATTAGATATATCAGCAAGGAATAAACAAGAAACTAATTTAAAGAAAAAGTTTTTAAAAAGCAGGAAGATATTTATTATCACTCCAGTTGGGAAAACCTCCAGGATTTTACATTCTCATGTTTTCACAAAAATAAATGCATACACATGCACGCACACGTGTAACATAAATTAAGAAAAAGTATCTGCTGTCATCTCAAAGCTGATAATAGTTTATAAACAATTTGGGTTACCATGTCGGCCATGTTTATCTAAGTCTAAAAGGGAGGAACCATGTTGGATTAAGTGAATGGTTTCTAGAGTAAGATTTTCAGGATAAAAACGTTATCTACTTTTATATTTTTTAGACTGAACTACAAACGAATCACCTCACAGCTCATTAGGCTTAGAGAAGGAATAACTTAGCTAATCATTATCTAGCCTTAATGATGCATGGAAATGGGCTGAGCTCAGCTTCAGGCAGACTGACCTATCCCAAGGAAAGGGCAGCCAGGCCATGGCTTTTGGCAGATGAGACTCAGACCAACGGCACATAGTGGGCCTGGAAGGAAAATGGCTCATTTCAGTTTTGATACTTCGATATTTCTATATTGTTGGTGGCTCCACGTGCTTTAAACCAAGGTAGGATTAAAGTATATTTTTTAAATTGGATATTTGCCACGTGGGTAAAGGAGTAACTTGAACCTTGTATAATTCTAGGATAGAGAAAAGAAGAAATGAAGAACACTAGGATTTTATAAAGGAGATTTCATGTAGCCAGCTTTACCACCCTGTCCTAGTTCATATCTAGAATATTCCATTGTCCATCTTAGCCTCTCCGTTTCCTTTATCAGGGGAATTTCTATTTTTCCTTCCTGGTTTATTGCAAGTGCCTTCTGGTTGTCTCTATAGCTTCACCACCATTGCCATACAATTATATGCTTGCTTATTTCATGTATTGCACTGTATGTTTCCAAAAGGTAGGAAATATATCTGCCTTAGTTTCCTTGTCAGAAATAAACAAATATCATAATAGAATTACTAACCTTACAAAGTATTTATGAAGGCTAAGCTGGTGAATACCTGCAAAGTGCTTTCAAGTTTGCTTGGCATACAGTAAGCACTCCAGAGGCATTTGTCATCATTGCTGTTGATTGTTATTGTTTAAATAAGTTAAAACCTAGCCCTTGTCTTAAGAAATTTCAATCTATTTAGATTTAAATTTAGATTTCTTAAAATTAAATAAAATTTAAAATCTGGTTACTTAGTCATGCTGGCTACATGCCAAGTGCTCAATAGCCACATATATCTATTGGCTATCGTATTGAACAGAATAGACATAGAACATATCCATCACCACACGGCCTTATAGAAGACAGTGTCAATCAAAAATATTCTCTTTCCAATTTTCTAATTCCCTCATTTTAACCAGCACTATCCTCTCTTACCCTGAATAGAGAGAATACATCTATTTCAACCATCATTTTATTTCTAGCACCGTATTTTTATTTATTGAATAAATTCTACAACAGTCAGCTGAGCCTATGAGTTTTCTCCCATATTTAAAAGGTAACCCAAATATTTTCTCCAAGTTTCAAATCTACAAACCAAATTTCTCCTGGATATCTCCAATAAGATGGTCCATAAAACACAGTAAACATATTCAGAATATCCTAGCATTATTCTCTTTATTGTTTATTGTTCATATTAACAAGTGACACCAGCACTCATACATGGTCACATGCTGGCCTCCTTGAAGCTATCTGTAGGCAACAGATATAGTTGTCTCCTAGAATCTGTTGCCCTCTTGTTTGCCTAGGTACATGGCTAAACTGTGTTCCCCTGCCTTCTTTGTACAGTAGTCTTTGCTGATCTGTGGTTCCGCTTTCCATGATTTCAGTTATCCATGGTCAAATGTGATTTCAAAATATTAAACCAAAAATATTGGATTCATAAGTTTTAAATTGTGTGCTGTTTTGAATGATGCAATGAAACCTCACACCTATGTGATCTGACCCACCTAGTATGTGAAACATCCATCTGTTCAGCATTTCCATACTGTATGTACTACCTACCAATTAGTCACTTAGTAGATATCTCAATTATCAGATTGAAAAAACATAGTATATGCAGGGTTTGGTGCTATTGAGGTTTCAGGAGTTCACTGGGGGTCTTGGAACATGCCCCTCATACATAGGTGGGGAGTACTATATTCAGACCTAGCCATGTGACTAATAGACAGTGCAATATAAGTGGAAGTTATATATGTAATTGTCAGTCTGGAGCTTCGAGGAAGTATCTCTTCTTCCTGGTACTCTATTTCCCTCTCTACTAGTTGTATGAAAAGAATTCCAAGGCATGAGGGCATGACAGAGTCACAGGGTGATACATTTGGGTTCCCTAAGTCACCACATGGAAGAAAGACAGTCATCTGTCAGGAACATCTGTTCTGGAAAGTCTCTGAGAAATAAAGCTCTATTTTATCAAGCCATGGAAATTTATAATTTATTTATTATACAATCCAGTATCATTTTTACAAATATATCCACATTTCTTCCTCTTTTACTCTCATGCTTCAAATTTAGTCAAACGAAAGTTATGCAGACTGTACATCAAGTAAATGTTCCTTAAATACAATTCCTTCCCACTACTGCCCCCTTCATTGAAGTCTTCATGGCCAGTTGTCTTAACTGATCCCAGAGCCTCCTACCTGATATTGTCTTCCTGTCTTGTTCTCCAGGTCCATTCTCCTTTCAGAGACCAATGTGGTTCGTCTGAAACATGAATCCAAACTAGTCACTGATGGCTCTCCATTTTTCGCTTTGAAATTTGAGTTTCTAAGTATGACTCTCAAAAATTACATTCGTAGGCTGGGCACAGTGGCTCACACCTGTAATCCCAGCACTTTGGGAGGCCAAGGCAGGAGGATCACTTGAGCCCAGGAGTTCGAGACTGTAATGAACTGTAATCACACCACTGCACTCCAGCCTGGGTGACAGAGTGAGACCCTATCTCAAAAGGAAAAAAAATAATACATTTGCATTCATTTACATATCTTATCCCTTCTACCACTGCTGCTTCTCACCTCTGTGATATTCTTATGCTTTCTGATTCTAGAATGTTTGCCCGTCCTCTTGCATGAATGGGACTTAATCACACTTTCAATTTACCTTCAACATTAACTGAGAATTCCCCTCTGGCCTCCCCTGTCTAGGTTATATCTTTATCAGACTGAAATGTAGTAGATTATGAATAAATTTCATCAAATAAATGAATAAATAATGGCAGGTATTTTTCAGCTAGGTTGTGAAATGCTAATTTTCCCTCTGGAAAATAAGAGTTCAGTGAAATTAAGTAAACAAAAATGTGTAAGTGCTTAACAACATATTTACATAGTAAGGGTTCATTAAAATACCCCTGCCATTAATAATATAATTACTAGAAGAAATCTGTCAACACAGACAATATTTTAACTATATACATTTATAAAGCTCTGGCATAAATCCAAAAGGCATTTTCCTGTCCTCAAATAACTTCGTATTTAATTAAATCTCCAAATCTTTACAAGTTCTTAAAGCTTAGCTGAATTCCTTGAGGAGAAAGATTAATCATTAACTTTCAAGTTCATATTTACTCAGCAGCAAACTCATTCCCCTCGTAAGTACTGAAACATTTTTGTTGAACTGGATTCAGTAGTTTTACAACAAAGTACTTATCTTCTAAATGAAAAGCAGTGTTTACTAACTTATTGAAACAACATAAAATATGCTTATTCAAGCTTAAATCAAAATGTAGTCTCTCTAGGTCACATATGTGTTAAAAATCACAGAATTTTAGATTTTCTGTACTTTTTACTTTAATAAAAATAACAGGAGACCCAAGTGTGATTAACCAAAAAAAGTCTAAAATAAGATTTGCTTTTTATGTATTATGCATAAATATGAAATTGAGCTGATCATGAATGCTTTCTATTTCTTTTTATTTCAAATATCTTTACCTGTATGGCCTAAACAATTTATATTTAGGTTTTAAAATGTGAATATTGCCCCCTTGTTATGCTTAACTTCTCCACATTTTGGAAAGATACAATACTTTGTGTCTATTTTATCAACCTTTTATACTTATCTAGCATCTTCCAGTATCCTAGCACTCCTCCACTCCAATTCTTATCAAGTATTGTATCTAACAACAACAAAAAAAGGCTTTCCATTGCTATTGTTTTTAACTCAAAAAAACTTTCCACTTATTAAATCAAGCAAATAATCCTCGTTCTATCAATCAAAACTCAAATCAGCCTTTCTAGCTGACTTTGTTTTTTTATCTCAAACATGTATCCCACCAAATTCGACCTCATCCTCTCCATGTATCACCCTGCCACATTCTTATGTCCATGCCATTATTTGAGAGGGGTGGTGGTATGCACCTGTAGTCACAGCTACTGAAGAAGCTGCAGCAGGAACATCACTTGAACCCAGGAGTTCTAGTCCAGCCTGAGCAGAACAGTGAGACCCTTTCTCTAAAATAAATAAATAAATAAATAAATAAATAAATAAATAAATAAATAAATTTACTCTGCCAAAATACCAACAGTTGCCTTTCAAAATTATGCCCATCTCTTAAGGCCATATTTAAATTTCATTATTTGCATTATATTTTTATCTCACATCTTTTTAACTCTAGTAAGTTTCTTATGTCCTTGTGATCCTAATAGACCTTTTAAAATCATAGATTTTAAAATACACCCTTTAAAATCATAGATTTTAAAATACCTAGAACACTACATCATGACAAAATAAGAGAATATGTACTTGTATCTCTAATTGAACCATAATAAGCGTCTTAAGGGAAGGAATTTCACCTTACATTTAACTTTAGAAGAAAGAAAAAGTGAAATAACTACTAAATACAGTGCCATAAATATAATAATTGTTTTTAAATACAAACAATTAATAACCTTAGTTAGCAAACACTGACTTAATATGCTGTCCAATGCACTGAGAAAGAACCAGGACTTTGAAGAAGCCATAGGCTGAACCAGAGCCACTTTTTTCCTCTAGGAGCTCCTAATCTAATTGTCAGCTTGCCTAGCTCAAGCCAGAAACCTGGACAGCATCCTTGGCACTTGGCGAACTCTCAATCTGCCAACTCCTCTATACACCAAAAATGTATTAATGTCAACTGCTAACGATATCATAAATCTGACTGGTACTCTCCATCTGATTCAAATTGCCATCATCTCTATCTGGACATCATGAGACGTTTGCCATTTGATTCACACATACTGAAGACAGTATGATCTTGTTCTTTGTTGATGTTGTCATCTTCCATTACAGCTTCTAGCAACTTTCCATTTTTCTTAGTACAGAGGCAGAACTCCAAACAGGTCTGATCCTCACCGTTATTTCGGCTCATTTTCCCGTAAGGTTCTGCTCCAGCCATATCAGCTTTATTTGGGTTCCAAAACCTGTCACAAGGTGACCTTTTCTGATCTGCTGCATTAAGCCAGATTCCCTTATCACAGGAACTCTAGTACCATTTCCCTCACCTTCACAGAATTTATCATGGTTATCATTTTAAAAATTGCTTCTAAGATTCTTCAATACGTATTTACCTCCCTACTAGGAGTTGAGATTGTGTAAATTTTATTGATGGTGGTTTAACCTATGGTAAGTGTTCCTTAAATGCTTGTTGAGATGGAGAATGAATAAATAAATAAACCTGAATATAGTAATACTTTGCTTTGTGAACCTTTCTCTTAAGGATCTCATGTTATGTTGGTGAGTCTGACTTGTAAGCTATTGTTACATCGCATTATTACAGAAGTAACCAAAATAATTACATCAGGCACAGAGAAGCTCCTAATAGCACTAGGTAGTAGAGGAAAGTTCAAAGTATGAATCTTTTCAGTTTAATCTTTAAGAATGGAGCAGAGTCACCAAGAAGAGATGTTGTGAGATGTGAAAAGGGCATGGAAGTCAAGTGGAGTCATCCTATAAAACAAAAAGCCATGAAAGAACTTTGCTCGTGTAGGAAACACATTCTGAGGAATACTAGTAATATGGCAAGTTAGAGGCCAAAATGCCTATCAGGGAATCATAAGAGTAAAGGTAAATGCAGGTAGTTCATCAAAGGACATGAAATTGGATGTTTTTAAAACATTTTCTAATCTTTATTTGCATAAATGTAATTATTGTATAGTTACACAAATACAAGTTATATATGTTTTATTTTAAATTCTTTTAACTCATTTTCCTCCCTGAAAAAGAATCCTCATTGGAATATATGTTATAATGCCTCCATGGACATGCTTTTATGCTATTAACCCCAAGTGATCTTTCTACACATGTATATTTTTCAGTCTGAGGAACAATACTAAAATTGCTATTTTTGATTTCAGGTACTGCAAGGATGCCATGGTAACCATTTCTTTATATAAATTTTGAACATACTATTCAAGGGTTACTTAGAAAATACATTACTGTTGCATATTTTCTGGTTAGTAATTTTGTAGTAAAATTCTCAATGCTACAGCTACATGTTTCTTAGCATTACAAACCCTTTCCTTAAAGTACACTCACACTCACAACACACAGAGAGACATAGAATATTCCCATTAATGGCTACATCTATAAAGTTAAGTGTTCAGGTTTACAAGAAGCAAAAGCATCTCATAATATCAATAATCCCCCACCCACCCCCATTACCTCTCTGTTAAGTAAAACAAGTTTTGGTTAGAAGATACTCTGGTCAATGACAGCAGTGACAAAACCATTGAAAGGGTATTTTTAGAGTGATTAATAATGCATTTAAGGTTCGAGACCAGCCTGGCCAACACAGTGAAACCCCGTCTCTACTAAAAATACAAAAATTAGCTGGGCGTGGTGGTAAGCGCCTGTAATCCTAGCTGCTTGGGAGGCTGAGGCAGGAGAATCACTTGAACCTAGGAGGTGGAGGTTGCAGTGAGCCGAGATCATGCCACTGCACTCCAGCCTGGGTGACAGAGCTAGACTCTGCCTCAAAAAAAAATAAAATAAAAATAAAATAATAATGCATTTAAGAGCAACATCTTATATATGTTGAGGACTTTATGGTTTACTGTGTATTTGTGCATATGTGTTCCTACTGTACCTTAATAAATTATTTATAAACTGGCAAGAGTATCCATATTTAATGGATGAATGCAGAGTGACCCAGAGAATTAAGTGACTTGCTCAACTTTATCCAACAAGGTAATAGAATTCTCAGCTAATAGAACCTGTCATCAATAGTCTAACTGGAATTCCAATGCTGTTTACTACCACAAGTGGAAGTTAATTGATATCACAATATAGACAGATAGCATTGTTCTCTTTGGTTAACAATATTTGCATTCTTTAAAACAGTAGCCTGCTTGTTTCCATTTACTTTATTCAGTCTCATGGGTTCTAATGTTGTTTTTAGCTCAAGTTAATGAAAATAATAACACTTTTCTGAAATATTTTATGGTTATAAGAATGAACTCAGTTTTTAATTACTTGAAATCTTTGCTACAGATAATGACATAATAGAAGTTCACAGATTCATTACATGATGTTTCATTACATGATGTTATAGTTACAGTATAGCCAATAACATACTTTTCATCTGGAATGCTTTCTTGGGTAGAGTTAATCATTCTTACTCTAAGGATCAACTTTCCAATAATAAAGATTGATTTAAATATGCATTTTCATTTCTGCATTTCACTAATTGATTTTTATTTTTAACCCTGGTCTTGTATTAGTAATAAGTAAAAGAATCAGTGTATGAGCCTTCAATGGTTTAGATCTTGGATTCATACAAAGATAACAGGAAGAGCTTTTGAACCTAATGAACCTGGATCAGTCGGGCTGCCGTGTAGTCAGCCTTACTTATAACAGTTTGGTGACGTTTATGATATTGTGATTTAGAAGAAAATAGTCTCAAGTCTCTTAGGAGAAAATTATTGTTGTCTAATGTAGGAAAATCACATTTAGAATCAGAGAATCCTAAGTTAGTGTGATACCCCACCTGACCATGTACCAGCTGAATGATATTGAGAAAATGAAACTATTAAGAATTTAGTGTCCTCATATGTAAGATGCGATAACAATTTCTATCCCTTAATTTTATTAAGATTATCAAATAATCTGTTAAACAGGAAATAATATTTAAATGTGATTTACAAATTAAATGAATGAAATATACTATTAATTAAATAATATAATGTAAATGTAATTGGTATTTTTTCAGTCTCTATAATTTTATTTCAGATACAGGTAAATACTGATGCTAGAGAGAACTTGGTATTTTGAATAACTTCCCTTTTTAAACTGCGTTCTTGACATTGCTATTTACATTCATTGTAAAATCTTGTTTGTTTTCATTTGTACTATCACATCTCAATTCTGTATGTTTCCTTAATTGCTATAAGTTGGGGACAGTTTTGCCAAAATGAAAAAGTTCTCTTTGCTGACTAAACATAAATATTTTTATGTTTAAAATAAACATAAACTTTCTAGCTACCCAAGAACCCTCTTAATGTACATTTAAAAAGAGCTAACAGTGTGATTAGTTGAAAAGGTCTGGGAGCAAAAAAACAATATCAACTAAATTTTCTGAGTTTTTCCATGCTTAAAAAAGGAACTTATAAGAGCTAGCTGTGCCAGCTTTTTGAATGACTCCTGTTTTGAGGAGATTTAAAGTGGACTGACATATCTGATCATTTTGGCTCTTTACTCAAGTAAAGATGTGTCTTAGAGGTGTCACATTAACATAGACAACGTAGATAAACATCTACAGATTTTGTTTGTCCAACATCTCCTCACCTTTTTCTTCTAGTAAGACACAATACTTTATTTGGGTAAATGGCCTTAGTTTACCCTAACCCAAGATCCACATGGTCTAATTCATGAGAAAGACCCCTTTCTTTGTACTATCCCTGACAACAGCTTTAGAAATACTACCAAAATTTGGCCAATCATAGATCCTTCCTGTTTCTCTCTCTCTCTCTCTCTCTCTCTCTCTCTCTCTCTCTCTGTGTGTGTGTGTGTGTGTGTGTGTGTGTGTGTCTCTATGGTATATTTCTTATTGAATCATATGGTATATTTCTCTTTCTTTTGGTATATTATGGCATACCTTGCTTTATCAAGACAAGTGTATTTCTTACTATGGTATATTTCTATTTCCTCTGAAGTCTCAAAGATAATATGATGCTCCCTGTTTCCATGCCCCACTTCTTCTTGTGGAATTCACCTGCAATGGTAAGAATGAGGCTAACAAAAGAAAATTTTCTTTTGTTAATCAGTCATTCATTCAACTAACATGGATGTAGCATCTACCATGAGCCAATTCTAGGTACTTAGGATACATCAAAAAACAAAAGAAATAAAAACCCTTGCCTTCATGGAGCTTATATTTTTGTGGGGATAGGGCTAAAGGGAGAGAGGAGGAATTGGGATAGAGAAACAGGAAAAATATTCAGTAAATACAATGAAAAGTAAGTTATATAATAGATTGGAAGGAAATAAATACTACTAAAAATTGGTTCTAATTAAGAAGAACCAGAAGTACTAGGTTCAGGTTACATTATTGAATGAATAGTTAAGGTATGACTCAAAAAGAAGATAAAATATGAGCAAAGACTTGAGGGAAGTAAAGATACTAGCCATGGTGATATCTTGGGGGAAATCTAGAGGGAACACGAAGTTACGAAGAAACAGAAAGGAGGTGATACACCTGAAGTAGAGACAGAGAAAAAGAATAATATCAGAGAGCTAGCTGGAAAGTAGATAATATAGGACATCAGGTAGTTCAACATACTAACAATCTAAAGAAGATAAGCCATATGATTATGTCAATTGATATAGAAAATGCCTATGACAAATTCGTCATCCATTCATGATGAAAAGATTCAATAAATCAGAAAGACAAGGAAACATCCTTAACCTGGTAAGAAACATCTAATATTTATAGGGCTTTTACACTGTTGCAAATACTTCACTGTAAGTTAACTATTATTTACACCTTACAGATTACTAAACTAAGATTTAAAGAGGTTAAACACAAATAACCCCATTAAAAAGTGGGCAAAGGATATGAACAGACATTTCTCAAAAGAAGACAGACAAGTGGCAAAGAAACATGAAAAAATGCTCAACATCACTAATCGTCAGAGACACAAATCAAAAATACAGTGAGATACCTAGCATCTGACGCCAGTCAGGATGGCTATTGTTTAAAAATCAGAAAATAACTGATGTTAGCAAGGTTACAGAGAAAAGGGAATGCTTATACATTGTTGGTGGGAATGAAAATGAGCTCAGCCCCTGCAGAAAGCAATGTGGAGATTTTTCAAAGAACTAAAACTAGAATTACCATTTGACTCAGCACCATTACTGGATATATACCCAAATAAAAATAAATCATTTGACTAAAAAGACACCTGCACTCATATGTTATTGCAGCATTATTCACAATAGCAAAGGCATAGAATCAACCCAGGTGCCCATCAGTAGTGGACTGGAGAAAGAAAATGTGATACACATACCATGGAATACTATGCAGCCATAAAAAAGAAAGAAATCATGCCCTTTGCAGCAACAGAAATGGAGCCGGAGGCCACTATCCTAAGTGAATTAATGCAGAAACAGAAAAACCAAGACTGCATATTCTCACTTATAAGTGGCAGTTAAACATTGGGTACACATGAACAAAAAGATGGGATCAATAAACACTGGAGATTCCAAAACAGGTAAGGAGGGAGAGAGGGGATGGGTTGAAAAACTACTTGTTGGGTACTATCTTCACTCTTTGGGTGACAGGATCATTAGACGCCCAAACCTCAGCATCACACAATATATCCATGTAACAAACCATGGACCCCGAAACTAAAATTTAAGAAAAACAAAACATGGCTGGGTGCGGTGGCTCACGCCTGTAATCCCAGCACTTTGGGAGGCTGAGGCAGGTGGATCACAAGGTCAGGAGACTGAGATCATCCTGGCTCACACGGTGAAACCCCGTCTCTACTAAAAATATAAAAAAATTAACGGGGCATTTTCGCATGTGCCTGTAGTCCCAGCTACTCGGGAGGCTGAGGTAGGAGAATGGCGTGAACCCAGGAGGCGGAGCTTGCAGTAAGCCGAGATCGTGCCACTGCACTCCAGCCTGGGCCACAGAGCAATACTCCATCTCAAAAAAAAAAAAAAAAAAAAAAGAAAAGAAAGAGAAACAAAACAGAAATATAAAGTTAAGTAACTTATTTACAGGAATACAGCTGTATTAAAACAGTGTGATTTCAGAGGTCTTATATTTATCTATTGCACATGTTGAACAATAGATGGCATGACCCATTCTTATGAAGCAAAGTTATTCTTAGAAAACAACTATGAACTAATAAAGAAATGCTGCTTAAAGACTACAATTTTGCCTAGCATATAAATGAAATGCATTTTTTCTATTGCTGATAAAAGGAGTACCAAAGCAAGGAGTAGAAAATGCAGCATGAATATTATAAAACAAACTAGAGAAAATCATCAGAATCGGTGAAGAGAAACATAATTTAAATCACAAAAAGATGTACCTTTTAAGCACAGTGGGTCAGAATGGTTGTTACTGCTTGAGTAAGGAATAACTGAAAGTTTATAACGGACCCCATTAACATATGTTCCTTTCTTGTGTATTATGTTCAAATTTTTTATACAGCAAAATGTACTAATTCTTCCTTACAACCTGACTTGTGTCGATAAAGCAAGGCATTTCTACAGCTCTCATTTTCATAATGACAGCTAATTAATGAGAGGAACCATCAAGGTGGGCTGTATAAGAAGATGGTCTGTGGAGACACCATTACTGGGATTCAAATCCCAGTGTGGCTATTTAGTAGTTTAGAAGCCACTTTATTCCTGCTAATGTGGGACTACAATCAGTACCAATCTCACACAGCTGAAGTAAGGGTAAATTAAATAGTGTACACAGAAGTGCTTATATGTAGAAAATAGTAAGAATTTAACAAATGGTTGCTGTTTTTGAGAACATGTGTGGCATTGTGCTGAGGTCACAGACTAGTGACATGATCAGGAAATTATTCCTCATGAGCATTGTTGCTTTAATTCATTGACTTTGTGCCTTTTTTATTGTAACAAAGGAAGATAAAGATGACAGAAGTATATGAATGGATAGCAGTAATATGCAAATAATGGTGCTAGTGATTATAAATATTGTGAGATTATTAGTCACATATTATTATTGGTCAAGAACAAGATATAACCAAATTTTGGATTTTCTTGGTGATTTCAAGACTGTATACCTAAGCATTTATGTTCTGTTTGTTTAAACATTTTGCCATTTAAATCTCTGCAGAAAGTTTGTAATTTTAAATAGGAATCTAAACTCCTCAAACCATACTCCCACATTGAAAAAAATTTTGCTTTTATAATGCAATTTTTATAATACAAAGTTTGTTAAGAACAGAACCAACTGGTACCTAAGTGTCATTTTTATATTAGTATTTGAACATTAACATCCATGACTATCACAGTAGGGATTAGAAGGCCAAGATATGCAAAACTGATTTAATTCCTAGTAATACCTAGTAGTAGTTCCCTGGGTTGGGCAAATTCAATTTTGCAAATTTATTCTTTGAGTATAGCGTAATTTTTGAAAAAAGAGAACATTATACATTGCATTTAGCAAACTCAGCTTATTTGGTGTGCTAAGTTTCAAGAAGCTAGAATTGGGAAATTTACTGGTGCCTATTCAAAAGAGAGGTCTTTTACTTTCAAGCTTAGGCAATTCATGCTCCTATGGGGAAACTTGATGTATGCACTTATGTCAACTTGCTAGTTTCAGCATCTTTAAAGCTGCACACATTTCCTGGCACACGCTACATCTTCAATAAGCTTTGTTGTGAATCAATGGCAAAGTTCAAAAACATCGAAATGCTCTTAAGGGTAAACTCATTCCTAGCTAGAGATACTTAGAACCACTTCAAGAAGAATCAACACTGACATAGGCTTTAAAAGTTAACATAACTTACATGGGATATTTTTAAAGGTAATATAATCCTCTCCATTTTGGTCTCTGATATACATCATGAAACTATGAAGAGTGATTAAAATGTCAATTTTGCCCTTTATAGATAATGGGAGTCTTCTATGAGCCACCTAGATTGAAAAAGTTTTACTTCTGCCAACTGTTTCCATCAGATCCAACACTCTAATTTAAGATGCATGTGTACAAGTTCTTTATCATATAGATTCACAGAGGACCAAACAAATCTCAGATCAACACTATCAGTGCGTGAGTGCCCGTGTGTGTTGGAATTAGGGTCTGCCTCACATAAGTCTTTATAAAGGCCTGCTTATAGAGAAGGAGCATGTTCTAATAACATGAAGTTATCTGAACATGGGCCCCTCAACACCTATTGACCATGTCTGCCATGAAATGAGCAAACTTTGTTTATATAAACATGCATTTTTCTCTGAGCCACAGTCCAACCCCATATTGATGAAAGGGCACTTATTCTGTTAGCTGAGATTTATAATGTAGCTGAGAGGCAATAAAAAACAACCTACATTTGCCATCCAGGTTGCCTCTTTGCCCCTCTGGAAGAGTAGCATCATCTTTATTAGATGAGGTTTTGTTATTTTTCCTAGCTCCATCTCCTTCTGAGAAAATGGAATGTGAAATTACTTGCTAATTCACTCCACCATTCAGAAACACATGTTTGTGGAGCTGAAAGGAAAGTGTTGCAAAGATAGCAATATATCATCTTACTGGAGAAAAGTGAGAAAACAATGAGTTCGGTCGAAGCCATAGATAAGTCTAGATAACCAAGGGCTTTTGTAGTTAAGCAAAAGAGTTTGAATATAAGCATGGGGGCAACAGCCAGAGCTGGTACCACTTTAAGAGCAATGGTATTAGTTAGGAGGTCCTAACTTCCAGGTTCAAGTTCTGGAAGACCTACCAACAAGTCGCTCCCTCAAAAGCCCCTAGCCTACCTTTGCTCAGTTCTGTGACAAAAGCATGGGGATCAGAGCGCAATCTATTTAGTCACACTATTCTATCACATACTCTCTCGGCAGATAACATCTAGAAAAAGGCAAGAGACTTTGGAATCAGAAAGACGTGTAAGGCAACTAACCTCTTTGACTTACTGTTACAGATACATTTTTGACTTAACTGTAATATGGGGATAATAATACCCACTCCAAAAAATTGTTGTGGGGATTAATTAAGGGAGAAATTCTCTTTCTTCTTTTTCCATTACCTTTGAGGTCAAAAGGAAAAAGAAAGTTGAAAACAACAAAAAACCAGGTGGCACATAAACACAATTCATCTACTTAAGTGTAAGTCAAATCTGTGAAAGTAGTTTTTGTTTGTTTCATATTATTGTCACATTGGAACTCAAAACTTCTTCACAGCCATTGTACATAGCCTAAAACACTCCTGAGGGTATTTCCTTCAAGCAATTATAGACATTTTAATATGATATGCTTTTAGTTTGTAAAAGTTGTTTCATGCAAATCATATTCCAAAATGCTGTGCAGAGTTAAATAATTCACTTAGAGAATTCAATAATACATAAAGGGAATGGGAAAAAGAAATTAGAAGATATTGGCTAGACAGAGCACTGAAAACATGTGATTGTTAATAAAAGAATTAACTTTGGTGAGGCAAAGAATTAACAGTGAACAGAGCAATTGCTGCAGAATATGCAAAGTACATGGAGATGCAAGATATTACCATAAATTTAATCTTTCTTATCAGAGTAACAACAGGGCCAAAGTAATATAAAACAGAGCATCATGAACATTATAATAAAAGGAAAGATTTCAGAGGCAGAAATGGAAAAGTCTGAGGACTTTTAAGGAAGCAAAAGAATCTTGAATATTTGTGTTTGTAAGATACATTGGAGTAGTAAAATATTTGCTTCCCCAGAATAAGATGGATAGTGCATTCAGCAATTCTAGAAGCTGCTTGAGGTACTGTTATAATTCAAGGATTTAGTAAAAAAAAAAAAAAAAAAATTGACTATCAGTTCTAATTCCACAATGTATTACTTTATTTCTGGGAGGGAGACTTAGCTTTGTGTTTTGTGTTTTCTCATCTACAAATTGTTGCTTATAACAAATGGGCAGAGAAGAATAACAAAGCACTTTGAATCATAAAGTAATCCTAAACAAATATTACTTGTTAGCTGTTCTTGTGCCTTCATCTCATTGGTTTCTTTGGGGCTACTCTCTGCTCATTCATTCTTGCACTTATGCAATGATGTTTATTGAGCTCTTACATTATTCTAGAGACTGTTCTCTGCACTTCAAATGGAGTGTTTAATTAAGAGACACAGTTTCTCCCTTCACTCATGGTCTAAGGGGGAAGAAAAACATTCAATGATTAAAAAATCAAATTACATAATTCCAATGTGGAATTTCATACTTTTTGTAAAAATAAACAAACAAACAATGCTGCAGTGAGCTGTGGTCATGTCACTGCACTCCAGCCTGGGCAACAAAGTGAGACCATATCCCAAAAACAAAGAGGTAATGCAAGAAAGAATATTAGTGGTTGGCCTTAATATTAGAATATCAGGAAAGTCTTTCTTTTGAGGTGACATTGAAGCTGGAACATGAGCAACTAATAGGAGCCTATCATGTGCACATGTGGGAAAACCATGTTCAAGGCATAGGAAAGAATAGGTGTGGAGGCTGCAAGGTGCAAAAAAGCCTGGTACCTATGGGAGAGGAGAGAGCCAAGTGCATGGGAACAGTTAGGGCTGAATTTGTTGGGCTTCCTCTGGGGGCTGAATCCTCTGTGCTTCTTTCTCTCTTACTGTGTCTTAGACCACCATATGATTGTCTGTTTGCTGATGTGCTTCTTCTCTAGGGCTGATGTCAGGGGCTGGGACTTTCATTTCTGTAAATTCATGTTGCCTATTACAGATCCTAAAATACTGTAGGTATTCCATAATGCTTATTCAATGGGTAAAGGGACACTAGCCCCTGGTGTAAGATACTAGAAGAATAAATATTTAACTGGTGGAAAAATATATAAGTTGAGTTAAACCACTGTCTTTCAGTTATATACTTCTTTCATCCAGTATATTAAAAACCTTTTATCTAACAGGCAGCATAATGGTCCTAGGGACAGAGAGAAGAATTATACAGTGTGCCTACTTTATATGATCTCAGAACATAGTGGGAAGCAGAATAAGTAAATGAACAGATAGAGAAGTTTGTTTTAGGTTTTATGACAAGGTGACAAGCATACAAGTCACACAAGGGTATCTGTGAAGGCTTTCTGAGTGTGGTTTTTACTTTTTTCTATAATCAATATTTATGTTTTGAAACTAGAGATAGCTCAAGAAACAGTGGCTGCATCTGTACAGCGTGCAGATGATTGCTGGAGAAAATAATGGGAATACAATTTAAAAATACAGGACTTTCACCCTTAAAATATTTTGAAGACATCCATAAAGAATCCTAGAACAAGATATTAATTCAAAGCATCTTGAAAATTGTATTGGAATACTGTATTAGGGTTCTCCAGAGGAGCAGAACTAATAGGATAGACGTGTACATAAAGGGGAGTTTATTAAGGAGTATCGACTCACACGATCACAAAGTGAAGTCCCACAATAGGACATCTGCAAGCTGAGGAGCAAGGAAGCCAGTTCGAGTCCCCAAACCTCAGAAACAGGGAAGCTGACAATGCAGCCCTCAGTCTGTGGCCGAAGGCCCAAGAGCCCCTGGCAACCCACTGGTGTAGGTCCAAGAGTCCAAAAGCTGAAGAACTTGGAGTCCTATAGTTGAGGGCAGGAAGCATCCAGCATGGGGGAAAGATGGAGGCTAGAAGACTCAGCAATTCAAGTACTTCCAACTTCTTCCTGCTTTTATTCTAGCCATGCTGGCAGCTGACTAGATGGTGCCTCCCCAGATTGAGGGTGGATCTGCCTCTGCCAGTCCACTGACTCAAATATTAATAGTTTTTGGCAACACCCTCACAGACACACCCGGGAACAATACTTTGCCTCCTTCAATCTAATCAAATTGACACTCAATATTAACCATCACAAGTACTAATATGAGGGGATATTCATGGATACCATGGAAAACTTCATGAAAGAGGTGGAATATGGGTCCATTTTTAATAGGGGAAGGAATACTAGAAACAGCAAAGAGTAACAGGAAGACATAGATCATATCTAAAAATAGTAAATAGTTAATTTAGCAATTTGTCTACATTCAAAGAGGGATAGTATCTTATTATTCTTATTTATGTATGGGAAAATCGAGGCTCAGATAGGTCAAAAGTGATGTTTTTTCAAGGCCACAGAGTGACTACAGAACAAATTTACATTGTGTAACACAAAGTCCAGTGTTACTTCCATATGATTGTTTGTGAATTTCCAGTGCAGCCCTCTGGGTAGGTAAAAATCATGTGTAGGAATCAGCAAATGACAGTTCCAAACCATAGATCCAAACTGTCTTGGGATCTATAAATAACTTATTCAATATGTGCCTGCAATTCTGCCTTTCCTCAGCACTTTTCCCGTGAAACCCATAGGAAACAAGGAAACTGAATAGATGATCAGTATTACGAACTAAACTGTGTCCTCCTTCACCCAAATTTGCATGTTGAAATCCTAAAACCAAATGTGACTGTATTTGGAGGTAGAGCCTTTACGGAGGGAAGTATAGTTAAATGAGGTCATAGGGTAAGGCTGCAATCCAATAGAATTGGTTTCCTTATAAGAAAAAGAAAAGACACTAATGAGAGGAAAGACTATGTGAGGAAACAGCAAAAAGGTGGCAATGTGCAACCCCCAAAAAGAGGCCTCTACAAGTACCAACCTTGCCAGCACCCTGATCTTGGACTTCCACCCTCCAGAACTCTGAGAAAATAAGTTTCTATTGTTTAAGGCACACAGTCTGGTAGTTTGTCACAGGAGCCCAAGTATTAATCTATTAATCTATTAGGTTGGTGCAAAAGTAATTGCATTTTGTTTTTTTTAACCATGAAAAGTAATGGCAAAAACTGCAATTACTTTTGCACCAACCTAATAGATTAATAGATGAAGAGGTTGTTGGTGGTGATTGGTTTGTGTGTAATTCAAAAGTCAAGTCACAAAGAGGCTACTGAAATACCCCATGATAATATTGGTGCACCCACAAATTAAACACCTGGGCAATGGACCAGATGGACTGCAATGGAATAAATCCACAAGAGGTTCCAAGATACAGGAGAGATATGATTCTGAGCAACCTAACATTCAATTATGAGTCCTCTCCTGGTCTCCTGCCCTTTTTCTTGATCTGAGGCCACTGTGAACACTGCTTCTCCTCTCTAACTCAGGTTCTTAAGTCGTCCTAGAAAACGTTCACAGAAAGAATGGCTAACTCTATTGTACAAATGAAGAAGTTGAAGAGGGGGAGCAAGCCGTCCAAGGTTATGGATCCAATAGGTAGTAAATACCCCTTAACTTATTTCCATTCATTTCCTAGCCTGTTGGATCCTTTCTATGTATCTCTGATGTTGGTTCATAAACTCTAGCTGTGGGTCAACATTGTTCTCTAATATTTCTCACTACCTGTAGAAAACTCTATGAATATAATGAATCTTTTTGCAGTAGATTTCACGTCATAACCAAATAAAGGTTATTCCAAGGAAGCTCAAACCCTTGTTATTCAGCCTGAGTTCATCTTAAACTAATCAGGGAAAACAAAATAGAATCCAAGCAGAAAAGAGTCAGATAGAAGAATTAATACTTTATAGAAGCTGCCAAATCTTTCCTTCTTCAAATGTAGAAACTGAGGCCAGAAAGGTTATATGACTCTCGCAGAATCACATAGCTACTTAAAGACATTAAATTTATGTGCAAGTGTCTTACAGGAAAGAAATATTAAGTTGAAGAAAAGAAGGAGGTACAAAACTTTTCTTAGTTTTTAATTCAGAAATTTTGAAGAAAATTTTGTGGATGGCTCACAGAAACCAGAAATGTATTGAGAGTTTTCTATATACCCCACAAAATATTTGACATTAGGGAACCTATAGCCAAACAGTTTTAGTCTAATCCCAAATGTGAAAATAGAGCTCAATGAATTGCAGCAGTAATAATCCTAGGTGTTCTGCAGACATTCCTACAAGCCTGTCTTCCCTAGTCCCAATCTCCTCATGCACTCCCTCCCAGGCTTGTAACCACATTGCAG
Organism: Homo sapiens; assembly: GCF_000001405.40. NCBI lineage: Eukaryota > Metazoa > Chordata > Mammalia > Primates > Hominidae > Homo > Homo sapiens. The sequence goes on along the minus strand of NC_000004.12, from coordinate 18,939,150 downwards.
TCTAAATGGACGGTTTATGCTTGCAAATCTTATTTCATAAATTGTCATATCTAAGATTTGCCTCAATTTAAAGTGCACGACCTCTACACTTTCCTGTACTTTCCAATTTGGCAATTCTTTCTAAAATAGCAATCATATTTTTCTGACAGGATGTGTTTTCTTACAAACCCCTGTTGTGTATTGTCCCTTTTCCATTTCGGCCCAATACACATGCAGAGCTTCTCTTATTACTTCTATATTTGTGAACTGAAACACTGAGAGTGAATTTACTACTCAGTCAGCCATGAATCCCCCTGAGTGTGGAAGAAAAAAAACCTACTTACCCAGAAACTCTCCATCTGCCAGTAGCCTCGGGAGATCATTCTTACACTTTCTTTCAAGGAAAGAGTTGGTGGTGGAAGGTGGGGGTGGAAGGAAACCAGTGGGGCCCTCTACTTTTAAAAATTATATCAAGAAGCCCAGTATTATACATTTTTGTTTGTTCTGCTTCATGGAGAAAATCTGACCTCATAGAACTCAAACTCTCACCTTCAATGAACTCTAAAGTCAACCACTCTGTGATTCACTCCAGGGGAACTTAAGTTGGTGGGATGTAATTTAGTGTTCCCCAGCAGGAAAGAAATTTAACCAGCCCTCTGTGTCAACATAGCAACCCCCTAACAAAGAACTTGGTCAATCAAAATTTTGCCTTTAAAAAAAATTAACTAAATAGACTCTGTGTGTATGTGTGTGTGTGTGTTCATATGACTAAACTCTTCCCAGTTTTTCATTGTTAGCTGTGACCATTTGACATCAAATGCTTTGATTAGATCAGGAAAAGAGAAATAGCATTAACTGAAATGCGACTATGAGCTGGGCGCTGAGCTAGAATGCGTCTAGCTATGTTATCTAATATATCCCTTAGTAGAATGTTCTCAGAAAATTTATTAACTCCTCTATCTACCTCATAAAAATGAACTTCTTGAAGAATGTTGGAATGTAGCCTTTATCAATGCAATGAATCTTTAAATAATCCTGAATAAATATATTATTATAATTTTTATCCATTATTTGTAAGTCAATTTTTCTATAAAAACTAGAAATGTGTATTTATCTGTTTGGGTGATTTAAAAGTGTTTATCTTAGATCTGCGATTCTCAGCCTGGGGTGATTTTGGCTGATTCTCAGCCCAGTCTCCCACTCCCACTGGGAATATTGGGCAATGTTTGGAGACATTTCACAATTGTGGGATGCTACTGGCATCTGGCGGGTGGAGGCCAGGGGCACTGCTAAACATCCTACAGTGCACGAGGCAGACCCGCACAACAAATATTGTCCAGCCCAAAATGTCAATCAATATTGCCTAGGAGGAGAAGCCCTGCTCTAGGTATTTTCTTCTAGCACTTATTCATTTAATAGGCATTTATTTAAGACCGATTATGCACCAAGCATTTTGTTACAATCTGAGGAAACAAATCTAAGACAGAGCCCTTAACCTCAAGGATCTCACAACCCACTCAGAAGACAGAATAAAGACAATACGTAATTGTCGGGGCATCAGGAATGCCAGGCAGTGTACTAGAAAGCAGGAATACTATGGAGACCAACACAGATAGAGTCCTGACCTCAGTGAGCTTACAGTTTAGTGAGGAAGACAGAAGTCAAATAATCAGTGTTCCAAAGTTGAGGTGCAGACTGCTGTTAGACTATTTGACTTGAGGATCCCAAAAGGCTACACTGAGGAAATGACATTTGAAGGAAGTTCTAAAGGATGAAGAGAAATTCAGAAGCTTTGAAAAGGACATCCTAGTACGCGTGCAGGTGCATAAGCTGAGGAAATTGAAGGAAAGGTAGAAAAGCATGTTTACCTACTGAGATTAGGCAGGGGTCAGATGTGAAGTGTTGTGATAAAAGCTACTCTGTGGTTATAGAACAAATATAACAAATATTCTTAACTTGGACTCATTTCAAAGAGGAATTAGAGCTAGGACTTAAAAGTTGGGTTGTAGCGATTAGGGAGAAAAAAATTACAAGAGGTATTCCCGGCAAAGGAATCAGGGTTAGAGGTAGCATGGCCTGTTGGAAGAATGGTAAAGAGTTTGAAAGTCTGAGTGGGTAAGTGCATGGGTTAGAGGAAAAGGATATAAGAAAGGGAAGAGACTAGGATTGCAAACCCTGCTTTTTTTTTTTTTTTTGCTTTCCATTGTCTTGGTAAATATTCCTTTATCCCTTTATTTTGAGCCTATGTGTGCTATGTGTGTCTTTGCACATGAGATGGGTCTCCTGAATACAGCACACCGATGGGTCTTGGCTCTATCCAATTTGCCAGTCTGTGTCTTTTAATTGGGGCATTTAGCCCACTTACATTTAAGGTTAAGGTTAATATTGTCATGTGTGAATTCGATCCCGTTATCATGATGCTAGCTGGTTATTTTTCATATTAGTTGAAGCAGTTTCTTCTTAGTGTCATTGGTCTTTATATTTTGGTGTGTTTTTGTAGTGTCTGGTACCGGGGGGCTTAAAACCTAGATAGATGATGGGTTGATAGGTGCAGCAAACCACCATGGTACATGTATACCTATGTAACAAATCTGCATGTTCGGCACATGTATCCCAGAACTTAAAGTAAAATAAAAAATAAATAAATAAATTTTAAAAATGGGAAGAAACTGGTCTTCCTCTTCCTCATGTTTCTTTGTGTCCTGGCTAAATATGTGAATGGTTTAAAATGACTTTTTATTTCCTCTCAACAGAGGTCGATGATTCCTAACAGGCCCTTGTTTATAAGTTTTATGAACTTCAAGGAGCCTTTTACCCCAGGCCCAGGTAGACCTTGTCTCAGCAGGGGACTGATTGATGAAATGAGATCTTAGCAAGACCTTGGCCAGTCCCCTCCGCCCTGCCTTTCTCTTCACAGCCTTTCATGACTGATTGCACTCCCTCCGCTTCAAGCTACATTTCAGTGCAAAGTCTCAATTTGCTTCAGCCTTCATGCTTCTGCACTATCACTCAATTCCCGGCTTTTCAGAGCCCAGTGGCTTTTTGATTGCTGGTGTTCTTACAACACTTTTGGCAAATCATTCAGCACCTCCCACACACAGCCAGCTCTTCACACACAATAGGAGTGCATGAAATTCAATTCACAACACTACAGCTTACACATTCCAAACTCACTGAAGAGATAAGCCTTCCAATTAATGATCTCCTTGTGTAATTGCTTTCCCTCGCTTACCCAGTTCACTTTTGATCGTGCCCTGTTACGAATTCCCTCACCTGCTTACACGGTGAGTTCCTTTCAAAGGGAACCACTGGGGGCTGCAGGAAGTGGGCTGGGTAGTTGGATACATGGTGAGATGGGTTTAGCTGGATTTTTGGCCTGTCATCTTTTAGCTTACACCTCCCTAACTGTTATATCAGGACTACCTGAGGTCTTCTTTCTTGAACTTCTGACAAGTTGTTTCCTTTGTTCCTTTTACTTCCTTTTAAGAGACTGTCCATTTTGAAGAGAATTGAATCATTGATCTCAATCTGAATGCCCCTGCAAGTCTGAAATCCAATGGTAGGACTAACCAGCTGATGACTGGTTTCCCATGGACAGAAAGCAAGCTAGGATGTCAACGCTGTCCTGTTGTATTTATGTCTTATTTATAAGACATCATTCTTACGAGTCTCTGCATCATAGGCATCTGCATGTGGCACATAGTGGGAGCTTGGCAAATATTTATTACATGGCAATATGGATGAATATTTAATAATAATTGTAAACTTAGCTTAAGGATTATTTTTAAAAACAAGATGGCAGAGATAAAAAACAGTGATTTTTTTAAAAGAAATATATACAGAAAGCAAACAGGAAGAGACGATATGAGAAGCCAAAGGTTCTGATTCCATAAGGTTGGTGGGAGCACCTGATTCTGCAATTTACAAGCGCCCAGCTGACCTTGGTAGCAGGTAGCCCTTTAAATTCTTTGAAAAACACTTGTAAACAACAAAAGCCAGTCCTAGAGTCAGAAAACAAGGGTTCATGGCTGGGAATCCAGTTCATTTCCACTATTTGCTGGTTGAGAATGAACTGGACTGAGATTCCCACCTCCACAACCCCTGCCTGTGATGAAGGTGAATGACAACAGCATTTAGCATTAGTCTCTCAGGCTAAACACAGTAAGAGTGGATTGAGACAGGCATAAGAAAACAATCCCCAAACAGAAAAGTCAGCTGTTGTTATTTAACAAAACAGAGTGGACAAAATTCCATTAAGATGAAATAGATGATTTAAAATACATATCCAGGTGATAAGCAAACAGGATTAAGAGTTGATGACTGGAACAAGTTGTCTATTATTTGTATTTCACTTTATTTTTGGTGTTTAGAGGAAATGCCTTCAGTTGGTCTTAATGGGCTATGGAAAATAATAGCACTGGAAAATTAATGGTGTACCATAGCATTCTTGACTTCTTGTTTGATGTCACCTGTCATAATCTGTACTACATCATACTCATGTCTGCAGGTTGGTGAGGCATTCACTCTATGGACAGTTATACAGGGTCTTTAGAGAATGAATCATGTGAGTGAGAATACGTCATTGGAGTTAGAGCACAAAGGGTCTTAGTTTCACTAATTTTAATGACTTGGGTTTTTCTTCACTTGAGAGTGTAATTATCCCTGATCAGCAACTCTGTCCTAAACACTCTACTAAGGGGAAGGAAGTAGATAAAGAGGAGATACCTTTATTTCCTGTTTGCTGAATCGACTGCTGGATAGACACAAGGGGGAGCTGATACAATATATAAATGAGTTTCCTACGAAAATTCAGCAGTGGCTTGAAGGTCACATGCCAGCCACGTGAAATATTTCATTCCCATTAATTCATTTCTTTTTAATGAGCACTTTAGTGAATGTTTTCAGTTATTCAGGAACCATACACAAGGGAGGGTGTGTGTGTGTGTGTGTGTGTGAGGGAAATTCAAAAATCACCAAGTCCAGTTCTTCATCCTTCAAGGCAGGGATTTCCCAAGCCTGACATAAAACAGAGTGGGATATTTACCGTATATTATTTCCTGAACCAAAACAAATTCTTCTCTGACTTTCTTAATATTGAAGAAACAAGCTCAAACTATCACAAACTAAACTAAGAAAGGTCAAAAAGAAGATCCCTTCAGAGATAATTCATAGCATAAAATTAATCTGACTTTTCATGGGTTTCTAAACTTCCCAAGTGGAAGAGCTTCTAAATCTTCCGTCTCATCTTCACATTCCCGTATATAGATCAAAGAAAGCAATTCACATCCCTCCACATTCAAGGTAATTCTGTTAAGTTCTGTTTTTCAAGTTGCCTTAAATAGCAATATTTTGAAGCTAGTCCTTCTGTATCTTGATGGTCAAAAACAATCTTTCCCTGCCTCATCCAATCCACCTATATATCTACATCCACCATTCTCTCACCTGTTTGCTCTGTCATCAGACACAGAAGAGCAACACAAGATGCAATGCATGAGGGAGACTGAAGAAAGAGTAAGGTGTATTTTAATCAGAGCATTTCTGAATTCTCCCGCTTTTGAGAAAGGTCCAGTAAATGGCCTTCCTTAGGCTTCACTGGCTTTCTCTCTCTCATTGAGAGAAATCTGTCCCGCCCTGTGAATCCAAAAGCATTTTTTTTCCTCAAAGGCAATTGTGCTCATTATCTTCTATTACAGTGATTTACCTTCTTGTTGCCTTTCCTTTAGTAGATTATAAACTCCTTATAATTTGGATTATATTTTGATTTGTTTCAGTTTTTTTCGCATAGCCAAACACCATGTTTTATACAGGATAGCGGCGACATATATGATTGTTGCACAAAGTTGTGGGGCTTTACAATATAATTACAATAGCCTGAGAAAACTTTATCTTGGTAGTTGAAAAAGTTCCATAAATATGCCGAAGCATCTCTGAAGAGTTCCTGCATTTTATTACCTACATAAAAATATTTCTACCCCCTCCTGTCCACTATCATAACAGTACTGCCAGTACTGTTAGAATGGAACAGTACTTTTAGAATGGAATGTCTCATCATATGACCTCTGGAAGTAATTTGCCTGAGTTTGCAATTCCAGATAACAGTTCACTGCATGAGTAACCTAATAAAAAAAAAGTTCATTACTGCACTAGTAACCTAATGGGAAGAAAAAAAAAAAGCAAAGAAAGAATTAAGATCAATGGCAAGAGAACCTGAAGTAGTCTGTCACTTCAGATGAGCAATGCCATCATTAACCTTTAAGGTCCCATCAGCTATTATTGAAGTGTCACATACCACTGTGTCAAGATTAAATTAGCCAAACTATTACCTCATTATTATGCTAACAAATCACAAGCTATCTGAATTAATACTACATACACTGGAGACCCCCTTTGCCAGTTTACTAATAGTGCATGGATTTAAACTGTTTAGATGTAATGTATGAAATCAATTTTCTAGCTAGAAAAAAATTATCTGAAGCTACTTTCAGTTACAGTAAAGTCATGAACATATCTTGGACTAAATTACCAGTTGGCATTTAATTTTACAGCAACATGTTGAAGGAAAGTTGATGTTTATTGATTTTACTCTGGAATCCTTTTACTTTCATGTCAGAATTTCTCAGATATAATAAAATAAGTTTATACTTTATCTAAAGAGAAGGCATGCCTTTGAAAGCATCAAAATAAAGGCAATTTGTGATATAAAAGAGCATCCCACTACATGTCTTGTTTTGAAAAGGTTATCACCCAATCAATACAATAAAATATGTTGTACGAGATGTCACAGATGGCTGGTGGGAGGTGTGGGTTAATTCTAGATTTGTGTGATGGCTGAGAGAGAGCCAAGACTGTATCTTGCCTCAATCCAGTAAATATTAAGTCTTATAACAATGGCTCTGGAAGGGACTTTAGAGATCATCTAGTCCTGAAACCCTTGCCATTTCATGAATGAGGAAATGGGTTCAGAAGGTTTAAGTGATTTGCTCAGAGTTACAGTGCTTATAGCACTGTCAGCAAGCTGGGCCATTGTTGTATACAGACTGCTGGAAGCAAGAAATTGCACAGGAACCTTCCTCACATTGCTATCTCTAAAGCTTGTCAAAAAGCAGACCTTGTCAAAATTGAGTAATAGATTATATGCTATGGGGTAGGGCAAAAGGAAAAGTTTTGTGTTCCTGATTAAATATCTTTAACAATATAATTTAATTTGATTATTTCATAAGAATGTTCTTTGTGCTTTTTTATCATAACTGAACCTAGAGTTGAAAGGCTTATCTTTAATTGGTACCCAGACAATCCAGAACAATAAGTGCTGTGACTTTGACACGCCTACAAATGATTTATAACTGTACTTAATTTTAACACAATATTCATGCTTTGTTTTTCTCCCTAATCATTTTTATATAACAATAAAGCAAAATACAATAAATCAGTATTAAATTTACATCATTAAATATATCTTTGTGAAGTTGTCAGAGTAGAACTATTGACTAATAGCTAATGTCACCACAGAATATTTTGAAATTTTCACTTGTGATCTGTTATTAGCAAGGTCATAACTTAGTTATGAAGGTGAATTTACAGGTGTCAATCTCTAATATATAAAAGAAGTGATTGTTCATAAGGGGAAAGTATTGAAATTGAGAAAAATCTACATTATGGTAGAGTACATGCTAATAAACTAAGCAATATATTATTGAAATGAATGAGCATGTTCTTACCAAGGAACTCTAAAGAATTTTTTCAGAGCCTATGACCTGAAAACCTTCGGGTAAATGAATAGTAGAAGAGGAAACAGAGGGGTTTTTACCTTCCTTCTCTTCTGAATAGTGTCACTACACTCTCAAAAGATAAGCAATGGAAAGTCACAGTGGCAGCATTGTAAAATCTATCGTATTTTTGATATGTATGTAATACATAATGATAATATTTTAAGAGAACAGAGCATGCAAAGTACAACATAAAAAGAAAAATCTCAGGGAAAAAGGTAGATGCTTGTAGATATCTATATGTTGAAATATGTGGAGACTTAAGTTAAGGTAAAGTAGCCTCTGGGCCACCATGATGGACAAGGTAGATATGCATAGCCAGAGGACCTATTTTGCCTTTGGCTCACAGCAGAACAGTTTTGCTTTTATTTTTACATACTATAGTTCCAACTAAAATTGTGTTTGAAGACAGTATTTCTACTGATTTAGCCAAAATGCACAGTATTTCTCTGGATTTTTCATTTTTCATTTGAATGGTAGTAATCATGGAGAAACCCAAATTTGCTAATCACGAGTTTGAATCATGAGGATTTTAGTGGGTTCTTTTTTCAACTGTGAATCTAATAAGTAATTATGAAATACGAACTCACGTTTAAAACTCTGAGGATAATAGCTTTCTCATGTAAAGTGGTACAAAGGGTGGAATCTGAGAAGCATTTTTTTTTCATGATATGCTTTCATGCTTCGAAGTTATTCACTTCCTGAACCAAACCACCTGCTGATTAGATTGATAAAAAGAGAATTCCCCCCTCCTTAGGTAACTATGGAAGAAAATCAGTATGTAAAGCATAAAGTCATTTATGAGCTGCACCCGACAGAGTCACATCCCCTCTTGTTCTCGTGTGCCATGTCTGGCTGCCTTCGGCTGCCCTGCTCTCCACCCAACCCCAGGCCATCTGGGGTTGAATCACCAAGCCATAGTTGATTCATTCTTCTAGATCAGAGGGTCTTAACATGTGTGTGTTAGACCTTGTTGGCAGTCTGATGAAGCACATTTACTCCATTTCAGAATGATGGTTTTAAAACTGTACTATATAGCATTATCAACAAAAGCAGTTATTGAAAATGCTTAAAATAAAAATTTAAGATAAAGTAATCTATGTCTTTCTATTAATACTTCGAATAACAAGATCTTGAAGCATATCTAACTACTGCCATAATTTCAAATTAGTGGTGCGTTAAAAGACATTTTCATATGTCGACCTTAACTGTAATATGACAAAAAAAAGTCATGACCAATAGAAATATTGGTCACAAAGTCTCAGGTCTGCCACTAATATTGTCTGTGACCCTCTTTCATAGTTGATGAAAATGCTAAATTTCAGTTAGATGCTAGTGAAATTAAAGATGTATATTTTCTCATCCAAACGAATCAACTCCTGAATTAAATATGCAAGTTAAATTCTACATTATATTCAGGAGTCAACTTCTCGGATTATAAAATATTTGGTACCACCTCCCACATGAAGGCCAGGATAACCACCCTTTCTCAGAACTCCGAAGATAGCATATGTTTGCCTCTGTCAAAGAACTTGGCCCAGTGTATTAACATTTTATTATTAATTTAATTTTGTGAAGTACTTATTTTAAATACACAGGTAAGACACAAATATGTTCTTGTCACAATTCAAACAATATAAAGACTGTTGGCTAACTACCAGCCACCCAGCCATGGCAGATTGCCAATCTTGAATTCCATTCTCTTTTCCTAAGGGAACAACTATTATAATTATTGTTTGTATCATTTCAGATGTACATTTTAGGCATTTACATACATACACACATATGTGTACATATATTTATATACATAAACATCTATAAATACTAAGTGTTATGTGTGTATGTTTAAGAAATTTTTTAAAACATTAAGAATAATGTAACAAATGTTTGCATCCCAAACACACAAAATTAATAGCTATTATTATTTTGTAATATTTGTTCACAATTTTTAGGGATTGTACATTACAAATACAGATGAAGCCTCACATTAAGGTTTGAGATTCTTTCATTTTCATTTATCTATACATTATCTGGACCTTCAATTAAAAAATATATATATTATATATATAAAATGAATTTAATGCATGTTTGTATGTTAACCATGTAGATGTCCATTTTTCTAAATTTATACATATAGATGTACATAAAACATGGAGTTTTCATGTATGCTTAATTTTTATGAATTGTATCATATTATATATAACATTCTATATCATGTTTTGTTTTTCACTCAATTGTGATATTTTGGCCATCTTCCCATATCACTATTTAGAGATCGAGTTTATGTGTATCCGAAGTATTGCATAGTTTTTGACTCTATGACTATATTACATTTTATTGACTCCTAATCCTACTGATGAGTATTTTGCTAGTGTAAGCATCTTACTTATTATAAACAATAGCCTAGTGAGAAAATTTTTAGACATTTCTAGGTAAATGTGGGAAAGTTTCTCTATGCGGAATTGCAACAGAAGAGTTTGTATGTACTTATATTCAATTTTATTAGAATATGCCAAGTTACAGCTGGGCGTGGTGGCTCACGCCTATAATCTCAGCACTTTGGGAGGCCAAGCCGGGCAGATCGCCTGAGGTCAGGAGTTTGAGACCAGCCTGGCCAACATGGTGAAACCCCGTCTCTACTAAAAATACAAAAATTAGCCACGCGTGGTGGCAGGCACCCGTAATCCCAGCTATTTGGGAGGCTGAGGCAGGAGAATCGATTGAATCCGGGAGGCGGAGGTTGCAGTGAGCCAAGATCGTGCCATTGCACTCCAGCCTGGGGGACAAGAGCGAGACTTCATCTCAAAAAACAAAACAAAACAAAAAGAATATGCCAAGTTACTCTCAGAGTATGTCTATTTAAATTCTCAGCAACTAAGGATGATAATCCTATTTCTCCAAGTGTTTGTTACTGTTGTTATATTTTTATAAAAAAAGTATGGCATTATTGAGATATAATTGAAGTAAATTGCATATATTTGAATAGTAATCATTTTTACTATGTATATGCCTGTAAAATCAACCTCAAAATCAAGATAATAAACATTTCCATCATCACTCATGAGTTCCTTGTGCCTATATGTGATGCATTCTCCACTCCACCCCATCTCCAGGAAACCACTGACCTGCTTTCTGATATTCTAAATGTATATGGTCTAGAATTGTATATCTCTGAAATCATAGAGTATAAACTATTTTTTTGCCTTACATTTTTTCACTTATTGCAATAATTTTGAGATTCATATTGCTCTGTGTATCTGTAGTTTATGCCTTTAAATGGATAAGTATCCAATTGCCTGCTCATGGACATTTGAGTTATTCTAGTTAAGAGACACTACAAATAAAGCCACTATAAATATTAGTATATGTCATTATTCATACATGGTTTTAGTTCCTCTTAGGTACATAACTAGGAAGAGAATGGCTGGGTCACAAACTAGATATATATTTAGTGTCTTACACCACCAAACATTTGCATTTTATATTTTATCTTCTCTCCACTACTGCACAAGAATTCCAGTTACACCAAATCCTCAGTAATACTTGATACACTCATTATTTTTTATTTTAGCAAATCCAGTGGATGTACATGGTGTGCAGTGGTATCTGATTGTGGTTTAATTTGCATTTCTCTGATAACTAATGATATTTAGTATCTTTCCATGTGCTCAGTTGCCATTCCTAGCTCATCTTTTGTAAAGTGCCCATATCTATTGCCCAACTTATATTGGATGATTTACTTTATTATTGCATTGTAAAGTTTCTTTATATATTCCAGGAGCAAGTTCTCTGCCCTATATATGTGTTGTAAATAACTTTTACCAGTATGTAGCTTTCATTTTCATCTTCTTAATTGTGTACTTTAATGGGAAACATTTTTTAAATGTTAGTGAGATCCAACTTACTAATTTTTTTATATTATGCTTTATGCTTTATTCATTCTTCTAGAAACCATTGCTCATGCCAGCATAGTAAAGATTTTTCTTTTCTTCTAGATATTTTAATCTTTTACAATTACAGTTAAGGCTATGATCCATTTGAAGTTAAATTTTGTGTATAATGTGAATAAAGTGTATATTTTTATTATTTTACCTTTGCTTACTTGTATCATTTGTCCATCACCCTTTGTTAAAAATACGTTTATTTCCTCATAGCAATGCCTCATTTTCTTTATGTTGTAGGCACAATTCTGGACTCTATATTCTCTTCCAGTGATGTATGCATGTGTTTCATCTTCTCAGCAGTACCAATTTTTGTGCTTTCTAATGACCTATGTAGTAAGTCTTAAACTCAGTTAGGATAAGACCTTCAATTATTCTAGTGATTCCAAATCCTTTGCATTTCAAATCCTTTGCATATTTTAGAAGCAGATTTGTCAATTTATTTTTAAAAATAGGTAATCAAACTTTGTCACTTTAATATCATTTTATTGAATCTTTAGAAAGATTTTAAATTTTGACATCTTAACAATAGTGGTCACTTCAACTCATGAGTATCATATATCTTTGCATTTATTCATTTCTTTTTTGACTTATTAATGTTTTAAAGTTTTCAGTATGGAAGGCTTGACTGTGTTTGATTAGATATATTTCTAAGTATGTAGTGATTTTGGTGCCACTGTAAAAGGGATTTTAAAAATTTACTTTCTAATTGTTTGCTTTTTGTAAATGCAAATATACTTTATATTATATATTTACTTTGTATCTGAAAATTTGCTAAATTTATGTACTTATCTTAGTGGTTACTTGTAGGATCCCTGGAATTTTCTGTATGAACAATCATGTAACCCACAAATAGAAAAAGTTTTACTTCTTTTCTTTCAGTCATTACACTTTTTATTTCTTTTTCTTGCCTTATTGCTATGCCTAAGACAACCAGTACAATGTTGAATAGACATGGCAATAGTGAGTGTTTATTTTTTATCACCTATTTCAGATAAAAGCAATTAAGTCTTTTATTAGGTTGTAAAATATTGGCCATGTAATTTTATAAATGCCCTTTGTCATTTGGAAAGTCCCATACTATTAACTGATTTGCTGATAGTTTTTATCTTAAATGCATGTTCAATTTTGTCAAACAATTTTTCTGAAACAATTGAAATAATATACTTTTGGTGAATTACATTGGTTAATTTTTAAATCTCACTTATCTGGAATAAACTGTGTTTGCTCATAACATATTTCCCTTTGTTATGTTTGATTACTTCATATATTTTTAAGACTTTTGCATCTATGTTCATGAAGAATATTGGTCTTTTCTTTTTATATATTTTTTCAGGTATTAGGGTTATATTGGCCTCATAAAATGATTTCAGTATTGACCTTTCTCCTTGATGTTCTGAAGATGTTTGTCTAAATCTGGTATTTCTTCATTGCGTGTTTGATAAATTTCATCAGTGAAACATCTGGGACTGGAGATTTATTTTTGAAAAGATTTTAAATAACAGATTTGATTTTTAAATAAGTATAGATATACTCAGCTTTTCTGAATAGGGAAATATAGCTATTTTGCTATGTTTTGTTTTTAAAGAAATGTTTATATATTATCCAATCATCCAAGTTGTCAATTTGTTCACATAAATTTGTTCATAGCATTCTCTTCTTAGTGTCTAGAATCTGATAACTTCTTTTTCACTCTTTATGATTTCCCTTTCTCTTTATCTCTCTCTCCCCTTGATCAGTTGAACTAGAGGTTAATCAATTTGGTTGATACTTTAAAATAATTAGCTATTGGCTTTGTACATTTTCTCCATTGCCTGCTTTGTATTTTTTAAAATTTCTACTTTTTGTTATTTTTTCTTTTATTCATTTGGATAACTTTGCTTTTATTTTTATAGCTACTTAGGTTTTAAAAATGTGATTTATTTGACATATTTTCTTTTTTCTAACATAAGCATTGAAAAATATAAATTTCCCCCAAGCGCTGCTTTACTTTCAACATACACATTTTGATATGTTTTTTATTGTCACTGACTTAAAATGTCTTATATTTTTCTCCAAGATTTTGTCTTTGTTCCAGGTATTATATAGAAATGTATTGTTTATTTTGCAGCTAGTTGGATTCTTCAAAAAAAATGAGTACCAGTAGCAGTAGTATTGAATTTTAATTTGTTTTGTAAGAGAATGCCATCTGTATGATTCTGAACATTTTAAATTTATAGAGATTATTTTATGGCCCAACATATGTACTGTATTGGTGAATGTTCTGTGTGCATTTTAAATGAAGTTACATTCTGCATTTGCTGAGTGTATTGTGCCATAAATGTCATATAGATCAAGTGGTTGCTAGTGTTGCTAGATCTTCTATGCTTTTAGTAACTTTTTGCTTAGTTTATCAGTTGTAGAGATGGGGTATTAAAGCTCTCTTAGCTGTGGAATCATCTACTTCTTCAGCTAATTACGTCTGTTTTTGCCTCGTATGTTTTGAGGTCCTGTTACTACATACATACACACTGATAATTATTATTTATAGCTGGTGAAGTATTCCCTTGTTTTGTTATAGAATTTTCTCCTTATCTCTGCTAACACTCTTTGAATTCAAGTCTATTTTATGTGATATTAACATAGCAACTCCAAACTCCTCTATACTTCGTGCATGGTATGTCTTTTTTTTTTTTCATCCATTTATTTTCACCTGTGTCTTCATTTTTAAAGTGTTTCTCTCATAGGCAACATATAGGAGAGCCTTACTATTTTCTCCACTGTGTTATTCACTAAATTTTAATTACATTGTTTACATGATTAATATTTAGTGTAATCATTGATTTAATTAAATTTAAGTGTACAATTTTATTACTGTTCTCTCTCCTCTTATTTTTGTTGTTTTCCTCTGTGTTCATGGTCCTGTCTTATTTTGGATTATGTGAATTCTCTTTTAGTTTATCTATTGGCTTTATGGACACATTACATTACCTTTTTTATGGTTGCTCTAGGAATTACAATATACATATTTAACTTTTAACAGTCTGAAGAGTTGATATTTTTACTATTTCCTGTGAAATCTAGAAAACATTGCCATTCTGTGGGTCCTTTCTTATTCTCTCCTGCCTTTTATGTTATGGTTGTCATATGTATTACATCTGTATACACTGAAAGCACCAGGCAATGTTAGAATATTTGCCTTAAATCATCATATGTATTTTAAAGAGCTTAGAGCAGGGGAAAATATATATTTTATATTTATCCAGCTGTTTACAGTTTGTATTTGTTTCTTTATTCCTGAAGATCAAACTTTCCCATTCACATCATTTCCCTTCAGCCTGAAACCTTCCTTCAGATTTTCTTTAAAGTAGGTCTCCTGGCATGAATTCTCTTGGTTTTCTTTCATCTGAGAGGTCTGCATGGTATCTTCATTTCTAAGTGATGTTACCAGTACATAAAACGTCCTGGTGTGACATTCTAGTTTTCCTTTTAGCACTCTGCAGCTATTTTTATTCTTCCTCTGCCCTTGTTGTAGACAGAAACAGATGACCCCTGTGATCCCAACCTCCTGCCATTCATGCCTTCATATAGTCTCCTCCCTTTAAATGTGAGCAGGACCTGTGATTGCTTCTAACAAGTGGAATAATAGCAAATGATATAAAACATACATGATTATAATTATGTGATTGTATAAAGTTTTAATTCCCATCTTGATGGAGTCTCTCTCTGTTGCTGGCTTTGGAAGCAAGCTGCCATGAATCCAGATCTATAAGGAAATGAATTTTGGCAACAGCCCAAGGGAGTGTTAAAGTAAATACTTCCTCAGTAGGGTCTCTGATGAAATCCCAGTTCTGACCAAAACCTTTATTGCAACTTATGATGCCCTGAGCAAAGGTACTCCATTTCTATAGATATTTGATCTCTACCCCAATCACCTCCCTGAATTCTATTATTCTATATCCAACTACCTATATGATACCTCCATTGAAGGTCTAATAACCATCTTAATATTTGGTTACCAAAATTTTATTCCCAAACCTTAACTTCCTACCATCCCCCAACCCCAATATTACTTGACAGCCTGCTGAATCTCAGAGATTATTCACCATTTTTCAGTTGGTTCCTTAATCCGTTCATTAGTAGATCATACTGATTTTACTCTTCCTAATTAATTCATATATTCATTCATTAATTCACTCAACTTACATCATCTGGTCTTCGCTGAGAACCCTCTAGGAAACTAAGACACTACATGGAGCAAATCAGACAGGGTTCTGGTTTTCTCTTATGCATTTTATATTTTATTGGATTGAGGTACACAGTAAGCAAATAAACATATGTCAAATATGGCAAGCAATTATATGAACTATAGTGAAAGATAAATCAGAGGACATGTTTACAGCATAAATGGTGAGACTACAGCATAAAGATTGACCAAGTCATATTTTTCCAAAAATACAATGCATCATGCCGCTTCTCTATTCAAATCTTTATCTATCTCATTACTATTTCATGAAAAGTGAAAGTAGACATACTCGATTATGTCTTTTAAGAATGCTATCTAGTCCCTGCCATCTCTGACATCAGCTGCATCCTTCCTTGTCATTCCCTTCCTACTATACTGGCCTATTTTCTCTTGTTCAGCATATCTCAAGAACATCACTTCCACTTTAGTGCTTTTGCATTAGTTGCTGCCTTCTTTCAGCTGAAATCCTCCTCCTCTAGATCTCTACATTACTGAGTTTTGACTTTCACCTCCCTCAAAAATCTTCCCACTCTTGTCCATCTAATTCCCTGATCTCTGCCATGTCGATGGCTTTTATTTTTATCATTACATGTATTACTTGATACAGTCATGCTTGCTTTTAGTTTGTTGATTTAATGTCTGTGTTCCCAACTAGAATGTTTAGTCTATTAAAGGACGAACTTTGTATATCTTCCTCATGGGTATGTCCACACAATGCTGGAGAGTGGAAGCTCAGTAAATATTTATTAACCAAATTATCTTACTTAAATCCTCAAAATAATCCTATGGATTAGACACTATTATTTTCCCACTTTTAAAGATGAGAAAAAATGGTGTTTGGAGAAGCTAAAGGACATGTTAGAGAAGCCTTAATAAGATTCAGAGTCAAGATTTGAATATGTATCTGCCTGGCTCTAGAGCCTAAATTCTTACCCATTGAGGTATGGGGCCTGGGATAAATTCCATAGTTCTTGCTTGGGTCCCCTAGTACATGACAAGAATATCCACAGAGGTTACTGTTTCATAGGAGAACAAGTCAGATGTGCATTGTAGTGCATTGCATTTCAGATGCTTATGATTCATACAATTGCATTGCAGGTATAGAGTTGGAAGGCAACATATTTAAAACACCATCATTTGCACCTCTCTCTGAAAATGTCATATGAAGATGAATGAAAAGGTTCAGACACCAGTATAGCAAACTAATGTCAACATACTACTAAATAGCATATTCTCTACATTTTAATAACTGAGCTACAGTAAGTTCCCAATAAAAGTAACTTATTTCTAAGTGGTTTAAGATAAAGAAACTACAGAAAAATGCTTTCCTTTGTGTTCTTGCAAAATTAGGTAGTGCATGTATAAGAAACACATCACATAGACAGCAAGGTAATTCCCCAGAGCTTAGGCCCCATGGTCAAAAACAGAGACATTTTTTCCTTTTAAAATTAAATTTCCACTTAGTGTTTTGACAAAAGATATTTTCTTAATTTTTATTTCCTTGAGTGATCCACATTTTATGACAAAATAAACACTGACCCTAAAATAATTTATTTAATTACCCTATATTTGCCTTTCAGATTTAGTTTCCAAAACCTTCTCAGTCCTCTAATGCCATACGTAATCTGTGTTGCATAAACAGAGGCTTTTGCAGTTTTGTATCCTACAGCCTTGAGACTGAAGAAAGTTAAAAAGGAAGGCCTGCCATTTATTAGAAAAGAGTTTTGGTTATAGTTAAAACTTTTGACCTTTTCACTAATAGATGCAAAGGAAATTGCAAGTCAGATAACAGTTGTCCCAAACCAGAACTAACACTAACACATGTAATTAAATTATGGCCCAAGGCTGATACACTGTAGTAGACAGAGCAAGGCTCATGTAAAAGGATGCAGTTGGTCTGCGTTCAGCTCAGCCACTGTCTGGGGCCTTAGGAAAGAAAGACACTTCTCCTCTCTGAGTTCAAATCTCTCATCTGCTTTGAACCTGTCTAATCTTCATAGGGTATCATTTAATGATACACTTTGAGAGATGAAAACCACGGGCATCAATGTAATTATTACTCCAGTTAGGCTATCAGCTATAGATATAGGTAAATTCTGATGCACATTCATCCACAATACTAGCACTGACAGTTCCTTTTCTCTTGGAAGGTTTGTACTACAGATCAACACCAAATTAGAAGGAAATGCAATAGAAGGTCTACTGACTTTCCCTCAAGTAAGATGCATGATTTTAATGACAGTTGTATATCCCATCAATTCCCTTGCCCTCATCTCACTGTGTCGTACTTATCTGGGAAAACTCAACTCTTTGCCTCTGCCACACCTGAACCAGAGCAACTAAATTTGGGTAGAAGAAAGCATAAAACTCTGCAAAGAAGTCTGGCTTTAAATGCTCGAATTCTAACTTCATATAGCCTATTGGATGCCCATACATTCTAGTACAAATTTATTTTCCTTCTTCTTCCCCCAGATAACTATTTCACAACTTCTGTCTCCTTGAACTTCCAACACTTCCTCTTTCACCTTCATTCTCAGGTGATGGCCTAGGATCCCATTTTACCAACAAAACGGAGAGAATCAGAAGGTAAATCCATATGCTCTGACCAAAATACCTACAAGAAAACTGCTTTTGCCTTTGCCAATTTTTTCTTAATTCCAGTTAAGATGAACATACTGCTCAGGCTTCTGTCTAAGGCCAATCCCACTGGGATGCATTAGAACTTGTCTTCTCTCACCTGCTCAAGGAGATGGTTGTTCCAGCATTGTTAAATCATTACCTTATACTCTTTATTGGATCATGATTATTAACTTGTGAACATGCTATAATAATTCTCAGTTTCAAACCAACCAAAAATTATCTTTGATCCTATAGCCCCTTCCAGCTTTATTCTCTTTTATAGAAAATCTTTTCAGAAAAGCTATTTCAATATTAGGTATCCAAATCATCTTCTGTCAGTCTCTCTTAAACCCTATATGATCAAGCTTTCAACCCGTAGTTCCACTAAAACTACTGGTTTCAATTATAGGCCTGTGTCGTACTATACCTATCAGCTATATTTGATACAGTGAATCAACTCTTCTTGAAACTCATCCACTTACTTAGTTTCCAGGACATTTCCCTTACTTTATTTTTTTTCAATGTCACTTGCAGCTTCTTTTCATTCTCCTTTGTTTATTTGTTTACCTATTGTGATCTCAAAGCAATAAAAAGCTTTGGGTGACAAATCTCAGACGTCTGGTCTATCTACACTAACACACTCAGTGATCTCTTCCAAACCCAAGATTATTAATATTATCTTCAGTCTGACAACTTCCAAATTTATATCCTCAGTTCAAGCCTTTTTCTGGAACCTCAGACTTATAAACACAATTACCTACTAGACACCTTCACATAGGTGATTAATATGTATCTCAAACCCAGTGTTTCCAAAAATTATAATCTGATTTCCCCCTATTACCCACTAGAACTGATTCCCCAAAATCTTCTTTATCTCATATAATGGCAACACAAACTTTTCAGTTGCTAAGGCCAAATCATTCCTATATGGTTTCTCTCTCCTATGCACTTTACCAAAGCTAATACCTTCTTAAAATATACAAGCTATAAAGCCACTTTTCAAAACCAATGACATTACACTCTTGTTCAAGACACTGTGTAATCTCACCTGGATTCTGTCCATAGTCTCCTAATTTGTTTCTCTGCTATATCCTTGCCCAACTATGGTCGTTTTTTACCCAAAGGTAGAGTAATTCTATAACTCTTCTTCTCAAATCCTCTAGTGAATCCCCATCTCACTCGTAATAAAAGCAAGCATATTTACAATAGCACAGGAGGCATTGCATGTTCTGGTCCCTATTAGCTCTGTTACACCATGTCTTACAACTCCCTCCATGTGTTCCATCTGCTTCAGTTACATCGGCCTCTTCCTTCTTCTAGAATGTGCCAGCTACCATCCTAACTCAGCTTATGCACTTTCTGTTCATTCGGCTTGGAATGCTCTTTCCCAGAAAGGTGGGAGTGTGCTTGACAAATTATCCGTTTTTATATAGCTTACTTCTTAGCTCTAGGAAGCAAGTTAGATATTTATTCTTCCTTAGTGTCTGGCAGTCTTTGATTCTATTCTAGACACAAGTAAAGAATAGGTAGTGGCATTGGGTGTGCTCAAATTCAAATAGGCTCACATATTCTTAAATAAGCCCTTGTTGAAATTTCACACATATGCTTTGCAATATTCTTCTTTGTAACTCTAGTTCTTAGTGCATTGGCACAAAGGGAAAATAAGGTTAGTAAATTAATGAAGGTTTTATGTATGCCATGCAATGTGAAATTTATACATACATAGTTCTTAGTAATATCAGGGCAACTGCAATCTGGTAGTAAAAACAAATAGATATAGTCACTGGGGAGCTGCATGCAAACATTTAAAGTATACAGTAGAGATAAATTAGATATATATAGCTTAGAGTTGGGGAAGATGGATTATTACTGGGCAATGTAGAATTTGAGATTGTCTCTGATGAATGGGAAGGATTTCGAGAAGCAGAAATAGCTGGGAAGGGCAGATTAAATAAAGACCAGGAACTAGAGTGAGTATAACAGAATATGTAGCCGCATATTTCCAATTCTTCTAAAAAACAAAATATGGCTTTCAGATTCTGAGACCCTCTCACTCTTAAATCCATACACTTAGCTTCAGAAGGGGTGGATGTTAATGTATATCAAGGGTTGTAATGAAGATTCTGGAGGCTCTCTTGAACTAGAAGCTACTGGAAAGCAACTATAATTTCAAAGTTCCTCAAATTTGAGGTCCAGGCAAATATTCCTAATGAGTGCAACACAACACACACAGACAGACAGAAAGACACACACACACACAAACACGGGGGCGGTGGGGGAGGGAGAGAGAGAGAGAGAGAGAAAGAAGAACACAGGTAATGTAGCTTTAAGGAGAGACATTTAACCTTGATTTAGGAGCTGAATGTGTTCAACAGCTATAAATTTACACAAGGGTTTCTCCAATCATTTTGGAAAATTAGTTTTACAGTTGCAATAGAATTTTTATCTTTTTAAAATATAATTTTAAGCTAGCATACAATAAAGTTAACTTTTTAAATTTTGGGTATACTATTCTAATTATTCTAACATCCATATAGATTTATGTAACCACTGCCACAATCAAGATACAAAATAATTGTCACCCCCAAAATTCTCTTCTGCTGTTCCTTTGTCATGAACCACAAACCTAACCTCTAACCCCTGGCAACCACTGATTTCCTTCTATCATCATATATTTGCTTTTAAGAGAATGCCTTATAAGTGAAATCATAAAGTATGTAACTTTTTTACTGGCTTCTTTTATTTGGCAACATGCCTTTGAGATTCACCCATGTATTGTAAGCATCAAGTGCTTGCTCCTTTTTTATTATGTAATGGTGTATCATTGTATGGATATACCACTATTTGCTTTTCCTTTTACTGGTTGAAGAATATGTGGATTGGAGGGTAAAGAATAAACTAGTTATAAACAATTGTGTACAGGTTTTTGGGCAAAAATAGTTTGCTTTTTTCTAGGGTAAATACTATATGCCAGGCTATCTAGTAAGTGTATATTATTTAACTTTATAGGACATATGCATCTGTTTGCAGAGTGGCTGAGGATTTTTGCTGTTCTAGTAATGGCTGTTGTTTGTGTGTGTGTGTGTTTTTGCATAAAATTAGCCATTCCAGTAGTTGTATAGGGGTATCTCAATGTTGTTTTAATTTTTATTTTAATTTGATGTTGAATATCTTTACATGTGCTTATTAGTCATACCAATATTTTCTTTAGTGAGGGGTTTATTCAAATAGTTTCTTCAAATTTTTATTGGGTGATTAGTTTACTTATTTTTGAAATTTGAAAGTTTTTAAAAAATATTCTATATACAAGTCTTTTTTTAGATATGTGATTGCAATATTTTCTCCTAGTTTGTAGCTTGTCTTTTTATTTTCTTAGAAATACCTTTAGTGGAGCAAAAAGATTGGAATTTTGATAAAGGACAAAAACCTTTCTTTTTTAAGATTGTGCTGTTGGTGTCATATCTAAGAACTCTGCCTAACTCAAGGTCACAAGATTATTCTCATGTTTTCTTCCAAGGGTCTTATAATTGTACATTTTACATGTACATCGTGACCCATCTTGAGTTCATGTAGAGAGGTAAAGGTTTAGTTTCTTTTCTGTCTCTTTTTCTTTCTCTCTTTTCTTCCTCCCTTCCTTTCCTTCACCATTCAGTAATTGTATTAGGCCATTCTTGCATTTCTATAACGAAATACCTGAGATTGAGTAATATTAAAAATAAAAAGAGGTTAATTGGCTCACAGTTCTGCAGGCTTTACAGAAAACATGTTGTGGGCATCTGCTCTACTTCTAGAGAGGCCTCAGAAAGCTTACAATCATGGTGGAGGTGAAGGGGGAGCAGGCACATCACATGGTAAAAACAGGAGCAAGTTAGAGAGAGAAGGGGGTTAGGGGTGGGGAAGGTGTCACACACTTCTAATCAACCAGAGCTCATGAGAACTCACTATCACAAAGATAGCACCAAGCCACGAGGGATCTGCCCCCTGGATCCAAACACCTCCCAGCAGACCCCACCTCCAGTCTTGGGGATTACAATTCAACATGAGATTTGGGTGGGGACAAATATACAAATTATGTCAATAATTTTTACATCATTGTCAAAAATCAATTGGTCATATTTATGTGGGTCTATTTTGGAGGTCTTCTATTCCATTCTATGTATCTATCTGTCAGACCATTTATTTTTATCCACCTTATTTTCTGGACTTAAAGTAATACTGTATTGGGGGCCCATTACAATAGATAACAGAATCATTTAACATATAACAGTAGATCTCTTTGATACTTAAAGATCTGTTTAATGCTCTCTGAGCTTGGTTACATAAGTCATCAAGGACAAGAAAAGTCTCTTTAACCTCTATAACTGTTGTTATATATAAATATAGTCTTAAACAAAGGTAAATATTAATATTAAGGTTGCTGGTGTAAGTGCCTGATATCTAATTCCAAATACAGATCTTAAATATTTGAACAGTTTTAGATAATGAATATAGCAAGGTAAAAATAAATGGAATATTTTAAACTAATATATACAATCTTTCCTTGAGTCACTAATCAAAATATGAGAATTTTCCCCTTTAGTCTCTTCTTTACTAAGATAATGTAAAACTCTGGAATTATCTTAAATTCTATGCAGTAGTTGAATTATGAGTGTCTTTGATTATCTGGCTTGAAGGTTGT
The DNA here is from genome assembly GCF_000001405.40 of Homo sapiens. Classification (NCBI taxonomy): domain Eukaryota; kingdom Metazoa; phylum Chordata; class Mammalia; order Primates; family Hominidae; genus Homo; species Homo sapiens. The sequence continues at coordinate 18,915,942 of NC_000004.12, read as the reverse complement.
TTTGCAGGGAGACTCATAGGACAACTTAGAACAGTTGCCTTTAAGCTGTAGAAAGACAAGGTGACTACACCTTGTTTAGATCTGCAAATATTATCTCCTGGTTTACAGTTTAGAACTTGCTTGCTATTTTAGGCAAAGGCAACCTCAGTTGTAGGAGACAGAATTAGAAGTGAAAATTGAAATAACTAAAAATATTCTTAAAAATAGTTAGCAAGGGCTTTAGTTTATAAATATCATCCTCCTGCCCATGTTTCTTTGATTTCATACCCCTTGCTATAATGCCAGGCACTTCTTCCCAGTGACAGTTCTCATTTCCCATTTTTCAATTTTAAAAATCTTCCACACTTATTTTACCTACTTCTAATATGCTTGCAACCCAATAGTAGGATGTATTCAGCTATTTGGAGATTGCAAAATGTTCGCGTTTCTTATGTTATGCCTTGTGATTTAACTTTACAAATAATTCAGCAGGCCTAGTAAGTGCGGTTGAATGTCCAAATATGTGTAATCTGTCCTCCATTTTCTGGTATAGCCTTTTCTTTAAAAAAAAAAATCAAATCACTCAAGCTAACATGCCATTCAAAAGCAGAAATTATAGCATCCTCCAAGGAAACTTCAGGGGCAATTTACATTGTCAAGGCTATTTTCATTCTCAATTTGAATTCACAATGAATCTTCCACACCTGCTTTGGTATTGCCTTTTGCAGCTCCTGATCTCTCAACTCACTTATCCCAAATTTATGAAACATCTCTTTCCCTTTTCACTCACTAAAAGCACACCTACCACAAGGACTTTAAGTATAAAACATTTTACTGGTTACTTGGGTAAATGGAAATGAGGCAAGACAGTTTTGTAAATTGATTATGACACTACGAGAAATGCTACTGAAAACCACGAGTCAGGATGTACTATTCCTAGAAATGTACCCCTCATTCCACTAGCCATGTTTCTTCTCAACCCTATCCCTCACCATACTTTATCTTCTACATTCATTTTACATCTCTCCTCTTTTTGGGTGTCAATATTCTTCAAGACCTACAAGAGGCTAACGTCAGAATTATTGAAACTTTATCATATTGTAAGATCTAATTAGTAGAGTTTTGTCTAAGCCTCTACTAAAGAAGAACACCTTACATAATAAAACAGACACTTCATTGAGTTGAGTTATTCTTAAATGAAGAGCAATTCTTTTCTTAGAAAAATTTTCTCTAGAACAACTAGCTCAATCTGCTTCCACCTGTAAATATAAAAATTATTGATATAGTACAGTAAAATTATCATGAATTATAAGAAACTTTTTTTCTCATAAAACAAAAAGGATCTGCCCATTGCTGGTTTTGTGGATGTACTTTATATGTCAGTGTAAATATCACACAAAATGGGATGAAAAAGGAGACATCAGAAAGAAAAGAATTATCTGAGAAAATAAAATATGGATTATTCTCTTGAGGCAGTTGTGGCCTGACATGTAGGAACATGAAAAATTCCTGACAATTCTTAGGAATTACTTGCTTCTCCACAATGAGCTGAGGTATTTGGTGGGGAACTCTAATTTTCTTAAGAATTGCAGCAGCTTCCAGTTTAAGAATTATTCACTTTGGTGCTTCAGGTTGAGACTGTTAGTGTTGACTCCTCTGACTTGCAGGAGATCCTCCGATTTTCAATAGCAGCTTCCCTGTCTCTGCCATAACAGCTCTTCCAACAGATATTTAAGTCCATTATTGTGCATAAAATGACTCTACCTGAATACACAGGATGCCTTCTGTCTTCCTGACTCAAGCTTGACTGACACACTAACTAATTCAGACATTGGAGTTTTGTGGTATTTTTCATATTTTATGTTTACCTTTATTTTGTTTATAATGATTCCATAAAATTAATTTTTAAGGATAGAATATTCTAATTCCAAAAGTTTTAAACTACAATGAACTCTTTTTATTGAGTTTTAGTGAGGTATATTTGACAATTAAAATTCTATCTATTTCAGGCATATTATCTGAAGTTTTGATATACTTATACATTGTGAAATTATTACTACAATCAAGCTAACACACCCATTATCCCACCTAGTTACCTTGTATGTGTGTGTGTGTGTGACTGGATACATAGGTGTGTGTAGGTATGCTGAGAACAACTGAGACTTACTCTGTTAGCAGATTTCAAGTACAGCCCTCCTCTTGGCTGCTTTCATGAGCTGGCATTGAGTGCCTGTGGCTTTTCCAGGTGCACGGTACAAGCTGTCAGTAGATTTACCATTCTGGGGTTTTGAGGACAGTGACACTCTTCTCAAAGCTTCGCTGAGCAGTGCCCCAGTGGGGAGTCTGAGTGGGGGCTCCAATCCTACATTTTTCTTCTGTACTGCCCTAGCAGAAGTTCTCCATGAGGGCTCCACCCCTGCAGCACATCTCTGCCTGGACATCCAGGCATATCCATATATCCTCTGAAATCTAAGTAGAGGTTCCCAAACCTCAATTCTTGACTTATGTGCATCTGCATGCCCAACACCATGTGTAAGTCACCAAGGCTTGGGGCCTGCACCTTCTGAAGCTATGTCCTAAGCTGTAAGTTGGCCCCTTTTATCCATGGTTGGGCCACAGGGCACCAAGTCCTGAGACTGCATAGAGTAGGAAACCCTGGGCCCAGCCCATGAAACCTTTTTCCTCCTAGGCCTTCAGGTCTGTGATGGGTAGGGGCTGTTGTGAAGAGCTCTGACATGCCCTGGAGACATTTTCCCAATTGTCTTGGTGATTTACAATTGGTTCTTCATTACTTATGCAAATTTCTGCAGCTGACTTGAATCTCTCTTCGGAAAATGGAATTTTCTTTTCTATTGCATCATCAGGCTACACATTTTCTGAAGTTTTATGCTCTGCTTCCCTTTTAAACCTAAGTTCCAATCCCAAACCATACCTTTGTGAATAAATAAAACTGAATGCTCTTAAAAGCATCCAAGCCACCTCTTGAATGCTTTGCTACTTAGAAATTTCTTCCACCAGGTACCCTAAATTATCTCTCTCAGGTTCAAAGTTCCACAAATCTCTAGAGCAAGGCAAAATGCCACCAGTCACTTTGCTAAAACACAGCAAGAATGACCTTTGCTCCAGTTTCAAATAAGTTCCTCATCTCAATCTGAGACCACCTCAGCCTGGACTTCATTGTCAATATCACTATCAGCATGTTGGTCAAAGCCATTCAACAAGTCTCTAGGAAGTTCCAAACCTTCCCACATCTTCCTGTCTTCTTCTGAGCCCTCCAAACTGTTCCAAATTCTGCCTGCTACCCAGTTCCAATGTTGCTTCCACATTTTTGCTTATCTTTATAGCAGTGCCCCACTCCTGGTACCAATTCACTGTGTTAGTCCATTCTTATGCTGCTATGAAGAAATAACGGAGACTGGGTAATTTATAAAGGGAAGCAGTTTAATTGACTCACAGTTCAGCATGGCTGGGGGAGCCTCAGAAAACTTACAGTGATGGAAGGCAAAGGGGAAGCAAGGCACCTCCTTCCCAAGGCAACAGGAAGGAGTATGAATGCAGAAGAAACTACCAAACACTTATAAAACCATCAGATCTCATGAGAGGTCACTCTCTATCATGAGAACAGCATGCGGGAAACCACTTCCATGATCCAGTTACCTCCACCTGGTCTCTCCCTTGACTTGTGAGGATTATGGGAATTATAATTCAAGATGATATTTGGGTGGGGAAACAAGGCCTAACCATATCACGGGCATTTTCTCCTATACCGTAAGTTTCCTCTCATTTTTTTGATGGTTTCTTTTGCTGTGCAGAACGTTGTAGTTTCATGTGTTCCACTTGATTATTTTTGCCTGTCTTCTCTGTACTTCTGGTGTCCAATCCAAAGAGTCATTGCCAAGACCAATGTCAAGGCGATTTCCTCTGTTTCTTTCAAGCAGTTTTAGAATTTCAGATCTGATGTTAACTCTTCAATGCATTTTGAGTTAGTATGATAAAGTGTCCAATTTCATTCTTTTACATGTGGATATACAGTTTTTCAAATATCAGTTAGTGACAAGACCACACTTTCCCTATTGTGTATTATTTGTGCCTTTCCTAGAAATTTGTTGACCATATACGCATGGGTTTATTTCTGAGCTCTATTTTTTTTCCATTAGTCTATGTGTCTGTTTTTATGCCAGAATTATACTTTTTCTAATTAGTATAGCTTTGAAATACGATTTTTATTTCTTCCAATTTTGTACTTTCTGTTCCAAATTAAGCTATTGAGTATCTTTCATAGTTTCATACAAATTTTATAATTTTTAAAATTTTTTTTGGAAAATGCCATTGGAATATTGATAGGGATTGCACTGATCTTTAGATTTCTTTGGGTGGTATGGACTTTTTAACAATATTAACACTTCCAAACCATAAACACAAGATATCTTCCCATTTATTGGTGTCTTCTTCGATTTCTTAATCCTTTGAATGTACAGATCTTTCACTTTCCTGATTAAATTTAAACCTAAGTAGTCTATTTTTTGATGTTATTTTAATGGTATTATTTTCTTAATTTCTTTTTCACATCGTTATCGTTACATAGAAGCACAACTGGTTGTTGTATGTTGATTTTTATGTCCTGCAGCTTTGCTGAATCTATTTATTTATTTGTTTGTTTTAGAGAAAAGGTCTCACTCTGTTGCCCAGGCTGGAGTACAGTAGCGTAATCAGAGCTTATGGGAGCCTAGAACTTCTAGGCTTAAAGGATCCTCCCACCTCAGCTTCCTTAGTAGTGAGGACTACAGGTATGTGTCACCATGCCCTGCTAATTTTTAAATTTTTTGTATAGGTAGGGTCTCATTCTGTTGCCCAGGCTGGTCTCAAACTCCTGGGCTCATGAAATTCTCCCACTTCAGCCTCCCAAAATACTGAGATTATAAGTGTGAACCTCCATGCCTTGCCTGAATTTATTTATTTAAACATTTTTGGGGGGTTGGGGTGGAGTCTTTAGGGTTTTCTACACAATATCATGCTATCTCCAACACAGATAATTTTACTTCTTCCTTTCCTATTTGGATTCCTATTTTTTCTTGCCTGTTTGGTCTGGCTAGGACTTTCAGTACAATGTTTACTAGAAGTAGCAAGAGTGGCCATCTTTTACTTGTTTCTAATCCTGATCTTAGAGGAAGAGCTTTCATATTTTCACCATTCATTATGATGTGCTTTAGGCTTGTCTTACATGGTCTTTAGAATGTTAAGGTACCTTCCCTCTATATCTTATTTGATGAAAGTTTTTATCAAAAAAAGATGTTGAACTCTATCACATCCTTTTTCATCTGCATGTACAGGTTATTGTATGATTTTTATTCTTCATTTTTATAGTGGTCTGACACTTATTGATTTATGTAGTTTGAACTATACTTACATCCCAGGGATAAATTCCACTTGATCATGGTGTACTTTTAGTGTACTCTTGAATTTTGTTTGCTAGTATTTTGTTGAGGATTTTTGCATCTATTTGCACCAGGGATATTGATATATAATTTTCTTTTCTTGTATTTTTCCTATTTGACTTTGGCATCAGGGTAATGATAACCTAATGAAATGAGATGAAAATGTTCCCTTCTCTTTGATGTATTCAAAGAGTTTGTAAAGGATTGGTATTAATTCTTTTTAAATGTCTGACAAAATTCACCAGTGAAGTCTTGTGATGCTGAACCTTTTTTGGTGAGAGATTTTCAGTTGTTGATTCAATCTCCTTGTTCATTATTTGTCTGTTCAGATTTTATTGTTTCTCCATGATTCAATCTTTGTAGCTTGAATGTTTCTAGAAATTTATCTGTTTCTTTTTGCACATTAATTTTTTGGCATATAATTGTGCATAGTCCTTTATGATTTTTCTTATTTCTGTGGCATAAGTTGCAATGTTTCATTTTTCATTTCTGATTTTGAGTCCTTTCTCTTCTCTCTCTTTCTCTTTCACTAGTCTAGCTAAAGCTTTGTTAACTTTTATCTTAAAAATCTTAGTTTTATTAATCTTTTACCTTGTTTTCTACTCCATTTATTTCGCTATAATCTTTTTATTTCTTTCCTTTGCTAACTTTAAGCTGAGTTTTTGTTTTGTTTTAATTTCTTTGAGGCTTAAAGTTAATTTTTTTTTCATGTATGTTTTTATCACTATAAATTTTACTCTCAGCAGTATTTTAGCTGCATTTCATAGTTTTTTGTTAGGTTGTGTTTTCATTCACATTGGTTTCAAAATGTTTAAGAAATTTCCTCCTTTGATCACTTCTTTGCCCATTGGTTAACAGGTGTATGTCATTTAATTTCCACATATTTGTAAATTTCTCAGTTTTTCTCCTGTTACTAGATTCTAGTTTCATACCATTGTAGTTAGATATCATTTTGATATAACTTGAATATTCTAAAATATGGTGAGACTTATTTGGTGGTCTAATATATGATCTACTCTGGAGAATCTTCCATGTGCACTTGACAAGAATGTATATTCTTATGCTGTCAGATGGAATGTTATGTATATATGTTAGATCCATTTAGTCTAAAGCATAGTTCAAGTCTAATGTTTTCTCATTGATTTTTGTCTAGATGATCTACCTATTATTAAAATTTGGATATTGAAGTTCTCTATAGTTATTGTATTACTATTTCTCACTTCATATCTGTTAATTTTCTAAATTAATTTGGTGCTCCAATGCTGGATGAATATATAATTGTTTTATCCTCTTGTTGAATTGACCCCTTTATTATTAGATAATGACCTGATTTGTGTCTTATTATAGTTTCTTAACTGAAAGACTATTTTGACTGATCTAAGTATAGCTATCCATTCTCTTTTTTGGTTTCCATTTTTATGAATTACATTTTTCTATTTCTTTACATTCAACCTATGTGGATGCTTAAACTGAGATGTGTCTCTTCTAGGCAGCATATAGATGGGTCTTGTTTTTTAATCTATTCAGCCATTATATGAGTTTTTAATTTTAACCTTTACTCTATGTTCATAGGTACATGTACAGGTTTGTTACATAGGTAAATTGTGTGTTACAGGGGTTTGGTGTACAAATTATTGCACTACCCAGGTAATAAACATAGTAACTCATAGGTAGTTTTTCAATCCTTGTCCTCCTCCAACTCTCAAGTGGGCAGTGGTGTGTGTTATTTCCTTCTCTATGTACATGTGTACTAGTGCCTCATTCCTACTTATAAATGAGAACATATGGTGTATTCATCCTCACATTGATATAAAGAAATATGGGAGACTGAGTAGTTTATAAGAAAAGAGTTGGCTCATGGTTCAGGAGCCTGTACAGGAAGCATAATGGCATCTGCTTCTGGGGAGGCCTCAGGAAACTTCTAATCATGACAGAAAGCAAAGAAGGAGCAGGTGTGTCACATGCTCCTTCCTCTGGAAGTTTCATCCCAGAAGAGCACTGGCCTGATGCCAGCCAGAGCTCTCCTACATGAGGTGTCTGTTGACCCCTGTTGGGAGGTCTCTCCCAGTCAGGAGGCATGGGGGTCAGGGACCCACTTGAGGAGGCAGTCTGTCCCTTAGCAGAACTCAAACACTGTGCTGGAGAATCCTCCTTGTCAGGATCAGTCGCTCTCTTCAGAGCCAGCAGGAAGGAAAGTTTAAGTCCACTGAATCTGCTCCCATAACCACCCCTTTCCCCAAGTGTTCTGTCCCAGGGATATGGGAGTTTTATCTGTAAGCCCCTGACTGGGGCTGCTGCCTCTCTTTTAGAAATTCCCTGCCCAGTAAGGAGGAATCTAGAGAAGCCATCTGGCCACAGCGCTTTGCCACATTGTGGTGAATTCCACCCAGTCCAATCCTCCCAGGCTCCTCAGCACTATCAGGGGAAAACTGCATGCTAAATCCTCAGTAATGGCCCATGCCCCTGCCCCCATCAAGCTCAATTGTCCCATGTCAACTTCAGACTTCTGTGCTGGCAGTGAGAATTTCAAGCCAGTGGTTCATAGCTTGCTGGGCTCCATGGAAGTGGGACCTGCTGAGTGGGACCACATGGCTCTCTGGTTTCAGCCCCCTTTCCAAGGGAGTGAATGGTTCTGTCTCGCTGGGATTCCAAGTGCCACTGGAGTACGAAAAAAAAACTCCTGCAGTTAGCTCAGTGTCTGTCCAAACAACCACCCATTTTGTGCTTGAAACCCAGGGCCCTGGTGGTGTAGGCAGACGAGGGAATCTCCTCATCTGCAGATTGCAAAAACTGCAAGAAGTGCATAGTATCCATGCCACATAGCACAGTCCCTCACAGCTTCCCTTGGCTGAGGGGGGAGGTCCCCCAGCTCCTTGCACTTCCTGGGTGAGGCAGTGCCCCACCCTGCTTCTGCTAGCCCTCTGTGGGCTACACCCACTGCCTAACCAGTCCCAGTGAGATGAACTGGGTACCTTAGTTGGAAATGCAGAAACCACTCTCCTTCTGCATTGGTCTTGCTAGAAGCTCCAGATTGGAGCTGTTCCTGTATGGCCATCCTGCCCCAAAAAGCTTATTTAAAGAATTAATGGCTGAAAACTTCCCAAGTCTTAGGAAAGATATGAACAGCCACATACTTAAAGCTGAAAATATTCCCAAACAAGTTAAATTCAAAGAGGTCTTACCAATATATGTACAATAAAATTATCAAAAATCAAAGAGAAAGAAAAAACTGAAGACAGTAGAAGAAATTTTGTCATATGCAAGGGAATTTCTATAAGGCTATCAATGAATGTCCCAGAAGAAAACATATAGGCCAGGAAAGAATGTAATGATATATTCAAAGTGCTGAATGAACAACAACAAAAAATAAGCCAATAAAGAATATTATACCTGACAAAGCTGGCCTTCAGAAATAAAACAAAGAGAAAGACGTTCTTATTTGTACAAAAGCTGAGGGAGTTGATCACCACTAGTACTACCTCATAAGAAAGGCTAAAGAGAGTCCATCAAGCTGTAATTAATGAAAATTTTTAAAATATAGAAATCACAGGTAAAAGTATGTATATAATGAAATTCAGAATACTATAATACTGTAATATTGGTCTCTAAATTTCTTTTAACAAAGGCCACACAGAGAATAAAATATCTTGGAATAAAGCTAACCAGGGAGCTGAAAGATACCTACAATGAGAATTAGAAAACACTGCTGAATGAAATCACAGATGACATAAACAAATGGAAAAACATTCTATGTTCATGGATAGGAAGAATTCATATTGTCAAAATAGCCAAGATGCCCAAAGAAATTTACAGATTCAATGCTATTCCTATCAAACTACGAATGACATTCTTCACAGAATTAGAAAAACTATTTTAAAATTAATATATTAGGATAGTTAGCTCTCTTGTTGCATTGATTCCTTTACCATTATGTAATGCCCTTCTTTTTGTCTTTTCATCTCTGTTAAAGTCTATTTAAATTAGATTAAGATTGCAACCCCTGCTTTTTTTTTTTTTTTTTTTTTTTTTTGCTTTCCATTTTCTTGGTAAATATTCCTCCATCCCTTTCTTTTGAGCCTATGTGTGTCTTTGCACATTAGCTGGGTCTCCTGAATACAGAACACCAATGGGTCTTGACTCTTTACCCAATTTGCCAATCTGTGTCTTTTAATTGGCGGCATTTAGCCCATTTACATTTAAGGTTAATATTTTTATGTGTGAATTTGATCCTGTCATCATGATGCTAGCTGGTTATTTTGCACATTAGTTGATGCAGTTTCTTCACAGTGTCATTCATCTTTATATTTTGGTGTGCTTTTGCAGTGGCTGGTACCAGTTTTTCCTTCCCATATTTAGTGCTTCCTTCAGGAGCTCTTGTAAGGCAGGCCTTGTGGTGACAAAATCCCTCAGCATTTGCTTGTCAGGAAAGGATTTTATTTTCCTTCGTTTATGAAGCTCAGCTAGGCTGGATATGAAATTCTGGGTTGAAAATTCTTTTCTTTAAGAATGTTGAATATTGGCCCCCACTCTGGCTTGTGGGATTTCTGCAGAGAAATCCACTGTTGGTCTGATAGGCTTCCCTTTGTAGGTAACCTGACCTTTCTCTCTGGCTGCCCTTAACATTTTTTCCTTCATTTCAACATTGGAGAATCTGATGATTATGTGTCTTGGGGTTGCTCTTCTCGAGGAATATCTTAGTATTGTTTTCTGTATTTCCTAAATTTGAATGTTGGCCTGTCTTGCTAGGTTGGGGAAATTCTCCTGGATAATATTCTGAAGTACGTTTTCCAACTTGGTTCCATTCTCTCCATCACTTTCAGGTACACCAATCAATCACAGGTTTGGTCTTTTCACATAGTCCCATATTTCTTGAAGGCTTTGTTCATTCCTTTTCATTCTTTTTTCTCTAATCTTGTCTTCACACCTTATTTCAGTAAGTTGATCTTCAACCACTGGTATTTTTTCTGCTTGATTTATTCAGCTATTGATATTTGTGTATGCTTCACAAAGTTCTCGTACTGTATTTTTCAGCTCCATCAGGTCATTTATGTTGCTCTCCAATTGGTTATTCTAGTTAGCAATTCCTGTAACCTTTTATGAAGGTTCTTGGCTTCCTTGCATTGGGTTAGAAAACACTCCTTTAGCTCAGAGGGATTTGTTATTACTCACCTTCTGAAGCCTACTTCTGTCAACTCATCAAACTCATTCTCTGTGCAGTTTTGTGCCCTTCCTAGAGAGGAGTTGTGATCATTTGGAAGAGAAGAGGCATTATGGCTTTGGGAATTTTCAACATTTTTGCACTGGTTTTTCCTCATCTTTGTGGCTTTATCCACCTTTAATCTTTGAGGCTGATGACCTTTCGATGGGGTTTTTGTGTAGGGGTCCTTTTTGTTGATGTTGATGTTGTTGCTTTCTGTTCGTTAGTTTTTCTTCTAACAATCAGGCCCCTCTTCTGCAGGTCTGCTGCAGTTTGCTGGAGGTCCACTCCAGACCCTGTTCACCTGGATATCACCAGTGGAGGTTGCAGAATAGCTGGATCCAGCTTGTCAGTGTGCTTACTGTGGTGATGATATTGGTTTTGATGAATGGTTCCTGTAGAGCAGCCATGGAACCAGAGGCTGGAGTGTGAGTGAATATGGATGTACTGCAGTTCTTGTGTCTAAAAAGATGGTGGCACCAGTTCCAAGAGAGCAGGGACTTCCACTGCAGTGTTAGTATTGTGTGCAAGGCATGAATGCATGTGAAATATCAACAGATCCAGGATCTAGAGCATGGGCACATGCAAGGTGGCTGTGACTCTTGGGTCTGGAGTCTGCACAGGTCTGGGGAGTTGGTGGCCCCAATTTGAGAAGACACAGCAGCAGCTTCTTCTTCGAGGTACAGCAGCTTCTCTCTCCAGAGGGCCTATGGTAGCCACATCTGGGTACCTCAGTGGCAAAAGCTGCCAGTGTTCTCTGTAAAATAGGCTACTAGGGTCCACACCAATGAACACTAATGGGACCACTGCTGTGAAAGCTCCATGAAGCCCCCAAGTATCATATGTGCTGTTGAGGTCCTCAATGGCAAAGGCTGCTTGGGTTCTCCATAAAGCAGGCAACTGGGACTCATGGTAGCACCCACTGTGTATCACCCATGGTATCTTAACAATCAGTCTTTCTGGGTCAGCTTACACTGATAGTTCTCCTCTTCATCTTTGTTCCTAGCCATTTCCCAATGACTCAGGTATGCCAATTACCTCAGGGGTCCTTTCTGTGCAATTGTTTTCTACTTTCACATCACTCTGTGGCTGCAGGTTTTTAAATGAACTCTTGAACACTCCCAGGGATATTTTTGTTCAGCGATAGCTGTTGTATTTGTGTGTGTGTTAGGTGGGGGGTGGGGGAGAAGAAGGATGGCACCTTCTACTCTACCATCACTCTGATGTCACTCCTCTGCAACAGCTATACATGCTGAACATCCCTAATATGAAAATCTGAAATCCCAAATCTCTAGGATACACAACTTTTGATCACCAACATGACACCACAATGTAAAATCCCACAGATAAATACTTAACACAAACTTGGCTTCATGCATCAAGTTATTAAAAATATTTTATAAAATTATGTTCAGTCTATGTGTAAAAGCTGCATATCAAACATAAATGAATTTTGTTTTCAGACTTGGGTTCCATTCCCAAGATATCTCATTATGTATATGCAAATTTTCCAAAATTTGAAAAAATCTGAAATCCAAAACACATCTAGTCACAAGAGCTTCAAGTAGGAAATACTCAAACTCTATTTGCCTTTAAATGTCATTTTACTGTAGTGTTTGTCTCTTTTATCTTTCTTTCATCCTTGTTCTTACTCTTGTTCTCAGTGCATGTATTTGCTATTTAGCTAAGTTTGTATTTTTTATGATAATTACCTTTGTAGTAATTACTTTTCAGAATATGCAATTCATGCTTTTATTTTTTTTCTTTTTGGATATGTCTATTTGTCTCCTACTATAAGCAAGTTTGTTAAGTAAAACCTCTCCTCTCTCCCTGCACATAATTTATCATGATATGTGATACTTTACTCTCATTTAATATCTATAGGAAAGTATATGAACTCATTCTGCTTTCCTTTCACTGTCTATATTCTCTCAAAACAGATTTTAGTTCTATTGCTAAAATTTTATCCAATGCTCACTGTGAATAGTTATGACAGTGTCTTTTTAATCATTTACATAGTACTATACATCTTTAATATATTTTTACGAAGGACTCACATAAAAAATATTAACTGATATTCTGTGTGAATAACACTATGTTTGTATTTTGAAAAAAACTTTATATTTAAATATCAATTTGAGTAGATTTGTAACTGTTGGCTCACATTTTCTTTTCTAAATCTTCTTAAATATAATATTACATTGTTTCCTGGCTTAAAATATTGCTTTCATTAATTTCTATAACAGTCTGATATTTTTTTTCGTATTAATGACTTCATCTTTTTGTGAGAATGCCAGAAGGATTTTTATTTCTTTAAAGGCCATAATTATTGTAACAATCAGTATTTATGGGTTATTAAAGGTGTGTATTGTATTCTTTCAAAATTTGATTTTGAGTCTTTTATTCCGAGGAAATTTTCTTATTTTCTTTAGTATTTGCTTCACTGTTGTTTGCTATTCTTTTTCTGCAGTTACTACTATTATACAGTTATGTGCTGTATATATATGAAAGATATATCATAAGCCACATACACACGCATATGTATATATCTCCTTATGTCCCTTATGACATAACTGTTGTTTTCATTCTGGTTTAAATTTACCTATGAAATTGACCTTTTACTTTCATTTCCAATTATTTTCTGAATTCTGTTTGTCTTTCATTCATATTATTTTTTATTAACAATCTTTTCTAATTCTGATTTCCATTGTGCTATTAATAACTTTTTAACTGCTTAAAATATTAGCTTATAAATCTTATTTTGTGCTTGGTTTTTTTTGAAATGACTTAAATGTCTATAGGTGTTTTATTTTGCTCATTTCCTTTTTTTCCTTATAGGAATTTAGTGTAGGTTCCATTTATATATATTTTAGTTGTTCATTTCCAAGTGAAATAAGTTTTCCCAGACTCTTAGAAGGGAAGGGTAGGGTAAAAATGTCATTTAGTCACATGACTCTAGAAAAATATCTTCTATTATTATAAAATTTAAAAACACAGCCTTGCATTTTCTGAGACAGGCTAGCTCTGTTTTTTGTTTGTTTGTTTTGCTGACTTTTTTATGGACTATGTTTACCATTTGTGCCCAGTATCTATTTTCTGCTCAGTGCAAAGTCTATTGACAGCAATTACACCTATGTCTGGAGCTTTATCCTAAAAATGAGTTAATTAACTAAAAAACTGCATAAGAACCATACCATCTTAACATTGCCTAAAATTTTCATGGTCACCATTCACTTCCTTGGAAAGGTAGCCTTTGTAGATGTCTTTTTAGCTGGACTCTTCTGGATTTGCCCATCAAGCTTTTCATAACAAATGAGGGTGATTTTTGGGTTCTTCTGCTCTCAGGCCCATTTGAAGATTATTTCCTGTATCTGCTTTCTGTTATAGATTTGTTGAAATCATGCCTTTTATTACTGTTTTTTGTTTGACCCCACTTACATCAGCATAGTTTATTATATAATTGTATTGAAGATGATGCCTGTAGTCTTTCCGTTATGCTTATCTTGGTGACTGTATCTATTTTGTATGGGGATTCTGGGCTATTCATAGAAGTATGCCAACAACTGTCATGCAGGCAAACTATTTATAGTCATGACTACTACCACATACAAAATTTAATTAAAAGTCAAGTAAAATATGTCCATTTGAAAAATATTTTTCAAATGCTATTTAATATATAGAGCAACAATTCTAAACATTACTGTATTTGTACATCTTTTAGTAATACAAAATGCTGTGATCAGGAGAAGTTTAATTTTACTAAGGTGTTCAAAATCAAACTCTTAAAATTGTGAGGTATAGGTCAATCCATCTCAAAAATTGAATATTTTTATAGTTCATAAATCCACTCAAATTCCAGGAGCTTTTTCTAATGTTAATTTAACACAAGACTGAATAGTTATTAGCTCCTTTCCCTTTTTCCAAAATCTTCATTTCCAAACATTATTAAAATAGCCTCCCCGGTACATTTAGAAAGATGCAAACACACATAATTTGCATGAGAGACCACAAAGTAATCCATCCCTCTCTCTAATGAACCAATTCTTATACTGTGTAAAGTTTTCAAGTTTAACAATAATAATGAGTGATAAAAGTAATATTTAATTTTCAAGTAATCTATAGCTCTAATAATATAGATTATAACCTGGACTAAAGTACTAAACTGTGTTTTTAAATGAGCAAAACCATCAATGCAAATAAAAAAATCTTAAACTAGTTGAATATGCATTGCTCTCTAATCAACATTACTTGGAAAGTATTTTGCTAAAGCACAGACTTTAAAATAGAACCTGGAATTTGCTTAGTTTTAATCTTCAATTTTATAAATCTAAAATTCCTCTCTCTCACAGACAAGGCCATTTATTTGTAAGATATCACATGTGATAAAAGTCAGCTGTGCTGTGATCATATGCACTGTGACTGAGTTATAGATACAAAGTTATTTTTAATCACTTGAAGTGCTTTTAAATTCACAGAATACAGTTGGAAAGAGATTATATTTAATTCTAGGAAAAGCCTGGATTATTCTCTTCCTTGTACTTAATGAAAAGTAAGGTGAATCAAATTTCAGTTTGAGTTTCTGTAAACCAAAATATGCAAACTCCATACATCTTTGCTTCCAAAGATCCTTGTTGGAAAAATCATAATGTTTAAATTTGGAAAGGTTGCTAAGATTTTCCTTTTGGGTATAGTGGTCAAATTTAGTATTTTTCCTGGGGAAATGCTGTATATAGATTTGGTAAAGGAGTTTCAGGTTGGGCTATTTACCAAATGTTTAGAGAAGACATATTTCCAGTCTAGACCGGAGAGGCAGACAAAAAACAACAGGAAAATTAACTGTGTTTTGAGCAATCAGGATTAATTCAGGAAATAAACACTGAAGAAGACAGTATCAATCTAAGCCACAAAAATGTGCTCAGGCCAAAATTCTACTTCTCTATCTAGAAACATCCCCTGGAGTCCCAGGCACATTTCCTCCTAACTCAACCAGTTGTCCTGAAGATATTTTTAAATTAACAATATGTTATAAATGGATTGAAAATAAATAAGATAAATGGCTTCACTTAAAATCAGGAACATATTGGGCATTAGTACATAATATATAGTCCATGAACACAATAATAAAAACAAATGAGGGGCATTTTGTCAGAGACTATACAACTCTGAAAACTCCAGACTCAGTTTAGCATTTGCATTATGAAGTACCAATTATAGAGAGAGCTGATTGGAATACACATAACTCTGACATACAGACTACAACTCAGTCTCTATGTATCTAGTTACTGTCAATACTAGACTAATTTCAGTAAGAAGTTTTAGGGCCAGGCGCGGTGGCTCACACCTGTAATCCCAGCACTTTGGGAGGCTGAGGCGGGTGGATCACGAGGTCAGGAGTTCGAGACCAGCCTGGCCAACATGGTGAAATGCTGTCTCTACTAAAAACACAAAAATTAGCTGAGCGTGGTGGCGGACACCTGTAATCCAGTTACTCGGGAGATTGAGGCAGGACAATTGTTTGAACCTGGGAGGCAGAGGTTGCAGTGAGCTGAGATCGTGCCATTGCATTCCAGCCTGGGCGACAGGGCAATACTCTGTCTCGAAAAGAAAAAACAACAAAAAAAAGTTTTGACAAATTCCCAGAACCTCAAGATATCTTTAATGTCATCTTATCCTAACTTTGTTTCATTTTATTAGTGTGGAAAATAAATAATATTTCAAGTTGACATAGCTAAGTGCTTAGAGCCCTGAATAACATACCACTTACCACATTCATAATATTATCTTGAAAATAATAGCACTAGACTGAATATTTTCGACAAATTTATATTTCTATATAACTCTTTGAATCTTTCAACATCTGTGTGAACAAACAGCAGATCCTGCTATGGTCTGAATGTTTAGGTTCCCCCCCAAAAATTCATAGGTTGACATCCTTACCCCCAAGGTGATCATATTAGGAGTGGGGCCTTTTGGGAGATGATTAGGTCTTGAGAATGGAGACCTTGTAAATGGGATTAGTGCCCTTATAGGGGGCGAAAGAGACCAAAGTTCTCACTTTCACCATGTGAGAAGGCACCATTTCTATGAACCAATAAGTGGGCCTCACCAGATAGCAAATCTGCCAGTGCCTTGATCTTGCAGTTTCTAGCCTCCAAAATGGGAAGAAATATATTTCTTTTGTTTATAAGCCACCTAGCTGATGGTGTTTTGTTATAGCAGTGCAGATGAACTAAAACATGCCCTCATAGTCAACATTTTCAAAAACTGATTTTTTCTTTCTCCTAAAATAAAACTCTTTCTTTTCCTATATTACCTCTCGCAGTTGATCACAGAGGTCATGCTAGACGTTCTCTTTTTCTACTTCTCATATAGAATTTGTTCCCACATCCTGGCCCTCCTGTTTCCCAAGTTTCTCATCGGTCTGTTTGTCCTTCCCTTCAAATCCGCAGCTATTCTCACCCAAAATAACCTACTAATTGAATTTGTATCTCTGATATAGTACCTCTTTGACCTATCATTTATTCAGCCCTGAAAATGATATTTCCAAAATGTAAGCCTTATTGCACCATGCCATAACTTAGACTTTTCTATGGGAGCAGCTCCTAAAAACTCATCTATCAATTTCTCATTCAGCATTCAGTGTTCCTGAAGAGGATGTTAGGTTTCCCATGAGACAACCAATTAATTACATAGCACAACCATTTTGTTATTTTCAGATTTTCTTCCATAAAATCTATAATTTTTGTTTTAAATAAAGTAAATAATAAATTGAATGATATAAGAGTAAAAGATAATGGTATGACTTTCACAACCATTGACTTGTCCCACTAATATGTTGGGTTTTTTCATTTGCATTTCTGTTTTGTTTTGTTTGCTTCCTGTTTTTTATTAATATGGGAAGCTATTTTTCATACACATACATAAAGTATACCTTCTTTTGTGCTTTTCTTATTCCTCATTCCTCCCAAAGTATACCAAATTTATTTTTAGCTTCCCTCTTTATTATCTGCATAGATTTGCATACTTACTTTAATACTAGGTCATAACCCATCAACTTGTCATTATCTCTTGATTTTTATGATGTAAGCTAAGCAATGTAATGCCTGATGTTTGCTCATATTTTATTCACCATTACTTTTCACATAAATGTTTTTGACATTCATCCCATTTTATTCTGTAAACTTAGTTCAGTTAACAAATATTTATAGAGCACATTTGTGTCAGAAAAGTAAAGCATTTCATCATTTTGCCAGTTGCTGCTAAACATTCTGTAATTCACAAGACACCCTCTCACACAAAAGAATTATCAGATGCAAAATGTCAATAGTGCCCAGATTGAGAAACCCTGGACCAAAATAATGTAATTTCTATATTATTTTCTATGTTTCAGTGAATCAATTGTGTCCTTTAATGTGTTCCTTTTAAAACGTTTTGACTTTCTATTCTATTTTCTAAGACAATTTCACAGTTAACATCAAGCTTTTAAATTTCACTCACATTTTGTGTGATATTTTGAATATCATGTCTTCTCTTTCTGGTATTTCATCTTAAGTTTGCTGGAGTTCACTCTACAAAATCACTTTAGGAGGTGAGTGGTAGACTTAATGAGTCCGTGCATATCCAAATATGTGTCTGTCCTGCACTTGTCCTTGATATTTTGGCAAGGAATGGTATTTTCCTTTAGAACTTAAAATAACTGTTTTTTTCCACTGTCACATTTGGATTTGCTGATGATAAGTCAAATACCACTCTAATTCTTATTTCTTTCTTCTTTCTTTTTTTTGAGACAGAGTCTTGCTCTGTCACCCAGGCTGGAGTGCAGAGGCACGATCTCAGCTCATTGCAACCTCCGCCTCCCGGGTTCCAGTGATTCTCCTGCCTTAGTCTCCTGAGTAGCTGGGCTTACAGGTGTGCGCCACCATGCCCAATTGCCCAATTAACCTTTGTATTTTTAGGAGAGACAGGGTTTCACCATGTTGGCCATGATGGTCTCAAACTCCTGACCTCAGTTGATCCGCCCATCTCGGCCTCCTGAAGTACTGGATTACAGGCGTGAGCCAATGCACCTGGCCTCTAATTCTTATTTCTTTATAAGTAACCAGCTTGTTGTTTGTGTTCATATCTTTTTGGAATCTTTTACATATTTTTCAATTTTCTGAAATGTTATGAGGAAGGTGTCTAAATGGACATTTTTTTATTTAACCTACTCAGTCCTTAGCAGACTCTCTTATGCTGAAAACTCACATCATAATTTAGCTTTAGGAAGTTTCATTTTTCTATTTCTCCATTTTTAAACAATTGTTAATATCTTAAGAAAATCTACTCAACTTGTATTAGAAATTATTATATATTTGAGCATATATTAACACAAAGATCTCTGGAGCCAAGACACCTGGATTTGAATCCCAGGTACAGCCACTATGTTGGTGACTTTGTATAAGTTACTGTACCTCTGTGTGCTCAGTTTCTCAATCTGTACAATAGGGATTATAACAGACCCAACAGCATAAATAACTGTGAGGACTGTGTTGGCATGCATTATACAAAAATAACAAATAAAAAATCTGAGAATTCTATCTGGCAACTAGCACACTTAAATGTTTCTTAACATTATATTTATATGTTTAATACAATATAGTGTCTCCATAGGCCAGTGATAATCTTTTTGGCTATTGCAAAATAACAATTACATGAATTTTCTCCCAGAAAATATCATATACCAAATAGCAAAAAAAAAAAAAAAATGCACATGTAATTTACCTATCAGTTCTATGTTTTTTGTAAATTTCAGATTTTTCATATGGTAATAGATTCATTTTCATTGGGTTGATAGATCCATTGTAATTACTTCTCCTTTTTTAAAGGGGATTGTGATAAGGAATTTTTGGTGGATGGATTTTTTCATTGAGAAACTCAGGTGACCCACCAGTTGTGATACACACATACATGGAACCAAGACTCATACAGTAATCTGACAAATCTCAAAATATTATCCCTTCCACATTAACTTCATAAAGAAGAATTTCAATGGAATACTCCCTTTCCCCTTTTGACACTCGCTTTTTAGACTACCTCTTACTTGAGAAAAGAGCATACTTTTTGCATCAAAAGACAGATTCTAATTTCATCTCTGTCATGTGCTAGTTGTGAAATTCTAACCAAAGTACTCCTTAGGGATTCCATTTCCTTGTAGTTTATGAAATGGTGTCATACCAATGGTGTCAAATGGAGAATAGGAGTTGGGTAGTACACACACCTGTGTAGCATATAATAAATGTGCAAGCTCTTCCAAACCTGATTTCATATAGATTAATGTATCAGAGAAAGAAGGGCTTAGCCTACACATACACTTAACTAATTTGGCTCTGCTCTAATAATTCATTAATGGCATGATTTAATCATATATATTATATGTCTCTCTTTATATTTCACTTTACTTCACATTTAAAAATATTTCTTCCAAGTCTTATTTTCTTTGTTTATTTCATTGAGGGTAGGTGATGTATAAGGAATGTTTGGTTTCTCATGTCCAAATTTCTATCACTCTTATCTTGTAAGGAATATTTATTTTCCGAGGAGTCATAGTATTGAAAACATAGGTTTTACTCATAAAAGAACAACTTCTTTTCCTAAATGGGAATTCTTCTTATATTGACACAAATATATGGAAAAAATGTAGCTGTATGAGTTCCAAAAGAAATATTCGACAGACTTGTTCTGTTAATTATAATAAACATAAAATGCAAATTTTAACATCACTATATAATCAAATATCTTTGGATAACCTCAAAATATTAAGTGATTACAATTTTAATGCAAAAATTCTGGCAAAATATTCATCCTTGGCTTGCATAGTTGATGTCCTAAAGAAGGACTTTATGCCACCAAAAGGAGAAGGTTAAAGTCCATTGAACAGTGCCCTTCATTTTCCCGGAATGGTGCCTAGCTCTTGGAAAGCAATTTACAAAAGGCCTTTCTTTCTACTGTAATCTTTTTCACCTCTTCCTAATGACTCTTTTATTTTAATGTTTATCTAGAGAGCCAGATAGCAACCTAATGCAATGTTCTGGTGCATTAGGCAGTGTTCATGAATGAGTGAAAAGTTTTAAGATGTAGAGAATGTGAAGATTGGGAAGGTCATGAAACAAATAACCCAGTAGAATTGCCAGCACCATTTATTAATAGCAGCTGAAGACATCAGTCACTTTTGTAAAGGGAAGGGTGATGACGATCTCATTTGTTAAGGCAATTCTACTTTAAGTAACTACAGGTTAAGTGGGATGTTCTCACCCCATCCCCTCTCCCTTTTTCATCACATTCTTGCAGATCAGAGACTCCACAAACATTATAAGGTTAAAATCCCTAACTTGCCCTCTCTAAAAATTGTCAGAATATAGGTCGATAATTTGTTCAACTAATTATTTAATTTAGGAGAGGAAGAGAAAAACACCAAAATATATAATTTCAGCCCTTCTTTTAAAGCAGTAGTGTGTGAGTTTCCTATTGAAACTTTAACAAATTACCCCATATTTATTGACTTAAAGGAGCACAAGTTTATCTTATAGTTCTGGATGTCAGAAGCCTAAAGTGAAGGTGTTGCCTGGGCTGTGTTCTTTCTGGATTCTCCAGGGGATAATCTGTGTCTTGATTTGTTGGCTGCGCTGTGTTCTTTCTGGATTCTCCAGGGGAAAATCTGTGTCTTGATTTTCCCAGCCTCTAGACTTGCATTTCCAGCTTCTAGGCCTCTATTTCTTGTCTTGGTGCCCCTTTCTCCATCTTAAAGTGCATTATTGCAACCTCAGTTTCCATCATCCTCTCATCTTCTATGGTTCAATCTCCCCCTGCCTTCTTTTATAAAGGACACTTGTGATTTTATTGGGCCATTCAGATAATCCAGGACAATCTCCATGTCTCAAAATTCCTAACTTAATTACAGCTGCAAGGTCCCTTTTGCCATAAGGTACATGTTCAGGGAATCAAGATGCAGGCATCTTGGCAGGGCCATTATTCAGCCAACTACGAAATAGAAATCAGTGTTTAGATTCCATCAGACCTTCAAAAAATGTTCAAAAATTATGCATTTGTCAGATGGGCAGACCTATTCATGTAGTAATATGAAAATTGTGGCATCGTTTTCAGCTACTGCTAATCAAAACTATTAAGCAAGGTGACTACCAAAAAAACAAAAGTCATTCTATTGAAAAATTTAAGGCCAGAGGGAGTGGCTCACACTTGTAATTCCAGCATTTGGGGAGGCCAAGGTAGGAAGACTGCTTGAGCCCAGGAATTTGAAACAAGCCTGGGTAACATAGCAAGACCCCTGTCTCTACAGAAAAACAGAAAAATTAGCTAGGCAAGGTGGTGCATACCTGTGGTCCTAGTTACTGGAGAGGATGAGGCAGGACGATTGGTTGAGTTCAGGAGTTCAATATTACAGTGAGCTAGGATTGCATCACTGCCTTTCAGCCTGGGTGACAGACTGAGACCCTGACTCTGAAAAAAATACAAAACAAAACAAAACCAAACAAAAATTTAAGAATGGAAATAATAGATCCGTAGTAAAAATTAAATATTCACACCTGAAATATAAACATGTCAATAGAATTCACATAGTTACCACTTCAAAAATTTATTTTTTCTTTTTTGTTTGTTTAAGAAAGAAAATTTTATCTGAAGTCTAGGCTATTTATAAATGACGTATAATTGTAGCTGCTAAAATAAGTTATATTAATTCCACAATGAAAATCTAGATATTCTATCACTATTTGAGGGTGTTTCTGTTAAGTTTGCCTTTGAAGAATTAATGCTTTAGATGATCTGGGAAACTACTCATAGATGTATGCAAGGTCAAATGACTGCTATCAGTCACCCATTTTTTTTAAATAGAGATGTTGTCTTGCTATGTTGTCCAAGCTTGAGTGCAGTGGCTATTCATGGGTGCAATCATAGTGGACAGTACCCTCAAACTTTTGGCCTCAAGTTATCCTCCTGCCTCAGCCTCCTGGATAGCTGGGGCTAGAGGCCCACACCACAATGCCTGGCCAGTCACTCATATTTTTAAAAACACATTAAACATGAAAACAAACTTGAATATTGTGTTTAGGCTGAAAAAGTTCTGATTTCCAGGAGAGTGCTATCTTAAGGCCATTACAGTAAATTTTCCAGGTAAACTTGAGAATCAAAGGTCAAAAGAAAGATGTTATATTAAACAGACTACCAAAAGGGTGTTTTCCCTTTTGGTTTGCCCAAATTACTATGCTGAATAAATGTTTAAATTAATTACCTCATAAAATGATAATAAAAATTATTAGTTGGCATTTTATACATAGACACACAAATACATACACACATCCATCCATGATATGGAAATAATGCCATAGATAAATGCAACTAACAGAGACAACATACATTAAATGTTATCACAAATGCAAGAAGACCAGCAAATGCATTCATCCTAGATGCAAGAAACAGTAAACTGTGGATCAGGGAAGTAAAGCAACTCTGCCCAGAGTCACACACCAAATAGGCACAATTCGATTTTAAATGAGACCTATAAAATCTGTTCTATACACTGTACCCAGCTGCCTTTAAGTAAAATAGAGTTCAATTTTATGACTTAATCCAACACTTTCCTCTATAAATAAAGAAACAAAATGTAGATGCAGGTTAACATGCTTATTTGACTCAGTGTGATTTCAGTAGGTAGAATCTGGTGATCAAATCCAACTGGAAATGTGCTTATTTTGTTTCATGTGATGGTCTCATGAACATCCTGTCCTGATCAAGATTTTCATGAAAAGCAGTTAAAGGATGATTTTTGTAAGAGAGTATAATTATTGTAAACTTTCAAAAGATAGGATCGGGGTTTTCAATTTGTTTCCAAACTCCAATTAACACCTCATCTCATGTCAAATCCATAATTTCTGAGAGAGTTTTATCATTTGGCAATGGATAGAAAAGAGTGGAGCACATGGTAGTTAGGCCTTATATTCTTAGTTCATAAGACTTACACTCAAAAAATGTAGAGTAAATTGAACACTCAAGTGAAAACATAGTTATTTTATTAGAATCTTCACATGCATTATTATGAATTTATATTAACCAGATTTATTACCCATACCCCAGCACCACTGATAAAAGCCAATAAACGCAAGTCCAGGTGACAGCTTCCACAACTGCTCTTTACAAGTGATTTATCTTGAAGATTATTATCAGGCTTATTATCAGTGTGGTTTCTAGATACAAAGATCTGCCATTTCTCTAGTTTTTATTACCATGGCGGATATCTTGCCCTACCTTCCTTCTATCTCCCTTTAAGCTTAACTACATCTGGAGCATTTTTATTATCTATTCCAATCCTTATCCTACCTTATTACTGCAACTCTAACGTCAACAAAAACACAGCTCTAGTTGAAGACGTAGAAATCACCAAAATCTCTTATTTGAGTCATGACAAAGACTATGTATAAATTTGACTGATTCTCTCTGGATGGAAATTTACTGTACCTACCCTGTCAACAAAAGTGACAAATTGATGCAGCGAGGAAAATTCACTTCTTTCTCAACTAAGAATATATTAAAAAGTCTGGTACTGGATTCATTCATCTTTATTTCAAAGTTTCAAGCATATAATTTATTATAAGAAACTTTATTATTCTATATGTATATATGTATATATGCAAATATACAAGCATATATACAAAATATAGACATATATAAATTTTACTTATCATTTAAAGCAATCCAATTTTAAGAGCCTTCTGAAAATGTTTTTCTTAGGGGAAGGGAATAGTCTCAATATCAAAATAAATGTTGCTTTTCAGTCCTAATATATAAGCCTGCTCCCCTTTGAGATACACCGTATTTTCAATTCACAAAACTCATGGAAACTGAAGGTCATTTTGTCCAAAGCCCTTCTGATATACTTCTGAAGCCATATATGTAGTTTTTTTTCTCAGAAGAGTATAACTTGTGAAGAAATATACACGTAATCTGTTTAATTGAGATGCATCTACATTGAATGGTAATTTCAAGCAGATATTCTAGATTTTAATGAGGATCCTAATGTATTTAAGTTCTAATCATTAAGCACTTTCATTATATTTGTTCTTTGAAACCACCTAAATTTAAACAGAAGTCAGCCACCTGCAAATGTCTCTTGGAAATAATAAACTCTGTAGGTTCTTATTTCTTATTTATTCTTATTTATAAGTTTACCTTTTTTGCAAAGCTTAATGGAAGATAGAAAAGTATCTTTTCTTGAAATAATGCTTATTATTTATTTTGTGCTTCAAGTCAGAAATTCAACTAAGGAATTAACACATGTCTTCTAAATGCTATCCTGAGGCAAACAACCTTCAATCTATTAATTAACTTTGACTCAACCTTATGTTAGTTGAAGGCGTGGGATAATTAAAATGTTATTTAGTTTCAAGACAATTTCTAGGCCACAACAACCAAAACTATATAGGTTTTCTCAAAACAAGTTTTGGCCTTTTAAACTGTCAGTACTGGAATCTCTCCTAAAGAAATAGCCATGCACCATATAACAATGTTTCAGTCAATGACAAACCACATGTACTACAGTGGTTCCATAAAATTACAATACCATATCTCTACTCTATCTATTCTATGTTTAGATATGTTCAGATGGACAAATACCTACCCTTGTGTTCCAACTGCCTACAGTACAGTACAGTACATGTTGCACTGGTTTGTAGCCTAGAAGCAATAGTCTATACCACATAGTCAAAGTGTGTAGCAGGCTATACCATCTAGGTTTGTGTAAACGCACTCTGTGAAGTTGACAAACAAAGAAATTGCTTTACAATGCATTTTTCAGAATGTATCCCTATCTTTAAGTGACACATGGCTGTCTGCATATAAGGAAGACTGATATTAAGGTGACTAAACATGTATTTGATGGGAAGCATACATTTTAATATCAGGTTTGGATGTGATTTCACAGGTTCCAGAGGGCTCTTTTTTCATTGTAATATCGCTTTAATATATTCATCTATTTAATTTAAAGGAAAGAGGGAAAGACAGGAGGTAAGGGTAGAGAATTAAAAGACAGGAAATAAGGAACGAATGATAGTAGGAAGAAAGGAGAGGGGAAAAGGAGGAATATATTCCACAATCAGAAAGAAGGATTAATGCTCACTAAAAATTGATTTAAAATTACATGAGATTATAAGTGATTGTATATTATTATTTTTTTCTTAAAATAGCTTTTAAAAATATGTGAAATGAGCTTGAGACTATTGGGTACATGAAAGACTTTCGTGAGACGCTGTAATTGATGACACCAAATGCTGGTATTGCCTACTCAACAGTTTTCCCTAGAATAAACACCCAAGGGAATAAACATGCCAATTCTTTTTTTTTTTTTTTTTTTTATGGAGTCTCTCTCTGTCACCCAGGCTAGAGCGCAGTGGCGCCATCTCAGTTCATTGCAACCTCCGCCTCCCAGGCTCAAGGGATTCTCGTGCCTCAGCCTCCCGAGTAGCTGGGATTACAGGCACATGCCACCATGCCTGACTAGTTTCTGTATTTTTGGTGGAGATGGGGTTTCACCATGTTAGCCAGGTTGGTCTCGAACTCCTGACCTCAGGTGATCTGCCCACCTCAGCCTCCCAAAGCGCTGGGATTACAGGCATGAGCCACTGCCCCCAGCCAATATGCCAATTCTTGAGATCCTTAATAAGGTGAGATAAGAATCAAATCAATCAATAATCACTTTAAAACACCATTAGAAATTCAGAATAGGACTACAGCAGGCCCTCAAATGATGTTATTTCGTTCAACATTGTTTTATTATAACGATCAGAAAAACGGCTGGGGCCACTTCCTCTATGGAGTTTCTATATTCTTCCCATGTTTGTGTGTGTTTTCTCCAGGTACTCTCATTTCTGCCCACATCCCAAAGATGTGCACATTAGGTGAATTTTTGTGTCCCAGTTTGAGCGGGGGTAGGGGTGTGTGTGAGTGTGCCCTGTGATGAAATGGCTTCCTGTTCACTGTGGGTCCCTGCCCGGTGCCCTGAGCTACAGTGAGAGGCTCAAGACATCTGTGAACCTGAATAGAGAATAAGTGGGTAAATAACTATCTTACCTGTTTTAATTAATGTTTCTTAAATGTGTGGATAGCTCAGATTTATTTTGATGTTTAATATTAGAAGCATTTGGGGGCTTTATTTAGAAATTTGATAATGTTTCTGTGACCAGAAATATGTAGTAGGAACTTTTCCTTATATCAAGTAGCCTATAGTAAGTCATTTCGCTTAAAGTCGCAGTTTCCAATAATTTGTTGATGACCTTACATGAGAAACTACTGTATTATAATTTTAACTGCCTAATGTTTGCCTTTTAACTCAGTAAAATCTTGCTAATAATTTACCCTGTTAATCCAGAAGCTAGGCTTGGTAATCACATTCACTTTTAAGATTATAAGATAAAAGCTTATCTTTTCAGTCAAACAAAATTAGACATTTCTCTTGAATAAAAATATTCACAGCAACGCACATAACAGTTCCCAGAGCTATAGAGGAGCTAATCTCTTTGTCCCCACATATTAACATGACAATTTTTTTAAACAATGACAGTAGTTAATCAATATCTTTACCCTGTTTCTTCTCAATATATTTGACTATAATTATCCAATCATTAAATTTCTTCCACAAATATTTATTGAATGTTATCTATTAACAAAGTACTATAATATTCTTCAAGGTTATGAAGATGGACAAGATATGGTTGTTATCCTTTAAGAATGAACAATATTATGAGACAGATATATTAAAAAACCAAAAAATAATGATATTTACTGTACCCAGAAGTGAAATGAGCAGTAAGGAGAGTGTCTTAGAGGATGAATATTCCACCCATCCTGGAATGTAAATATTTCTGCAAGAGTTGATGTCTGTGTTGGCTTCTTCACATGATGAAGAAAAGTCCTGTACACATATAGAAAAGAGTTCAGAAGGAGATATTTTAGGCAATGACAAAAGCATATAAATAACTCAGAAGTGAAAAAGCGCAAGCAAGAAGTAGAGAACTTTCACGCATATAAATGGTGCTGGGGCATAGAGAGTAGATCCAGAAGTGCTGGGAGATGAGTCTAGAAGAAACGCAGAGAAGGGAGCAAGACTCCTGTGAGATCTCTGATGTATCTGGAGCATATGAAATACTAGAAGGGAAATTGCTGGGTCAAATGTGAGCAATATAAAAATTCTTGATATATTTCAGATTGGTTTCCTGCATGTATTTCATAACGAATTCAGCCACTCTCCTGATGTTTCTCCTATTCCTTCCCATATCTCTCTTTTACGACCTACTTTCCCCTGCCTGTCCTTAAAATACCAGCTGTCTGAGTCCATTCAGGCTGCTATAACAAAATACCATAAACTAGGTAACTTATAAACAATAGAAATTTATTTCTCACAGTTCTAGAGGGTGGGAATTCCAAGATCTAGGGGCTGGAAGATTCACTGTCTGGTGAGGACTGATTTCATATTCATAGATGGCATCTTCTCACTGTGTCCTTATGTGATGGAAAAGGCAACACAGCTCTGTGCAGCCTCCTTTATAAGGGCACTAATCTCATTCACCAAGGCTCCACCCTCATGACTTAATCACCTCCCAAAGGCCCCACCACCTCCCAATATCCTCACACTGGTGATTAGGTTTCAACACATGAATTTGAGGGGAGGACAAACATTCAGACCATAACACCAGACTTCCCCTGATTTAGTACAGTATATTTTAGGTGTGTGGCTGTGTCAAAATTGACTCAAAACCTCTCTCTTTTTGCAGGAATTGCTCCATCTTTATTCCCTGAATAAGGAGGGGTGGCAGCCAGCTTTGAGCCACCCCAACCATGGCTATTTGGATCAAACTACCCTGCACTGTCTAAACCAACCATATTCCCTCTCCCAGGAATTTGGAGTTAAGACTAATAGCAATTTGAGTCAGACTCCATATGTTCCTGGAGCTATGATGTAAAAAATCATTGACAGAAATTATCAGATTGCACAATAAGTGAGCTGGGGAAAGAATAATTGGGTGGACAGATGTCACAGAGAACTCAGATCTGTACTACAGCAAGGCACTGGAAAAACTTGGTTAGGAGATAAATAGAGGAACAGCAAATCTTGCCAGACTTTTAATTTCTTTCCAAAACCATCATCAATCTATTCTCCTTGGTGTGGCAGATTAATCTCCCTAAAACTGAGATCTGTTTATTACTTTCCTGCCTAGAAAGCTTTCCATAGCTCTCCATTACTCTCAGCCAGACTCCTAGTAGGTTATACGAAGTCTTTCCTATATTTTTCATTTTTGTTTTGCCAGTCTCAAGCATGATGACACTCTTCACACACTACATGACATGCTAAATGTGCCATGTAATCTTTCCTGTCTAAAGCTCTTTTATCTATGCATATTTATTAATGGGACCAATTTCGGTTTAGTTTTCAGGACTCTGCTCCTGACCCCTTCACACAGAATCCTTTTCTTGAACACCAGGCTGTGCTCACGTAGAACTCTGAAAATTCCCCTTAGTAGTTATTATATTATACCTATGTTTTTAATGTTTGTGTCTGTGTACATGCTCCTAGCCTATATAAAATATTTTTAATATCTAATTTTAGCAAATGAAGCTCATACCAGGGCTTGTGGCTTGATGGGTAGAATCAACTTGCATCTTAAACTGAGTCCTGTATATTATGCACAACCTACACAACTATACCTAGTGGACCTATTGATCTAGTTTTCTCACACAAAACTGAAAACTTTCCAAGGAAAAATATACATTTTTTTAGTTTTGTAAAACTAACCCCTAGCAATAGTACCCAGTGAAAACAGGTCTTAAGTTCATTTGTTAAATAGGTGTGTAAAAAATATTATTGTTTGTATTTCTTTGATTATAAGTAATTTTAATTTAGGAAATAGATAAATTACAGGAATTTTTCTTTTTTAATTTGTATGAACACCTTACGTATAAATGACATTAGCTTTTATTGTGTTATATAGGTTGCGCTTAATATTTTTCTAGGTTTCTACTTGTATTTTAATGTTATGATGTTTTTACAAACAAAAGTGTTAAGAACACCAAATCTGATACATACTTTTGTGATTTTTCCCTTTGCTTTGATTATAAGAATGTCTTCCTCTTTATGTTACAGATAAAAATATATTTATGTTTTTCATCTCCTTTTATTAAATTGTGTAACTATCTGGGGTTTGTTTTGAGGTGTGCTGTGATTCAAAGCTTATGGTTATTTTTGATGGACAGAAAACAATAACTAGTTTGTTTTAAGGCCAAGCTAAGAAAAAGAGCTTTTCTTTATTTGTTTAACCACCTAATTTCAGAATGCAAGTGAAGAGTATGTTTCATTTTTTTAAATTGTGGTTTTTATTTTATTTCAATATTATTATTATTAATGACACAGGGTCTCACTGTGTTGCCCAGGCTGGTCTCAAACCTCAGGGCTCAAGTGATTTTCCCACCTCAGCTTCCTAAAATGCTGAGATTCCAGTTGTGAACCACTGTGTTTGGCTGTGTGTGTGTGTGTGTGTGTGTGTGTGTGTGTTGGGGTGGGGGAGAGGTTGTTTAAATTTTATGTTATGAAAATCACCAGTGGTTGGACCCCGAGGCAATGCATTCAAAAACCCAATGTTTTATATGCTGTTACTGTTTACACATTTTTGTTAGCACTTTTAAATAATTGAATAAATAAATTATCATGTTTTGTAAGAAAAAACTAACAGTTATATCTAAGAGTTGGAGTAGCATACTGTCCTGCCATGGCCACATATTTTATTCTAGAGACCACTTTACCTCTCAACACAGATAGCATTGACTGATCATTGTTCTGAAATCAAGGTAAGAGTGGAATCTTCTAGCTCGCACTGAAGAAAACAGATAATAAAATTTCAGCTAGGTCAAATGTACACAATCAAACTCAAGAATAGATACTTCAAAACTGAGATTTCTAAAAAAGTTTTTCTAACACAGTAGGTCAATTTGGAGTCAGATATTTAAAATCTGACTATCTTGGGCTGTATTGCAGCAAAATAAGGAACAGGTTCAGCTGATCTCTGCTCAGGTGCTTGCCAGAAGATGTGGGGTCCCTTGGGCTTGCGGGTCAGGATAACTTCTCTGGCATGGATGTTATGACCAGATCCTCTGTCCACCTGTTCCCTCCTGCTCCAGCAGGCTAGTCCAGGATTGTTCACATGGTGTTTTTCCAGTTCTAAGGGCATGGCATTGGAAATTGCAATACCTCTTGTGGCATAGGCTCAGAACAGGCATAACATCATATTCACCACATTCTACGAATCAAAGGTGAGCACAGATACAAGACATGAGAAAATTAAACCCACTGTTTGATGGAAAGTATTGCAAAGTATGATGGCCATTTATGCAATTTACAAAAAAGAATAGTTTCTGTTTCATCCTAGGGATTTCTACCTTGGGGCGGGATGGGATGAGGTTGTCTTCAAATGCAGCAAGCAGAGTCTCATTATGATTTTGCTGGGTCCTCGCCACATTCCTTTGTTGAACCCTTCCTCTATTAAAAAATATATTCTATTACTACATTTGTATAAAAATAAAAATTAAAATTCTATTACTCAGTGAAACTTGGTAAAAA
Organism: Homo sapiens; assembly: GCF_000001405.40. Classification (NCBI taxonomy): domain Eukaryota; kingdom Metazoa; phylum Chordata; class Mammalia; order Primates; family Hominidae; genus Homo; species Homo sapiens. The sequence goes on along the minus strand of NC_000004.12, from coordinate 18,884,681 downwards.
AAAAATATCAGGAGTCCCATGGACTGCATAATGCCTCTTTGGAATAAGTCAGCCCTTAATTGCAGAAGACAGAAATAAGAGACTTCCAAATTATCCTCATTTTTTTGCTTTGTTTTTACTAATTTATTTTCCATCTGTATAGATTTTGCTATTCTGACATTTCTTATAAATGGAATCATGTAATGTGTAGCCTTTTATATTGGCTTATTTAGTAGAACAATTTCAAGTGTATTCATGTGGTAGCATATGTCAGTACTTTATTCCTTTTTATGGCCAAATGCTATATCATTATATGGATATGCTGCATTTTATTTCTCTAGTCAACAGTTGATGAACATTTAGACTGTTTTCATGTTCTCCTTAATATGAATAATACTTCTATAAATGTTTATGTAAAAGTTGGGGTGTGTGTGTATGTGTGTGTGTGTGTGTGTGTACCAATATATGTACACACACATACTCGGCATGGAATAGCTGAGACATATAGTAACAATGTGTTTAACTGTTTGAGGAATTGCCAAACTGTTCAAATAGCATGCACTGTAAAACTGCACACTATTTTACAGTGTACAGTGTACATGAGTTCTGATTTCCCAGTATCCTCACCAACACATTTTATTACCTGACTATAAAACTTTTTTCAAATATTTTTACCCATATGTAGGTTGTCTTTTAACTTTCTTTGCTGTATCCTTTGAAGCTCAAAAGTTTTTAAAAATTTAATGTAGTCTAATTTATCTATTTTCGTTTTGGGTATAATATTTAAGAAACTATTGCCTAAATCAAGGTTACAAAGGTTTACTCCTCTATTTTCTTCTAGGAGTTTTATTGTTTTAGCTTTTACATTTAGGCCTTTGATCCATTGTGCATTAATTTTTTTATATGGTGTGAGGAGGAAGTCCAATTTCATTCTTTTATGTATAGATAGCCACTTGTTCCAGAACTTTCTTGAAAAGACTATTCTTTTCCCCATTGAATTGTGTTGATTCTCATATCAAAAATCAACTGACCATGAATGCCTGAGTTTATATCTGGACTCTCAAGTCTTTTCCACTGTTCTATATGGCTTTTCTTATGCCAGGACCTCACCGTATTGCTTACTATAGCTTTGTAGACAATTTTGAAATTGACAAGTGTTAGTCATCCAACTTGCTTTTACTTTTATACAATTGTTTTAGCTATTCTGAGTACTCTGCATTTCCATATGAACTTTAGGAGCTGTTGGTCACTTTTTACCAGAAAAGGCAGTTAGGGTTTTCGCAGGGATTGCTTTGGATCTGTAGATTAATTTTAGGCGTACTGCCATTTTAACAATATTAAATCCTCTACTCCATAAATACAAACTGTCTTTCCATTTATTTAAGCCATTTTAAATTTCTTTCAATGACATTTTACATTTTTCAATATACTTGTTTGTTAAAATTATTCCTAATTTATTCTTTTTGACGCTGTAGTAAATTAAATCATTTTCTAAATTTCTTCATAGATTTAAAAAAACTCTTTTCTGATCCTTAGCTGATATTTACACTTCATTATCACATCCGGATAATTTAACAAGTATCATATATATATATATATATATATATATATATATACACACACATATATGTATATAATAACAACTTCTATGCACTGTGCAATTTTCAGGGTATCATGAAGAATATAAAGATAAATAAAACATTGCTCTTACATATAAAATAGTATTTTCCATTATAAAAAACTCACATTAAATGGCAGAGTACCTGCCATATAATAAATGTTTGTGAACAGTAAATAGATGAGTAACATAATAATGGTGATGGTGTTTTTTTTTTTTAATGAAAGTATGGATAGCTTCTGCTGGCCTTTTTAGTCCTACCCTGTTTGCTGTGCCTTCTCATTCTACATTCCAGGAATTCCAAACTGCTTACATCTCCTAGACTGTTCCATTTCACTCCCACTTATGGGATACTGTGCATCAAAGAATGTGTTTGAAATACTTTCTGTCCCCACCAAATCTCCCTTTCTTTACCTAACTCTTCCTTACACCTCTAATCTCAGCCTAGTTTAACTGTCTTTCCCTTGGAAAGCTTTTCCTGACATTTTATGTATGGGCTAGTGGCCCTCTGTTCTCCCAGGGTGACTCCGGATTATCCCCATCTTGGCACCATCACGTGTCTCTTTGGTTGTTGCGCCTCCTAGGCTGTAAGCAACTTGTGCCATGGAATTCTGTCTCTTCACTGTCCAGAACAAAGGCTGGTATCTGCCAGGTGTTCAAAAACTAATGATCCCCCAAAATAATCAAACACAAATGAATAACACTATCCAGAAGCAGTCTATATCTCCAGGGCATTGGATTTAATCAACATTTTCTTCTCCAGTGCCTCAGTTGGCCAGTTTTCTGTGTTCTGTTGTGTCTCTACTTTTTTCTCTACTCTCCGTCTCCTATTTTAAGTTTTATGTCATGTGTCTGTTGTTAACCACGGTCCCTGTTTAATGCATCTTGAAAGGTTCTCTCTGACCTCCAAGTGGTGATAAAATCATTGAATTCTTACATAAAAACATTATAAAAACTACTCTGAAGAGGCATGCAGATCATCTTGCCAGAACCCACTTTCCATCCCCACAACAGCAACATACCAATTGTAGCACAAATGATGCCGTACATTTGGGGGAAAAATACACACACACACACACACACACACACACACACACACACATATACGTACACACACACACACACATATATTTTTTTTTACTAAATGGATTTAGTCAGCGTTTTCTTATATTTTAACACTATAAAATGAAGGTTTTCAAACCAGCCTATTGTTTTACTCTGCTCTGTCCTTATCAACATGGTCTCTGAATTGCATATTTCACCCAAAGTTTACTAACTGTGAGATGTTAGGCATGTCCTTTATCTCTCTCACTTCTGGTGTCCAAAGCAATGACATGCAGACACTAACACCCAGTTTTCATGTTATACAAAAGGAATGAGCTTTAAAAAGACATGTAAGCTGTCTGTCCCTGTTTTTGGCATGTTGAATATGTACAATAAATTAGTCTCTCTCACCATCCTCCCCAGTGCTTATATAGGAACATCTATGGTTCCTAGTTAAATGCCTGACTAAAATAGAAAACCTATTTTTGAGTGAGCACATGGTTGATGGTCACTTTGGATCATTTATCAATAAAAAATAAAGAAGCATACTAGAGAAAACAAAAACGAATTGATGTCTTATGTTCCCCTTTTTTCTGTTTCTATAAGGGTTATTTAATCCAAACTGAGAAATTATGACATTCTCTTGAGGTTGGCTCTGGTTGTTCCTCAATACATACACTTCCCTCTAGAATGTCAGTTTTGTTCATTGACACTGCCATATTTTGCTCAAAGAGTTGAGTATTTTCCAAAACCCTGCAACCCATTTCCCCTATAAATTATTCTTATTAATGTTTCTATAATAAAATGCCTACACATTGCATTTCTTTTAGTACAGGGGGCAATTTCAATATTTCAAAAACTCCTATAAATCAAGCATCGTGTTGTAAAACCGAAGCAATTTGGCTGGAAAAGCAAAGACATGGTTCCTGTCTGACATTTGCATCAGAAAGTCAGCCAAGCTTCTGAGTTCATTAGTCCATGGAAACAAGAGTCCTCTTATGATAAACAAGTGCTCTGGGACACAGGGTATTATCACAAAGAGGATTATTTATGCTAGTTTGAGAAACAAGAAAGGGGGAAAAATGTAATCCCCTTCAGATCTTGAGGCTGCTGATCAAATAAAAATTTCAAAGTAAAATTTTTTGAAAATTGGCTCTGAGAGCACTTATGATTTAAGTCAGAAAATAAGTGGGCAGAGGGACCTGGGGATAATCGAATATTGCAAAAATAGAAGGGTTAAGTTTAAATTATCTTGAAGCAGGATTTTAAGTCTCTTAAAAATCAGGAGCCTTCCTTATGCCATTACAGATCCCATTGGAAATGAAATCTTCTCTGGGGCAGAGCGGGGGAAAGACTTGCAAATACTCATATAAAAATGCATTCATTTGGAAACACAGAAATGAAGTCCACAGATCAGAAAACATACTCTCAAAAAACACCCAAACATGCCTATTTGTGATATTTGCATAGTGATTCTTAGGTCATACACAAGCCAGGGATGAATAGCAGGGCCAAGGGTTTAAACCAAATCCCTAACCTGCAAAAGCGGAAAGTGCCTTCAAACTTAAAAAATGCAAACGAAAATCTGTACCTTTTATTTTTTCTTTAAAATGTCTCAAGAAAATTTTAATCTGAATGTTTCTCTGGAGTTTCTTTAATTCAAGATAAAAAAATATTCAAAGAAGGCAACATTTTTACTTAAATCATAAACATATAAAGAAATTGAGACATGTTATTGGAAAATGAAGGAAATGGTAAGAAGAGCAAATAAATCTTTATATAGACTAGAATAGAAACTAACTGTAGTGGCTGTGGTCACCTGTGGTCATATTTAATAACTTAGAAAAGTCAAAATCATTTGAGAAATCACAGACTAATGGCAAAACACATCAGAATTGTAGTCTCAGCCAACCATGGCTTCAAACCCTAGCTCTGTCTACCAATTATAAGGTCCATAGCTCTGCAAAAGATATTTAACCTCTCTGTACCTTAGTTTCTGCACCTTTAAATGGAGGTAGCAAATATTAATTGCTGTTAGTATACTCATTTTATTATGATGCCAGGTACATATGAGACATTCATGCAAAATACTTATGATACATAAATATAATTTAATATAATCGTTGCTTAAAAGGACTTGTAGATTATATTTAATTGGATCAACTTTAAGATAATCTTATCTAAGCTACATTAAAGGAGTAATGACATATATTCAAAAAATTAAGAAGTTGAAAGCACAATTACTTCTATGTTCTTTCATTCTAAACAGTTATGTTTGCCAGTAAAATTCCTGGGTATTTGGGAAAAAGGGAGCCCTTGATGTTCAGTAGCAATAAGACAGATGAGCAAACCACGCTATACAGGTTAGAGGGGCCCTTTGGGAAGATGACAGATCCAAAGAAGCACTCATGTATTTTTTGCTATGCTCTATGAAATAATAACCTCATTATCAAGTAAAAAATCCACCCCAGCACCAAACAAGCAGGTCTGATGGATGCTTACCACAGAACTAGCCACTTGCTGTGGTGCTATTATGTCATGGGGGCTCAACTTAATGCAATCCTCCATTCTGTGTTCCTGTAATATTGTATCCTAAGTTATTATATTCGAATATAGTTTTATATCTTGAGTTATATTCTAAAGCATAGGTGACAAGCTAGGAAGAGATGTTGGCTAAATGAAAAGGTTCTAGGTTCAATACTGGGAAAGTGTGGATGTAATAAATAATGTATTTTGGAAAGTTGTTTTGAGAATACAATTAAAAAATGAGTAATATGGTCTGGCTGTGTCCCCACCCAAATCTCACCTTGAATTGTAATAATCCCCACGTGTCAAGGGTGGGGCCAGGTGGAGATAATTGAATTGTGGGCGTGGTTCCTCTCATACTGTTCTCATGGGAGTAAATAAGCATCACGAGATCTGATGGTTTTATAAACGGGAGTTCCCTTGCCCAAGCACTCTTGCCTCACACCATGTAAGACATCCCTTGCTTCCCCTTTGCATTCTGCCATGATTGTGAGGCCTTCCCAGCCATGTGAACTGTGAGTCAGTTAAACCTCTTTTCTTTATAAATTACCCAGTCTGGGGTATGTCTTTATTAGCAGTGTGAGAACAGAGTAATACAATAAAGTATAAAGCACTTAACACACTGTAAGTTCTCAGGAACTGTCAGTTGATGTTTTTGTAGATAAGTACTTGAAATAATTGTATCAATATTTATACTTAGATAAGCATATTATTATTTTTAATGTTATGTTTAATGGACGTTTCCATCATCATGTCTAAGGAATTAGAGGAATAATTATTAGGACCAAATGTCAGAGACTGAGACTGAGAAGGAACAATGACATAAAAAAGGGATCAAGACAGTGACACTAAATCATAGAAGGGTACTCCTAGGAATTTGCTTCCTGCATGTTAGCCAAATAGTAGAAAGGCAGGTGGCTTATGTCAAAAGAGCAGGAATGGGACAAATACAGTTTGTATAGCCCATTTTTGTATCTCTGTTCCTCATTTCATCTTTCATCTACTTGTTCCCCATGAGACCTTTCGTACCTGCAAATGGTGTACTGTCTTTTCCTGGCCATTGGACTATTTCCATCAAAATGCTTTGTCCCATGTTCCACATTACTAAAATCCTGCTTTGTGATTTGTAACATGACAATTAATGAACATGATAATGCTGCCCATATTACAGATATATTTTGAAAGTCTCTGGCCTTCTTATTCATGAAGGATACAGATTTGTTTTCTCCTCATGTTTTTCTTTTGAGAAAGAGGGGAACAGCATGTTATGAACTGAATTGTGTTACTTCAAAATTTATATGTTGAAGCCCTAATTCCTACCGTACTGTATTTAGAACTAGTGCCTTTAAGGAGGCGATGAAGGTTAAGGATGGATCCCCAATCCAGTAGGACCGATGTCCTTATAAGAGGAGGAAGAGACACCAGAAATCTCTCTCTACACTCACACAGAGGAAAGATTATGTGAGGACACAGTAAGAAAGCAGCCATCTGGGCTGGGCACAGTGGCTCACGCCTGTAATCCCAGCACTTTGGGAAGCCAAGGCAGGCAGATCACTTGAGGTCAGATGTTCAAGATCAGCCTGGCCAACTTGGTAAACCCTATCTCTACAAAAAGTACAAAAATTAGCTGGGTGTGTTAGAACACGCTTGTAATCCTAGCTTCTAGGAAGGCTGAGACAGGAGAATCACTTGAACCCAGGAGGTGGAGGTAGCAGTGAGCCGAGATTGTGCCATTGCACTCCAGCTTGGGCGACAGAGCAAGACCCTGTCAAAAAAAAAAGAAAAAAGAAGAAAAGAAAAGAAAAGAAAAGAAAAAAAAAAAAAGAAAGCCAGGAAGAAAGTCCTCACCAGAAACCAACCTTGCCAGCATCTTGATCTTGGTCTTAAAGTCTCCAGAACTGTGAAAAAAATAAATTTATATTATTCAAGTATCCAGTCTGTGGTTTCCTGTTATGGCAACCAGGGGAGACTAATAGCCATTATCTGAAGACTGGATAAAATGGTGCGAACTTTAGCCATCCTCCAGGCTGAGATAAATAGACCATACAAAACATAGATTTGATAAGCCACTTAAATTAATCTACATGAAGTGTAACTCAATTTTTCCACCATCATAGTTAAATGTTTTGTTTAATTCTGAACACTAGAATATTAATATACCACTGGGATCATTGAATGTTTATTACTCAATTATTGACTGTAGATCAAGGAGAGAAAAATTTCCAAAGCCAACTTACACTAGGATTCTAAATTTATTTGTCAATTTTTAGTGGTTGAAGTCATTAATAGGAAAAGAAGAAATCTATAGAGGAGACGACTGTAATGTGAGTCTTATCATTCCTCTTCTGCTGTTGTTAATCAATTAATTTCACAGAAGAAACTGTCAGAGGCAGGTGAACCAGAACAACTCCATTTTGAATAGAAGCTGGGTATAATGAGGCTGAGACCTACTGGGCTGCATTCCCAGATGGTTAAGGCATTCTAAGTCAAAGGATGAGACAGGAGATCAGCACAAGGTACAGGTCATAAAGACCTTACTGATAAAAATAGATTGCAGTAAAGAAGCAGGCTAAAACCTACCAAAACCAAGATGGCCACAGGATTGACCTCTGGTCTTCCTGATTGCTACACTCCCATCAGTGCCATGACAGTTTACAAACACCATGACAACATCAGGAAGTTACCCTACATGGCCTAAAAGGGTGAGGCATGAATAATCCACCCCTTGTTTAGCATATCATCAAGAAATAACCATAAAAATGGGCAACCAGCAGCCCTCAGGGCTGCTCTGTCTATGGAGTAGACGTTCTTTTATTTTTCTACTTTCTTAATATATTTGCTTTCACTTTACTCTATGGACTCACCCTGAATTCTTTCTCTCGTGAGATCCAAGAACCGTCTCTTGGGGTCTGGATCGGGGGACTCCTTTCCTGTAACATCTTTCTGGTGACCACAGAAGGGACTATAGTGAGGAAACCCCCCCATCCAAAGGCTACTTTTGGGTAAGTAGTGAGGTCCTGTCACATCTTTCTGGTGACCACAGAAGCGACTATAATGAGGAAACCCCCAATCCAAATGCTAACTTTGGGTAAGTGATGGGGTTCGGTAATACCTTTCTGGCAAACCCTGAAGAGACAATACTGAGGAGACCCCTGACCCAAAGGAAATAGGTTGTGGCACTAATTGGATGACATTAGGTAAGTGGTGGGGTACCCAGTTAAAGAATGGAATTGGGTTAGAGGCCCAACTTAGGGGAGTTAGAGTCTTTCCTAAGACAGAGATGGTTAAAGGCTCCTCTCAATAAAAGGCAAGGATGCTTGACTGACCTTGGGTTAGAGGTCCAGCTTAGGAGGGTTAGCATCCCTTATAGATTTAGGGAGTTGGAGGCCCCTCTTAGTAAAGTCCCTCTCAGTTAAGGCCCTCTCAGTAAAGTCCCTCTCGGCTAAGAACAGGTTTGGCACTACGGGATGTTAACTGCTATTATTTTTGGAATAATCTGCCTTACACTCTTTGCAGATGGCTGTGGGTGACAGGATTAGGCATGTACAGCATCTTGGGACATGAGGAACTTTTTCCTCCCTAAAATGGGAAATTTGAGAGCTGATGGGACTGCTGGAAAAGATCCCTTCACTATTGAAAAGCAGCCACCTGAAATTCTCAGTGGGGCTGCCATGGGCAGGTCTTTCTCTGGCCTCCCTGAGCACCTCTCCTTCCTCACCCTCCCTGCCTCAGGCAATGCTTTCCTTTCTCTCTCTCTCTCTCTCTGTGCAAACTGGTTGAATGGTAAAAAACCACTGTTTATCTCCTCTGTAGAGTTTTAATTAATCGGAAGAAGGATTTGTGAGGCTAGTCTTGAGCTATGGTGAATTTGGTGTGTTTTGTGTGTCTTTCTATGTTCTATAATGGAAGGGAGTACCTTAGGATAGAACATGGGCTTAGAACACCTGTAAGCCTGTTTTAAAGATGGCCCAGCAAACTGGTTGTCATGTCCTTGGGAGCTTGACCTTGTAACCATTTGGCAGTAGTTTCTCTTGGTCTCCACCATCACAACAGTGGCCCTGGTTCAGGGTTCAATTCCCGGCTTAGGGAATGATACTTTATCTTCTGTCTGTCTAAGTATTTCTATGTATTATGTGTGTGTAACATAAAAGAGCTTTAATTAATTGGTTTAAAAATAATAAGAGCTTAAATCAAACATTTTGTCACAAAAATAAAAAGTATAATGCCTTTTAGTTCACGTGACTTAAATAATCTTTGGGAAATAAATCTTTGGTCTAAATTATGCAGATCAGATATTAAGTATCCTAAATGCTTTAAGGTCATAAACTGCTTCTTTGACTTTTGGAAATTGTTCAATTTACCTGCTTTGGAGCAATAGATTCTAGATAAGGCTGGGGACATGTGGAGTTAGCCATGCCCCCGAGGTGTGCTGGAGTCAGCCCTTATCTGCACTCTGGCTGGTGTATACTAGGCTAGGCTCCACACCTAGTACATCATTAAAATTGTTATTTAACAAGGTTTTCACCAAAAAAAAAGTCGCTAAGAGTTAACATTGTAACATGTAACTGAAACTACTGAAGAATAGTTTTATGTGCAAGGTGTGTAAGGAAAATAGAATATACTTTTGGTAGAAGATTATAAAAAGACATGGGAATGTGGATTTTTCTTACCTAGACGAAAGGGTTAAAGGATTGTTTTAGGTGAAATAGGAAATATCTAAAGGTTTAGACAGTTGTGGAAGGTTTGTGAAAAATTAATTGTAAGAGATTCTGTGTGTGAACATATTGGCTGAAGTTAAGAGTATTATTCAGTTTTTCTGTAAATTAAACATCGGAATAAAAGCACAACTGGTTTTTCTTTAAGGAAAATCTGCTTATGATCTGCTCTTTCACAAAAATTGTAAAGAGTTAATAAGAGGTTTATAAGAATCTTACCTTATGGTCAAACATTGAAATTGGGTAGATATGTCTATAAGGTTTTAGTAATAATTGTTTTTAACACTGGCTGGGCTCAGTGGCTCACGCCTATAATCCCAGCACTTTGGGAGGCTGAGACAGGTGGATCGCCTGGGGTCAGGAGTTCAAGACCAGCCTGGTCAACATAGTGAAAGCCTGTCTCTACTAAAAATACAAAAATTAGCTGGGCATGGTGGCAGGCACCAGTAATCCCAGCTACTTGGGAGGCTGAGGCAAGAGGATTGCTTGAACCAAGGAGACGAGGTTGCAGTGAGCCAAGATCATACCACTGCACTCCAGCCTGGGCAATAGGGTGAGATTCTGTCTCAAAAAAAAAAAAAAAAAAAGAATTGAGTTTAACATTAATAGTACACTAATGTAAAGGTGAAATTTGGCTTATTTGGTACAAAAAGTATACAGGAAGCATTATCAATATGAAATGGTGTTTGGTTTTCTTTGGGATGTATTTGTATAAATATGTTATTGCTACATGTTCCAAAATTATGGAGTGCTCCTACAATTTTGATATAACTTGTTATGATTATATATAATATATTATTATAATCTTATTAATAATTATGTTTGTTAAATAAAATTGTTGTATGCCATAGAGATAACCAAATTTCTTTGTCAATCTTGTTTTTGACTGGCTGTCCTAAGATGTTTTGTCATCCACAGACAATTGTTGTATTGTTTTAATCCTCTTTAGGAGGTGGTTTATAATCAGCTATAGGACTTTAATAGGGGCACTTAATACAAGTGTCCAATAACTTTGGAAATTGTAACAGAATAGAAGAAAAAACTTTCAGAACTCTTATAGAGAGTTGAAATGTTCATAAATGTCAAACAGAAGTTAGCTATGTGGGCTAAACTGAAGAAGTCTAATCTTTTTTAGCTGTGCTTAAAATGTCGCTGATCCTTTGATTTGTTTTTCAGAGTCAAGGAAACTTTTCTTTTCAGCTATTTACAGTGTGTAGCAATTGAGTACAGTATATTGCTGTGAATAACATTTGGAACATATTTGTTTCTCTCTGCTTGATTTTTCCAAAATTTGGAAACTGTTTGTGAGTATTCTTAATTTACAGCAATATAGTTATTTGCATAAGTGCAATAAGAATCTGTTTTCTTTTGCAACAGGACACAATTGGAGAAATTGGTTATTTTACCAAGGCTTTGACTAGAATGGTGTGTTTTCCTTTAAGGAATCAAACTTGACTTGTAAAGCCAATAAAAGTCTCTTGGGGAACTGGCCTCAGACCTTTTCCTCACAGTCCCTGTGCAAGGTTTCTGACTGTGGTAAGCAAAGAATGTCACTTTCTAACAGGTCCAGGAACCCCAAGTTATTTTGGGACCCAAAGAGAAGAGGAATTAACTCAACTCATAGGTATTTGAGGGTACAAACCCATAGCAAGGCTTGGCTTTAAAAAAGACATATCTGAGAGTCCTTCTATGGAACAGAGTTCCATCAAAGCCAATTTACAAAGAGCTTATGTACAAAAGAATTATTCTTGCTGCACTTGATACAAATAATCAGCCAAGTATAATAAAGCATATCAGTCTTACCATGATTTGTCTTTAATAAAAATGGGAAACTGGAAAGAAATGTTTCAAGAACTATGGTACACTTGTTATCAAATTCTAGTCTCATCAGTTGTTTTTAAGTTTGTTTCTGCAATTTAGACCGAAAGTTTGTTCCTGTGAACTAACCAGTGATCTCTGACTACTGCTCAGAAGAAACAAGAGGGATGGGTAATGTAAAAATCTGGATCAGTATTCTAATCTTGAGCACATTGCAATCAGCTAGCAACCTCATATAAGCTTGGTCCAACAGTTGCCCAGTTCATGGAAAGCCTTCTTATTTAGTTTACTTGGAATAATTTTACTTATTTTGTTTTACTGTTGTGGAATATATTGCTGTTGTACTCTTTGGGTAGGAACGCAAAATTAGCTTCCTGAATATTGTCTTAAATTGAACACTTATTAATCTTCCAGATATCACCTGTTGTCAGAACTCAAGAGTCATGAATGGCCCTTACCATAATGATGCTTTCTGACTGAGTTCCTCTCTACCCTGAACACAAGAGGACATCATAGTTAGGTAGAAATATGATTGCCCCTATTCAGCCTGAAGAAGTTAGAAGATGGATCTTCATTCCTCTGAAATCCATAAGATTAAGGGTTCTATTATAAAAGGGGGAAGGAGGAATGTCAAGCATGTGAACCAGAGCAACTTCTTCTCGAATAGGAGTTGAGTAAAATTAGGCTGAGACTTACTGGGCTGCATTCCCAGATGGTTAAGGCATTCTAAGTCACAGGATGAGATAGGAGATCAGCACAAAAGACAAGTCATAAAGACCTTACTGATAAAACAGTTTGCAGTAAAGAAGCCAGTTAACACCCACCATAACTAAGATGGCCACGAGAGTGACCTTTGATTATCTTCATTGCTACATTCCCATCTGCACCATAACAGTTTACAAATGCCATGGCAACATCAGGAAGTTACCCTATATGGTCTAAAAAGGGGAGGCATGAATATTCACCCCTTGTTTAGCATATCATCAAGAAATAAGCATAAAAACGGGCAACTAGCAGCCCTTGGGGGGCTGCTCTGCCTATAGAATAGCCATTCTTTTATTTATCTACTTTCTTAATAAACTTGCTTTCACTTTACTCTATGGACTCGCCCTGAATTCTTTCTTGCTCAAGATCCAAGAACTCTCTCTTGGGGTCTGCATCAGGACCCCTTTCCTGTAACAAAACCAACTGACATTTCTATTTTTTAATTGACAAAAAATTGTTTATGTTTATTGCATACCACATGATGTTTTAAAATATGTATACATTGTCGAATGAGTTGATCAAGCCAATAAATGCAAGCATTACCATAAATACTTATTTTTTTGTGGTGAAGATACTTAAAATCTACTTTCCTTGTGATTTTCAAAACATAAAAAATTGGTATGCACTATAGTCACAATGTTGTGAGGTGGGCCAGGCACAGAAGGACAAATACTGTGTGACCTCACTTATATGTGAAATCTAAAAAAGTTGAATTCATAGAAGAAAAGAGTACAATGGTAGTTACCAGGGGCTGAGAGAGGTGAGAGGTTGAAGAGATATTGGCCAAAAGGTATAAAATTTCAATTACATAGGAAAAATCAGTTCAAGATACCTATTGTGCAACATGAGATTCTCTTTAAAATCACAATGCTTAATACATGGGAACATTTTCTATTCTCAGATTCTCAGTTTCCAGCATGGAATATTTTTTGCCACAGCCTCCTCACTTCCCTACAAAGTAACTTGCCATCAAAGCTTATAGGCAACCCTTCTTTAAGTAGGATTTATAGGGTGAAAGACAAATGTCACAACCAGTAGAAACTAATTGAGTCTTATATAATGAGCAAAAGTCAAAGAATTTTTTTTTGTCGTTGTATTTTGTTTTGTTTTGTTTTTGGAGACGGAGTCTCACTTACTCTGTTGCCCAGGCTAGAGTGCAGTGTCTTGATTTCAGCTCACTGCAACCTCCACCTCCCAGGTTCAAGCAATTCTCCTGCCTCAGCCTCCTGAGTAGCTGGGATTACAGGCGTGCACCACTATGCCCAGCTAATTTTTGTATTTTTAGTAGAGACAGGGTTTTGCCATGATGGCCAGTGTCAACAAAAAGAGTCAAACTCTGTAAAATATTTGAAGAGATTTATTCTGAGCCAAATCTGAGTGACCATGGCCTGTGAAATAGCCCTCAGGATGTCCTGAGAGCATGTGTCCAAGGTGGTTGGGGCACAGCTTGGTTTTACACATTTTAGCGAGGCATGAGACATCAATCAAATACATTTAAGAAGTACATTGGTTTGGTCCAGAAAGGCAGGACCACTCAAAGCGTGGAGGCTCCCATGCTATAGGTAAATTTAAACATTTTTTGTTTTCAATTGGTTGAGTTTGTCTAAATACCTGGGAACCATAGAAGGGGAATGTTCAGGTTAAATTAAAAGATTGTGGAAACCACAGTTCTTTTGAAGTCTTATAGTGGCTATCCTTAGAGACAATAAATGACAAATATTTGCTATTCTGATTTTTTAAAGGTATTAGACTTTTAGTTAATCTCTTTAGGATTGGGAGGGCCTGGAAGAAAAAGATCTTGCTATGTTAACAGGAATTCTTTACAAATGCAAATTTTCCCCCACAAAGGACAGCTTTGCAGGGACATTGCAAGATATGGCAAAGAAATACATTTTGGGATAAAATATTGTGATTTTCTTCCTTGTCTCGTAATGTTATGCCAGAGTCAGGTTGGCAAGTAAGTCACAATATATAGGATTAAATAAAACCCATCTGATGAGAATTTATGGTTTGTAGGGCATGGCTTCCCAGACCCTTTAGATAGGAATTTGGACAAGATAAAAAAAATAAGAGTTTAGTCCTCACCAGGCTGGTCTGGAACTCCTGGCTTCAAGTGATCTGCCCACCTTGGCTTCCCAAAGTGCTGAGATTACAGGCATGAGTCACCACACCTAGCCAGAATTTTCAAATTAAAAAACATTAAATAAAACTAGAAAGATGATTGAAAAATTTTAATTCTTGAAAGAAGTACTTAGGATTGCTTAAAAATGGCTGATTAGAATTTTTTCCCCATGAATAGGGGGAGTAAAGGAAGTGATTATGTAGTGTCAAATAAATTATCTTTATGCATGGATATATTCCATAGTGTTCATGTTGTCACTGGCCCTCAGGAACTTTCTCTCTCATCTAACTTTTTTTTTTTTTTTTGTCATTTTCCTATAGAGAAACTTGAAAAATCATTGTGTAAGCAATTCTGCCAAACATGTATTTATCTACCCGAGCAAATTTTAAACAATTCCATAGCTTGTGGACATCTGACCTCAACATTTCTGCAAATTGCTAGGCCATGTCCAATTTCTTGCTCCTACATTTTTTATTATCTTGTCTTGCCCATGTTTTCAGGGTTGAATTTGTTTTTCCTGTAAATTTATATTGCTTGTGTTCCTAGGATTGTTCTCTCAAACTAATATTTCAACTAAAGCTGATGGTTTAAAAGATGGCAAGGCATACAGGAGAATCTTTGAAGCTTGTGTAATCAAGTAATTGAAAACAAATGGCGTTATTTTTTTTTTTCTCCAAGGGCTCAACTCTAGCTACTATTTTCAGTGATTTAATCTTCATCCTGTTATGTCACCTCTCACAGATTGCCTGCAAAACACAGGCTTGCCAAAGGCACATGAACATTGCAGCTGCCTGTTTTCTGATGAGTTGTAAAGCAGTATTAAGCAGCTTTTTTACCCCCTTCTCTTTTATGCTAAGAATCTAAGGTTGTGCTGCCTTGACTGTAATCATCCTCCCATGACCTACACATTTAAATGTCTCTAGACAAGTAACCTCTTCTCTCTGAATTTCAACTATCTTATCCATTGAATGTGGACAATAAGATCACACTTAGAGAATTGTTGCAATAACATGCATGAAGCACAAATTGATAATTATTCCCCATTATCTATTCTTCTTTTTAATAATTAAGCTTCTGGGTTTCAGCTGAGCACACAGTGTCCCAGCTAAAGACTGTATTTTCCAGCCTCCCTTGCAATTAGCTAAGCCCCTGTGACTAAGTTCCAGCCAGTGATCTGTAATACGAGTGCTGTTCAATTCCTGGGTGGTGTTCTTAAAAGGAAGTTTCTTTTTCGGTCTGTCCTCTTTCCTTGTTCACATAGGCTGGGAAGTTTACATGATGTTGGTGAAATAACTTTGCAAGCAAATAAGGGAATATCATGAAAGATGACGGAGAAACAAGAGAGAAGGAATCTGAGTGCCTATAAAATCTCATGGAGTTGGGACCCTAAACTACCTTTTATAGTGAAATTTCACATAAGAAAAAAACAGACCCTTCTATCTTAAAGAGTCAAACGAAAATCCTAAGTTTATCAGTGTATAAAGCATGTAGTACAGATATTATAGGTAGAACATAATACATTAGTCTATTATCTCTCCCCCCTTGTTTAGAACAGTGGTTCTGAGCCTGCACAGAAGACTCTCAAACCCTGGTTCCATGATATTCTTCCAAACCCAGACATTCTTTGCAAATAAGAGTCACACAGTAGTACAAGGTAAGAATCCAAACCGAACCATCACCAGGGATCTATATATTTATTGTATATGAGTTCAGAAGAGCTGTCCCATTTTGTAGATGAGAAATATAGAACTCAAAAGAGGTTAGGTAACTTTTTGATTATCACTATGAAGAAACTGTCAAGTTAAATACACACACACACAAACATACCCCTCCAACAGAAAATGTTTTAAGTATCTATTATTGGGATGGTAATTAGGGAGGAATATTAAGCAGAGATAAAGGAGGATCTCCCCATTGAAAGTAAATAATAAAAAATACTCAGTGAACTTGTTGGCTATAAACAACCAAATTTCATGAAAATGCTTCTCAGATAGACAAGCTATTTGATCATATATTTAAATGTCTATAATGTTTCTTCTCTACACTTTTGGTCAGGTTCATCTTTAGGTATTAGTTCAAACACTGCTCCTCTCTAAACTGTTACTGATTCCCTAAGGCATTTAGACACTTGCTGTGCCATGTTTTCACATAACGGATTGTAATACTGGTCGCATAATATTACATATCTCTCTCCCTAAAGGAAAGAGATACGCTGATTTCTCTAACCCTTAGCTCAGTTCCTAACTGGCTTTCAGTAGGTGCCCAATAAATGTTTTTACTTAAATAATTAACGCCAGTAATATTTTCAGTCCTTATGATGTGTCAACCACTGTGCTAATTATCTCATTCGATCTCACATGGCCCCAATGCAGATGAAAACCTGGAGTTTAACTAACTTGCCCAAGACTACACAGCCAGTAGGAATTAAAAGAAGATTAGAACTGAGGTTTATATGATATCTGCTCATGGACACCCAACAATAACTTTATACCCTTCCTCAGTTGGCTGAGAAGGTAAAACAAAGTAAAATTGTTGAGCAACTACTATGTGCTTTTACTGTGCTAGGCACAGAATGTAATACAAATCATTACTTCTGGTCCTTACTATTTAAAGGGAAAAGAAGAATACATACATAAACACTCAATTGGGGGAGAAATAGGAAATGATTAAATATTAAATAACCTCAAAACAGTCTATTAACTTGTTTAAATTCATAAAGGCAAATGGTGGGGTTCAATGATTTGCCATATGATGGTGATATAAAAACTCCTTTCTCTAAAAGCATTTATTTCTAGCTTCACTAAAATGATGAACTGCCAATTCTTGAAAATAACCAGTTATTATTATTATTATTTTTAAAAGCAATAGACTATGAGCTGGAATTTGCATAGAATTTCAAAGAAACGGCCAGGCACGGTGGCTCACACCTGTAATCCCAGCACTTTGGGAGGCCGAGGTGGGTGGATCACAAGATCAGGAGTTCGAGACCAGCCTGGCCAATACAGTGAAACCCCGTCTCTGCTAAAAAAAATACAAAAATTAGCCTGGCATGGTGATGTGCACCTGTATTCCCAGCTACTCCAGTGGCTGAGGCAGAAGAATCACTTGAACCTAGGAGGTGGAGGTTGCAGTGAGCTGAGATCACGCCACTGCACTCCAGCCTGGGTGACAGAGCGAGACTCTGTCTCAAAAAATAATAATTTAAAAAATAATTTTAAAGAAACAACTCATGCCAGAAAGTATGACTCTTCTTGTCATACCATTCAGAGATATATCGACAATGGAAGCATTTCAGAAGTATTGGATTACATTTGATTTATTCAGCCCAAGTTATTGTCTCAGGAAAACTTGCTTTCATACTAGGCAAAATTGCTGCAGGTGTCAGATGAGCACTGTCAGATAGATTGCATACTAACTGAAAGGTCATAAAACAAAGCACAATCACAAATTGCCTGGCACTTAGATGAAAATGCCCAGACTACAAGAGTTTATGAAACAGGCATAACCTAAACGTGATGACTGTGCCAGATATTACTATTAACCTAAATACAGAAAATCATAACTCTCTTTTAAATGAGAGGGCTGAAATATCAAACAAAACCATAGATGGAGAAGGTATCCTTTACCCATCTAGTATTTCTTACACATCGCACATGATAATGTGTTATCATTTTCATGATTCATTCAATAAAATGTTAATTTGGGGAATATGGGGGAAGAAAGGAGCTTACATTTACTTGGTGCCTAGTATGTGCCATGCTTTCAGCTAGAAACTGTTTATAATTTCTCTTATTTAAAAAACAGTGTAGTTACGCACTTAAGCCAGGGTCTTACGTTAGCTGTGTGTCTTTGGCTCAGTCGTATAACTTCTGTTTCTCAGTTTCTTCATGAGGGTGCTACAAAGATTAAATATGTTATTATATGCGAAGGGTTTGAAACAGAGTCTGCACATGGAAAAACATCTATCATAGCTATTATCATCATGATTATTGTAGTCTCACACAGGCTCTAAGAGGTAGTTAGCAAAAAGGGCATGTGTCTTAGCATTTGTGAGGCCTGAAGTCAAACTTTGTTTCACTACTTTATATTTTGTGACCCATGGCTAGTTTGTTACATTCTTTGCACTTCAGTTTCTTCAACATCAAATTGGAGATTATATGTGTCTCTTAAGATTGTTATAAGAATGAAAAGTAATGAATTAAATTTGCTTATTATTGTGTCTGGCAAAATAAAAATTCTCATCAAATAGAAGCTATTATTGTTAAGAAAACTACATTGCCCTTGGAGCTCACTGCTTCAATTTCAAATTCCAACAGTTGTTCAGAAGCTATTTATATTTTTTAATAAAAATTTTTGATTGTATGTTTATAATCTTCCATGATTAAAAGCATATACATCCATAATCCTCCAGCCTAGCAAACTTATATCCCTAAACCCACGAGCAAGTTTTTCTTCTATATTACCTTTTATACTTCCCTATTTATTGGAGACATACCAGATGTTTGGAGAGTGGAGAGGTCATTTAAACTACTGTTCAATGTCAGACACGATAAATTACTTATATTATACATTTTGCATTACAGTTGCTTTCTTGAAATCGGAGATAAAAGCATTTGACACAACAGTTTTGATTTACAACTTTTAAGAATTAATTTAGAAATAATACCTATTTTCACATTTGAAAATATTAACTTATCTTGGTTCAAGGTTTATTGTTCATTTTTAAAACAATTTTGTTTTGTATAAATTCCATCTATCTTTATCTTAATTAAAAGCAATTAACATTTACTGATAACTCAGTGTGTGTGTGTTAGTCCCTAGGGATAGAAGTACAGAAAAGGCATGCCCCTTGTTTTCTAAGAATTTAAAATCTACTGGCAAATACAGACAAATTAGAGACTGTAATAATTATTAGAACAGTCATTATATATTTTGTTCTATCTCTAAAGTGTTCAAACTTATTACTATTTATTGTTAAAAAAGCAAGGTTGACAATTGATCTTTTACTCAAAGTATATAATTCTAATGTAATATAAAGTAATTATGCAGCTTCAAATATTTTAGTTTAGTTATTTTTGTTGTGTTTCTCTATTTGTTTGCTTTTTCCATTTTAGTTTATTGATTCTACCCGACTGCTTTGTAGTTGAATAAGATCTTGACTATGGAGTTGAATGTGGAACACTGTAGGATTTTTCTACAGTGCAGAATGATCTAGGTGGCAAGGAAGTCTGGATATTTTCCTGAACCTGAAGTGAAAATATATGAAAATTGAAGAACTCACTAAAAAGTAAACTGAGATGTATTGGACCAAAAACATGGAAATGTAAACTATCTCATATGGTGAATATGTGGTTGGCACCAAACAGATGCTCTATAAATCTTTATTGAATAAAATCACCAACCATGTTTATTGATTAGAGTGAGGTGTTTGCAAACAGACAGTGAGTATAGGAGAGTAGATGAAAAGCAGTCCCAAATGTCATCCACCTTTTCATCTAAAAGAGACTGAAGAAAAGACGGGTGACTCCTCACTTTCCCATACCACAGACTGAGCGCCCCATCTGTTGGATGAAACTCTTACCCCGATCTGAAAAATCTAAAGTTCAGATGTAAAGATCAAGATGATACTGGAACCATCTCATAGTCTCCAAGCATAACATTAGATAATTCTTATATACATTATTTATTATGTTCTTCCCCCCAAATACTCCAGGAATGCAGAGATGATATTCTTATATTCATTTTTCTTTTGTTTTGTTTTTCAAGATGGAGTCTCACTCTGTCGCTCAAGCTGGAATGCAGTGACACGATCTCAGCTCACTGCAACCTTCGCCTCCCGAGTTCAAGCAATTCTCCTGCCTTAGCTGCCTGAATGGCTGGGACTACAGGTGCGCACCACCACACCAGGTTAATTTTTGTATTGATGGGATTTCTCCATGTTGGCCAGGCTGGTCTCGAACTCCTGACCTCAGGTGATCCTCCCACCTCAGACTCCCAAATTGCTGGGATTACAGGTGTGAGCCACCACGCCCAGCCTCTTACATTCATTTTTAAAATGAGAAACCCAACAATGAGAAAAAGTGTTTCCACAATGTTACATAACTAGTAACTGGTAGCGTAGAATGTAAGGTTTAATATCTTCTGACTATGTAATGTAATATTTCAGTGGGAATATGTAGGACATTTTTTGACCATTTTAATTCCTAGTTCACTTATAGTCTCTCTGACATTTTATACTCACCTTATGTTCTAGATAATTACAATATACTTGTGCAGATTATTCTTATACCTCTTGGCCTCTCATTTCCTTGTATACCTCTCCTGTAGTGTTGCTGCCAACTCTCCTAGCGTAGTCACTCATTCCCATAGCTATATGTCAACATTACCATTTCCAGCTCTGGTGATCTTTCCATGGTCTTCATTCCATGAATACTCCTCTTTGACTAGCATCTCCTTTTTTCCAGCTTACTCACTAGCATTTCACCTCCAGCATGCCCAAAAATCCATTTGATTTACTCCCCCTCTTTTTTTACGTTGAAGTGCCCAACAGGTATAATCATTATCTTCTCTATACCCTGAACTCCCTTGCCTTCTCTTTCTTTATTGTACTATTGCATTGTTCTGAAAAATGAGAGTGGAAAATGTTACAAATTTATAATACACTCCATAGTCATAGAGAGCTAGGAAAAGACAATTCTGTCTTCCCAGCATACTGAGAGGTGGGTGACACTATCCTCATTTTATATGAGAGAAAACTGATCCTCATGAGATTAAGGGACTTGTCCAATATCGAAGCAAATAAAGTGCAGAGTCATAATGTGAACCCAATTTATCTGAGGAGATAAAAGTTGGTGGAAAAGTGCAGTTTTAGGAATCGAGAAACCCCTAGAATGCAATTTTAAAAACAGAGTGTATAAATGAGTTTAAAAGAATGGGTTTAAAAAGCAATTGGCAGCTCATAAGAACTATATATATGTTGATATGTTGAAATTATTTAAAATAATGTATTTAATCTACTTATTCATTCATACAGAAGGCACTATTTCAACACCTTTGATGTAGAGATTATTGTGTTGGGATCTTCACATTTGAAGGAGTTCACCACATGGTGAGAAAGACTGATCAGAATCATTACAAACCAATGTGGTAAGTATACTAATAAGATATTTTATACAAACTAGACTGAGGAGGGTCCTTAATCCAACTGGGGGTAGAAGGAGCGCCAACAGTCAGGGAAGTTTTCAGAAAATGCCACTAAAGTGCAGTGCACAATGTAGGGATGTAAATGAAAAACAGTATTAGCTGTTACTGTGGATATATTTATTATTTTCCAGATTTTAAGCTCAATGCACGTTCACTTAAATATAGTCAAATCCCCATTGGTCACTATCAGAATAGGCAAGGAAAAATTGCATTTTGCTGGTTTTATCTTTCTTTTTTTTTTTCTTTTTTCTTTTTTTCTTTTTTTTTTTTTTTCATGCTCTTGAGATAGTAAGAGAACAGGGAAGGCAGAAAAATTGCAGGAGGAGAAAGTCAAGTATAGCAGGGTAGTGAGTAATCTTGTCAGCCAAAGCATACCCTAGTGGCTGAGTGATCATTCAGAGTTCTTTTGGCTACAAGGAGTAAAAGCTTATATAAATAACTTAAATATTAAAAGGAAAAAGTGGGATTGAGATTTCTTATAGAGATACTGAAATGTCTCAGAATCCAAAGACTAGAATCAAGGTATGTTCAGAAGGCAAGTAAAACAAAGAAAAGCAGAAATTTAACAACCGAGGCCACTCTCTCTACATGTTCAGGTATCTTTCATGTTAGCCAGTCCACTCACTCACTCCCCAACAAGGTTCCCTGTTTATCGCCTTACTAGAGATAGACCATGACTGCCAACCACAATTTTATTTCTTGAACCCTTGGGCATAGGGCCAGCCATTTAATGATTATTATCTCTGTATATTTAAGCTAAATTTTTCAAGGGGAAATTTTTAACATTCCCAATAATATGCTAGAAACTGATAATAAAATAGCAAAACAAGAGAGTGTGTCTACTCACAAAGAACTCAATGACTTTTAAGGAAAAGTCACCCAATAAACTATTTAATTATTCATTTACTACTCCTTTCTAGATCAAGTATTTACTGAGCACCCACCATGAACCTAGCCATGTGCTAAATGCAGAAGATACAGCCATAAACAGTTGTTTCATAAAACAAGTGAACTGTAAAGGTATTTTTCAGATATGATTAATATCTACAATTAGTAAACTTTAAGTAAAAGAGATTAGGATCAAGCTGAGAAACTTTTGAACAATAAGAGGTCTTGGATCGTATGCCCACCCAGGTCCAAATAGTGGACACCATAAAAAGTTAGGCCTCTTTCCACAATTTCATGTTAAACTCAATGTAGACCTAGCTAAAAGGAAGTTAAACAAACTCATTAAACAAACTGGTTGATGTTGGCCAATTTTTAACATGTTGTTCAACATCAGCGTCAAGTTTCCAACATTTTCTCCCCAAAGATATTTCATTGTAAAAGTAAACTCAATGGTTTCTTCTTTCATGAAGCCCTTACTGATCATTCTTCTCTTGCTTCAATTCTTGTTTTTGAACATGTATTTTTATTAGAATAGTTGAGGATTTCCTGTGGCTCTCTCTGTAGATTCTTTGTACCCTAAGACCAGAAGCTATAGCAGTATAGTTATCTCAGTGTCCCCATGCTTCATCTGGCATTTACTGGATGCTCAAGAACTGTCAGAAAATAAATATGTGCAAAAAATGTTAGATATGTATTATTTATTTTACCATAGCTATTATCACTAGTTCTATCAGAGCACAAATATTTGGGCAGCTCTTAAAATCTCATTTCAAAATCTTCTACCCAAAGGTATTTTGGACAACGAATGAAGGGGACGGGCCATAAATCTGTATCCATCCCTTATATTTTTCTTCTATAATGTGTATCCATCAATGATAACATTTTTAATCAGTTTATGGATGCTTCCAAGACAGTCATTTGCTCCTAATCTCAGCTATCCATCTCCTGGGCAACAGGAGACACCCTATGATGGCTCAGGTCCATCAGAAAGTCAGAACCCAGCAGTTTGGAAATGATAATAGAAAAGATGGTGTAAACTAAGCACTGTGTCAACCTATCACCATCCAAGAAGAGAACATAATTTGAAGGCCTTCATCCTGCTCATGACCACTGAGGTCAGCCTTAAGCATTTTATAGAACTGCCCCAAAGTGACCTCATCTAACAATTTTTCCTAAATCTGCCAGTTTCTATGTTGTTCAAAATAAGAAGTGTGCATTCTACATCTCTACTCAAGGTTATTGAAAATCCTCTTTTGAAAGTACATCAACGGTTTTAAAGATATACATGGAGAGAAAACTGAAACATGCATTTTCTAAGAAAAACAAAATTAAAGAGCTTTTTCTTTTTTTTTTTTTTTTAAGACAGAATCAGCTTTGATGTAATGGGTGCACTGAACATGTCAGGCAGAATGTTATCAAAAGAAATAGTTTGATAGAAGTTCCTGGGGGAATACATATTTTGATGTCCAACTGCCCTTGTCTTACATGAAAGTATTTGGTTTAGAGAAAAATTTACTTTGACCCAGAAATGACAAACACACACAATTAATGTAAAAACAACAAATCTAGGCCTTGGAACAGGGGACTTTGAACTCTTTGATTAAAGTCAGTTCAAACAACCTGACCATATACCGATTTCTTAAGAATCTCCAATTTGTAAACTGGGAATAAAATTGTTTCAAAAGTTCCCCTGAAAAAATGGCAAGACGAAAAGTTGGACTTTGAGTATTTCTTCAGTCCCTGGAAGACCACTAGAATCCATTGATTCAGCAAAGATAAAAAATGTCTTCATCTCTTCACTATAAAGTTTAAGTAATTAAATGAATCCACCACCACCCCCCCACCTGCCCCCCCCCTTTTTTTTAACAAAGCAATTGACAAGGAAATGACAGTAAAACAATTCTTGTTAGAGACCTGAGATAATTGGCTATCCACGGCTGAGGTTTTTTTCTCCTTTTTCTGTTTTGCCTGAAGCTAACTCCAACTGGGAATAAGGGCCTCTGTGCATGCAAAAGAAACCCAATCCTTTCTGATTATCATCAAACAAAAACAAGTTTTCGTATGTTAGATTTTGGCAAACACTAGGTAAAAATTAGCAAACACTAGGTAAAAACACTGAAAAAAAAATTTCAGTGAATGAGACCATCCCAAATCCCAGCAAATTTTCTATCTGACTTTCTGTCCATAGTTGAATATGTAATGGTGCCTTAAACTCAGCCCTGTGGTTCTGCCCTGGGAACTTCAAACTGGAGCTGTTTGCCCAGAGGAGAAATGCTGCCAGTAAAGAACTTCCCTCTTGTCTTACTGTTTTCTCTTTTCTTTAAAAGCAAATTCCTGCAGGCCTCTGTTCGGCCTAGAGGCATTTTTCTTATAAGTAGAGGCACATCCTCAAAAGGAAAAAAGAGGGAAAGAAAACCATCCTCCTTGCCCTGGGGATTCCCAGAGGTGATCTGGGAACTCTGATCTGGGGAGTCTGGGGGTCTGGAGGCGGGGAAAGAGGTTTCCAGCTGTGTGCACAGTCACTTGATAACCTCAAGCAGGAGGACCACCACAGAGAGCAAACAGAAGCGTGGGAGCTAGTGAGTGAGGGGGATCTGGGTGAAAGAAAAGAAGGAACTGAGCTGTGGGACAGTAAGAGGAAAAGGCTGGAGCTGGGGTCCCAGTCTTTGCATTTCTCTAAAAAAAGAAAAGAAAAGAAAAGATACATCCAGGAAAAAGTGCAATGCACAGAATGAGAAATACTAGTTAATGCTTACTCTGTTCTGGTTTTGCATTTATTTTTTGGCCCAATACAATGAAGAGGGTCAGCAAGTCTGCATTTTGATAACTCTTGTCTATTATAACTCTGTAAACCGTACCAGGTTCCTTGCCAGATGTGAAAACTTTAAGATATTTCACTTTACAAATCTCCTGATATACTATTAAATGCAGAAGTAACAAAACTGGGTTATAAAAATAGTACTCCCTTTCAATGCTCACTTTTTTAAAAAAAATTGAAGAGCTAGAATGAGCAACTCTTTAATATTATCTGCGTGGGTACAGATTTCAAGTATTCCTGGAACTTCATTTGCAGATAATGGTCAGAGAAAAATGACACTTGGGCAAATTGGGGCTTTTGTCCTCCTGCTCTGGGAGCACAAAACTAACCTCTCATCACTCCTCACTACCTTGCTGAACTCCAAGCCAGGTACCAGCTAAGTCTCAACCAGCTGCATCAAAGAGATGCCCCTGTGGGAGTCAGTAGGTTGGGGGTCATCCCAGGCTTCCAGGATGATGAGCTGATGAGTGATGGCCTTCAATCCTGCTTAATGTCATGAAGAACTAGCCTCTCAGAGCTGGCAATGACAATCTGCCTGGGAGCAGCTTATCACTCGCTAACTGAGGAAATCACTTTGGGGTAACTTTGTTGCCTTACAGTACAGGAACCCCTGCTGGATAGGGCCGGTTAGATTGTATTGGGGAAATTTGAAAGCCATCCCCAAACGCTACCCTGCAGGCCAGCGTTGGTCTAATTACAGCAAGGCCTGTTCAAATATGCAAATGCACTCTCTCACACCATAAAGGTAATATGAAAAAATAGTCACACTTGACCTGTATTGAACTCTTAGCTGTGTCCCAGGCATTGTGATGATGCTGGCTAAGAGAAGCTGCCTAGTGCAGTGGCGAAAGGGAGAGTTTTCAGGAGCCAGACTGCCTGGGTACCGAATCCCACCCTGTTATGTAATTACTATTGGTATTCTATCACTTTGTATCTCCATTTTCTCATCTGTAAAAGAGATAATTACAGCACTTACTGATTAGGGATGTCAGGAGGACTAATTGACTTAGTTTTTGTGAAGGTATCTCAGAATGCCAGGTGTATAGTGAGCATGGACTAAGAGTTAGCTGTAAAATACATGTTTACTCCTCATGATAGCTTTAGGCTACATCTATTATTACCCCCTTTTACAGATGTAACTGAGACTTAGGTCAGTTAAGGAGGTTGCCTAGGTTAAATAATGTATTTAAAAAGGCAGGTAGAGGTTCATTCCAGTTTTTCTGATTTCAATGTTAGCTATACTTATTATCTTTCACTTTCTCACATTATTGACACTCTCAAAATAGAAACTGAAATGGATGCAAAAACTAAAGACTGCAATATGCAGCATTTTTCACTTTTTTTAAAGATGGAAATATAGAAAGTCAGTTTATTTTACTTTCTCCTCAGCTCTCTTTTGTCTCTTCCATCTCTCTCTTTTTCTCTTCTTCTTCTTTCTCTCACTAATGATAAAATGATCTGACATAACACAAAATGCAAATTATGTGCTATTGCCTTAAATTGTTCCAGTTCATTTAACTCACCATGAGCATTCATTACAGCTAATTATTGTAACAGATTTTTATTATTCATAATTATTTTTTCATGTTGTAATATTCATAAATTTTAAAAATTCTTGCCATCATGCGTCAACATTCATGCTTGTCAGGGATTTTCTTTGTCTTTTTTTCTTTGCAGAACATTTAGATGCTCATTATCATCAACATATTTGTAGGTTGTTATTATTCATATCCAATAAAGCCCTTTTGGGGTATGCGGAGTAACTTCAGAAATGCAGTAATTCTCAGACCTAATGGCAAACTGATTCTCTGCTTAATTTTAGAAAATCAAATTAAGTACCTCTGATTAAATGTATGGTAGATTTCACTGCGTTAACTGTGTCAGGTTCATGACTCCAGGCACAGAGAAATGCATTCTTAACACTATGCAGAAAATGAGTATTTTTTTAAAGATCACACTTCAAAACTGGTATACTAGGCAATGTAAGCATTCACTGGGAATCTGAAAATGATGAGCAAAGTACCCTCTCTCTATTAGCCAGGGAAGTGTATTTATACCATCAGTGGTAGAATTAGGACATCATGGGTACAAGTCTCAGGCCACATGAAACAAATTCTAATTTCATTATATTCTTTAGATTAACTTAGTTTTGGTTAGTTACCCCATTCCTTGTCTGGCTCATGAGAATTTCAGCTATTATTGGCATATTCTTGAACTGCCAAGAGCACTTGAAAGTCATTTTCTATCCATTGAGGTTGTGCCAGCAACAGGGACATAGTCAATGCCAAGGTGTAAGGTAGGCATCTGGCAGTTGTAGGCAGTAAGTCTTCCTCTTCGGTTATACCTATAGCATTCACTTCTCCATCCCCAGTGGGTAGGGACTCACTGAGAGGCAATCTCTTTCCTGTTTACACTCTCATCTTAAGAGATCTCCTCCAGTTGCGGGGCATTAAGTAGCATCCGAATGCTCATAATTCCGAAATGTGAATCATAGGTTTGAGCTACTCCCTGAATTGAAAACTCTATACTTTCTGACTATCTCTTTTCATGTATCTAATAAACATTCTAGAGTCTACGCCTTAACAAAAAGACTAATGAGCTTCCTGCAACCTACACCTTTAGTTTCCTCATGTCATTAAAGGGCACAGACATCCTCACTCATTAGCTTAGGTCTGAGGATCCTCTTTGAGTCCTTTCTTTCTTTCCCACTCCTCAGCAATCTCTCGGCAAATCCTATCAACACCATCTCCAGGTCTCCAGGACATGGCCTGGATCTGAATACTTCTCACTGTCATCACCGTTAAAGCCCTAGTCCAAGACTCATCACCTAACACCTGGACTACAGCAGTTAACACTTGTACTACTGTCACTTGTACTCTATCTTCTCTTGCAAAGCAGACAGATCTTTCATAAGAATAAGTCAGATCATGCTGCATTTATACTTCAAACCCTCCAGCTACTTTTCTTTGCACTCAAAATCCAAATGACCCTGTCCTACAAGACTGTATGATCTGTTCCCTTACTTCTTCATCTACTACTGCACCTCCTATCTCCCTCCCCATCATCCAAGAGGCTTTAGCCACACCAGCCTTTCTCTGTGCTTAAATAGAGTTTATTTATTTGGCTGTTACTGTTTATCAGTCCAGGCATTGTCATAACACACTCTATGAGTATTTTTCTATTTATCTTCCTAACAGCTTTTTAAATAAGATCCTACTATTGCGATATTTTTATTTTTTGAGATGGAGTTTTGCTTTTCGTCTCCAAGCTGGAGTACAATGGTGCGATCTTGGCTCAAGATTCAAGACAGAAATATAGAAAGCCAAACAGTTCATTTTACCTTCTTATAAGCTCTCTTTTTTCTCTTCTGTCTCAGCAATCTCTCAGCAAATCCTCAAGCAAAACCTCTGCCTCCTGATCTCCTGCCTCAGCCTCCCAGGTAATTGGGATTACAGGTGCCTGCCATGATGCCTAGCTAATTTTTTTTTTTTTTTTGTAGAAACGGGTTTTCACCATGTTGGCCAGGCTGGTCTTGAACTTCTGCCCTCAGGTGATGGACCCACCTTGCAAAGTGCTGGGATTACAGGCATAAATCACCACGCCCAGCCTATTGTGCTACCTTTAAAGATAAAAAAATAAAATCGAGGCTTAGAAAACAGATGCTCTTGTGAGCCAGATCAAGATGAGAGAAATATGAGAAGGAAAAGAATTATAACACAGGTTGGTGCAGAGTGGTCCTGGTACTGTTTCTTCTGAACAAGGCACTCTCACATAGATGTATTCAGCACATAGCATAGCCATTTTATCACAAGTTGTCAGTCTTCCTACCTACACTGGCTCCATCACAGTTATTCTTCTTAACTCTAGCATCTTTTACTTGGTTAATTAGAAATTATCAGGCTGAAGAAACTTGAAAGAAATGAAGGCAAATCAGAGAGGGAGAGAGAGGAAGAGAGAGCTGGAGGAGGGGAGGGAACATTCATTCATTCTTTGAAGCTGGATATATTATATCAAAATATGCAAATTACTGAAATGTCCATCAACAGAAGAGTGAATATAATTATGATTATTCCTTATTAGTGGTTCTCAACTGGAGAATTCTGTACCCATGAGGACATCTGGCAATGTCTGGAGTTGTTTTTGGTTATTACATCTAGGGAGCAGGGAGATCTAGTGGTTGAGTCCAGGGATGCTGGCAAACATTCTACAATGCACAAGAGTATAGTCCCCTACAACAATAAATTATCCAGTCCAAAATATCAATAGTACTGATGTTTGCAAATCTTGCTTTTCATGATGGAATTTTACTCTGTTAACTAAAATGTCTTTGAAAAGAATATCTCAATACATGTTTTCTTTTTTTGTTTTTGTTTTTTTTCAGGATTCCTTCAACTTTAATTGTGGGGGTAAAATCAGGCAGCCACTGAAGATAAAATACAGTCCCTGGGAGTAATCACAATTCACAATGCTGTTTTCTTTTGTGAAGTGGACATGAAAGAGTTTTTTGGTTTTTTTGTTTTGTTTTGTTTTGTTTTTTGTTTTTTTTTTTTTTGCGCAAGTGGTCAGAAGTTGTTAAAATTGTCCCCATTCATGGGTACAAATTCTGGAGATATATAATGATAGGTGGAAAAAAGAGAAACAAAATTGTATATAATTTATTATTTCAATAAAAATACACATCCATATAACTTTTATAGAAAGAGAAGACATAATACTGTTATACCCAAATAGCAACAATAGTTAACTCTGAGAAGTAGCATATTAATTGTTACTTTATCCTTTGTTCTTTTCTATGACTCCTTCAAGAGAACATATCTCACTTTGGTCATTAGGAAAACTTTTCTTTTCTTTTAAATAGTTCTAAATTTATATGCCTAGTCTTATTCAAAATGCAACTGAGAGCTACTTCCTACTGTCCCCCTAAATCTTCAGTTAATCTCATAAGATATGAGAACCACCCTGATTTTAACATTAGAGATTGAGCCATCTGTCTGAATTATGAATTCTTTCAACATTTAACTCATGCTTACTATGTGTCACGGGTATTTTGTTAGACACTGGAAATACAAAAATGTATATATGCAGACAATTATAAAACAATGTAGAAATGGAATAATAAAATTATTCACAGGGTATTTTTGGAGCCTCAAGAAAAAAGAGCACCTAACTGAGTCAGGCTGGAGTTCACAGAGGACTTTCTAGAAAACATGTTATTTGAACTGGAGGGAGATGAAGAGGAGATGCTCTATTACTCCGGGTTGAGAGGATAGTATTTGCAAAGACTTGGAGATAATCAGCATGAAAGTGTATGCAGGGAAACTTCACCTACATTCTGTTCATTTGACATTGCTAAGATGTGATTCCCCACTCTTCAGTACAAGCTGCCTCCTCAGATGTCCAGTGTTGCCATCTCATCTCCTAAACTGAGTATGCTGTGTCTGTGGACAGGCTTTGACTGTGGGTATCTTGGCCAGCATGTTACAGTTTACCTACATTTTGCTAGGATCATATAAATTCACACTAATTCCACTATTTGTTTGGGTTTTGGCCCCAGAAGTATCTGTAGTGTATTGGATTTGGCAAGATTTTACTCAAGTCAACGTGATATTTCGTTGGGCAACTTGATCCTCTGCCTGTTCCCTATCACCACCGTAGGTTTTAAGAAGTATATATACTGGGGGAGAGCAATGGTTCTCGAAGCCCAGTTCCTGGGCAAGCAACGTCACATTCTAAAACTTGTTAGAAATGAAAATTCTCAGGCACTCTTGAGACCTACTCAAATAGAAACTATGTGAGTGAGCTCAGCAACCTGTGGCTTAACAAATACTTCAGGTGATTCTAAAAAACACTAAATTTTAAGAACCATTGATGTAGAGAAAATGGACAGGCAATAATTACTAGTATTGAGTGTTGATCTCATGCCACATGTAATTTCCTGGTGACCTTGGTTGGATCAGGAAGAGCTGTAAGAGGAGTTTCTGTATGCAGTAGTTGAAGGTCTTGTGGGGACATTTTTTCTTAGAAACTTGCCATACAAAGCATCTGCAGAAATAGTGAGATTGCATCCAACACCATCTTGGAACTTATTGGAAGTTCAGAATCTCAGATCCTACAGTCCATTTCAGGCCTATTGAATCATAATGTTTCTGCTAACTGATCCCCAGTTGGTTAAATTCAAGTTTGAGAAGTGCTATGGCTATACTCTTATTTCAGACCTCAATGCTTGCTTAACTACAATTATTTAAACAGTACCTGCATGAGTTTTGCCTTATTTATGCACCATGGTTACTATTATTTACTTAAAATTTCTATGTGAACCCAACTCATACCTTAAAAAATAAATCGTTTTTAAATTAGACTATACCAATTCCATTGAAGGAAAAGCATCTCAATTTGCTTCAAGTAGAGAATAAACATAAAAATACAGTGAAAAGTAAGAAATATTACTAAATTATAGCTAGATATTGTTGACTGCCAAAGGTTGCTATGCCTGTATTTCCACTGTGAAAAGGGAGAGGCACAAGTATTAAAGAAATGTTAAAACATCTAGCTTAGAACTCAAACTCTCTCTGAAAAAGAGGACCAAAGGAGTATTTGAAAGGGGATTCTCATTGTTATGCCATTCAAGATTAGGGAAAGCTCAATTCCTGGGAAACCTAAAATTATCCAATTTACTACCTAAAAATAAAGTCCTAGACCCCTGTCAACAATTCTGTAGGAAACAGTGTTTCAGTACAGTGCTTCTCAAACTTTAAAGTGCATTAAAATCCTCTAGGGATCTTGTGAGAATGAGGATTTTTATTCTATAGGTTTGGAATAAACTGCAGGATTCTACATTTTTTAACAGGCTCCAAGGTGCCATTGTTGAGGGGACCATACTTTGAGTAGCAAGGGTGTAGATATTACCACCTAAATATGAAGAAACCACAAAGAGTTGCACAAGAAAAGGCATTCAATGAGAAAAGAGAGAGGTGATGGATGAATACTTCCATATAGGCACCTGTATACTTCTGCTGCTGAAGGTTCAACCCCACATCACAGGATGCAATTGTGCCTTCAATACCTCAAAGGTGGCAAGTAGCATTGGTTGGAGTTGTGAGGAAAATGAAGATCTCTCAGGTTTGGATTGTTGCATCAACAAAGAAATTGGACTGGGCACAGTGGTTCACGCCTGTAATGCCAGCACTTTGGGAGGCCGAGGTGGGGGGATCACCTGAAGTCAGAAATTTGAGACCAGCTTGGCCAACGTGGTGAAACCCCATCTCTACTAAAAATACAAAAAATTAGCCGGACGTGGTGGCGCATGCCTGTAGTCCTAGCTACTTATTTCGGAATCGCTTGAACCTGGGAGCTGAAGGTTGGAGTGAGCCAAGATCATGCCACTGAACTCCAGCCTGGGTGACAGAGTGAGACCTTGTCTCAAAAAAACAAACAAAACAAAACAAACAAACAAAAACCAGAGTAATTAGCTGGTCCGCGTTTATACCTAATGGTAGCTGATTATAGTGACTGGAGGCCCGAAACCATTAAACATCCACATGAACACACTGCAGTCTGTCTTTTCAAGGGAGGCCTAAACTGGCCTGTCAAGCATAGCTCAGTTGGACAGTGACAAATTTTCTCAAAAAGGGGCCCAAGCTGTTCAAAACGGCATTGGGTTCTAAGAATAGTTCTAACACAGCAGCTCTGACATTCTTTAACCCCATTGTTCCCCCTAAAAGGGATTCTACTTTTGGATGACCCATGCCTCTCAATTTGGTCTTATCTAACCTCTGAATTTTAGTCTAGCTTAGTGCAGATTGATTGCACAGCCCTGTGCAGCATTCACCCAGAGCACATTTATTAAGTTCTTACCATATGCATCAAAAAAGTTGGAAGTGGAGGCAACAAAGCTCAGATGAAAAGCTCTGTTCTTCACACTGATGGAAAATAGCAATCCCATCCCCTAAGTCTACACAGCCTGCAGCAGCCAAGAAAACCTAGATCTGGCACACTTTACCAAAAAGAGAAAGCAAAACCAATTCAGGACTCCAAATCCATGAGTCATGATGTTTGGCCACTAATAGGAGCCTAATTAGCCTGATGATTTTCCTCTTCATGCCCTAGAGTCATGGCCTTGGGCATAATCATCACAGACACCAGTCCCCTAAATTCAAAATTCGTTTGTCAGCTCTCAGCCTGTGTCCAATGATGCAAAAAAAAAAAATCGATTTTGATCTCTTCAGGCAATCTGCCAGTCAGCTTAATGTAAAATAATCAGCCAAAGTGATGTTTAACTGAATTGACTAGGTATTTGGTAACTTTCTTTTTCTTCTTTGAATTGACAGGTCAAATCAGTCAGAAGAAATTATCAGCCTCAGGCAGACAAAGTCAAAATTGTTGTCTCCTCTGCACTTTTTCCAAATCACCCACCACAAAGTCCAGGTGCCTTTTATTGTATTGCTAAAATAAGATGCAAGAGAGGCAGAGATAAATCGGTTTACTTAGCAAATAATTAAAAAGAGTTTACTGTGTACCAGGCACTTTCCTAAGCACTTCACAAACATTGACTAGTTTAATTCTCTTAAGAAACATAAAACACATTATTAACCCCATTTTGCAGATAACGAAACAAATTCACATAGAGATCAAGTGACTGGATGAAAAGCAGCCAGCCAGTGGGTGCTGGATCCAGATATCACTCAAAACTACCCATGATCTTAACCAGTATTCCTATACTCCACTGCCTCGAACCCACGGTAGTCAGAGATCACACTCCTAGGCCTGCCAATGCTAGCCAGCTGAAGGTCACAGAGCTCAGTAGTGACCAAGACAGTAAGACAATCTTGCCAAAGATCCTTGGTGGGATCAGAGTTGTCCTCTTCAAAGACTGACAAGGTCATTATTTAGGGAATGGACGTAATTATTCTCTATCTAGCAGGCCAGTTTGGATCAAATGATAGATCATGGATGTGATGTTTCATTCATTCTGCTGTTTTCTTACTCTTTCCTTCCTTCATTCAAAATTACTGTGAGCATGAGATACTAGCGACGAGCTTGGTCATTAGAGTAAAAAAGACATGGGTATAAATAGGTCCAAGCTCTGATGTTTAATAGCTGCAGTTGCCATGGAGAGTTGCATTCTCTTATCCTTTCTCTCTTGACTTATAAAATAGGCATGTCCTTGTATTTACCTTGTAGTATGGTGAAAATTAAATGAAATCAATACAGGCAATGCACCAAGTTATTGTGAATGACACTATAAAAATTAACTTTTATTAGCATTTGTTATAGGCCTAGGAGAAGATAAGATAAATAATTAGGCAGATATAAATTGCAGTAGCAAATATATAGTGAAGGAGGGCTCACAATCATGGCAGAAGAGTAAGGGACATCTTACATGGCAACAGGCAAGAGCAAGCTTGTGCAGCTCCTTTTTATGTGGGAGCTACAGTTCAAAATGAGACTTGGGTGGGGATACAGCCAAACCACATCAGGAAATAAATGCAGCAGATACAGCTCGTGAAAATTTGGGTAC
This sequence comes from Homo sapiens, assembly GCF_000001405.40. Lineage (NCBI taxonomy): Eukaryota > Metazoa > Chordata > Mammalia > Primates > Hominidae > Homo > Homo sapiens. The sequence goes on along the minus strand of NC_000004.12, from coordinate 18,849,668 downwards.
CATACACATAAATTGTTTAAAGATGGATTTGGATAATTGTGGTGAAATATAGAATTTTGGTCAGACTGAGTAGGGGATAGGGAAATAACATTAGTTTGGAAATTTCTAATAGATGGAGCCCTTCAAGAGTGGAATAGGACAGGGTTTTGCAGGAGTCTCATTTTGGGGTATTAAACACAGAATGGATGGCCATATCTCAAAAAAAAGTGGATTTTTTTCTCATCTGTGATGTGATTTTGCACAGATCACCTAAATCCTTTGAGCTTTAGACTTCTCTGCAGTGGATAATGTGTTCAAGAGGTGACTATGAGCATCTCCTGTGGTTGTGCGTAGAACCTTAAAAGATTCATTTGCGGCTGGGTGCAGTGGCTCGTGCCTGTAATTACAGCACTTTGGGAGGCCATGGTGGGCGGATCATAAGGTCGAGAGATTGAGACCATCTTGGCCAACATGGTAAAACCCTGTCTCTACTAAAATTACAAAAAATTAGCTGGGCATGGTGGTGTGTGCCTGAGCCCCAGCTACTTGGGAAGCTGGAAGGCGGAGATTGCAGTGAGCCGAGATCACGCCACTACACTGCAGCCTGGCAACAGAGCAAGACTCCATCTCAAAAAAATAAATAAATACAATAAAAGATTCATTTGTTTATTCATTTGACAACTATTTATTAAGTGTTTGAACAACTGTTCTAGGTGTTAGGAACACAACAGTGAACAGAGCATTACCCTTGCACTCACAGAGCTGATTCTAGTGGAGGGAAGCAACGACAATAAGCACAGACATATGAGATTTATGGTGCTTAGTATTAATACTATGAGTAAAAACAGCAGATAAGGGAGATGGGAGCACAGTGGTGGGGTTGCTGTTTTATGTAGGGTGATTCGGAAAGGTCTCTGAGAAGACAACATTTGAGCTGCAGGTCATTAAATCATGAACCAGAGAGGAAACAGGCAGAGATGAAAGAAGCAAAAAAGGAAATAGATTCCAGGAATCACATGAAGGCAATGTGGCAAAGAGGAGACCATTATCAATTACCTTATATATGGCTCAGACACGCAAAAAAATAAGGATTAAAATAGTGAATATTGATGTTGACAATGAGAAGGTAAGTGGGATAGGTCAAATATAATGAGTAATGTTAGTGGAATAGTGGGGATGGAAATCTGAGGGGAGTGGGTTCCAGAAAGAACAGGAGGAAACGGAAGGAGATAATGAGAATAAATGACTCACTGATTCACTGTAAAGGGAGCAGAGAAATGGGGCAGTAACTAAAAAAGAATGTGAGGTCGAGGGATGGTTTTTTTCTTTTTCTCTATCTTTTTTTTTTAAAGATGGCAGTGAGTGCAGCATATTAATATGCTTATATAAATAACCAACCAAGCAAAGAAGAAAAAATTAATAGTGCAGGAAAGAGAGGAGTGGATTGCTGGACCACTGCCTTCAGTAAAGGAGAGGAGACAAGATCCAGTGCACAAGAGGTGGGGTTGGCCTCAGAAAAAAACACAGTATTTTATCCACAGTAATGGAAGGAATGCAAAATAAAGTGGACACATATCTAGGGAAGATGAAAGATGCAATTTTTCTTCTTCAATTGCTTTTAATATTTTAATAAAACAGAGAACAAAGTTAATAGCAAAGACTTGGCATGGTGTGGGAAGTAGGCGTTAAATCAAATTTAGCCTAAAGCTATCTCCTTACATATTTTAAGTTCAGCCTAAAAGTTTCTCTGTACATAGTGAACTACAACCTAAATGGAGTCATAAACAGACTAGAACCTACTCTTGTGCCAATCACCGAGTTTTGGCCAATCATAGGGAGCCAACTGTTCAAACTGTGTTCAAATAAGGCAAACATAGAGCTGTAACCAATCCGGCTATTTCTGTTCCTCACTTCTGTTTTCTGTACCTCACTTTCCTTTTTCTGTCCGTAAATCTTATTTGGCCACATGGCTGCTCTGGAGTCTCTCTGAGCCTACTCTGGCACTGGAGGCTGACTGATTCATGAATCATTCTTTGCTCAATTAAACTCAAATGACTTAAATTTGTCTAAGTTTTTCTTTTAACCTAAGTATAAAAGGTTTAAGAAAAGAGAGAAGATATGAAATAGTCATTTAGAATAATGGAAGACTGAATGGTCTAGAGCTAGGTCATCAGACTACAGCTTGTGGGCCAAATCCAGCCACAGCTTGTTTTTCTAAACAAACTGCCTTCCTTGGAAGGCAGCCACGCCCATTTGTTTGTGTACAGTCAATGGCTGCTTTCCTGCTATGAGTGCCAAATGGTAACAGGACTGTGTGGCCCCCAAGGCTTAAAATACATAGTGTCTGGACCTTTATAGAAAACATTTGGCAACTCCTGGACTAGAGAGTTGAGTTGGATTTTGAAGCAGTGTTTAGAGGCACAAGGTGGTCGTAAATTTGAAGGAAAACTAGTAAACATTAATATATGCGTGTGTGTGTGTGTGTGTGTGTGTGTGTGTGTGGCTAGATGGAGGAGAAGGAAGGTTATTTCAGCTATTCAGGTACATATCTAGAAAGGGAAGAGTGTTAGAATTAAGCAGAGTTGGTGTTTACACCAGCTAATACAATAAAGAGAGAACTGTGGAGGGATGGAAGGGTATCAGAGGGGGATAAGAAACAGACCTTGGAATCAATGCTGATTAAGTGAGGTCAAGAAGAGAAGGGTGAGAGTAAAAGGGAGTGTCAATGAATTCTAAATTTTAATGAGCTTCAGGAAATATTGAATGGGGTTATCAAAGGGAATGAACACTAAAGGCAAGAAGAGAGAAAGGATACTTGAAATTAAGATTATGGAGGGGTTGGCATTTGGAGCAATGGAAAGATAAGTGAATCGCTATGCTAAAGTGAAAATAAAATAAAACAAGTCATATGTGCACTTCAGAAGGAATATCTCCTACAAATGTAAGAGGCCATTTCCAATCTCCTAGACCTGAGTTTTACACAGGGCATAGCAGGACAATTTATGGAGCAAGTTTAGAAAGTATGAGTAGCAAAGAGCTTCGCTTGTTTGTCTCATTTCCAAGAGATCAGTGAAATTGCATTAGGAAGAGGGAAAATCAAAACCAGGTAAGAGAAAGCATATAAGCTTGCAATAACTCCATCTCTCCAGGGAAATGGCTCCAGCTGAAAGACACTACCCAGGATTATTATCCCTGGAATGGCTTAGATGACAGACAGAAAGCAGGAACTGCAGACTTCATTATTTCCCTACACTTCTGATGAAATGGAGCACAGGCTGAGTTATGTGAGGGTTTTCAGGTCTTTCCAAACTAAACACTGTTTGTCAGTTTTTGAAATCAGAAAGAATAACCCATCTTCCTACTCTTACCCTTGACCCCAGTCACATAGCTTTTACTTTTTTAATCATTGTGTCTCTTACATCAAATACTTTAAATGGGAGATTGTGGGCCTAGTTGACTTAGTTCATGCTTGCCATCCTTCCTGATCTACCTTCAAAGTTAGGGATGCATTCCAAACTGATTAAATGGGTCACAGCCTTTCAGAGAGGCCAAAGCCAGCTGGTTCAAGTCAATTGTATTCTTTCCAATTGGCAAATGATAAAGTTTTTTTTTTTTTCTCAGGAGGTTAACTCTATGGTTGGTGATTGATGACTTGATATTATGCCTTTCAAGACAGAGTAACATCTCACCCCAGCCGGAGTCCATGAATCTGTCTAAATGCTTGGGTTAGCCCATCTACACACCACAAAACACTGCATATGAGTTTATTTGTAAATTCAAGGATCTATTTACCCCTTTATTTAGAAAATAGTTATACACAATAATATATATTTATATATATATAAATCGTACACACACATGCACACACATATACACACTTGCATACACATGCACACACATACACAAACACACACACACACAATATCCACTGTGAGAAAATAGAGATCAAAGGAACAATTTCTCCCTCATCCTAGGACCTAACATGCTACTGGGCAAAAATAAAAACAGACAACAAAGAATTAAGTGTGATAAGTAACAGAATAGAAGCAATCAGGCAGAACTTAAAAGAGAGGAGTCTAACTCAGCCTACAGCAGGGTTTCTCAACCTTAGTAATATTGATGTTTGTGGCTAGATAATTCTTGGTTGTCGGGGGGCTGTTCTATATATTGTAGAATATTTAACTGTTTTCTACCTACCAGATGCCAGCAACCTCCCTCCCCTAAGTTGTGACAACCAAAAATGTCTCCAGAAGTTATTAAATATTCCTAAGGTGGGAGAAAAACAAAATTGCTTCTATTTGAGAACCACCAGGCTAGAACATCAGGGAAGGTTCCCTGGAGGAGGTGATAGTGGCTATTTAAGAATAAACAGTTATTTCTCCAACAAACAGAGTGAAATATAATATTGTTAATCAAAGGAAATCGCCCATGAAGTGAGAGTATATTCAAAGAATTATAAGTAATTTGATATCCTTGCAGCATAGACTAAGAACAAGGTGTAGAGGGTAGGCTGCAAAGGTAGACTGGACCCAGATTAATCAAAACATTTATAATTGGAATATATTTTGCCAGTTCCAAAACAAGACATATTATTAGAATTACCTGTGCAGATATTTTTAAATTATAGACATCTGGTCCCAGTCTGAGTGAATCATAATCTCTAAAAGTAGGGCTCAAGAATGTCTATGTTTTTAAAGTTCTTAGTCAGCTTAAGGAATCATTAGAGTCTTGTTACTCAAAGTTTGATCTATAGGCCAGCAGCACTGGCATCATTTGGGCTCTTATTAGAAATGCAGAATCTCATTCCAAACCTATGAATCAGAGCCTGCATTTTAATACGAGCTTCCAGTGATTCCCATACATGTTAAAATTTAAAAACACTGTTTACAGGCAGTCCTTCAAAAACACAAAAGTGAGTACCATTAATGACCACCAAAAATATATACTAGGCTTGTTTGGCACTGTTAGCTGAGAAACAAGAGGAGCTTACAGGATAACATGCACCACTGAATCTTTGCCCGCATGGTAAATTGAAGACTTATTAGTAATATAAAATATGATAAGCTTTCACAAAATCTTATGGGAAATCAGGGGAGAGAATAATGTCACCCTTGACAATAAAATAATCTCTATGACCCCAAATCCAGTCATGACATAATTCTGCACTTGCCAGGTTCCTGAACCAATTTGACTATTTCTGAGCCAATGAAAGGCAATGGAGAATTTACTCAATTCTGGAATATGAACAGAAAGTAGATATTAGCTTAAAGAGCATTTCACAAGTCATTTCAGATTGTTAATATACTTTAATTGTGTAAATGTGTCACATAAGCAATGGTTTGTTGTAAATGTAATTACTCCATTTTGCAGATGACCAAACTGAAGTGCTGAGTGGGAATGCCCATGGTCTCACAATAATAAGCAGTGGAGTCTGAATGCAATTCCCCATTATCTTACTTCCTACTCCTTGCTCCTGGCCACTCTAACTTAAGCTTAATTGGAAGAGGAGACATATTCAAGCCCCAGCCCTACCTCTCTATAAGCTTAATCATAAAATCTCTGAGTCACTTTCTTCATTTGTAAGTTTAAAATAGTAATATCTAATCTACCAGTTCCTTATGATTAACTGAGGCCAAGCCTGTGGAAAAAAGTCATTGTACCCTATAAATTAAAATTATGTAAATTTTAGCCAAGATGGAAGAAGGTTTTTTATGAGAAATCTGACTTAATACCTCTCCTCTATTACAAACCTACATAAGTTATTAAAAGAAAATAAATTTGTGATGATCTGCATCTCAATGAACTGTAAAAGGAATGGAAGTGTTGGAGGTGAACAAGAGCTTATGCTTAGGTTTTGTTTGGCTTCTGAAACAGGGAGAAGGTTCCAGGACACATTCAGGGTTCTCCAGAGAAATTGGAGATTGGATACATGATTGATAGATGGTAGATAGATAAATAGATAGATAGATAGATAGATAGATAGATAGATAGATAGATAGGTAGATAGATAGATTTTTTTTTAAATGAGGAATTGACTCGTATGATTATGGAGCTTTGCAAGTCTAGGTATCTGTCTGCTGTTTGTAAGCTGGAGATCCAGGAAAGCTGGTGGTATAATTCAATCCAAGTCTGAAGTCCTGAAAACCAGGTTAGATGATGGTATAAATCTTTGCCCAAGTGACAGCAGCAGAGGGCAGACAAATGTTTAGGCAGAAAGGGGCAAGTTTCCACTGAAACCCAACCTTCAGGGAAAAAGACAGCCTGAATCCTGAAAACTGCCAGCTCTGAGTAGAGTCCACAATCTGGAGTGAGAACTTCCTCCATGCCTTTTAGCCAATCAAATGATGCTTTTTCCAGGCCTGCCTATGGACCAATCAGCATGCACTCCCCCATCTGAGCCCATAAAAACTCCAGACTCAGTCATACATTGGAACTACCAGTCTTCAGGTAGGGGCTACCCACTTTGGGTCCCCTCTCTACTGACAGCTGTTCTGTTGCTCAATAAAACTCTTCTCTGCCTTGCTCACTCTTTGGTTGTCCATGTAACTTCATTCTTCTTGTACATGGGACAAGAACCCAGGATCCACGAATGGCAGGTGCCATAGGAGCTGTAACACTGTAGTCTTCCTGCCCTCCAGCAGCTGCCCCCCATGACAGGGAGTGGCCACGCTGCTGGACCAGCCCAGGAGCCATGGGCTGGAGTGTGGTGGTGGGACTGAATGACCTATAACATGAACAAGATGAAACACGTTCCTGGCTGGCCTGCTGAAATGCAGGCAGTGACATGTTCCTGTTAGCTGGACTATGGGGGAAGAGCTGCCACTCTTCTGGGGGCCCGGACCTCAGGAATCCCTGAGCCAGAACTGTGACATGCTGTAAAACTCCCTTGGGGCTTCAAGGTTGCTAGCATCTTTGAGTTTTTGGGCACCACCACCTTCCCCTTGTCCAGATGCTGGTGCCCACAGCAGAAGACGCTTGAGGTGTGCCTGATCCAGCAAGAGCCTCACATGGAGCTTGTGTGTGCACCACTGCCTGGAGCTGCCCACACCGCCACAGCAGCTGGAGTGCAGGGCTGTGCACTGTGGCCGAACCTCACACTTGCTCATTCACACACTCTTCGCCCACTGTACCTAGCTTGCCATTGATGGGCATGGGATCCAGGCCGGTAGTGCAAGCTGAGTGCAGCCTCCTGGGCTGAGTAGGTGAAGCAAGCCCAGCATGCACCAGTGAAACTCAAGCAGAGGCACCACTGGCCATAGAGGTTTCCAGCTGGTGAAGTGGCACCTAAAGAATCCTGTGGCATGAGGACAGGAGAGGATGAAATGAGATGTTTGGCTCAATCAGTCAGGCCAGATAAAAAAGGGCACATTTTGTGTCCCAGTCAAGTTGATGTATAAAATTAGCCATAAGAAATGAGTTCATGTGCACTGAATGATGTGTGACCTGCATGCAGTAGGAAACATGGGCGTGAGATTTACCTTGACTCTCCAACCATCACTGAGGGCCACCATGAAAACTGAGGGCTAAATAAAACAATGGCTATGAGCTAGTTGTCTGGTGTAGTGGATAAACATGGCTTCACACCAGAAATCAGAACAAGTCACAGGCATACTCTGGTGCCAATCTTTAATATCCTGCGAAAGAAATGTTTTGGGCTACCACCATAAAATCTGATCTGACAACAGAAGTAGATGGATGAATAAGAATAAAGAGGCCACTCCAAATTTGCTAAACATGAGCATGAACATGTACAGGAAACATAAGAAAGAAACTCTCTGTCACAATGTTCTACTGTGAGATATCATTGTAGGGGGAAGATTGGCTAAATTCCAAGGATCTATCAGGTCCCTCAAAGCCCAGTCCAAATCAATATTCTTTAAGAAGTCTCCCCTCTTTACCAAACCCCATTCTCCTCTGAATTGTGTAGGGTATGACAACACTGTAGTTAAGAGGGTGCTCTCTGGAGAGACAACGGTTTAAATCCCTGCTCTACTGGAGAACCTTGGCAATGTTGCTCAAGCAGTGCCTCAGTTTCTGCATTTGTGAAATGGACCTAGTGATAGTACCTATTGCATAGAGTTGTGACAATTCCATGAGTTAACTCATACAACACACTGAGAGCAAGACTGGGTTCATAGTAAACACTCAACAGAGAGCTATTGCTTTTACTTTGCATAGTTGTCCCTATAATGATAAACTGTGATTATCATAGAAAATTTTGTTTCTATCAGACACATGTTTTTCAATAGTAGGAACCTCTCTCACGTATCTCTGAAGTGAAATGGTTAGGTAGACAGAGTAGGCGGTTAATGCAGTCATTCTGACTTAAAACATTAAAAGAAAGTGAACTGTGAAAAAGATATTTTAAAACACTCTAATGCTTTGGAAAAAACACTGGACAAGGAGAAAGAAGACGTAACTTTTTTCCTAATGTTGTCCCTAATAAAGTGTAAGGTATGAGACAAGCCATGCTTCCTCTGCAAGACTCTGCTTTCTCATCAGTAATATGGGCACATTGATCTATGAGACTTCTTAGATCCTTTTAGACTCTAAGATTTTAGGAATCTATGTATTATGCAACTAAATTGATGTGCTCAGAGACCCTGAAGTGGGTTATGCCACTCTTACGTAAAACTTTCAGGGCAGTGGATTAAAAAATGATGTAATGTCGGAGTCTAGAAAAGTTTGATATTTAAGGAAAAAATAATATAGTCAGGTTCTATTTAATCTCATAACTTATACTTGGCTTGTATCTATTCGTTTTTGAAAAGTTGTGTAAAGGGCAGAAAAGTTTTCTAACTTCATGGGGCTTATAATTTACTAGGGAAGCAGAAGAAATAAAATAAACAAATAATAAAATAACTGTGCACTGGGATACATGCTGTGAAGGAAGCAAGGCCTTCGAGTGAGGCATCATGGCATTGTGGTGAGGGAACACGGGGGTCAGGAGACTCTGCTTTGAGTTGCTGACATTCAGCTGAGATCTGAGCCTGCAAGGAAAAAGTAACCAGAGGAAGGCTTTCAGGCAACAAACTCTGCCAACACTAAAACCACAAGAGTAGAAAGATGTCACCATACTGGAGGGCCTTAAAAGGGTTCAGCTGGCTGGAATAAAAAAGTAAGATAGAGGCACAAAAGAAGCCTGGTGGGAGCTGCAGTCCTGTAGTGCACGGCTAAATAAATGATTGTATTTAACTTCACTGATAGGGATTTTTGAGCAGAAAAATTATTGCAAAGATGAATTTCTTTGTAGATGTCAAATGCTTTTTCTAAGTGCCTTTCATTTATTAACTAATTTAATCCTCACAACCACCTTATGAGATGGAAACTGTTAGTACCTCATTTTACAGACAAGGAAACTAGGCAAAGAGAGTGTTGTTAACTTGCTATAGATCACACTGCTAATAAGTTTCCAAGCCATCTTCATTCCTGTGCATACTGGCTACAAAGCCTATGCTCTTAAACAATGTCCCATACCAGTATGTTTCATAACGTGGAGGTTTCAGGTACTTGATTTGTGTAAACTAAAAATGTTCTAAATGAGATTTTAATTTTTTCATTTCCTTACCTTATGAGAAGGACTGCTTGACGTGATACAATGGCATACAGTATTTGTGAATTCCGTAAGACCAACTCCTTCAAAATAATAAGTACACATTGTAAAAAAAAAAAAAAAAAAAAAAAAAAAAACAGCCTAGTGAGCAAGGGGGCTGCTGATGACCTTTGAAACACTGATTTTAAAGAAAAATATATCTCATGACACATTTAGCCTGTGTCTTTAGTCTCAGTTAGTGAAATTAACCACATCATAAGTTTAATTGATATTATTCTGAACAATTTGAAATAATTGCTGGCAGAGATGCTGAAAGTTCTTTGTGCCTAAGTTTTCAAACCTATGAGATTTGGGAGCTTATATATTGATGTGTAAAGATAAGCAGATTGGTAGTTTAGATAGAGGAAGAAAGAGGGAGAATAGTGATAGTCAGAAAATAGAGATAATCGGTATCAGAAGAGAAGTTACCTAAAATACTGCTGTTGTTAATAAGCTACATAAACAAAAAAAAAAATGGAAATTAACATATGTATTTTTTGACCTGCGTGCCGGTTGCTGTTCCGCGTACTTTATGTGAATTCTTTAAATCTTTTCAACATTTTCATGAAGTACGTAAAATTATCTGTATTTTACAAATGAGGACACAGAGGCACAGAGAAATTCAGTAACTTTTTCAAGATGAAAGAATTAGTAAATAGTGGTGTCAGGATTCACACCCATCCAGTTTGTCTGCCCTCAGGTTCTGTTCTCCTAACTACTACCTGATACTTGATACTTCTCCTTGTGCATGTGCACATTTTCTTTCTTTTTTCTTTTTTTTTGAGACAGAGTCTCACTCTGTCACCCAGGCTGGAGGGCAATGGCACGATCTCCGCTCCCTGCATCCTCTGCCTCCCCGGTTCCAGCGATTCTCCTGCCTCAGCCTCCCGAGTAGCTGGGATTACAGGTGCCTGCCACCACGCCCGGCTAATTTTCGTATTTTTAGTAGAGATGGGGTTTCACCATGTTGGCCACGCTGGTCTCGAACTCCTGACCTCAGGTGATCTGCCCGGCTCGGCCTCCGAAAGTGCTGGGATTACAGGCCTAAGCCACCGCACCTGGCCTCACATCTTAATTAGCTCTTTATTACTGTCAAGAATGATTCATATTCCTTTTGTTTTTTTTTTCCTAACCCTACTAGATACAGTGTAGTGACACTGAATAATATTTCTGATAGCTGTCAATGAGACTAACAAATTAACATGGAAAAAAATGTCAATTTCCTCTTGACTGGAGGAAATCCTTGAAATAACATTTTATCTCACTTCCCTTAATTTGTGTTTTAAAAGCCAGGCCAAGGCAGCTGGGAAGAAATCAGCTTTTAAGAAGGCATCCTAACTTAGGCACCCACATCTTCTGTTCCCACAAGACTTTCTGCTGCCCCTGCTGCTCTATCTACAGTCAATGAATGGATGTCTAACAGCCTTGATGGACTTCCCAGTCCATATCTGCTCTTGAGTTGCTTCCAGTGTATCTGACAACAGAGTGGCCAAACTTCCATAATATGTATAGGCCCCTGAGGAGAATAAAGCCATTGAGACCCAGATTTGTTAGCAAAACACCCACTTTGTTTTGATAACACCCTGGGTATATCCACTACAGAACAACCACATCCGAAACATCACCATTATTCATGATTATACTTCTTTCATATACTATTGGGTAAGTGATTGAGTGTAGCAGTTGTTTCTTATTTGTTTCAGAAAACTTCTAGATTTTTTTCTATAGGAAAGATGTAATTAAAAACATAATTATTTACCTCTCTTTTAAGTGTGTCTTCTATATGAACCTTTGTATGAGAAAAGTCTTTTTTTTAGTTAATTGCTAAAGAAGCTTCAATTTTATGTTTTCTTTCATGGAAAATCAAAGCAGATAGAACTGATCATCTTTCTGCATTCATCTTCATTTTTTATGGCTACTGGAAAACTCAAAGCCAATTACCTCTTTCCTTCTTTACTTTCTTTCTTTATTTCATCTATGTAGTCCAGGAAAAAAAGATTTTATTAAATATTTAGTGAATGAGTGAATGAAGGCAGGAAGATACTATAGCTATAGATGAACCTCCTTTACTCAGCATCTTGAAACAATGTGTCACTGAGTAGCAAATAGGCCATATGAGAGAATATGGTTTTATTGATGCAAAATCATCTGTACAATTGGAAGCAAATGCAATGTTTATAATGTATCAATATTTTCCTCCTAAGAGAAAAACATTGTAACTTTTTTTTAGTATAACAAAGTAAGGCCAAATAATTAAATAAAACAATGCACATGGCTTTGGCAGGCTATATAACCAAGAAAGAACATCTAATCAATGACATACTAAAGTGGCTATACAACAATATACATCAGTCTTTGGAAAAATTCTGGCTTTACCCGCACCTCAAATATAACACTGTCCACAAAAAACATCTACTAAAATATATTTACTTCCTGCTATTTTCCCTGCAGTGAACAGCTATTGTCTAACATCCTCTGTTCCCTGGGGAAATGGCTTCTTCCTTGCTTTATTAATTTGATTTGTGTGGAAATGCTACCCACAGCATCCACCACTTCTGGGGAGAAAAGTTGACTTTAACCTAGTGAATTGCAACAGCTCGTTTTACTAACCAGAGTGTTTGATCCAGGGCTGGGCACATGAACCATATCCAGTCAGCGAGACCTACTGTTGGGTTACTCAGTTTGGAACTAGAATTAAAAAGATTATAAAGCTAAAAAAGTGTAATTTTGAAGCTACTTATTGTCATCTTCTCCAGTATGTAGAAAAGAATGATCAGGAGAAAGAGAGAGAAAGAGAGAGAAAGAGAGAGAGACAGAGAGAGAGAGAGACAGAGAGAGAAAAGAAGAAGAAGAAGAAGAAGAAGAAGAAGAAGAAGAGGAAGAGGAAGAGGAAGAAGAAGAAGAAGAAGAAGAAGAAGAAGAAGAAGAAGAAGAAGAAGAAGAAGAAGAAGAGGAAGAAGAAGAAGAAAAAGAAGAAGAAGAAGAAGAACAACAACAACAGCAGCAGGAGGAGGAGGAGGTAGAAAAGGAATCAGAAAAAGACTTCATGACCTCATTTGAATAATTTGTCTCATTCATGATTGGAGTCAGCTTTACCTCTGAACTCAGATCGAGCTAGTGTTTCCACACTTGTAGCTGTAAATGTTCCAATACCAGTATATTCCGGCTAGCATTCTTTCTCCGACCATGAAAATCTATTGAACTACCTGCTACTTCCAGGTCATAATTTTTTTGAAACATACACCCTGCATACTCAACACTTTTGCACATATACCCTCTATTTTGGTTGTTCATTGCTATGTGAAACCACCCTCAAAACATTGGGGCTTTTAATAATCATTTATTTTGCTCATATTTTTGAGGATTATTAATTTAGGAAGGGCCCAATTCCATGCTTCAGCTAAGGTGGAAGGAGCTGGAAGACATACTTTCAAGACAGCTTCTTCATGCACACCTGGGGCCTCACACTGAGGCTCTTGGCCTCTCCTACTCAGTGTGATGTCTCACTCTCCAGAGTCTTCCCAATGGCTCAGGATTCTCACAACATGAGGGGCTCAGGTAGGTGCAATTCTGAGGTGGCTTTCAAGAGGGAACATCTAAAAGCCAAGAGTTCAAAGAGGCCCAGAAGAAAGCCATAGATTTCTTAGGATCAAGCCTCAGAAGTCACACAGCAACAATTCTGCCACATTCTATTAACCAAGAGTAAATCCAAGAGCAAGTCCAGACCCAATGGTTGGGGATTACACAAGGACAGGAATACTGTGAGGTATGACTATGGATGTGGGGAAGGCAGGGGAAAGATCTTCAGCGACCAGCTACCATCCATCCCCATCTCTCTGGAATGATATGTCCTTGTTCTCCTGGTTACTCCCACACATCTCTAGGTTCTAAGCATGAGTATTCTCTTCTCTAAGAAGTCTTTCTTTCTTCATATGTATGTGGGCAAAACTTGTATGCAGATCTTTCAGAGCCTGTGTAATATCCCCTTGTAGCAGGACTTATAAGTCATCTCTGTACTAGACATGAAACACCATGGGAAAATTAAAGATGTCTTAATTCATCTTTATGTCTGTGATCTTAACTTATAGCTGGTGCTTAGTAAATGCTGGCAGGGTGAACAAGCATGTACATGTCAACACATTCACTCCTGAGGCTGAGAAAAATAGCAATGGATGGATCCAAGTGGAATTCTTGTTCCCAGAGAATTTTCTGGGTCAGGACTATGTCAGTTTGTGGACCATCCCCCTCCCATAAAATATCCACACAGGATGTCAACTAATATCAGGGTGTAATGAATTGATTCAGCCTAAAGTTGCCAAAGCAACTGATGTCAAAGTGTTTCAGGATCTTGTTAGCTCCATAAGTGTAAAGCTTTGTCTTTCTCATACACTTCAAGCAAACTTGTGAAGTCATACATTTATCTGCATATACAGGTCCACAAAAATGTAGGGCAAGATGAAATGCAGCTGAGATTGAGGCAGAGGGAAGTTATTTTTACATGATTTCTCTAATTTGATATTTCATAATACTCACTGAGTCTCCATTTGACTGTGAGCTATGCAAATGATGTCTTTACTTAGGGTGCATTACACAGCCTCCTATAAATGATAAGATGTAAACTAAAACAAGCAAAATATAAACACTTGCATTTAAGCTTAAATAACTGTAAGGGTGAGTGCCCATACCAGTTATAAGAGAAAATTGGATTATTCCAAGCTTCCTTTCTTTCACCTTACTTAGTTTAAGCATAAGAAGTGTTAGTTAAAATTCTGTTCTTTTTCTTCAATGTTCTATTTTTTCTCTTTTATAAAGAACAAGAAAGGGACTTACCCAAAAAATCACCAAAAAGTTCAAAAGAAAAAAAAGAGAAAATAATTGAATGCTGAAATCAGGAAAGACAACACATTCTTAGAAATAAGCCAATAGAAAGCCTACTTCAGGATATATCAATGAGTTGAATGCAGATTCCACAGTACCTTAGAAAAAAATTTGTTGGATATATATATTTTTTAAATCTGCTTGTCCCATTCTGCTGTTCAGCTGTTAGTGTCTAGGTACAGTTCAGTGTAACATTCAACATAATAAGACAAAGCAATGAATACACAGATCTATTTAGAGAATGGAAAAATATAACTAAAACAAAGCCTGAAGTACAGTATAGGGAACCAGTGTGTTTAATGAAGCTGTTTGATAATTACCAAGATGTTCCAGGCACAAAGCAAGACCTGCAATGTAACCTTCTTGGAGGCTTATTAACTTGGCACATGTGGCAGACAGGAGATTGCCTGTTCCTAGACTGGCTGACTGAAACAATTTTATTAATATCACTCTTCAGAAAGGAGGGTCAGCACTTCCCATCAAAGCCTCTCCTTGAACATTAGAAATGGGTCACTTGTGTCCAAAGTTTTTGAAAATTACAAACCAGAATGTGGATCCCCCAAAATGTGATATTGGAGTATGGATATTAACCAGGAGATGCAAAACATTTTCTGTAGAAGGCCTCATTGTAAATATTTTAGGTTTTTTTGGCAATGTGGTCTCTGTTACAACTACTTGACTGTCTTGTAGCCAGAAAGCAGCCAAAAGCAACATGTCTGCAAATTGGCGTGGCTGTGTTCCAGTAAAACTTTATGTATAATCATGGAAATTTGAATTTCATTTAATTTTCACATGTCACAAAATATTATTCAACAATTTTAAGATATAAAAACATTCTTAGCTTGCAGAACATACAAAAGCAGGTGGTAGGCTGGATTTTGTCCATTGTCTGTAGTTTGCTGATCCTTGATCTAGACTACCTCAAGTTAGTAACAGAATTAAAGGATCAATTCTTCTTGTGTGTCCATGTGTCCAAAATATTAGCTAGAGTTATGTTACCTTACCTTGTCTTTAGATCTATTTGGCTTGGACCATGCTACAGTATGGATATCTGGCCCCTCCAAATCTCACGTTGAAATCTGATCTCCAGTGTTGAAGACATGGCCTAATGGGATCATGATGTGGACCCCTCATGAATAGATGAATGCCCTCCTGAGGGAGGATGAGTGAGTTCCCATTCTTATTAGTTCCCACAAGAGCTGGTTGTTAAAAAGAGCCTGGTGCCTCCTTCCCTCTCTCTTGTTTTCTCTCTCACCAAGTGATCTCTCCCTGCACTGGCTCCCCTTCACTTTCACCTTCTTACATGAGTGAAAGCAGCCTCAGGTTTTCACCAGATGCCAGATTTTCAGCCAGCAGAATCATGAGACAAATACAACTTTTCCTTTATAAATTAATCAATCTCAGGTATTCCTTTGTAGCAACACAAATGGACCAAGACCACTATTCCACAAGGTGCAAAGCTAAAGATGAAAGTCTTTATAGCTCTCTCTCTCTCTGTCTTACTCTATTCTTTTCCTTTTCCCCTAACCCACACTTATTTTTTTTTTTTCACCTATACCCATCCCTGAGTTTCAATCCAGGTATAACATAGTATGGTTTGGCAATATCTTTTGTTGACCTGCATTTGCTAACATTTTTAAACAATGAGAAAAAATTACAAGAATAGGAATACTTTGTGATGTGTTAAAATTATATAAAATTAAAATTTCTGTGACCATAAATAAGACTTTTTTGGAATATAGCCCATGCCAACTTGTTTAGATATTGTTCATGTCATGGCTGCTAACTTTACCCATTTGAAGGTCAGCTTACAGAAGTGGTAACAAGTGAAACAAAATAATAATAGTGAACATTTATTAAGTTGTTTTTATGCTAGACACTTTTCTGAGTGATTTACCCATAATTACTAACTTGTAGACAATGATGCTTCCTTCCTAGTATGGTTTAGGTACCACAATTTTAGATAATTTTTCTCAACTTTCAATAGTCTAATTGTGTTTTTCTAATCACTCTATTCACAAAGCTATTGAATTGATGTAGAGTTTTGGCACAAACTTGTTTACTTACTTTTCTTTCCTGTTATAAATATTATACATAAATATTCTCAAAATAACTACATTTATGAAACATAAGCAGTCCTGAAAGCTAAGAGGTTAATCTTGAGAATTTAGCTGTTATAATTATAGTCACATTTCACAGATGAGGAAGTTCAAGCCCAAATACGTTAATTCTGGTCCTATAAGCAATAGATGTAAGATAGAATTATATATGCAAGATAAGAAATTACCTGTGAGAAAAATATGGAGGTAAAGGAGAGACTGGGGCAGCCTCCAGACCATAATGCAGATCTCAGCCCTGTGGATGGGAGAGAAGGACAAGAGACTGGGTAAGAAAAGTCATAGACTGTGCAATTCTTAGTAAGTTTTAGTAGAGCCTATAAGGAGATCATGAGCCAAAGTTGTGCCTCAAAGTAAGCATTCAGTTCCCAGGAGCATGTCTGTCCTTGCATCCCTTCCACATTCAGTTTTTGGCTATGATCAGCCTGGAGATGTGACCTCAGTATGAATGTGGGGGTAGATTTCAGAGCTTGGCAGAGGGGCGCATCTGTCAGTTGGGCTTCCTGCAGTTGCAGATCTGAGAGCCATGTTCTCTTGCCTTCCATGCTTAGGATGTTGAGTTCCATGCTCAAGATCTATGGGTTCCTTAGAGTATGGACAGAATTAGAAATGAGGCTGTCAGATTTTCATTCCAAAAACCACAATGTCCAATCATGCCTTTACCCAATGATTGGCCCCATTTTGAGCTAGTTCCTCATCAGTGTATTTATTCTCACTCTTTCATTATCAAGCATCTTAATAATGTAAGAGTAATGACTGCAGTCAGGCCAATGCTTTGTTGAGGCAATGAGTGATCGAGTGTTAATATGGAAAGATCTCGAAGTATAAAATAAAAATACTAAATCATAAAGGTTGATAATGAGTTAACTTTTAGAGCATGCAAGGGATTAAAACAAGTTCAGGCATTACTGAAATAAAGAAAGTATATTTATTGTGTGTAAGAGTATTGGGGGATCACTTACCTGCCTGGAATAATCTTTTCTGACTCCTCATGTGGCTTGCTCCTTGTCATTCCTGGCTAGCAAGGATGATATTTGTGGCTGCCTATTGTACTCAAGTTGCCTAGAAAAACACAGAAACACCAAAGCTTATATACTAATACATCATTGGGGTTTTCATTCCAGGACATCAAGAAAGAGTGAAAGCAAAGCAAGGCAGGAAAGAAGGGTAGACCAGACCAAGTATATGGCCATAGCAATTTCCTTTACCACTTTCTTAATGCAGAGATCTGGCCACTAGTTCCTGATAATATATCTCCTCACACTGCTTTCAGGCCCATTCTCATCTGGAATAAGTGCCAGGCATTGGTATGGCCTGTGTCTTCCCCTTTTTATCATGAGCCAGGACTTCCAGTGAAAAGGTTTAACCTTATTGAATTTATGAAGACTCTGGCTTTCCCAGATATAGGAGGCACTGAGTAACACCACCCATAATATGGGGAAGTTACTGTCCCTTGGGCAAAAGTAGACCAATGAAAAACAAGAGGTGAAAAGCACCTGACAAATCTCTCCCTTGCTTTTCCTAAGACTGTTTCAAAACACAGTGTGTCCATGTGGCTTCTCTAATCCACGTGATCCATTCCATAAGATTCTGGTGCTATGTTTGCAGGGAGGCCGTGGCCATTTGGTAATGTGCCAACTTGGTTTGCTTTCTCCTTTTCTTGCTATACTTACCTTTTTTTCTCACTCTTGCTAACCAGAGGTTATGTCCTTAATAAAGCGTGAGCACATCAACATCACCTCAAGTTCTATTATTTTCAAATCCCAGGTTAAGATAGAGACAGAGCAAAACCATGTTATCAATAGGCCTCATAATCAAACACAATCAGGCATGTTGTCACACAAAATACTTCAGGCAGAGAGCTTGGAACCCTCGTGCTTCCAAAGAAGGTCTCTGGAGGAGGAAGGGAAGGAATCTGTTGACTCTTTCTGGTCTCCTATCTTTCATTAGTCAAGAATCGCCCCATTGGGCAACGACTCCCATATTTCTGGGTTGTGTTACTACCTCTCAGGTAGGTACTAGGAAGCCACATTCCATACTCTGTGGCCCACTGCTTTATTTGAATCTGGAAGGGGTAGAAGAAGCAAGAGCCTGAATGGACCTGGCCTGGCTGGGCTTTAGATGCCAGAGCTATTGTGGACTCCCCACACCAGGCACAATGAAAGCCATGCTGCTGCCTACATCTCACCCCAGGGGAAGCCCAGGCAGCCTGCACAACTAGCAGATAGTGTAACACCAGCAACTATCAGGGCTTTCTATGGAGGGAGAGAACTGGTCTCAGGAGGCAGGTGGGTTCAAGCAAATCTGGGGCAGGGCATGATCTGAGTCTGATATCCCAAAGGTAAATCCCCTCCTGTTATTTTTCTGTTCATTATTTTTATAGTACTATCACAATCGGCAATTATTTATTTTTGAGTTTTCTACTTGTTTACTTTTGATTTTCCTTAGTAGACTGTAAAATATTTTGAAGGATAAAATTACGATGATTCTGCTCAACCTTATATATCAAGCAGTTAGCACAGTAGCTGACATAGAGTTGGTAATTGTAATATGCATTGAAACAAGGAGCAAGGAAGAAAAAGAGGGACACAGAGGAAAGGAGGAATGGAAGGAAGGCAAAAACTGATTAAAAACAAGAAACAGAGAAATGCTGCTGCTACATAAAGCTGTAAATGACATCATTATAAATAATTTTTCATAGGTTCTTGGAATCAGACAGTTCTGAATTCATGTTCAAGCCCCACCAACTAACTAGTATACATAAAAATCTTTCCTAAGCAACAAAATTAACTTTCAAGATGATTTTAAACATTTTTAAAGAGAATGAATAGCATTCCATTTTAATTAAATTATTTACCTAACATTTAAACATAGTAAATAAACAGCTGCAATTCAAACTCAAGTTGATTCCCGAACCTTTCCTCTTCTAACAATGTTGTATTGTAGTTTTCTATCAAACCTGTCTCTTTTTCTTGTGTAGGCAGTTATTTGAAGGTAGTTTTAGCAATAACCAGTATAGGGAATAATTTCCTCAAGGAGTAAAATCTCAGAAGAGGAAACTGAGCCTTAGAGATGTGAAAGGAAATTTCAGAAGAATTCTTGTAGCTTTTCCATGAATTGACATAGTGTCCAACTGCCTATAGATGGAAAAAAAGCGTAACAATATTTTGTACTTTTTTACATCAAAAAAAGGTAACGTTCATCAGTTTTAGAAAATGGGCAAGATGAAAACTGCAATATGAATGGACAGATTCTGATTAGGAGAGTCTAAGGTACTTGAGAAGGAAAAAGCATCTTTATAGTTCCTTGGAAGGGGGAAGGATGGCGGGGAGGCAACATCCCTCTTTCTACACTGCCCCATGCTTCTTCCCCTTCCCATTTAGAATATGACAGAAGCCAGTCTGAAGGCCCCCATATGCTAACAAAGCAGAAAGACAAACTATCCAGGGAGGTCAAGCACTCAGGAAGTAGAAAATCAAGCAGAGTGATCACAACATCGACTCAGTGAAAGAGAACAGCTGAGGCTTTAAATGAAAACTTGAGTAAAAATATGATCAGAGCACTTAGGAGAAAAGTATCTTCCGACATGTACTTTGGAGTTTAAAAATAATCATGATTTTTCCATTAAGCAATCAGTAGACTACTATTAAAAGCTTTATTATTGACCTAGAAGAACAAGTGAGAAAAATATCCAAAAGGACAGAACAAAATATAAAAACCTGAAACACTGGAGAAAAAAATGAGACATTTGGAGGCCAGATCCCTACTGTCCATGATAGACACACAGTAGGACCACTTAGATTTCCTTTGATTGTTCCAGCTATAAGTCCCTTCAGGGTCTGCTGCAGGAGCAGTGACCTACAATACCTCTTCCTCAGAGTGGTCCACATCTAATGACCAATCTACATTGGGGTATAAAGGCCCAAACATTTTGGTCCAACTCTGGACAACTCTGATGGGCCGTGTGTATTTCCAGAGCTCCAGAGAGGGTTGGCAGAGTTTCTGCCAGGCCTTTGACATGAGTCAGTGTCTTTGTGTATCCAACCTTACTTACTTTCTCTCTTTTCCAAAGGAGTTCTCAAAAAACAAACAAACAAAAAACCAAAAAATTCCTGCAGGTCAAACTCCATCTCAGCATCTTCATGGAAAGATGCTACCACATCTGATGCTGAGAGTGTTCTCAGAAAGCAGGTGAGGTATTGGAGATAGCTCACTTGTGTTCAGCTGGCAAAAAGGACAACCTCCTGCTGATAGGTGGGTCATTGTCCGCCGCTGTTACCCAAAGTGGGCACATGTTACCAGAAGACACTGTAAAGGACTCATGGAACCAACAGCTATGACAGTTGCCTGGGCATGCCAGTACCCTTGTGTCCAGGGAACAGAATGGATGGAAAAGAATGACCATCTTGGGAGGGGTCATTGAGTCTTCTTAGCATGGACATGTTGGGCTGTGGTTATAAAATGGGCACAGAGAGGAATATGTGTGGCACCCAGGTGATCCACTAAGGCATATTTTGGTAGTTTCTTGCCCAGTTGTGACTCCTAAAATATAATTTCACAACTAAAAAGTATGAAATAAATATACATTTTATTGCGGAAAAAGAACTGCAATTCAAGAATCTTATCTTCAGCTCATTACATATATACACACGCACATTATATGTGTCTGTATGTATTTGCCACCAGTAAAAAATCTGAAAATTTAATTTTAAAAGTGATATGACTTACTTAAAAATAGATTAAATCTGTGAGAATGTACATTTTTCTTACCATGGAGATAGAATTTAGCACACTAAGACTGTTAACAATTAAAGTTAATAATACTATTGGTAGGAATGTGTACATTTTGAGGTTCAAAAATTTGAAATTGCTTAAATCCTTGATTCTTCTATATAGACTATAATATTTATATTTCAGAGACCATTCTTTCTACAGGGGCTAAAATAATGTAACCTCAGAGAAAAGTCTTCTAAATAAAGATTATTCTCAGTTCTATTTTTTCTATATTAAATCGTGAAAATTAAAACTTTACTATTCTCAGAGGTACTGCTTCTTTTCCTCCATTTAGGGTACATTTCTTCAAATATTTTGATACAAGACTAATCAAATAATTTCCATATTCATACTTTTGATGTTTCAAAATTAGATGCTACAAGCTCAGGCCTCATCAATTTCATTTTACTGTTATTAAATATGAATTGAACCAAGTCACAGTAACAGCTTCAATGAATTTTTTAATCAAGTCAAGATGTTTCAAAGCACAATTAAGAAATTTTAAAATTATATCTTACACATTATTTGAACACCCATTTTTTAATTTATTAAATTCTTACTCTCATTTTTGTTGTAATTAATGTAAATTACTTCCCATATGCAAGCTTTGTTCTCAGTTCAATAAAACTGCCAAAATCTAAAGTTTGGTATAATTTTATTTTTTAAATATTTGATTAATGTATTCCAACGGATTTTGATTTTTAAAACAAGAATTAAGCAGAATTTAGAGGGTTCAGTTACGGCACATAAATATTAATATGATAAATTCCAATGTAGTTCACATCTGGTGGATTTGTAAGTAGTTGTTATAAGACTCAAATTTTTCTAAAATCTAATTGATGATGGACAGCAATGAGAAAACCTGCACATTGATGTATAACTTCTTAGATTTACTTTAATTGCGATAAAATACATATAATGTAAAATTTACCATCTTAACCATTTTTGAGTGCACAGCTTCCAATACTATTAAGTATATTCACATCGTTGTGAAACCAATCTACAATTTTGTTTATCTTGCAAAACTGAAAATCTATAGCCATTAAATAAAAGCTTCCCATTTCCTCCTCCTCCCAGACTTTGGCAACCATCATTCTACTTTTTATCTGTATGAATTTGATTAATCTAGGTACCTCATATTAGTTGAATCATACAACATTTATCTCTCTGTGGCCAGTTTATTTCACTAACATAAATTCTTCAAGGTACATCCATAATGAAACATGCATCAAGATGTCCTTCTTTTCAAGAATGAATAACTTTCATTGATATGCATATATGTACCACATTTTGTTTATCCATTCATCTGTCAATAGAAACTTGGTCTGCTCTGCCTTTTTACTATTGCAAATAATGCAACTATAAACATGAGTGTACAAACATTTCTTTGTAGCCCTACTATCCATTATTTTGGGTATATACCGAAAAGTGGAATTGCTTAATTATATGGTAATTCTATTTTCAATTATTTGAGTAACTGCCTGATATGGTTTGGCTCTGTGTCCTCACTCAAATCTCATTTTGTAGCTCCCATAATTCCCAACTGCTGTGCAAGGGACCCGGTGGGAGATGATTGAATCAGGGGGGCCGGTCTTTCCCGTGCTGTTCTTGTGATAGTGAATGGGTCTCATGAGATCTGATGGTTTTAAAAACGGGAGTTTCTCTGCACAAGCTCTCTTCCTGCCTGCTGACATTCAGGTAAGATGTGACTTGCACTGCCTTGCCTTCTGCCATGACTGTGAGGCCTCCCCAGCCATGTGGAACAGCAAGTCCAATAAACCTCTTCCTTTTGCAAATTGCCCAGTCTGGGGTATGTCTTTATTGGCAGTGTGAAAAGAGACTAATACACTGCCATATTGTTTTCCATAGTGGTTTCACTATTACACATTACCAACAGTACACAAGTGTTCCAATTTCTCCACATCCTCACCAACACTTCTTATTTCCTGGGATTTTTTAAAAAGTTTTTTCTTATTTTTAAGTTTTTGGGTACATAATAGTTATATATATTTATGGGATACATGAGATGTTTTGATACAGGGATGCAATGTGAAATAAGCACATCATAAAATATTTCCTGTGATATTTTTTAGAGTAGTCATCCTTTATTTTATTTTATTTTATTTTAGTTTTAGGTTTTTTTTTATTATACTTTAATTTCTGGGATATATGTGCAGAATGTGCAGGTTTGTCACATAGGTATACACGTGCCATGGTGGTTTGCTGCACCCATCAACCCCTCATCTATCTACATTAGGTATTTCTTCTAATATTATCTGTCCCGTAGCCCCCAACCCCCGACTGACTCCCGTGTGTGATGTTCCCCTCCCTGTGTCCATGCGTTCTCATTGTTCTACTCCCGCTTATGAGTGAAAACATGCGGTGTTTGGTTTTCTGTTCCTGTGCTAGTTTGCTAAGAATGATGGTTTTCAGTATCATCCATGTCCCTGCAAAGAACATGAACTCATCCTAATGGGTCAAAAGTAATATCTTATTTACTATTGTTTTGATTTGCATTTCCCTAATAATTGATAGTGCTGAGCATCTTTTCATGTATATGATGGCCATTTCTATATCTTCTTTGGAAAAATATCTATTCAAGTCCTTTGCTCATTTTTAATTGGGCTGTTTGTTTTTTGTTGTTGAGTTACAAGAGTTGTTGATATATTTTAGATATTAGCTCTCCATATCAGATATATGATTGGTAAATATTGTATCTCATTCCATAGGTTGCCTTTTCACTCTTTTAAGTCTGTCTTTTTTTGTACAGAAGTTTTTAATATTAGTGTAGCTCAATGTATCTATTTTTTACTTTTGTTGCTTATGCTTTTAGTGTTATATCCCAAAAAAGCATTGCCAAATTCAATGATGTGAAGCTTTCCTGTATATTTTCTCCTAAGAGTTTTATAGTTTTAGGTCTTATATTTAAATATTTGATCCATTTTTAGTTAATTGTTGTAAATTGTGTCATGTAAGGATGAAATATGGATATACAGCTTTCTGAGCATCATTTCTTGAAAAGACTGCCCTACCTTCACTGAGGGATTTTGCCATCCTTATCAAAGATCACTACCATATAATTAACAGTTTATTTTGGGTTCTCTACTTTATATCATTGCTCTACATACTTGGTTTTATACCAGTACCACACTGTTTTGATTACTATAGCTGGGTGGTAAGTTTTTAAATTGGGTAGTATGAGACATCCAACTTTTTTTGAAGATTATTTTGCCCATTCAAGACAAAAAAATTGTCACTTAATTGTAATTCAATTTATTTTGTCCAAATTCATATAAACTTTCAAGATTCATATGGACCCTTGAGAATCCATATTAATTTTAGGATATGCTTTAATAATATTTGCCAAAAAAATCAATAACATTTTCATGGGTATTGCATTAAATCTGTAGATCACTTTGAGATGTATGGACAATCTTAACAATATTAACTCTTCCAATCTATAAACATGGAATATCTTTCTATTTATTTGTCTCTTCTTCAATTTTTTAGCAGCATTTTATAGTTTTCAGTGTATATAACTTTGTCTCTTAACTTTTTTTGGCATTTTATTTATTTTTGCTGTTAGCATAATTAGAATTATTTTCTTAATTTATTTCTTTGAATTGTTAATTATTAGTACATCTAGAGTATAGAAATGCAACTAATTTTTGCATGTTGATTTCCTATTCTGCAACTTTGACAAATAAATTTATTCATTCTAACAATTTGTGTGTGTTTCCGTGTGTGTATGAAATCATTACAGTTTTCTACATATATGAACATATCATCTATGAATGAAAATAATTTTGTTTCTTTCTTTTTCATTTCAATTTATTTGTATTTCTTTGTTTTGTCCAATTGTTCTGGCTGGGAATCCCAGTACTATGTTTAGGAGAAGTGGCTAAAATGGGTATCTTTGTCGTCTCCTGTTCTTAGAAAAAAATATTTTAGTCTTTTACTTCTAAGTATATTAGCTATGGGATTGGCATAGATTATCTCTACTATGTTGCTGTAATTTTCTTCTATTCCCAGTTCATTTAGTGTTTTTCTTATAAAAGCATATTTGATTTTGTTAAATACTTTTTCTTCTTCACTTGAGATAAACGTGTTTTGTTTTGTTTTATTCTGATAATGCGGTGCAATATCTTCCTTGATTCTCATATGTTGAATCATCCTTGCACTCGGAATAAAGCCTACTTGGCCATACCATATAATTATTTTAATCTGTTGTTGAATTCAATTTTCTAGCATTTTACTGATGCTTTTGCATTGATACTTGTGTTAGTTTGTTTGCATTGCTATAAAGGCTGGGTAATTTATAAAGATAAGAGGTTTATTTGGCTCATAGTTCTGAAAGCTGTACAGGAAGCTTGACACTGGAATCTTCTCCTGGTGAGGGCCTCAGGAAGCTTCTAATCATGGCATAAGGTGAAGGAAAAGCAGGTGTGTCATATGGCGAGAGAAGAAGCAAGAGAGAGAGAGACGAGCAAGTGCCAGGGTCCTTTTAAACAATCAGCTTTCATATGAATAGAGTGAGAACAGCATCAAGTCATTCATGAGGGATCTACACCCATGATCCGAACACCTCTCACTAGACCCCACTTTCAAAATTGGGGAATCACATATCAACATAAGACTTAGAGGGGACAAAAATCCAAACAATATTATTTTGTCCTGGGTCCCCCAGATCTTATGTTCTTCCCACATTGCAAAATATAATCATCCTTTCCCAATAGTCTCCAAAGTCTTAACTCTTTCCAGCATCAACTCAATCCAAAGTCCAAAGTCCAATGTCTCACCTAAGACTGAAGGAAAATTCCTTCCCCGCATGAACCTGTAAAATCAAAATCAAGTTATTTACTTTCACCACACAATGGTGGTACAGGAATTGAGTAACCATTCCCATTCCAAAAAGGGAGACATTGGCCAAAAGAAAGGGATAACAGGCCCCAAAAGTCTAAAATTCAACAGGGCAGGCATTAAACTTTAAAACAGAAAAATAATTTTGACTCCATGCCTGGCATTCAGAGCACATTGGTGCAGGGGGTGGCCTCCCAAGGCCTTAGGCAGCTCTGCCCTTGTGGCTTTTCCATGCTAAGGGTGAAAGTTACTGGTGGCTCTACCATTCGGGGGTCCGGATGGCAGTTGCCCCATTTCCATAGCTCCACCAGGCAGTTCCCTGGTGGGGATTCTGTGTGGGCGCTCCAAGCCCATGTTTTCCCTTGGAACTGTCCTGGTAGAGTATCTCTGTGTGGATTCTGCCCCTGCAGCAGTCTTCTTCTTGAGAATCCAGGGTTTCCAATGTATCCTTATGAAATCAAGGTGGAAGCTGCCAGGCCTCTTTCACTCCTGCAAACTTACTACCTCATAGAGGCCACCAAAGCTTGTATCTTGCACTGTCAAAGTGGCACCTGAGCTCTACCTGGGGCGTTTTGTGCTGCTTTTGGAGCTGGAGCAGTGCAGTGTAGGAAGCAGTCTCCCTTTCAGTCATGCAAATCTAACAAGTGGTTGCTCCATAGCCTGCTTAGATTCTTCCTCTGAAAATGATATTTCATTCTCTAGCACATGACCAAGCTGCCAAGTTTCCAAATTTTTACACTCTGCTTCCCTTTTAAATATAAATTCCAACTTTAAGCCATTTATTTGCTCCCATATCTAATCATAGGCTGTTAGAAGCAGTGATGGCACCTCTTGAATGCTTTGCTGCTTCGAAATTTCTTCCACCAAATGTCCTAAGTCATTGTGTGTGTGTGTGCACAGGCGTGTGCTCGACGGAGTTTTGCTCTTATTGCCCAGGCTGGAGTGCAATGGCATGATCTTGGCTCACCGCAACCTCTGCCTCCCGGGTTCAAGCGATTCTCCTGCCTCAGCCTCCCGAGTAGCTGGGATTACAGGCATGCACCATTACGCCCGGCTAATTTTGTATTTTTAGTAGAGACAGGGTTTCTCCATGTTGGTCAGGCTGGTCTTGAACTCTTGATCTCAGGTGATCCGCCCACCTCAGCCCCCCAAAGTGCTGGGATTACAGGTGTGAGCCACTGTGCCAGGCCCTAAGTCATCATTCTTAAGTTCAGATTTCCACAGATCATTAGGACACGAAACAGTGCAGCAAAGGTTTGTGCTAGAGTATAACGAGGGTGATCTTTGCTCCCATTCCCAGTAAGTTTCTCATTTCCATTTGAGACCTCATCAGCCTGGACTTCACTGTCCAGGTTTCTATCAGCATTTTGGTCACAACCACTTAAGAAGCCTCTAAGAAGTTTCAAACCACCCTTTGTCTTTCTGTCTTCTTCTGAGCCCTCCAAACTCTTCCAACCTCTTCCCATTACCCAGTTCAAAGCCACTGCCACATTTTCAAGTATGTTTATAGTAATACCCCACCCCTCCATACCAATTTTGTGTTAGTCCATTTGCATTGCCATAAAGGAATACCTGAGGCTGGGTAATTTATAAATAAAAGAGGTTTATTTTGGCTCATGGTTCTGCAGGACGAACAGAAAGCATGATACCAATATCTGCTCCTAGTGAGGACCTCAAAAAACTTCCAATCATGATTGAAGGTGCTGTGTGAGCAGGTGCATTACATGGAGATATAGGAATCAAGAGAAAATAGGAGGTTACAGGCTCCTTTGAAACAACAAGCTCCTGAATGAACTAATAGAGTCAGAACAGCACCAAGCCATTCATGAGGGATCTTTCCCAATGATCTAAACACCTCTTACTAGGCCCCACCTTCAAAACTGGGGAATCACATATCAACATGAGATTTGGAGGGAACAAACATCCAAGATATCACAATGGTCATCAGACAAATTAGTCTGTAATTTTTGGAGGGAACACTCTTAATTGGTTTTCCTATCTAAGTAATGCTGGCTGTACAGAATGAGTTTGGAAATGTTCTCTTCCAATTTTTGTAAGAGTTTGAAGATTTTTTTCAATGCTTACTTTAATATTTAGTAGAATTCATCAGGAATGCCATATGGTCCTGGGCTTTTCTTTTGGGGAAGTTTTTGATTACTGATTGAATCTCCTTGTTAATATCTGTCCATTTTATTGTGGTTACCCAGTTGTTGGCATAGAATTGGTCATAGTATTCTGTTATAATCATTTTTTTATTTCTGTGAAATTGGGTATAATGTTCCTCCTTCATTTTTATCTTAGTTATTTGAGTCTTGCTTTTTTTTTAGTCACTCTAGCTAAAGGTTTATCAATTTTGTTGATCTTTTTACAAAGAAAATTGTTGATCTTTAGTGTCATTGATTTTCTCTATTGTTTTACTATTCTGTATTTTGTTTATTTCTGCTGTTATTTTTATTATTTATTTCCTTCTGCTTGCTTTGGGTTTAGTTTGTCCATCTTTCTCTAGCTCCTTAAAGTGTAAAGTTAAGATTGTGATATAGTTTGGATGTGTGTTCCTGCCCAAATCTCACTGAAATGTAATCCTCAATGTAGGAGGTGGGGCCTGTTGGAGATGATTGGATCATGGGGGCAGATTTCTCATAAATGCCTTAGCACCCTTCCCCTTTGTACTGTTCTCATGATAGTGAGTGAGTGCTCATGAGATCTGGTCATTTAAAAGTGTGTAGCACCTCCCCCCTCACTCTCTTGCTCTTGCTCTGGCCATGTAACGTGCCTGCTCCCCCTTAGCCTTCAACCACAATTGTAAGTTTCCTGAGGCCTCCCCAGAAACTGAGCAGATCCCATCATGCTTCCTGCAGAATCATAAGCCAATTAATCCTCTTTTCTTATAAATTACCCCATCTCAGGTATTTCTTCATACCAGTGCAAGAATGGTCTAACACAGGTTGATTTATTTCTTTTTGTTTAAAGTAAGTGCTTATGGCTCTAAATTATCCTGTTAGTTAGTACTGCTTTCACAGCATTCAATAAGTTTTGGTAAATTGTGTTTTCATTTTTGTTTGTCTCAAGATATTTTCTAACTTCTTTTATGATTTCTGCTTTGATTCACTGGTTGTTTAATAGTAGTGGATTATTTAATTTCCACGTATTTTCAATTTTCTAGTTTTACTTCTGCTATTGATTTTTAGTTTCATTTCATTGTAATCAGAGATGCTTCTTTGTGTGATTGCAATATTTTAAAAGTAATTGAGAATTTTGCTGTGGCCTACTGTATGTTCTATCTTGAAGATTGTTCCATGTGCACTTGAGGAAAATGCATGTTCTGTTGTTGGTTGGAAAAGTGTTCTGCATATTCTCATTTTGTTCATATATTATTTTTCTGATTTTGTTTAGTTGTTTGTACATTCTCTCCTTGAACTTCATGAGCATATTTAAGACACTTAGAGTTTCTACTTCAATTGGTAGAATGCTATGGTTTATTTGAATGGAATTATTAATTATGTGTGTACCACAATCAAACCCAAGTATATTTGTGTTTCATCCATTTATTAATTTTGCAAGAGCTTTATTTTTAACACAGGACTGAGCTCTACCAAAATTATTTGTGTAATCACTATAAAAAACTATTTTATATTTAATTATGAATTTTTAAATTTGAAATCTCCCTCAAGATAATTTTAGACTTTTTGACTAAACATTAATGTTCAATTTCAAATTTAATTTTTAAAATCAGACCATTATTTAAATCACTCTAACTCATTTTCTACTTGAAATGTTACATGGCACTGATATAAAGCTAGCATAAATCATCTATTTGTAAGTGCCCTTTCTGTTAATTTAGGAAAACATATCGATAGCTACATTTTACTTTTTCTACCCTCAAAAGGAAACTCATAATTGAAATGAGCAAAGTTAAATAAAAACAACAATAATTTAAGCTAATAAAAAGTCATATTCCCAAGATGATATGCAAATACAACTTGTGCTACTGCAGGTGGTAACTTGTCACTTTCAGGAGCAGTTTCACTAAAATAAATACTAACTTTTGAAGTAGTTGCTGACGTTTTAGTAGCTTTGCGTCATCTGTTTTTTTATGTACCCAGTCATATCAGTATGGTTTCATGGTTAATGATAAATGTCAAAAAAGAATTTGTGAAAATTAACTGTTTTCCAACATCTTTCTTAAGTAGCAGAAATACAGTATTTAAATTTTCATTAAATATGTGCTTTTGCTTCCTAGTGCTCATTGTTTCCAAAAGAGCTCATTGCTAAATGAAAAAAATGACAAAATAATAAAATAAATATATGTACAATAAATGACAAAACCACAGGAGCAGATTGTTCAGACTACTTTAAATATGATCTATGGCAATTCTGCTCAGCTGCTATTTCCTGCACATATTTTATGCACATCTAATCCCAAATTACCCATGTTTCTTATAACT
Source organism: Homo sapiens (assembly GCF_000001405.40). Classification (NCBI taxonomy): domain Eukaryota; kingdom Metazoa; phylum Chordata; class Mammalia; order Primates; family Hominidae; genus Homo; species Homo sapiens. Next base: position 18,819,024 of record NC_000004.12, on the reverse strand, counting down.
CACTGACTGGTGGCCTGGAGTTTTCTGTCTCAAAGACCAGAGTATAAGCCATGACACAATTGGTTAGTATCACCATAATGACAAATGGGAGTTAGCTCTCCCTAGCCTCAGGAATCAGAGCACACCTAGTTTTATCAACCAGTGCTCTGCCTTGGATTTAGATAGTGCCAGGAAAAAAGAAGATTTAACGACATAGTGAAGACAAAATTCTGTTAATTGCACATGCATTATTATGGCAAAAGATGAAAGTACAAAGGAAGAAATTCTTTTTCTCTCAGCCCAGATGATTTAAGTGCAACTATTAATACCAATATAAATTAAAAGGAAAAAGTTTGAATAAATCCCCAACAGAAAAGGCTGGCAGTACAAATGTAAGTACATACCATATCAAGGAAATGTGAATATATGGTCACTCTATGTATCTATGTATCTGTGTATCTATCTATCTATCTATCTATCTATCTATCTATCTATCTATCTTTCTATCTACATCACCACTCATTATCCATCTCCAGTTTATGAATAAAGAAGCATAAGACTATCTTGGAGCTATCTGGGGAGGTTTCATCATGCTAGTAGAAGGTACTCCCCCATTGTCTCTTTTTTTCTAACACCATTTCTTCAGTTACCCCAGGTCCAAACTAAAATGAAGATAACAACAGGGTGCCTCTTAAAGAGATTGGTGTGCTTATCAGAAGGGACACTGACATCAAGTTTTATTTGCTGAGTTATACAATTTTAAAGGTCAACCTTGTTCTGCTACTAGATGAGAGCATGTTGAGTATTTTCTTTGCAAAATTTGCCTAGTAGTTTTGGTTATATAAGAAAATTGATGTCTGAACCTCCCTTTGGACACGAATTTTAAATTCTGGCTGAAATGCTTGGAACTGCACTGCAAAGAGAGCTAAGACAGCCTGGACTAAATAAACAAAAACTCAAGTTTTATCAAAACGTAAAGAAAGCTGAGCTAGAGTTTTCTTAAAATAATATAACCAAAAAGTTCTGTCTTCCAGTTTTGGGGCCTCAGTAGGAAGATAAATAGCTAAGGGGATTGAATAAATAAAGAATTGAAGTCTTAGTGTTAAGCTTTACTGTACTTTAGAAAATTCCTAGAAATAAGAGTCTGTTTACATATGTAACTGACAAGATAAGCTATAGGACCTAGTTCAAGTATTACACTGGAAAGGGGAGGCATGATGAAGGAAAGAAAGAAAGAAGCAAATTGCTTTCTGCTTGCACACCTAAGCGCAGCACTTTCAATATACTAGAGATAGACATATAATATGTTGAAAAGTATTTAGGATAGGCTATCAACATTTTTTTAAAAATTTGAGTACAGAAGTAGGAAAGGCCATTTTATCTTGAAATCATCATAGACATTTAGGTTGTTTCCACATTTTGGCTGTTGTGAATAATGCTGCCATGAACATGGGAATGCAGATATCTCTTTGAGATCCTGATTTCAATTCTTTTTGAAATATATCCAGAAATGGGATTGCTGTATCATCTGGTAGTTCTATTTTTAATTTTTTGAGGAACCTACATACTGTTTTTCATAGAGACTGCACAATTTTACATTACTACCAACAATATACAAGGTTCCTATTTCTCCATATCTTGCCAAGACTTATCTTGTGTTTGAGTCTCTGTGTGTGTGTGTCTGTAACAGACATCCTAACAGGTATGAGATGATATCTTATTGTGGTTTTGATTTCCATTTTTCTGATTTTCTGAATTTATTTGTGTTGCCATAAAAAGATATCTGAGGCAGGGTAATTTATAAAGAGAAAACTTTATTTGGCTCATGATTCTTCAGGTTATACAAGAAGCACCACATCAGCATCTGCTTTTGTTGAGGGCTTCAGGAAACTTCCCTTCATGACAGAAAGCAAAGGGGAGCTGGCATTTAGTGATCACATAGGGAGAAGTGAGAGAGGACAGGAAGGTGCCATCCTCTTTTTTTTTTTTTTTTTTAGAAGGAATCTCGCTCTGTTGCCCAGGCTGGAGTGCAATGGCGTGATCTCGGCTCACTGCAACCTCCGCTGCCCAGGTTCAAGTGATCCTACTGCCTCAGCCTCCCGAGTAGCTGGGATTACAGGCCTGCACCACCACGACCAGCTAATTTTGTATTTTTAGTTGAGACGGGGTTTCTCCATGTTGGTCAGGCTGGTCTCAAACTCCCAATCTCAGGTTTTCTGCCTGCCTTGGCCTCCCAAAGTGCTGGGACTACAGGCATGAGCCACCACGCCCAGCAGCCATCCTCTTTTTAACAATCAGTTATTGTGGGAACTAATAGAGTGAGAAGACATTCATGAAGGATCCTTCCTATGACTCAAATACCTCCCACCAGGCCCCACCTCCAATACTGGGGATCAAATTTCAACAGAGATGTAGAAGTGACAGACACAAAGTATATCATTCTTTTCCTTACTTCCAAGTCTCATTCATGTCCTTCTTGCAGTGCAAGATACAATCATTTCTCCTCAATATTCCCCCCAAATCTTAACTTGTTCTAGCACTAAATCAAAAGTCCAAAGTCTAAAGTCATCTGAAACTCAAAGCAAGTTCCTTCTAGCTATGCATCTGTAAAATCAAAACCAAGTTATTTACTTTCACAATACAATGGTGGTACAGGCATCGGGTAAACAATCCTATTCCAAAAGAGAGAAATTGGCTAAAAGAAAGGGGTAACAGGCTCTACATATGTGTGGAATTTAGCAGGGCAGACGTTAAAACTTAAAGCTCCAAATTGCCTCCCATGAGTCCATGTTCTGCATTCTGGGTGCACTGGTGCTAGCCGTGGGCCCCTAAAACCTCAGGCAGTCCTTTTAATGGCTTTTCTGGTTACATCCCACACGGCTGCTTTTACAAGCTAGAGTCAAATGCCTGTAGCTTTTCCAGATTGAGGGTTCAAGTTGCCACTGGCTCTACCATGCTGGGACCTACAGAGCAGTGGCCCCATTCCCACTGCTCCAGTAGGCAGTGCCCTAGTGGGGAGCAGCCATACTGGGTCACTGACTTTTTCCTTGGCACTGATTTAAAACAGTCTCTTCGCTGGGGCTCCACCCTGTGGCAAGGGGCTCCACCCTGTGGCAAGCGTCTCCTTGGGCACCCAAGCTTTCAGGCACATCCTCTAAAATCTAGATGGAAGTTTCCAAGCCTCCATGACTCTTGCATTCTGTGTGCCTATGGGCTTAGCACCACTTGAAATCCTGCAAGTCTCATTTGCCTTCACCTTTAGTCCAAGAGCAGAAGTCCAAGCAATATCTGAGGCCTTTGGAGCTGTGGTTAAAACTGAACCTGTGGAGATTTGGGAGCAGCATCCCAAGGCAGCACAGGGCAGTGTGCTGGGCCTAGTTCCCAAAACCACTCTGTCCTCCTAGACCTCCAGGACTGTGATAGAAGGACAGCCTCAAAGATTTCTGAAATGCCTTCAAGGGCCTTTTCCCCATTGTTGTGACTAATAGCACCTGGATCCTTTTTTGTCATGCAAATCTCTCTAACAAGTGGTTGCTCTGCAGCTCCCTTGTATTCCTCATCTGAAAATTATCTTTTCTTCTCAATCATATGACCAGGTGGCAAATTTTCCAAGTTTTAATGTTCTCTTTCTCTTTTAATTGTAAGTTCCAACTTTAGGTCATTTCTTTGCTCCCATATCTAATTATAGGTTATTAGAAGCCACCACATCACATCTTGAGTGCTTTGCTGCTTAGAAATATTTTCAGCCAGATACGCTGAATCATCACTCTTAAGTTCAGCCTTCCACAAAGTCCTAGGACATGGACACAATGCATGCAGTCAAGTCCTTTGCTACATCATAACAAGGGTGACCTATGCTCCCAATAAGTTTCTCATTTCTATCTGAGACCTCGTCAGCATGGCCTTTACTATCCATATTACAATCAGCATTTTGGTAACAGCCACTTACGTGGCCTTTAATAAAATCCAAACATTCCCTCACCTTTCTGTCTTCTTCTGAGCCGTCCAAATTTTCCAACCTCTGCCCATTATCCAGTTCCAAATCTGCTGCCACAATTTCAGGTATCTTTATAGCTACATCCCCTCCTCAGAACTGATTTTATTTCTTAATCCATTTGTGTCACTAAAGGAATAACTGAGGCTGGATAATTTATAAAGAAAACATTTTTTTTTGGTCATAGTTCTGCAGGTTGTACAAAAAGCATGGTATTAGCATCTGCTTTTGATGTGAGGGCTTCAGGAAGTTTTCAGTTTTCATGGCAAAGCATGAAGGGAAGCTGCTGTGTAGAGAACATATAACAAGTGAGAGAGATGAAAGGGAGGTGCCAGTCTCTTTTACCATGAGAATGGCACCAAAGCCATTCATGCGATCCAAATACCTCCCACCAGGCCCCACCTCCAACATTGAGGATCAACTTTCAACATGAGATTTTGAAGGGACAAATATTTAAACTATGTCACCGATGATATACCTCTTGATTATTTGTATATCTTCTTTGAAGAAATGTCTATTCAAGGCCTTGACCCATTTTTGTATTGGGTTATTTGGGTTTTTTGCAATTGAGTTGTAAGAGCTCCTTATATTTTTGGCTAGTAAATCTTTATCAGATATATGGTTTACATATGCTTTCTTCTTTTCTATATATTGCCTTTTCATTCTGTTGATTGTTTCCTTGCTGTGCAGAAGTTTTTAGTCGACTGGAAGAATGGATAAAGAAAATGTGATATTTGCATACAGTGGAATATAATTCAACCTTAAAAAAGAAGGAAATTCCACCATATGTGACAAGATTGATGAACCTACATGACATTTTGCTAAGTGAAATAAACCAATCAGAGGAGGACAAATAGTGCATGACCCACTTTTATGAGGAATCATATATAAAATATTCAATCTCATAAACACAGAGAGTAGAATGCTGGTCACCAGAGGCTACAGGGAGGGAGAAATTGACAGTTGCTATTTTAGTTAGTATTGGATTTGTTTTGCAAGATGTAAAAGGTTCTGTAGATGAGTTGTACAACAATGTGAATATGCTTAACATTACTTAACTGTACACTTAAAAATGCTTATGGTAGCAAATTTCTCATTATATGAAGTTTATCACAATTAAAAACAGTCTAAGCAGTACTTAGCAAAGTGCATATTTTCTCTGCTGTTCATTATCAATTATATTTTGGAAAGACTTAAGCCTTAGGCCAACTGAAGTCAGTTCTATGAACATCTACTGTTCATAACAAGGGTGACTGAACATTCTTTTTTCTTTTCCTCATGTTAGCCTTGACTTAGTGGCAGAAGTCTTACACATACCTGTTCAGCAGTTGTGATAAACACCTGTATTAAATTTATCATTCTACTGCAAACAGAATTCTTCAGTCAAGAATACTCTTTATATTTGACAAAACTCCATGTTTGAATGCTTGACGATTGTACTATTCATAAGCACAGGATGTGATTGTGGACATAACTTACTCTGGAACTCCTGCTTATGATAAACTAATTTTAATTTGTCCTCATTTATTTCTGTTGCTTGATTCATACTTTTCATTTGGGAACATGTAAAATCACATGCCTTTTAGTTTACAAAAGAAGTGTGACATTTCCCCCCTTTGATATATAAACATTTATTAATGTTTGAATGGAGCTTTTAAAAGTCAACCAGATTTAATTTGAAACTTATGAATAAAAGATTTGTACTTAGATTAAATTTTCTCTAAGGCACCTGTGTCTTTCCTTTATTGATCATTATGTCACACAAGGAAGTTGTGCTAATTCATTGTGTTGCAATTTTAGTTAATATTTATCTGAATTTATTCATTCAAAGATACACCAGATTCCAGGCATGGGTCAGCAAGCTGAACTTCTTTCTTTGGTGTGCTTTTTAGACAGAATTTTCCTGCAAATCAGACCAAAAATCTTCTAAATTTCAAGTTATTTAAATGGATTGTTTTGCACTCAATTTAAGCAAAGACCTAAAAAACCTAGCTGCATTTCAGATTGCGGTTCAAGACTACCCAGGATTTTATAACAAAACCAATTCACAGTTTTTAACCATTCTCCTACATAGAAAGTATAAGATGTTTAGAAGTTAGAGATACAGGAGAAATTTTAGAGAAATCCAGTGGGTGGTAGAAGTCACACTGTCCCTGGGAGGAAATAGATGGGAGTTCAAATCTAGGCTTTAGATGGAAACTTAGGAGTTATTTGTTCTGGAAACTTGTGAAGCAAAGTAGACTCACTCTGCCTCTTGCCTGGAAAATCTAAAGGGTGAGAGTGAGGCTGATTATAGAGGCCTTTTGAAATGTACCACAGCAACAGCTGTTTGGGAAGTAATTGCCTAGTCTATAAGACAGGCCCAAAGTGACTGGTTCCTATGAACTGATTGTAGAGTACGCATGAGAGAGTAAACTGTAATAAGAGAGATTTATTGTCTCATGTGTGGACAAGCAAGGAATCTCAGAAAAGAAAATACGGATTGTATTTTCTTGTACTTACAAGCTTGGGTAGAAGTTATAATTGATAAGGCAATAAGGTTGACACACTTGTTCATCTAAAAAATTAGAGAGATCACATTGATGGGAAAAGTTCTCACAGAAACCCAGAAACTTCTCAATGAGTTTATTCATCAACTTTAGACATCTTCTAGACCCAGAGAGCACCCAAACCAACTCCTTCACCACATTTTTTGGAATGAAAGAATTTTCCTGACCCTGTACCACTCTTTTCTCCAGTGCTGAAAACTTACCAAGCTCCATTGGTCAGAAATCTGTTAGCAAGGTGAGGGAGAAAGTACAAATGTGATTGCAGTGGAAAGAGATGCAATCTATTAAACCCCATTCCTAACCCTGCAAGAAATCAGCTTGAATCAGGCTCTGGCTACAAGTGGAATGGGAAAATTTACCTTCAAACTAAGTTTTAAGATTTTCATTATTATACTATAGTGGACATACTAATGATTGAATTGAGACTATTTTATGGAAGTTATCAAGAACTCCACATTATCTAAGAGTGAGCAGAAGATTCATGAGCCTTGACTTAATTTTTTTATTCAGATTGATAGGGAGAACCAGTTGTATATATTGAGTTTGAATGAAAAGCAGGGTGTGGGGAATACATGTGATTGTTCTTGTTGTTGTTATTGATGTCTTACTTATTTAACACAATAGTTTTATTTTCCTTACCAGCTTTCATGTGGCAAATACATGATTGTTAACAAATCTATAATTTGTACAAACCAGTCAGGTCTTTGTCTTCTTAAAGTTATTCTGCATACCCAAAGGGCTATGGCTACTGAAAAAGTGGGCTCAATATCATCAAGATCATATTTGCTGTCATCCTTGCTCTAGCGGCTCAATTTTTTTTAAATCTGCCTTTGCCTCCTGCCATATGCATAGAATTTTTCTCATCAAGATCACTCATGGCTGCACTTACTAATTGTTAAATCCAATGGAAAATGTCCAAGCTTTAACACACTTAAACTCTCCCTTCTTGCGTACATCTTTCTTCACATCTTTTGTGACAACTCTTCAAGTTGGACTTACCTTATAAAAATTCAAGTTCTGCAGTGTGACTTTCTGAGTTTGAAACCAATTGCATAGAGCAGTGTGTCTTGGGAAGATCATTTATTCTCCCTAAGTCTTCTTTTCCTCTTGTAAAGTGAGATAATACATGTATATGCACAGTGTCTATTATGTCATAAGCACTTAACAAATGCTAAGTCTCCTTTATCATTTTTATTGTCAGGATCATCTAGTCTTTCATCCTGTCTCTATCTTGAATGTAACCCTTTATGCCAGATGAAATAATTATTTTTATTTCCTAGAGTTATGTCTTTGGCTCTCTTCTCACCTCTTTTTAGTCCTTCATTTCCTATGTAAAGACTGACATTATGAACACTGTGGTCATAGATTCCTTCTTTTCCATCATTCCTCATCTAATTTGTCACTGAACTCTATAAATTCTGCCAGCCAAATATTGCTCAAATCAGTCAACACTTTCTCATTGATATTTTTACAGTTAGGAGTAAAATAAAGAGTTCTGGCCAAAGCACATATAGTTTTTCATGATTTAGTTCCTACCTATCTCTTCTCTCACCACTCTTTCCCCTTTAACCTTCAGTATCAACCATATTTAATTATTTTCTGTTTCCTCAATGCACCAGATTTTCTATTCCTTTCTTGGCTTTGACTAATGCATTCTCTCTGCCAGTACTGTGGCATTTCATTTTAAATTTGATCTAAAATAAATACAAACAAGCTGGGTGTCCCCTGTCTTATTCCATCCTCTCAACAGCCCCATCCTATTTACAGAAAAGAGGTTCAGATAGGTTAAGTAACTTACAACTGGTCCCTCAGCTGGAAATTTTCAGAGACAAGTCTGAAATTATTTAGGGTCTAAATTAAAGTTGGTTAATATTGAATCTCAAGACAGAAATTGATATTTATCTGATAAGGATGTTGAAATATTCAATATTTTGAGTAACTTCTCCAATATTGGATAGGTGGTTGATGAAGGAAAGATGTAAAATTCCTTTTTAAAATTTACTTGGTTGGTTTCTTTAGGTCTTTAGACAAAATGAAAAATAAATCATTATGACACATAGTGACCACAACTTTGACCAAACAGTTTTCCTAACCAAGTTTCTGAACTTGCCCTTTTCCTCTCTGCTATGGGTTGAATGTTGTCCTCTTAAAAGCTCATGTTGAAACTTAATTCCCTGTGTAGCAGTAATGAGAGGTGGGACCTTTAAGAAGTGATTGGGTCATGAGGGCTCTATCCTCATGAGGGTAGAGCCCTCATGACGGAATTAATCCATTCATGGATTGATGGATTAATGTGTTAATTAATTAATGGGTTATCATGGGAGTGGAACAGATGGCTTTGTAAAAAGAGAAAGAGGCCTGAGACAGCATGCTCATCCCTTTCATCACCCAATGCAACAGAAAAGAACTAAGATTATCTGTCCTTCGCCAATGCTCTTTTTTTCATATCTGAAAAAAAATGCTATATCTTCTTCTCTCAGCACTTTCTGACCTAGTTTATGATGATTTGCTTCCTTTCTAAAATCATATATTTCTAATGTACATGATCTGGGCTGGAAACTTAATCTTATGTGACTTGAACTGTTTCTTTTGTCATCTTTTTATATCACTTATTTTTACTAAGGTATACATTATAGAGTAAAATTCATGCTTTTTCTAGTAAAATTTGCTGAGTTTTGCAAATGCGTGCAGTCATGTAACAAACACCAAAATAAAAAAGCTTTGTTAACCCCTCAAATTTCCCCATTTTCCTTTGTAATAATTCTTCCCACATACCCCAACTTCTGACAAAAACTGATCCATTTCCGTGTCTATAGTTTGGTATTTTCCAGAATGCTATTTTCATAGAATCACAGTTAATAGTTTTTGGGAATTGGCTTCATTCACATATCATAATATATTTCAAATTTGTCCACTTTGTTGTGTCTGCTAGCAGTTTGTTTCTTTCTATTGTGAGGTAGTATGCCATAGTTGATATGCCATAGTTTATTTAGCCATTCACTTGTTAATGGACAGTTCAGTTATTTTCAGCTTATGTTTACTATAAATAAATATTTGCTATAAATATTTACCTATTTTTTTTTCATTAAGCAACATATTCATTTTTCCTAGATAAATCCCTGGGAATGGAAATGCTCTTAAGTGAGTATTTAACTTCGTAAGACATTACCAACCTGTTTTCCAGAGTTAATGTACATTTTGCATTCTCAATAGAAAATGTTTAAGAGTGCCAGTTGCTCCGCCTCCTCACAAATACACTGATATTGTTTGGCTCCGTGTCCCCACCCAGATCTCATGTTGAATTGTAATTCACAATGTTGGCAGAGGGATCAGGTGGGAGGTGATTGGATCATGGGGGCAGATTTCTCCCTTGCTGTTCACATTATAGTGAGTGAGTTCTCAGAAGCCCCAGTTGTTTAAAACTGTGTAGCACTTCCCCCTTCTTTTTCTCTCCTGCTGGCTTGTGAATATGTGTTTACTTCCTCTTTGCCCTTTTTCCATGATTGTAAGTTTTCTGAGGCCTCCCTAGCCATGCCTCCTGTACAGCCTGCAGAACTGAGTCAATTGAGTCAATTAAAACTCTTTTCCTCATAAATTACCCAGTCTCACATAGTCATTTACAGCAGTGTGAAAACAAACAAATACACACACTGTATTGTTAGTTATTAAAATTTTTGTGATGCCAATAGTAGTATTTCATCCTAATTTTAATTTGTATTTCCCTAATGACTAATGAGGTTTAGCATCCCTATAAGTGCTTATTTTCCATCCATACACTTTCTTGGGCAAATTTTCAGTTTGAATTTTTTTTCAATTATTTATTGGATTATTTGTTTTGTTATCATTGAGATTTGGGTGTTCTTTATTTATTCTGGATACAACGCCCTTCTTAGATATGCGAAATAAAATGTTTTCTTTCAGTCCATTGCTTGCTTGTGTTTTTACTTTTTTAAGAGGATATTTCAGAAGGCAGAAGCTCTAAAATTCCTAATGTTGATGAAATCCAATATATCATGATTTCTATTATTGATTGTGTTTCTGGAGTCTAACCAAAGCAATCGTTTCCTATCTCAAGATCACAAAGATTGTTCCTATATAATCTTTTGAAGATTTTATACCTTTGGGTTTTATTTTTAGGCACAAGATCTGTTTTGAGGTCAAGAATCAAGGGTTTGTTTGTTTGTTTGTTTATATGGATATCCAATTGTTCTGGCATTATTTGTTGAAAAGATGATAATTTCCACACTAGGAATTACCTTTACTCCTTTAGTTTTACCTCTACTCAAAGGAGTTACCTTCACTCCTTTGTTAAAACTTTATTGATCATATACCTATGTGTCTATTTCTGGACTCTCTATTCTGTTCCTTTAGTTTATGTATCTATAATTCTGACAGTACCAACTTGCTTTGAATAGTGTAGCTATAAAATAAATCTTAGATAGTGGCAGTATGCCATGTTTTTCAAAATGTTTAAGGTATTCTAATTCTCTTGTCTTTCCATATAAACTTTAAAATCAAATTGATGATTTTTTATAAGGATTTGCTGCTAGAATTTTAATTTAAATTGAGTTGAGGCTAAAGGTTAGTTTGAAAATAATTGGCATCTTATAAACATTTTTCCAATTCATGAAAAGCCTTCCAATTCATGAAAATGATATATCTCCATTCATTTAAATATGTGCAGAATTCACACATAATTTATTATGTTTTTGATGCTATTGTAAATGATTCATTTCAAAATAGTTAATTTTAAAAATGTATATTATTTTTAATTGACCACTTCTAATTGAATTTTGGCCTCAGACTGAAGGTTGCATTGCTGGCTTCCCCACTTTTGAGGTTCAGGGGCTCAGACTGGCTTCCTTACTTCTCAGCTTGTAGAAGGCCTATCTTGGGATTTCACCTTGTAATTGTGTGTCAATTCTCCTTAATAAAGTCCCCTTTATATGTATATATACATACATATAGCCTATTCTGTTCCTTTAGAGAACCCTGACTAATACAATATGGTAGTTCTATTTTTATTTATTTACTTTTTTTGAGGAAACTCCACACTATTTTCATAATGGTTGTAAAACTTTGCACCATCACCAACATTGTACAAGCGCTACCTATTCTCTACATCCTCACCAACAGTTGTTATCTTTCATCTTTCTGATAAAATCCACTCTAACCAGTGTGAGGTGAGATCTCACTGTGGTTTTAATTTTCATTTTCCTAATGATTAAGGATAATGAGCATTTTAAAATGAACTGCTTTGCCATTTGTTTATCTTCTTTTGAGAAGTGCCTATTTAGATTTTTTTGCTCAATTTTAAAATCTGGTTATTTGTTTTCTTGCTATTGAGATGTGCAAGTTTCTTATATATTTTGGATATTAAGCCTTATCAGATGTATGTTGTGCATGTATTTTTTCCCACTTTCTGGGTTGTCTTTTCACTTCATTAATTGTTTCTATTGCTGTGCAGAAGCTTTTCAGTTTGATGCAATCATATATGTCTATTGTTGCTTTTTTCCTAAGCTGTCAGGGTCATATCCAAAAAATCCTCTCCCAGACCAATGTCATGTAGTTTTTTCCTATGTTTTATTCTACTAGTTTTATAGTTTCAGGTGTTATGTTATATGTTTAATGCATTTGAAGTTGATTTTTGTGCTTGAATTAAGAAAAATGTCTAATTTCCTTCTTCTGCATGTGGCTAACCAGTTTTCACTGCACCATTCATTGAAGAGACTATCCTTTTCCCATTGTGTGTTCTTGGCACCTTTGTCAAAAAATAACACTGAAAATAAATATGTGGATTTATCTGGGCTCTTCATCTTGTTCCTTTCCTTGAAAAATCTCTTTTTATGCCAGTACCATGCTATTTTGATCATAATTGCTTTGTAACATACTTTGAAGTCAGGTAGTGTGATGTCTACAGTTTTGTTCTTTTAGTCCAAGATTGTTTGGCTGTTTCTAGTTGTTTGTTGTTTCATAAAAATATAGGAAATATTTTTCTATTTGTGTGAAAAAATGACATTGGAATTTGATAGAAAGTGATCTGTACATTGCTTTGGAAAATATAAAATTTTAAGATTACTAATTTTTGCAATTCATGAACATGAGGTATCTTTCCATTTACTTTGTTTTCTTCAATTTCTTTTTATCAGTGTTTTATAATTTTTTTAAGTAGGGAGTCTTTCACCCTGTAAATTTACAACTAAGTATTTCTCTCTTTTTTTGCTATTGTAAATGGGATTTTTAAAATTTTTATTTAAATAGTTTTGGGGGAACACGTGATTTTTGGTTACATGGATAAGTTCTTTAGTAGTGATTTCTGAGATTTGGATGCACCCATCACCCGAGCAGTGTAGACTGAACCCAATGTGTAGACTTTTATCCCTCATCCCTCTCTCTCCCTCCCCTCAAAGTCCGCAAAGTTTATTATATAATCCTTATGCATTTGTGTCCTCATTGCTTAGCTCCTACTTATAAGTAAAAACATACAATATTTGGTTTTTAATGCCTGAGTTACTTCACTTAGAATAATAATGGTCTCCAACTCCATCCAGGTTGCTGCAAATGCCATTATTTCATTCCTTTTTATGGCTGAGTAGTATTCCATGGTGTACATATACCAGACTTTCTTTATCCACTCATTGGTTGATGGGCATTTAGGCTGGTTCCATATTTTTGCAATTGCAAATTGTGCTGCTATAAACATGCATGTGTAAGTGTCTTTTTCATATAATGACTTCTTTCCCTTTGGGTAGATACCCGGTAGTGAGATTTTTGGTTCAAATGGTAATTCTACTTTTAGTTATTTAAGAAATCTCCATATTGTTTTCCACAGTGGTTGTACTAGTTTACATTCCAACCAGAAGTGTAAAAGTGTTACCTTTCACAACATCCACACCAACGTGTATTTTTTTTTTGAATTTTAAATTATGGCCATTCTTGCAGAAATTAGGTGGTATCTCATTGTGGTTTTAATTTACATTTCCCTGATATTTAGTTACGTTGAGCATTTTTTTTATGTTTGTAGGCCATTTGTATAATTTCTTTTGAGAATTGTCTATTCATGTCCTTTGCCTACTTTTTGATGGGAATATTAGTTTTTTTCTTGCTGATTTAAGTTTCTTGTAGATTCTGGATATTAGTCCTTTGTCAGATGCATAGTTTGCAAAGATTTATCTCCCACTCTGTGGATTGTCTGTTTACTCTGCTGATTATTTCTTTGGCTGGGCAAAAGCATTTCAGTATAATTAGGTCCCATCTATTTATTTTTGTTTTTGGGTGCTTGGTCATGAACTCTTTGCCTAAGCCAATGTCTAGAAGAGTTTTTCCAATGTTATCTTCTAGAAGTCTTATGGTTTCAGGTCTTAGATTCAAGTATTTTATCCATCTTGAGTTGATTTTCTTTATAAGGTGAGAGATGAGGATGCAGTTTCATACTTCTGCATGTGGTTTGAAAATTATCCCAGCACCATTTGTTGAATAGGGTGTTCTTTCTCCACTTTAGTTTTGTTTGCTTCGTCAAAGATCAGTTGGCTATAAGTATTTGGTTTTATTTCTAGGTTCTCTATTCTATTCTATTCTATTGGTCTATGTGCCTATTTTTATACAAGTACTGCTCTGTTTTGTAACTATAACCTTGTAGTATAGTTTGAAATCAGGTAATATGATGCCTCCAGATTTGTTCTTTTTGCTTAGTCTTGCATTGGCTATGCAGGCTCTTTTTTGGTTTCATATGAATTTTAGTATGGTTTTTCCTACTTTTGTGAAGAGTGATGATAATATTTTGATAGGAATTGCATTAAATTTGTAGATTGCTTTTGACAATATGGTAATTTTTACAATATCGATTCTACCCATACATGGGGTCCCTGGAATCACTACTCAACCATGTTTGCTTCCCATCCTATGGTAGTCTTAAGTAAAGCACCAAGGCTTGGTACATTAGCCAATTAGCACCTGGGGGAACAGATGCTCCTTTTGTGGATAATCACCCTCCAGCCCTTGCCTTTTTGCCCAGAGAAGGGTTAAAGAGTGCACCAGAGCTTGAGTGGTTTGAAGGTTGACAGCAAGGGCCATGCGAGGTCAGATTCTCCCTTTTCAGATAGTTATCCGCCTGACCCAATCTCCTGGCCTTGAGAAGTTTCAAGGATAGCACTGAGGCTGGAGGTGAAAACCAGCCAAGAATTCAAGCCTGGGAGACCAATTAACCATGTTTTCTTCAGAGCAGTGCTATTTGCAGAAAAAATGTAAACCAACCAACCATCCCTACAGTGGCCTCTGTGAGCGCCATTCTTGCTTTTTGTTTCTAACTGAAACCCGGTGGTCTAGCCCTACCAATACCCCCAATGTTTCTTATGGGGCTACACAAGAGAGTGTCTCCTGCAAGAAGTCTTAGAATGATGGAGATGATGAATGTTTGTCTCCAATTCTCTTTTCCCTCTGTAAAAATGATGATTCCTAGGAATCCTCTGTGTGTGGCATTGGGCCAGCTGGGAGAGAAATAACATAATCAAAGTGAAACAACTCCTCTTACTCTTTGTGTACAGCTGTTCTCAGTTCTGCAATCCAAGAAGTTGTCTCAGCCCCACTTTCATGTTCTGGAATATTCACAGGGGTATTCTTGCATGTGGATAGTTACTAGCTGGATTTTTGTGAAGAAGACTGGACCCAGAGAATTCTTATTTTGCCATCTTCCAAAATAGTTGATTTTCATTATAGAGAAGTATAATGATTTTTTGTATATTGACTTTGCACCCTGCAAACTTTCTAAACTTATTTATTAGTTCTAATAGTTTTTTTTTGTAGATTATTTGGTATTTTCTAAATAGATAATTGTATTGCCTAATAATAGAGACAGTTTTAGATCTTTTATTCCTGTTGGTATAGATTTTCTTTTTTTTTTTCTTGCCTCAGTAAACTGTCTGAAATATCGAGTGTGACATTTATAGGAGTGGTAAGAGTGTACATAATTGTCTTGTTTTCTATCTTTTTGGCAAGTGTTTAGTTTTCTATCATTAATAAGTTAGCTATCTTTTTGTGCAGATGTTCTTTATCAGGTTAAGAAAGTTCTCTTCTGTTCCTCTTTTGCTGAGAATTTTTATCATGAATGGATGTTGAATTTTGTTAATTTCATTTTCTTTTGTATATTCTGAGAGGATCAAGTGATTTTTCTCTAAATTGTTGATATAATGAATTATCCTAATTAAATGTCATATGCTGAAAAAAATCACATTCCCAGGATTAGTTGTACTTGGTCATGAGATATTAAATCTGCATTTTTTACAAATTAAACATTTCAACCTGGAAAGATTTACCATAGGGCAGAATATTCTGTTCAATATTTAAATCAGTGAAACAAAGCAATAGAAGGCAAGGTGTTAATAATAAGTATGTTAATAATAAGTAGCCAGACTCAAAATGATACTAAAGCAATGGATAGAGTTCTTGTAAGTTCATTTATTAGGGTCAAAAACACACAGTATGAGTTTAAGGTATGTATTTTTTTAAAGAAAAAAACCTTGGGATATTCCTTTTCATGGTAAACCTAATATGTAATGATATGTTATAAACTTCAACTTAACATTCTGGTAGTCTTATACTGCATTAATGGAAGGACAAAAAGTGAAAATGTTAGAAGTGATAATCTTGCTATGTGACTCTTAAAACCCATCTTTCCTCCATTCAGAGCACAACAATTTATATGTCTATTTACATGTATATATGTACACACACATATATACTGAAAATTTAAAGCCTTATTGTATTTGGTGTTAAGGGTTAACTTTAATTATTTTTAACATCTTGTGAAATTACATGTATTTCAAAAGTAAAAACACTAGAAAATACCTAATCATTAAAAATTAAATTAGTATATACTATTTTACATAAATTACATTAAATGGAGTAAAACTTAAAATGGGAATTATTCAGAGGAGAATAACCAAGAGTTTAAAGAGAAGAGAAATAATATCAAAAAGGAACTAGGAAGGAATTGGTGATGTTTCCCAATACTACATAATTTTTAGTTTGAAAGTGGTATGTATATTTTTAAGAGTTAAAAGTCAGAGCCTTACCTGGTAGTAAAGTGTTCTCTCTGGAAGTGGTGACGTCCTCATCACTGCAGTTTCAAGCTTAGAATATATGGACATTTCCCAAGCATGATGTAGACATAATTCAAGCTTACAGGTGAGAATCTGAAAAAAGAGAATAACACTAGCACACAAATGATCCATAAGCTATATTTTATCTTATTCATCTGGACAATAGACAATAAAATGGAAATGATTGTGCTCTGTTCTCTCAATTTCCTTGGCAACAGTGAGCTCAGTATGCTCCTAGAGGGAAAAATTGTATTCTCCAATGGGAAGGGTAGAGCTACTTTAAGGACTCTTATGGGTCAAAAATGCCGTTGCAAGAGGTGTGAATTTGTTTTTTACCTGTATGATAATAAGAGGTAGGAGAGGGAGGCTTAAGAGGACGCTCTAGGGTCAAATGAACCAAACGAAATGGGATGCTCGCCCCACTGCTCTGTGAGTGGCATCATGAGTGGCATATGTGTGAGCTTCATTATCAAATCAGAGCTCCGAATCATCGCAATAACCTCCTCTTCTATTCCATTCTTTTCAGACTAGAGCCCATGTTGAAAGCAAAGTGCTTTAATAGACTGCAAACAGCAAGAAAAGTTAAACGGGTCACACTTCTGTGAGAATGTGGGCTATGAAAAACACACAAGATGGCATATGTTCTAGGAGAATCCCTTAGATTGCCTTGAAGCCATATGGAGAACCAAAACTCATAGTCACACAATTTAAAAACTTGCATTTATCAGATCACCACCTGCCTTGTGGCTCTGTCTGAGTCTACTGCTTTCCTACTTCTGCCAGCATAAGTTTATGTTACACAATCTAATGACTGTCTTTCCTATTCATATCCTGTTTGGGCACAGGTTTGTTTGTTTTTTTAAACTTGTATTCCCTCTTAAAGTTGAAATCTTTAAGGGTTTCCCCCAGCTCTACTAGAGATATCTAAGAATGTGCTGTAATTTTATGGTGACCCATGTTTGCGGCACTGGTTGGTATATACAAACAGAAATGGTAGAGGAGGAAGGGAGCAAGTGTCTTGTTATGTTATTTATAAAGAAACTTTATGAAGTTTCTTTTTTCCTCTTGGCTAATAGGAAAATAGGTGCTTTGTAAATCTTCAGACTTGCTGTAAGCTTCATGTTTAATGAGGTAAGGGATATTCAACAGTTTTTCTAAGCACAGCACAGCTGGAATAAAATAGCCTAAGTGTTAGCAATTTGCATGCTCTATATACAATTGGTGATATTTGTACTGAGTATTTAAACAATTCACTTAAGGCAAACGGATTGAAACACAAAGATATACAGACACACTCATTGGTTCCCAAGTGTTTTTTGGTCCTTACAGTGATCCACGTAAGCCTTCTAACAAGACAGAAATCCTGTTTGACTGAACTACCTCATTTTAGCAAAGACATCACATCACTATGTAGTCCTTATTTTAGTGGCTTTGGCACAATTCCTTTATCTTTCCTCCCTTCTCTCTGCAGCTGAAAAATGAAAATCCTAAATAGTGTTTCATCTCTCTTAAAATCAATTTAATTGAGTAAACCTTGTGCTAGATCCTGCATGAGTTGCATTTTTCATTCTGCTTTTGAGGAAATCACACTGTTTTAGAAGGGAAGAAAATAAGCAAATAATTACTACATGTTCACAAATGGCCACAGAAGAGGGAGGGTTCTATGCACCTGAGAGTCATGGAAATTTTGACAGATGATTTATGTTCAAGTCATATTTTTGAAGAATGAATGAAAATGTTTTCTGATTGAAAGGTAAAGATATTGCAAGGGAGAGACTTGGGCTTTGCCTGTTTGGGAATCCACAAGCAGCTCAACTTGGCTGTCAGATAAATAAAGCATTGCTTTCAGTGAGTAGAGTGAGCTATTACTACAAGGAAGACTGGACAGATGGATCAGGGGAGATCAAGAAGGCCTAACATTCAATGCTAAGAAGTGTGGGCTTTATTCTGTAGAGAATTGGAGCCCTTTGTTGGATTTTAATCAGAAGAATAGTTTGATTAGATTTGATTTTAGAAAGTTTCATGGAGTCTAGATTACATTAAGACAAAACCAGAGACTGGAGAATCACTCAAGATACTACTGAAGATCGAGGCAAGAAATAAGTAGGGTTTGAACTACAGTGGGAGTGAAAAGAAGGGGGTGAACTAGAGAGATATTTCTGCAAAACTCAGTGATTAGATATTGTGGCAGAAGGTGAGAGAGCATAGAGGGTTAGGATTCAAGGGAAAGAAGGAGTCAAGGATGACATCATAATTTCAGGCATCTCTTATTTGGATTCTTTCTCTTCAGAAATATTGTCCGTTCTGTCCTTGCTACTCAAAGTGAGGCCCATGTATGTACTGGAAATATGGGCATCACCAGGAAGTTTATTGGAAGTGAAAATTATTGGGTTCTTTTACAGAACTGCTGGTGGCAAAGTTTGGGAATATTGCTCTCCCTGCGATTCCTATGCATACTAAAGAGTCAAAGAAGTGCATGAGAAGCATTGTTGTATGTGATTAAAACTAATATTCTATACATCCCTCCCATGAAAATGCTTCCTTTTCTCCCCAACATCTCAATTTCTACTTTGCTCCTGCCTGAAAGCTAAACAAAAGTACCCTGTAAGAGTAGTGTCAAAATTTGGAAGTGAGCACTTTTTTTCCAAAACTAAATTTGAGGCTCATTAAATTGTCGAGATGTTTCACAACCCACTTAGTGTAGTTCCAATATGGTATGTGCCTGCTTGTTATTGCATTAGACAAAAACACTTACAAAGAATGGACACCACAGTACTTGAACTTATGTCTATTTTCTCTCTACAGTTCTCATCTTGATACTACCAATGACAGCAGTGTCCCACTGTGATACCCTTTATTACAAATGCCTCCATTGTAAATAGTGCAGAAAAAGAGAATTTAAACTTACAATGCAATAGTGAAAGGATAGAAAACCTTCTTCCTAATTAGGCTCTTGCATTTGAAAAACTCCATTCTTTTCATGAGAGAAAATACTTCAGACTGAACATCAGGAAAAAAAGAAAGATGGTATATAAGAATTGAGACTAGAAGACTGACAGACTAAAGGGAATATCCAATTTGTTGCATTTCTGAATAGAGTTTTGTAGTGTTCCACCCTAGATTGTTTCACACTATCTACTGTTCTTTTTGTCTTTTCTCTCCTACAGTTGTAGTTTTTGGCGTTGTAATTTTCTCAATTCATGTCCTCCCTTTCAATTTATTATTCTCTTATGTTTTGAATGAGATATACTTTTAAATGAGTATACTACTTTTCCCTTCAAAGAAGCAAAATGAAAATGAAGATGCCTGCATGCAGAAAGGAAACAAGGAAAAAAGCAAGGAAGGTGACACTTAGAAAAAAAAGAAGATAATGGAAGTCCCCTATTGGGCTCTTACATAAACAAGTAGGAGTGAGGCAGTGCTAAGAATGCAATAGACAAAAAGACAGAGCAATAACCTCCACTTAGCATCTTTGAAAAAAAAAAATTGTGCCCTTTCTGCTACTATGAAGAAACAACTGGACCACCCAGGAGAGGTAAGAAGAGATTTCCCTATTTCTTTCACCAGAAAAACACATAAAGACACATTGGAGAAATTTCTTCCAAATTATATAAATGGTGTTATGCTGAGACTGCTTCTAAGCATAGATTTTTGAAAATCTCCATCAAATTAGTGCTGCCTCCTTTTAATCAGGTCCTGGAAGTATCACTTTACCCCATAGATACTGCCAGTGATTGACATGGCTTGGAATATTTTCTTTGAGGATGGTCTTAAGGATCACATTTATTTTTCTCTTGCTCTGCAGTGTTTTGGTTTGTTTGAATGGATAGGGTGCATTTATTTTGTTTATTCTTAAAACTGGCTGTTACCATGATGTGGTATGCAGAGCCCACGGTTAAATTCTTAGCATATGGCCCAGAAATAGGCACTCCTAGAGCCAGTACACGACTCTCTGATACTCATAGAATCAGAGAGAGAAGGTCAAGGCTGACTTCATCAATGACTGCTGCTACTAGGGCACCTTGTGTTTCAGTCCCAACTCAAGAGTTTATTTGTGGGATGTGCAGCTCCCATGACTCAACACCAGGTTTCCCTGGCTTTCCAAGTGTCTCTGAGAGAGCTGCCTAATCAGTCTTCCAAGTCATATGCCAGCTGGAAGGGATATGAAGTGAGTAGAATATGTCTATGTACTGTCAAGTAAATAGGCCCAAGGTGTGTGGTAGCATGGTATTTCTGGTTCAGCATTGTGTGTGCCTTTTTTTGGTTGTTGCCACACCATATTTTTATCATTAAAAATATAACTTTAACTTTTTAATTGACATTTAATAATTATTCATATTTATGGGATACATAGTGATGTTGTGATACACATATAGTAATCAGATTAAAGTGATTAGCATATCCATCATCTCAAATATTTATTTCTTTGTCTTTCAAACATACAATATCCTCTTTCTAGCTATTTGAAACTATATAATACATTCTTAACTACACTCATCTTACAGTGCCATAAGACACAATAATTAATTCTATTAGGTTGGTGCAAAAGTAATTGCTGTTTTTGCCATTATAGTGACAAAAGCCACAATTACTTTTGCACCAACCTAATATCTAGCTGTAATTTTATATACTTGTTTTTTAATCTATTTCTATTGCTCTTGCAGTTAGTTAAATCGACCCTAGAATCCAGAAGCAGGTTGGTCATCATTCCTCAATTTTAGTGGTAGTGTATTTTTAATCATGTTCCCTTACTCTTTATCAGTAATTATTTGAAGTATATACAAGCTTTGTACAGGCAGATTTGTCTTTCCTTATGCTAAGATATATACAGTACTCTTTTTTTTATTTTTAGGAAGTAGGCCATACTAAATATTGTTCTGTCTCCTCCTTGGTCTAAGAAAAATAAGTAGGAGTAACAGAAGTACTTTCTTTTTTTCAATTTGGTTTTTACTTTTGTTGAATCTTCCTTTGGTTGTGATGGCAAGCTCTGCAAAGAACAGTATCTTTCCACGGGTTGGGGACTGTCATGGAGGTTTCCATATGTGTACAAGAAAGCTACCACACCCATGGTCCTTCTGTTTTATTCCACCAGAGCTGAGAGGGGACTGTGCTGCACCCTGCATGTTGGAGTGGCATGCAGAGACTCCAACTGGGGGTGGAAACCAAGGCTCTCCTGAGTCTGGAGAGAGTTTAGAAGGATAGCCTGCTTGTTAATCTGGTAGGCAAATCAGAACATTCTAAGAAGTCAGAACCATATGGACAGGGATATGGAAAAATTTAACAACATGTAATGCTCAAAGAAACATTAGACGGTATTGAAATTCAGTGTGTGAATGACAAGGATAAGTGTATCAAATACAGCACACAAATGCAACGTGCTGGTGTAGACTGTAAAGACCTAGACCAGGGTATCTAAAAGCATAGTCTGTGGACCAGTTTTTCAAAATTACCTGGACTAATAGCTGAAAATGTAGATTCCCAAGCTCCCCTCCAGACTAATGGAATCAAGACTCTCTAAGATTGGGGCTTTAAGAGCTACTCTAATGATTTTGAAGTAAACTAAATTTGAAAAACAGGTTGTTATCCATCTCAGAGTTTTAAAAGTTTATATTCATCCATATAATGCTTTTCAGGTTACTTTATATTAGATAAATATTATATTAACTTTATATATGTATTTTATAAGTAGTTATATTAAATATCAGACCATGGAGAGGCTATAAAAATAAAAATGTATTTGAATTTCCTTTAAAGAAGGAGCATTCCTAAACCTGTTTATAAGCTGAAAACTTTAATTATTTCCTTTCAGTAATTTTGTTTCAGATGAATAGATCAGTGGAATTCAACAGCTGTTAAAACACAGTCAATTTCCTGATCATTATCAATTGGACTTGCATACTTCAGATTCAAAACCTTTTACTTTTTCTCATCCCGTATCTCCAAGTTCAGTCAATTTTTAATATAAAATCTCTCTCTAATAGATATTGAATTTCTCATGCCATCATCTGAACCCAAACCATTATTACATTATTCCTGAAAAGCTTCTTACCTGCTTATAACATATCAAAAATTCCACAATATTTCCATCATTCCAATTAATTTTTAAGGAGACCTACATTACACCCAATCTGATAAAGCAGGAAGCTGATACAGGGTATAACAATTAAACTGAAAAAAAAAGTGAAAAAAAGTGTGTAGACATGATTATCATGCTTCCAGAAAACATAGAAGGTATCATTGAAAAGCTATTATAATTAATAATGGAGGTCAGTAAGTTACCCAATAGCAAAATATATAAAAATCCATAGCCTTCCTATATAACAGAAAAATAAGTTAGAAGAGATAATGAAAAGAACATCACTCACAATGTCATCATCTTTAAGGTGCCTGAGTAATGTTGTGATCCTTGCAGAGGCTGAGTGATCTATTCCCCAGTCCCTTGAGGAAATGTTATGAAACAGTCCCAGAGCCACGTTTTTTGAGTTCAGATTCCAACTGCCACTTACTAGCTATACAACTGTAACACAAATAAGCCTATGCCTAAGATTCCTCATTTCTAAAATGAAATAGTTTTTGTAATAACATCTTATGAGAACTATATGGGTTGTATATGGATAAATATAGGTTATGACTCTATAATGGTATAATATTATGGGCTATGACTATTGCTATGGTTTTAATGTGTCTCCCAAATTTCAAGTGTTGAAAACTTAATCCCCCAAATCATATGTTGATTGCAGAGGGGCCTTTGGGAGTTAATTAGGATTAGATAAAGTCATCAGGTTGAGGCTCCCATGATGGGACTGGTGGTTTTATAAGGAGAAGAAGAGAGGCCAGAGCTGGCATGTGTGCTCTTGACCTCTCACCATGTGATGCCCTCTACCATGTTGTGACACAGCAAGAAGGCCCTCACCAGATGATAGCTCTAAGCTCTTGGAAATCTCACCCTCAAGAATTTTAAGAAGTAAATTTATTTTCTTTATAAAGTACTCAGTCTCAGGTGTTTAGTTATAGCAACAGAAAATCAACTAAAATACCTATATAATATTACTATACCAGCAATTCACTTAGAATGGTGTCTGGCACAAATGGGAAACACTGTATAAATCTTTGTGGTGATTATGTGGCATATGATTTAATGAAATGACATTGGTCTTGTGCCAACAGCTCATTACACAGCCTAACTTCAGAAATATTAGAATTGAGCCTGATGCCTGTTAAGACTCTTTCCAACCTTGAGATCTATCATTCATTGAATTTTTAATTTGATATTTTAATTTCTCACCTTCTATATGGCTGATATGGTTTGACTGTGTCTCCACCCAAATCTCAACTTAAATTGTATTTCCCAGAATTCCCACAAAATTATATTTCCCAGAAATCCCGCTGGAAGGACCCAGTGGGAGGTAATTGAATCAGGGGGGCCGGTCTTTCCCATGCTATTCTTATGATAGTGAATAAGTCTCACGAGATCTGATGAGTTTATCAGGTGTTTCTGCTTTTGCTTCTTCCTCATTTTGTCTTGCTGCCACCATGTAAGAAGTGTCTTTTTCCCTCAGCAATGATTATGGGACCTCCCCAGCCATGTGGAACTGTAAGTCAAATTAAACTTCCTTTTCTTCCCAGTCATGTGTATGTCTTTATCAGTAGTGTAAAAATGAATTAATACATTGGTTTCTGTTAGTTTGAAGACTGGGGGTGTGGTATATGTGTATTTGTATTCTCTCATCTAAAACAAATTAAATTTTTAAAAGGAGTGGAGCAATTTTAGCTAAAAATCTCCAAAACAAAAGTCTGCTTTATTTTCACCTGTACAATAAATTGAAACTAATGAAGTGGGTACCTGACACGGATGAACAGAAGGAGATCTGGGGATCTGTGCTGCTGAGAGGCTGTCTGAGCCAGCCTTGTCTGAGAGGAATTTGGAAAGGCAGTGTGGCATAATGTAAAGAATGTGGGTTCTAGTGCTACACAGCCAAGATTTTCATTTGAGTTCCTACATTTCCTATCTGGGGGAACTTAGTGCATCTCACTTAAATTATTAGCCTTGGTTTCTTTACTTCTAAAATAAAATTAAATAGGAATCTGATTCACAAGATTGTTGTGAGAGTAAAATTAGAAGCTTGGCAAAAATAAATGTCCTATAAATATCAAAAGTTAGGAATTTGCTACCCAAATAAACTTCTCTCTGTATGCTAAAACACAAAGCCCCCACAGGTGTACTAAGGCCTAACATTATATCATCATGGATTCGTGTGTGTGTGTGGTGGGAAGAGGGATCAATCTTCAGTTATCTTTGGCTGTTACATCTTTTTCCCCTTGATAAGAGGAAATCCATGCTCCATGTGAACTCTGATTGCTTATAGTGAGAAACAGACAAAAGTACCCCAGATGTGAAATGAAGGGAACAGAAGATCCCCTCACCATCCACCTAGAACCCATCTCTATCAGTGAGATATACAATAAGAAGGTCAATAAATATGGCTTTGAAATTTCATTTAATTGGTTAAGAAATGCATTTGAGACCAGAAATATATAGAGAAACATCTTCTGATATTCCACTTGAATGAAATTATTCCATGTGGGAATTTGTATTTTTCTATGTCTTTTCTAAAACTGTGAGAATAATCACAGACCAGGGTGGTAACTTATTTAATTATAAAATTAAACTTTTTATGTATTAATAAAATAGAAGGCCAGGTATAAAGGACAAAGGTGTTTGTGCGTATCAGCTACAACAAAGCAAAATAAATTTATATGCAACTATCTTCCTTAATCTACACTTTAAAAGCAGCCAGATACGTTCTCATCTAGTACCCTTCAGCCTGTATTTTACCATCCTCTCTCCCAAAACCTGAAAACTCAGCATTGTTCATGGCTATCATCCAAGCCTATCTTATTGAAATTGTTAGAGAAAAAAATATGTTGAAATTTGTCTAAGGAGTGAGGAATGAAAAAGGGAAATTAATATGACCACTATGCTATTACTATTTCAAATCTATAAAATGGTAGTGCTGTAGTTTTTATTTAATGTACTTTTTTTAAGTGAAATTTCTAAAAATCTATGCACTTATTAATGTTTTTTGGTTGCAAGCAAAATAAATCTGACTAATCAAAGTGAAAGAAAGAAAAATCGAGAGACTGCATATTGTTCATTGAGAATTTGAGGCATCTCACAGAATCAAAGGAAAGGTGGAAAAACATTTATCAGAGGAGTCCTCAGGTGGGCGTAGCAGGAAATAATGAATTTTCCTAAGAGAGCTGCCTATGGCGTGCATTTTTTAGTCACATGACTCAAAATGCACTTTCTGGGAGCTATAGTAACTAACCAGAAGTTGAACTCATGTAATCCATTTGCCAGGGAAAAAGTGGCATCTTGATTGACAGTTCCACCAGGACTTTGTAGAATGGAAAGGTGAGTTCTTCAGTGGAAAAATCAGAGGACAGTTCCACCAGGACTTTGTAGAATGGAAAGGTGAGTTCTTCAGTGGAAAAATCAGAGGAACAAACATAAAATTTGGCCAGTCAAAAATCCCCAGATGTTCACTAGACTTTTCACAACCACTTTCAAAGCATTCTTCTCTCCGTCACAGTGTTGAATTAGAGGCTGAACCTTCACGGGTGTGGATTGCAACTCTATACATGAGCCAGAGTCACCAAATGGTCCAAGGTGGGTGCTGTGGTGTATCCTCTTTACAAGTACAAACAACAACTTAGTCCAGGCGAACTGCATTGTGTTTTTATGCCCAGAATATCAATTCATTAAAATTTCCATATTGAATGAATAAAATTAGACCATGTGTTTTTCCATTTGCATAGTTTTAAAAATAGACATCGAATTTAGCATTTTTAATTTAAACAGTACAGGTGGTTTTTCTGTTACCCCCTTTTCCAAATTATTCACCTTTTTTCCCCTTTATGGAAATTTAAAAAGTCTCCATATATACACCAGAGATGCCAAATCACAAATGAAGAATCATGTTAAATACATTTCACTAGTGAGCACTCCAAAGATTTTTCTCCACTTCAGAAAATCAGACAAAAGAATTAACTTTGGTAATAAAATAAGTTTTGGTCTTATATTGCTATAATCTTTCTTCCAAGTCAAGGCCTTCACCCTGACTTGGAGAACTTAAAGTAATAACCTGTTTAGACATGAGGTGAAAAGTTTTGAAATTATCTGGTTGAGAAAAATAGTTGAATACTGACAAATAGTGGTCTTAGATAATTTTTTTAATTGAACTGACAGAAATTGTGATTGAAGGAACAAGACATGTTGATCTTAAAAAGATACAACTATATAAAGTATTAAACTATCTAGTGCTAGCTCCTCACATTGTGTGGGACAAGAGTGCTTTTTGGGGGAAGTGGGGGACAGAGAATCAGAAGCATATGTTCCAATTCAATTCCTTTTATTCAACCCCAAAATGTGATACAAAAAAAAGAACAGAAACTTTGATTAGATCACAGTGGACTCAAATAACATCTTCTAGATAACTACGTTTATGCTGGGAGATTGAAAGCTTTTTTATTCATCAGCTGCAAGTGTGAGGAAGAATGGCATAGAGAAAAGGGTAAGCCTTTGGAACCAAAGATCCTAAACTCCAAATGGCTGCTTCAGTTCCAGATGTATAATCCTTGCAAGTTATTTAATGTCCTGCTGAATCATGTTCCCTAATAATATTCTATAGGCTTTTTGAAAGGATTGAAAACAAATCTAAAATGACCAGGAAATTATTTGGCATAAACCATGGAATTATCTAGCTAAATAAATAATAGCCAGTGTAAAACTTTCTTATAATAAAAAAATTATCATGGGAGACTGAACTTTTATCCTGATTTTACCTAGTACTCCAATTTAAAAGAAATGTGAAATATTCAAACAAAAACAGGCCCTGACTTGGCCTGGGTTTCTAAGGGATGCTGTTCATTTGACCTTCTTACTCCAGACACAGAATAGTGACTACAAATAATACATGAGCTCAACAAGTATGAGTTTCTTAAATATAGCTTTTGGATTTCTTTAACTTGGATTTACATAAAACCTGCAAAAGTATTTACTATAAAAAAGGTGAATCCACAGGATAAAATAATCTGCTTACAGCCTGGTTGTATAATAACTCTGTGCTTTGGGTCTAGGCTCTAAACGTCTTTTGATGTGTGGTTGTATGTCATTCACAGAAGCATGTGTGTGACTCCTAACCACAATGTAAAGCTCCTGCTACCAATCCATGTAAATATTAGAGCTATAATAAACTAATTTGCATGTGTTCTTAATTCCTGTGTCTGTAATTAATAGAATTTCCATTTTTATTTTACAATGTGTCAGTTACATTTTAGATATCCAAGCCAAATTTAGTCAAGCAATTGTTAGCATATTACTTTCTTAAGGTGAAGTGTCATGCAGAAATGCTGGAATTTACTCTATTGCTATTTAAATGCAGCAATCATGAAAATGATTGTTCCTGATAGAGTATCTATGCTGGGGAGAGATGCTGTATTAGACATTCTCCCAATTTTAACTCACTGAATACTGCAAATGATGAATTATGTATTGGATCCACAACTTAAAGATATGGAAACAAGATTTCATCGCTAAGTAAATGAGATATTTCATATCATGCAGCCTGTGAGAAACAGATCTCAGATTTGAATCTAGTTCCATATGACTGCAAAGCCCACTCCATAACAACCTCCAGTGGTGCTGTGAGTACCACATCTTAAACGCATAAACTCTAGATTTGAATGACTTAACATCCCAGCTCTGCCACTAAATTCAATTGTATAAATTAATAATAATAATAATATTTATTCATCAATATTAATACTACCAGTGATAACAACGAATAACAATAGGGATTTCATGATGATTACATGAGTAAAGCAACTTAAGAGTGCTTTTAAAGAAAGCAAAATTAATACAAGGATACTGTCAGTGAAGCATTCTCTAAGGGTTATTAGGAGAAATACTTAGAGGATTCTTGAAACTTTGCCAACCTCATAGGTATGACCTTTACTGTTCTCTTAACAGAGACCCTTTTAGTTAGAATAGTCGTGGTTACTTATACAGTGCTTTTCATTTTAATAATTCTTTGCTCATTTACCCATGGTTTACACAGCCAATTACAGTGTAAAATGCAGAAAACAGCAAGATTTCATTTGCATTTTAGAATCTGATTAGATTCTATATTGCTTAGCTGGTTTATTTATTCTGTGTGTAAATTGTGTTTTGTTCATTTAAGTTTTCTGTGGACTCTATGTGGTGATATCAAAACCATTACACTTAACTGAAATAAATCTGGCTACGAGGCTACTAATTTATCCTCTTTCCTTCTCTCTCTTGGTTGTAGTCACGGAGGAGCACACAATAAGCCAAATCAGCAATAAAACAGTGATTTATTACCGATAAACTTTATTACTGATAAAATACCGGAGAATGGGGCAATGCCTTCTCTGTCTCTCTGAGAACCTAAGACTGTGGCCCAGAAGCACCCAGAGTGGTCTACCCAGTGACAAAGGAGAATTAGAAGAAGAGCAAAAATATGCAAACTTCTATCCGTAAAGAAAAAGGTGACCTTGCTCTACACACTTATGTTAGGTATAAAGAGAGGAAATAAAAATAGAGAAGAGGTCACACATGAACACTAAACTTTATTTTGAACCAATAAGAAATGATGTAACATGTCAAGTTTTCTCCACTTTTCCAGGTCAAATGCCACACTTCTTCAAATAGGAGCCCATATGACTCAGCCCC
Source organism: Homo sapiens (assembly GCF_000001405.40). Classification (NCBI taxonomy): domain Eukaryota; kingdom Metazoa; phylum Chordata; class Mammalia; order Primates; family Hominidae; genus Homo; species Homo sapiens. Next base: position 18,789,651 of record NC_000004.12, on the reverse strand, counting down.
AGCCTGATATCCAATCTTCTCTCTCACCACTCTTAGCCTCACTCACAAAATTCTAGCCACTGTAGTTCTTGATCAGTCCTTTGTACTTGGTCCTGAAACAATTTGCTACCTGATTTTATCATGATTCTCAGGTTCTTATCATTCTAGTCTCAGTTCAAAGGTCACCACCTTAGAAAGACATTCAATAACAATACAAATACAAAGTAGTCCTCTTGTTACTGTGTATAATATTGCAAATACAAAGTAGTTCCCTGGTCACTATTATATAATCCTGATCTATTTATAGTATCTGAAATTATCCTGCTCATTTGTTTGTTTACTTGTTTATTGGATGACTCATCCTACTAAATCATGAGTTGATGAATATTTTCTATAAAGGGATAAATGGTAACTATTTTAGGCTTTGAGGTCCATAGCCTAACTTCTCAACTTCTGCTCCAACTTCTCAACTCCACCATGATAATGTAAAAGTAGCCACAGGAAAATCAGAGGTGAATTAGCATGACTGTATTCAGACAAAACTTTATTTTTAGGCTTGCCACGGTGGCTCATGCCTGTAATTCCAGCACACTGGGAGGCCGAGGTGGGCAGATCACCTGAGGTTGGGAGTTCAAGACCAGCCTGATCAACATGGAGAAACTCCATCTCTACTAAAAATACAAAATTAGCTAGGCGTGGTGGTGCATGCCTATAATCCCAGGTACTCGGGAGACTGAGGCAAGAGAATCACTTGAACCCAGGAGGCAGAGGTTGCAGTGAGCCGAGATCATGCCATTGCACTCCAGCTTGTGCAACAAGAGCGAAACTCGGTTTCAAAACAAAACAAACAAAAACCATTATTTTCAAAAACAGATAGAAGACCAGATTTGGACTGAAGCCATAGTTTGGTGTCCTCCATAGCAAATCCATGAAAATAGATTTCACCAATCTCTTCTCTTCATCTAGAGTAGTGCCTGAAATATAGTAGGTTTTAAGTAAATATTATTTTATGAATAAATGCACCCATGCTGAGATCCAGCAAAGAATCTCCTTATAGAAAAATAAAGTTGAGTAGATGACAGATTTTCCCCTAACAAGTTCTAAAATAAATATTTCTACATTTTTGTCATTTATAGTATACATAATTAATAAATATCTTTGGAATTAAACTAACTTAAATTGTTTTTAGTATTTCATCTTGATAGAAATCTTCTCTAATGTCTTACCTACTAGAAAAATCACTGAATCTGAAGATTTTGATTCAAAATATTAATTCATTTTGAAAACTAACCCCAAGTGATTTAGGGCTTTTGAGGGATTAATCAAACTGGATGACTAAAGCAACTAAGATTGATTTTACAGGCATCCTTTCTGGAATACAATTGTTACAAAAAGGGAAGAATAATCCAGCTCAAAACCTCAATTCATTCACAGCTTTATCGTTAATTACTTCTGTTATCTCAGTTTTCTCATCTGCAAAAACATTGGATTCCCTGACAATAATAACAACACACATGTGTTCGGCATCTACTATAGAATAGACATTGTTTTATAAATTTGTTATACATATTATAATAATTCTATGAATATACGAACTCCATCATACAGATAAAAACCTGAGGCTGAAAGAACTTGAGCAAATGAAAAGTGGTAGAACCAAGATCTCTGTTTGGGTCTGGTGAGTCCAGGTCCATTTCTTACCCTATATTAGGCTGCCTGATCTCTAAATCCCTAGTGAAATGAGTACAGAATGTGTAGTAAGTGTATTTTAAACATTTCAATGCTTTCCTTGAAGTCTTTTAGGCATCCTATAAGATCATCTTAATGCGATTCATGTTGTGGACTGCTGTGGCAACAACTAACAGAAAGTAAAAACTACTGCAATGTGGAAAAGTTGTATGCGGTGTGTGAAAATAAAAAGTGTGTATTCATGACAAGATACCAATTACACTGAAACTAGTTGAATTTTTTAAGTAGATTTTTAAATTTGAGGACTGGCAGAGACCTTTTACATCTTGTGTGCATTTTACAGGTAAAGCAAATAGAAGCCTGAAAAGAGAATTGATTTGCATTAGGCTCCCCAGAGGAGTAGTCCCAGAATTGGATCCAGAGCTCCAATAGCCTAACTCCCAACATAGTGTACTTTTCAAAACCAAAGAAAAAGCTCCAACTCTAAGATGGAACAGTGATGGAAATGTCCACCATTCAATATGATTTTAAACATAATAATGGTGTGTGTGTGTGTGTGTGTGTGTGTGTGTAACGAGAAAGACTGAGATAAATAGTCTTCAGGTTTAGACTGAAGTGTGTGCTGGTGTGCTGAACACTCTGCTAGGCATTTTACATAGATTAACCCATCTCTTTAACGATGTCATAAGGAGGTATTATTGTTATTATAATCATTTTATAAATGAGGAAACTGAGTCAGAGAGATAAGTGATTTGGCCAAACAGACATAACTTGTAATTCTGCAGAAGTAATTCAAACTCAGGCAGTGTGATTCTGGAACCCATATTTTTTTTCATAGCAATTGTCAGACTTCAGTATTCAAAAAGAATTAAATTCATCGTACACATTAAAAATATAGGAAATTTCATGCACACTTGAAACTTCTGATTTAGCCTTTGTGGCATCATTTAGAATAAGAATTACATATAAATACAGTACATTTTACAGTTGCCAAATTTCATAATTTTCTACTGTGATTTGTATCTACATGAATGAATTTAAAATTCATTGCAAAGGGAAAAATTTGTTTTGCTTTTTTAAAGAAAGAAAAGAAACTTAAAAGGAGCATAGTATTAGAAAAGACCATTGAAAGGAAAGGAATGCATGCTGATCTTGAGTAATTTAGAAATGCTTTAACTCACCGCCCTGTATTCTTTTTTTATGACATATCAAAATAGATAATCTTTGATTTTCTCTTAGAAGCAAAAACAGGTTGGCACTGATAGATTGGATTTATTACTTTTTTTTTCTCTCAGGTTTTCTTCTTTAATAATGTTACCTATATATATATTTTAACTTCTATTTTAAGTTCGGGGGTACACATGCAGGTTTGTTACACAGATAAACTTGTGTCATGGGGGTTTATTATACAGATTATTTCATTGCCCATGTACTGAGCCTTGTACCCATTAGTTATTTTTCCTGATCCCCTCCCTCATCCCACTCTCCATCCTCCAAAAGATTCCTCTCTATGTGCCCATGTGATCTCATCCTTTAGCTCCCACTTGTAAGTGAGAGCATGTGGTATTTGGTTTTCTGTTCCTGTGTTAATTTGCTAAGGTTATAAAGACACATGCATGCATATGTTCATTGCAGAACTATTTACAATAGCAAAGACATGGAATCAACCTAAATGTCCATCAATTATTGACTGGATAAAGAAAATGTGGAACATATACACCATGGAATACTATGCAACCATAAAAAAGAATGAGATTGTGTCCTTTGCAATGACATAAATAGACCTGGAAGCCATTATGTTACATATATTTCTAAATTTTGGCTTATATTTTAGTTAATTTTAAAATTGATTATTTTATTTGTTTCTAATTTCTCTTTTTTATAATGAATATTATTTTTTAAATGTTCTACACAAATTTCCATTACTTTTTCTTATAATTTTGCAGTTAATATATACTAAACCTGAAATTGTAGTATCAATCAATAATAAATGTGTCACTGGAACCCAAATTTTTACCATATATAGTAAAACACATCCTAAAAAGTGATATGTCCCATTGAAACCAGTGCCATTGTCTGAGGTTATCATTATTGGCTCTAATTTGTTTGGATTATAGAACTAATTTAGAAAATCCTTCTGTGTGGAGAGACAAACCAAAATGCTGACAATTTTATTTTATTTTCTAAACAGAGGCTATAAAAAAGCTCCACAATGTGGCTCCTCTCAATGTGTCTTATGATTAAATACTTGTGAGAAATGCTGACTTAAACCAAGCTAAACATGTTTCATTCATTTGCTTTTGTTTGTGAGAATTCTCACAAACCTAAGTAGTCTAAAAACCTTGAGAATCTGAAAGAGGAGCTTTAGCACCCATGTTTACTAAATTTATTGTTCATGTAGCACTCGTTTTTCATGCCGTAAGAAATATTATTAAAATTAACACTTCCCTGAACTAATACTTCATAGATTAATTTATTTTTTAAAATTAGTTTAGAAAATTTATAATATGATGAACTATCAGAATGACTCTCACATTTTACATAATCCTGAAGATTGATACACAGGCATGGAAGTTGCATACGAGGAAAGACATATAAGAAGAGGTTTGAAACAGGTGGCATATGGTGCAGTGGCTCAGGCCTGTAATCCCAGCACTTTTGGGAGGCCAAGGCGGGCAGATCACCGGAGGTCAGGAGTTTGAGACCAGCCTGGCCAACATGGTGAAACCCCGTCTCTACTAAAAATACAAAAATTAGCCGGGCATGGTGGTGCATGCCTGTAATCCCAGCTACTCAGGAGGCTGAGGCAAGAGAATTGCTTGAACCCAGGAGGTGGAGGTTGCACTGACCCAAGATAATGCCACTGCACTCCAGTCTGGGCAACAGAGTGAGACTCCATCAAAAAAAAAAAAAAAAAAGAAAGAAAGAAAGAAAAAAAAAGAAACAGGTGGCATAATTAGTCAGAGGAGATTACATAATTCTGTCCAAAATGTTGCACCCTACATACTTTAGGCAAAGGTGAGGCAAAAAAAGGGACTAGAAGAGCATCAAACAAGTGAGGAAGGCACACTCAATGCCAAAGCAGTGGCTTTTTGGTACTTAATGCAATGTGTTGTAACCTTTCCTAGGTGTGGGGTCACATTTCAGTCAATAACTAAAAGTAATTTTTTCTCAACTCATTAGTATTATGATAGCATCTGTGATATTGGTTTTATTGAACCAGGAGACTAAACAGAGTAAGGAATACCTTTGTGGTGGGTTGAATAGCATTCCTCAAAAAGATATGTTTCAGTCCTAATTCTCAGTATCCATGAATAAATTCTTATTTGGAAATGGCAACATTAAAGATATAATCAAGTTAATATGAGGTCATACTGAGTTAGAGTGGCTTCTGATCCAGTATTACTGGATATCTGCCTCCATCATCACGTGGCTTTCTCCCTGTGAGTCTCTGTTTCCTAGTGTCCCTCTACTAATAAGCAGAGAAATCAGATATTGGAGTGATGCAGCTATAAGCCAAGTAATGCCGGAATTTGCCAGCTATCATCAGAAGCTATGGAAAGGTGTATTAGTCAGGGTTCTCTAGGCAGACAGAACTAATAGGATATATATATGAGTTTATTAAGTATTAACTCACATGATCACAAAGTTCCACAACAGGCTGTCTGCAAGCTGAGGAGCAAGGAAGCCAGTCTGAGTCCCAAAGCTGAGAAACTTGGCATCTGATGTTTGAGGGCCAGAAAAATCCAGCACAGGAGAAAGATGTAGGCTGGGAGGCTAACCCAGTCTACGTTCTTTCCACGTTCTTCTGCCTCCTTTTTACTCTGGCCACACTGGCAGCTGATTAGATTGTGCCCACCCAGATTAAGTGTGGGTCTTCCTTTCCCAGCCCACTGACTCAAATGTCTCCTCTGGCAATACCCTCACCGACACATCCAGGATCAATACTTTGCATCCTTCAATCCAATCAAGCTGACATTCCGTATTAACCATCACAGGTCCATCCCTTGTCAACCTGAACCTATAAACATCTCCTGAGATCCTACATAATCTTCAAATAAAGACAATAATAGGGGCATAATTGCACGTAGCATAATACGACCATCCTTTGTACAACCAGAAATGCACCAATCCCCAATCCAAATGCTATTAAATAAAGTTAACAACACTTAAATGCCGATATGAAGTCAATAAATCTTATGTCACATGATAAGGAAAAAGGAAATAAAATGAAGATATTTTCTTAGTACAAGTGTACACATGCACAAACATGTTTTAACAAAAGGAGGAAATACTCTTGACAATTACAGTCCTCGTTTCTGCAACTGGTCACGTGGTCGTAGCTAGTATTGTGACTAACTTCTACTACATGTTCTGTATTCCCTTTGTCTTCAGCAAGCACCTCAGCAGGTCATGTTTTTTGTTTGTTTGTTTGTTTGTTTTCCCTGGTGGACTGACCCAAACCTTCATTCCTGAAGGGTCTGAGCCGTTTGTACTCCTGCCTGGATTGAGCTGGTGTAGTTTCCCTTGACCTTAATCACAGAGCATGGTAATTCTAAGAGACACCCCAAGGGATCTCCTGTATTCTGTACATATTCTTCCTTACCTGTATTATGGAGTAGTACACTGATTTCATCATGATAGTCTGGGTCAATCACCCCAACCAACACTGTGACTCCCTTCTTAGCCTGTTGACTTAAAGGTAGGAGAAGCCCAAAGTGTCCAGGTGGCAATCTTAACTTCCAGTTTAATGGAATCATTGTCATGTCTCCTGGTGGCAGTGTTCCTCCCTCTAGAATTAAGGCCTCTAGGCCAGCAGAAGGTAATGTTGCAAGGATAGGAAGCAAACATTTTGCTAGTGGATCACTAGGGGTGATGGTGAGTGATGCCACTTCCACTTCCACCCCTTGATTCTTGGACCTGTGAATCCTGGCTATGGGAGAAACAGTACCATACATTGGACACTGATTCAGAGTACACAAGGCCTTCAGGAGAACTTTGCCCAGGCCTGCAAAGTATTGTCACCTACTTGGGTAGTTGTGACTTCAAAAGGCCATTCCACCATCCTATCAATCCAGCTGCTTCAGGATGATGGCAAACATGGAAAGACCAGTGAATTCCATGAGCATGAGCCCACTGCTATGCTTCTTTAGCCATAAAATGAGTGCACCTAGAGAGCTGCAGGCACTCAACACCAGCCCTTAACAGCAACTATGAGGCCTGAACCCTGCAAAGTCACAGGCGCAGAGCTGCCCAGGACTTTAGGAGCCCCTCCCCCTGCACCAGCATGCCCTGTATGTGGGACAAGGAGTAAAAGGAGATTATTTTTTGGAGCTTTAAGATGTAATGATTGCCTTGCTGCGTTTTGGACTTGTTTGGGGCCGCCCCTTTCTTTTGACCAATTTCTCTCACTTTTGGAATGGGAATACCTTCCCAGTCCTTGTACCCCCATTGTATCTTTGGAGTAACTAACTTGTTTTTTTTATTTTACAGGCTTATAGGAGGAGGGGACTAGCCTTGTCTCAGATGAGAGTTTGGACTTTTGAGTTAACGCTGGAATGAGGTAAGACATTGGGGGACTGTTGGGAAGGCATAATTGTATTTTATTTTGCCATGTGAGAGGAACATGAGATTTGGGAGGGACCATGGACTGAATGACATGGTTTGAATGTGTGACCCTGCCCAAGTCTCATGTAGATTTGTAATCCCCACTGTGAGAGGTGATTGAATCATAGAGGTAGTTTCTCATGAGTGGTTTAGCACCATTCCCTTTTGGTACTGTACAGTGGCAGAGTTCTCATGAGATCTGGTTATTTAAAAGTGTGAAACACCTCCCTGCTATCTCTCTTTCTCCTGCTCTGGCCATGTAAGACATGGCTGCTTCCCCCTTCACCTTCTGCCATGGTTGTAAGTTTCCTGGGGCCTCCTCAGAAACTGAACAGATGGCCAGAATTATGCTTCCTATACAGCCTGCACAACCATAAGACAATTAAATCACTTTTCTTTATAAATTACCCAGTCTCAGGTATTTCTTTAGAGCAATGCAAGAACGAACTAATACAGGTAATAAATTATAAAATAAAGCTTCCACACCGACATTATAAGGTGGAACAGAATAACATAAAGGAATAATGCACTCAACAGCATTTTGTTCACAGCAGATACAATGGTACATTTTAGGTAGTTGTTTCTTCTAAATATTGAGCAGGGAATTAAGGAAAGATAGAACTCTAGAACTCAATGAAGGTTTTCTTTCCCAAAGCTACTGCATCAATTTGGCCCAACAGGCAGGTTTGGCGCTGAAGTTAAGTTCTAAGGCAAGACCTTAAACTACGTGGGGTAGTCCATCCACCTCATAGCCTTTAGAGGATTATTGCTAAATTACTTTTTCTTTAGAAAAACAGTTCTATCGGAACATGCTCCTTAATCTTTTTGATCCTGTACATCTCCCCACAGGCAGAGCAGCACTTGATCTATAGCAGACATTTAAATATCTGTTGAATGAATGAATGAATGAAAAATATGATTTCTGTCAGACTGGTGAGCAGGCAGTCCAAGGGTGTGTGTGTGTGTGTGTGTGTGTGTGTGTGTGTTTTATGAGCAAGTGTGAAGTTTCAAGGGTGGTTACAATACACACTGACACATTGGAATCCAGACAAGCAGAAGGCAAAGTAATGGTGAATAATTTTGAATGGAACAAGATTAGAAAAACCTTGAAAAGCAGTCAAAAAGGATTTATACTTAATGACATAAGAAAGAGGGAACCAATGAGATTTTTTAAGCAGGGAGCAAGGTAAAAGCATTGTTTAAAGTAAGTGATCTTGGCAGTGGAAAAGTGAAAAATTTTTTCATTGAACAAATTGTTCCCGACAAGGACTATTTAGTTTAATACTTTATTTTTAAACCAAATTTTGTCCAACCAGTTGTTCCTTTGGGGATAATTAATTTTAGAGAACTTTTTCTTCTAATTACAAAAAAATTAATTTGAAAGTGTTAATACATTTTCTAAAAATCAGAAAAAAAAATTATCCCCTGAAAATTTTATTGCTATCATTCTTCCCACCTTTTTTTTCCTCTGTGTTTTAAGCAGTTGAGCTCAGGTTATAGAGTTAATTTTGTTACCTTAACTCTCATTTCAATTATATGTATTTTTCATGTTATTGAAAACTCTTCAGAGGTATAATTTTAACAATTCTATAATATTTACTTATATGAATCATCTATAATGTACTTAACCTTTTTTTATAGTTGAATATTTAAGTGGTTTCAGTGCTCCAATCAGCATCCTATGTATAAATCATTGTGGATATTTCAGATTATTTCCTTAACAAAATATTCCTAGAAGGAGAACTGCAAGGTCATAGAATATTAATATTTTTATATGTATTTCCAAAGTATTTCCCAAAATCATTGTATTAGTTTGTACTCCCTCCAGCAGCATATATCAGTCTTCTATTACTGTACCAGGTGTGACTATTTAAAAGAATAATGTTACTGATTTGACAGGCAAGAAATTATATTACACCATGGCTGTAATTTAATTTTTGTACCCAAAGAGTTAGTGCATTTTACTCAAGTAGTTATTATTCACTTGTATTTATATTTGTAAATCATTTTATCTCATCCCTTTGCAATTTAGCTCAAGCACCACACTAATTCAATCTTTGTGTGTCTTAGGTCTTCATGAGCTTATTATATAATAAACCAATTAATTTATTGTATTTTGTTGGTTATTTATAGAAAACATAGAAAAGAATTTAATTTTATTGCACTGTTTTTTCTTTTGTTATTTCTTTCATTTCTTTTAACATTAAAATGCCTTTTCCTCCCTAGACTTGATCGCAAATCACTTTTATTTTTTGCATATGCTTTAAAAATCTAAATTTTAAAATGTAATTCTTTAATTCATCTGAAATGCCTTTTCGTATAAAGGGTGAATAATATAACAGTCAGGGATACGGATGAGAAACTCAGAAAACATCAAATGTTCCTGCCATCATCCACAGGGAAAAAATCAAGTCCAAGAAGTGCTCAGTTATTCACTTATTAACTTAGGACCTGAGTCTTGAGCTAGTAGGTGTAATTTGTGAAGCCAAGGTCACGTGCTTCAATTTACCTTCAATTGAAGGTAAATTCAAAAGTAAAGGCTGGGAGACAGTTCCAAATGCTGACTTTGAGAGGTAGAATTTATAATGTGGGAAATTCTCAAAAACTTAACATGAGTATTTAAAAGATGTTGAGTTGCCAAAAATGATAACTATTCCCTATAGGCGAGGAAATAAATTTGCCATTGTTTAAAAGACTCACTGATTGTGCCAATATTATTTATTATGTAATCTTTTATTTCTTCATAGTTATACTGTATCTTCATTATAACATATGCATTATTACATGTACAAAGGTAGGTGTATGGTTTGGGTTCAATTTTTAATAGTATTATTACCTGAGTATTTCGGAAGTTTAACCTAAGACCTGAAGCCAGCCAAGAGTGAGACACACACACACACACACACACACACACACACACACACACACACAGATATTGACTTTTATACAGTCAACCCTCCTTATCCATGGTTTCCATATCACAGATTCAACCAACTCTTGATGGAAAATATGTGAGGAAAAAAAAAATAACAATACAACAGTAAAAATAGTACCAATAAAAACAATACAATATAACAATTATTTAAATGGAATTTACATTGTATTAGGTATTATAAGTAATCTAGAGATGTTTTAAAGTATATCGGAAGACATGTTTTAAGTTACATGCAATTACTATGCTATTTTATATAAAAGACTTGAATACCCAAGTATTTAGGTATCCTCAAGCATTCTGGAACCAATCCTCAAAATACCAAGGAACAACAGTATATTACTCCAACAGTGACTTTCATTTGGACGAGTTGCAATTTTAAAGAGCGTCTTCACTATTAGGTTATTAAGCATTTCTTAATCCTCAGATAATGAAAGCAAATTATAGTACCCAAAGCCTGTGCTCTTAACCTCCATTGTCAGTATTATCTCCATTTTACAAATGATAAAGAAAAGAAAACCTTATATAATGTTCTAAGATGCGTGAACTATTATATATAGATGAGAAATTCCATCAGTTGCCATCTTCAAATGTTAAAGACAGATATGTGTGTGCTTTGGTAATAACCCTTTCCCCCTAAGAGAGTCTATATTCCTGTTCACTAAGGATATAGAATAGTCCTCATAATTACAAAATCACTTAGCACATTACTCCAATTTTCACCAAGATCACAAAATCAGAACATAAGACAGCTTTATCCCTCAAGAAATTTACCAATAATTTTTTTTTGTAAAGTTGTTGTTTTATTTAGTTCTTATGTCTTCGCCTCAGAATTGTCCCGGACATAGAAATTAATTTATAATTCCAGTTAGAGTATAGAGCGGAAAAAATACTTTGAGGAAGAAATTGAAGATTATACATTCGACGGGATTTTGAATGGGACACATTAAATGGTTACCTTAATAAGGGAAATACAGGCTACGTTGCCCAACACATAGATAGCATGCCTTAGGAGTGTGAGGCACCATCTTAGGCTTTTTCCCTTTAACCCTAAAGAATAGATATTATTATCCCAGTTTTAAACATAAGGAAAGACATGGGCATTTTCTTTTCCAACCAGTTGCCCATCTTCAAAGTTAATGCTTTTCCCACTAATGCAGGTCAAAGAAGCAAATATTTTTACATCACCTCATCTCATTTCTCTCTCTATATCCTTGGTACTCACTGGTAGGACCAGTCTGGGCATTACTGTGAGAGGCACGTTTCATATGTGGTCTCGGAGACCAGGAAAGCCTAAATATTCAATGATGCTGTACTAAAATTTCATTTCTTGATGGGTTTCGTCATTGGAATGGGTATTCCAGGAACTTACAAGTTCATAAGTAATGTAGCAGGTAGTCAGAATAAAACATTAGCCAAAACATTGGAGAAATTGATATGATTCATAAAGGGCCACAGCCCTTGCTCTGTCCTTATTACTTATTTTCCCTCCTTGATCCCTGAGATGGGCTCCACTATTTTCAGGCCATAGGGTTATGAGGGTGATGTTCATAAAAATATGCTGTGGAAGAAGGATGAAAGAAAACAAGTCCTAGGACTCTGAAGAATAAGGAGTATAGAAGATACAGGAGACTTTTGAAGACTTAACCTTAGACAAAGTTCATGAATGCCTTAATTATTTCACTTCTGTGACTCAACATTAATATGTGATTGGGTCAACGTACTTTAAAAGTGACATCATTTTGAGGGTCATGGCTTTATAAACACAAAATGTAAAATTAAGCTCAACAATGCTAGATGAGATATTTATGCATTTAAAGAAGATGAATTAGCAAAAGTTGTAACCATTCTTACAATATCTTCGAATAGTAATTTTCTATAATGTATAGACTCATCTAAAAGTTTATTATTGTCATGGTTATTACCTTCATGAGTTGTTGACTTTAGCAGAAATTCTGGGGCTAACTAATGCCTATCAAGGTGTATTTACTGTGATTTTATTTTATAAATATAGTTTATAAAATTTAAATTTGTAATTTATAAAATTTAAATAAAATTAAAATTTAATTGTAGTTTATAAAATTTAAATAAAATTAAAATTTAAAATGATATTTAACTATTTTACAGTTTATGTGTTATTAATTTTTTTCAACTTTTATTTTAGGTTCAGGAGATACATGTGCAGGTTTGTTACATGGGTAAACTGCATGTCACCGGGGTTTGGTGTAAAAATGATTTCATCGCCCAGGTAGTGAGCATAGTACTCTCACCCTTCTCTGATCCTCCCGCATCAAGCAGGCCTCAGTGTCTATCATTCCGATCTTTGCATACAAGTGTACTCAATGTTTAGTTCCACTTATAAGTGAGAACATGTGGTATTTGGTTTTCTGTTCTTGCATTCATTTGCTTAGGACAATGGACTCCAGGTGCATCCATATTGCTGCAAAGGATATAATTTTGTTTTCTTTTATGACTGTGTAGTATTCTATGGTGTATATGCACTGCATTATCTTTCATCAGTCCACCACTGATGGGCATCTAGCTTGATTCCATGTCTTTTCTATTGTGACTAGTGCTGCAATGAATGTACAAGTGCATGCGTCCTTTTGGTAGAACAATTTATGTGTCATTTTGGGTATATATCCAATAATGAGACTGCTGGTCTAGTGGTAGTTCTGTTTTAAGTTTTTCGAGAAATGTCCAAACTGCTTTACACAGCAACTAAACTAATTTACATCCCCACCAGCAGTGAATAAGCATTTCCTTCTCCCACAACGTTGCCAATATCTGTTATTTTTTGATCTTTTGATAATAGCCATTCTGACTGCTATGAAACGCTGTCTCATTGTGGTTTCGATTTGCATTTCACTGATGATTAGTGATCTGGAACATTTTTTCATATGTTTGTTTGCTGCTTGTATGTCTTCCTTTGAGAAGTGTCTGTTCATGTCCTTTGCCCATTTTTTTAATGGGGTTGCTAGGTTTTCTCTTGTTGTTTCATTTAAGTTCTTTACAGATTTTGTATATTAGACCTTTGTTAGATGCATAGTTTGCAAATATTTCCTCCCATTCCTGTAGGTTGTCTGTTTGCTATGTTGATAGATTCTTTTTCTGTGTAGAAGCTCTTCAGATTAATTACCTCTCACTTGTCTACTTTTGTTTTTGTTGCATTCTCTTTTAGAGACTCTCATGAAATCTTTGCCAAAGCTGTATCCAGAATGCTATTTCTTAAGTTATTCTTCTTGTGTTTGTAGAGTTTTAGGACTTAAATGTAAGTTGTTAATGCATCTGGAATTGATTTTTGTATATGGTGAAAGGAAAGATCTTCTCATATGGCTAGCCAGTTATCCAAGCACCATTTACTGAATAGGGAGCTCTTTCCCCATTGCTTGTTATTGTTGCCTTTGTTGAAGAGCAAGTGGTTGTAGGTGTGCAGCTTTATTTTTGAATTATCTAAACTGTTCCATTCATCTCTGTGTCTGTTTTTGTATTAGTACCATTCTGTTTTGGATCCTGTAGCCTTGTAGTATAGTCTGAAGTCAGGCAGTGTGATACCTCTGGCTTTGTTCTTTTTGCTTAAGATTGCTGTGGCTATTTTGGCTCTTTTTTGACCCATAGGAATTTTATAATAGTTTTTTCTAATTCTGGGGAAAATGACAATGGTAGTTTGATGGAAATAGCACTGAATCTGCAGGTTGCTTTTGGCAATATGGCCATTTTAACAATATTGTTTCCTCATACTCATGAGCGTGGAATGATTTTCAATTTGTCCGTATCATCTACCATTTCTTTCAACAATATTTTGTAATTCCCCATGTACAGAACTTTCACTTTCTTCATTAGCTGCATTCCTAGGTATTGTTTTTGAGTGTGTGGCTATTGTAAATGGGATTAAGCTATTAATTTGTCTCTCAGTTTTGACATTATTGATATATAGAAATGCTACTAATTTTTGTACATTAATTTGTATTCTAAAACTTTAGTGAAGGTTTTTTTCTTCTTTATCATTTCTAGGAGACCATGTACAGATACTGTGGGGTTTTTCTAGGTATAGAATAATATCATCAGCAAAGAGAGATAGCTTTTTCCTATTTGGATGCCTTTTATTTCTTTTTTTTTTTAGATTTTTTTTTTTTTTTAGTTTTTTTTATTATTATACTTTAATTTCTGGGATACATGGGCAGAACTTGCAGGTTTGTTACATAGGTATACACGTGCCATGCAGCCATAAAAAAGGATGAGTTTATGTCCTTTGCAGGTACATGAATGCAGCTGGAAACCATCATTCTCATGAAACTAACACAGGAACAGAAAACCAAACACCACATGTTCTCACTCATAAGTGGGAGTTGAACAATGAGAACACATGAACACAAGGATGGATCCCTTTTATTTCTTTCTTTTGCCTGATTGCTTTGGCTGGGACTTCTACTGCTATGTGGAACAGGAATGGTGAGAGAGGGCATCCTTGTCTCATTCTGGTACTCAGGATAATGCTTCCAGTTTTTGCCCATTCAGCAGGACATTTGCTGTGAGTTTGTCATACATGGCTCATTATTTTGAAGTATCTCCCTTCAATGCCTGGTTTGTTTATGGTTTTTAACATGAAGAGATGTTGAATTTTATCGAAAGCCTTTTCTGCATCTAGTGAGATGATAATATGATTTTTGTTTTTAGCTTTGTTTTGTGATGAAATGCATTTATCAATATGTGTATGTTGAACCAAGCTTTCATCCAAGGAATGAAGCCTACTTAATTGTGATGGATTCACCTTTTTATGTGCTGCTGAATTCAGTTTGCTAGTATTTTGCTGAAGATTTTTGTGTCTATGTCCATCAGGGATATTGGCCTGAAGTTTTCTTTTATAGTTTTGCCTTTGCCAAGATTTAGTATCAGAATAATTCTGGGCTCAAGAATGTGTTGGGAAGGAGTCTCTCCCACTGAACATTTTGGAATAATTTCAGTAGATTGGTACCAGCTCTTCTTTGTATATCTGGTAGAATTCAGCTGTGAATCCATCTGGTCCAGGGCTTTTTTTGGGTGGTAGGGTACGTATTACTGATTCAGTTTCAAAACTTGTTATTAGTCTCTTTATGATTGCAGTTTTTTCTTGGTTCAATCTTCAAAAGTTGTATATTTCCAGGAATTTATTCATTTTTTCTAGGTTTTCTAGTTTGTGCACATACACATGTTCATAATAGTCTCCTGTACTTCTGTGGGGTCTGTGGTAGTGTTACCTTTGTCATTTCTGATTGTGTTTACTTGGATCACCTCTCTTTTTTTCTCTTTATTAGTCTAGCTAGCAGTCTATTAATATTTGTTATTCTTTTAAGAAAACAACTTTTGGCTTCATTTATCTTTTATATGGGTTTTCACGTCTCAATGTTGTTCAGCTCAGCTCTGATTTTAGTTATATCTTTTCTTTTGCTAACGTTGGGGTTGGTTTGCTTCTGTTTTTTCTAGTACATCTAGGTGTGATGTTAGTTTTTTAATTTGAGATCTTTCTACCTTCTTGATATAGGCATATAGTGCTATAAACTTTCCTCTTGCTGCTTGAACTGTGTTTCAGAGATTCTGGTATCGTGTATCTTTGTTTTCATTAGTTTTTTTTTTTAATTTCTGCCATAATTTTACCCAACAGTCTTTCAATAGCAGGTTGTTTAATTTCCACATGGTTTTGAGAGATCTTCTTGGTATTGGTCTTTATGTTTATGGCACTGTGATCTCAGAGTGTGGTTGGTAACATTTCATTTTTTTAAAATTTGTTGAAAACTTTGTGACTGAACACATGGTTAATTTTAGAGTATGTGCCATGTGCAGATGAGAAAAATATACTCTAAGTAGAGTATTCTGTAGATGTCCGTTGGGTCCATTTGGACAAGTGTCTAGTTTAGGTCTCGAATATCTTTGTTAGTTTTCTGTCTTGTTGATTTGTCTAACACTGTCAGTGGAGTGTTGAAGCTTCCCACTGTTACTATGTTGTTATCTAAGTCTTTTTGTAGGTCTCTAAGAACTTATTTTATAAATCTGGGTGCTCCAATGTTGGGTGCATATATTTTTAGAATTGTTAAATCTTGTTTAATTGAACACTTTATTATTATGTAATGCCCTTCTTTGTCTTTTTTATCATTGTTGGTCTAATATCTGTATTTTTTTCTGAAATAAGAACAGTAACCCTTGCTCTTTTTTGTTTTCATTTGCTTAATAGATTTTTCTCCATTTATTTACTTTGAGCCTATGGGTACTTTTGCATGTGAGATGAATCTTTGGACAGCATCCAGTTGAGTCTTGCTTCTTTATCCAACTTGCTATTCTATGCCTCTTACATGGGGCATTTGGCTAATTTTTGTTCAAGGTTAATATTGATATGTGAGAATTTGGTCTTGTCATCATAATATTAGCTGGTTGTTATGCAGACTTGATTGTATGGTTGCTTTATATTGTCAGGGAGTTGTGTGCTAAAGTATGTTTTTGTGGTGGCAAGTATTGATCTTTCATTTCCATGTTTAGCATTCCCTTAAGGACCTCTTCTAAGGCAGGTCTTGTAGTAAAAACTTCCCTTAGCATTTTCTTGTATAAAAAGGGCTTTATTTCTCCTTTTCTTATAAAGCTTAATATGACTGGATATGAAATTCTTAGTTGAAATTTCTTTCCTTTACTGAAAATGAATATAGGCCTCCAATCTCTTCCGGCTTGTAAGATTTCTACTGAAAGGTCTACTGTTAGACTGATTATATGACCTGCTCCTTTTCTCTAGCTGACTTTAAGATTTTTTAAATTTTGTATTGACCTTGAAAAATGTGATGAGTATGTGTCTTGGGATGGCCATCTTGTATAGTATCTCACAGAGGGTCTCTGAATTTCCTAAATGTGTATGTTGATCTCTCTAGATAAGTTGGGGAAATTTTCATTGACAATGTCCTCAATAATTTTTCCAAGTTGCTTTCTCTCTCATCTCCTTTAAGACTCCCAATGAGTCATATGTTTGATCTATTTACATAAGCCCATATTTCTCAGAGGTTTTGTTCATTATTTTCTCTTCTTTTTTCTTTATGTTTGTCTGCCTGCATTGATTCAAAAGAGTAGTCTTCAAGCTATGTTATTCTTTCGTCAGCTTGGTCTATTCTGTTGTTAATGCTTCCAGTTATATTAGGACATTTTTGTAGTCAATTTTTTTTATTTCCAGAATTTCAGTTTGGTTCTCTCTTAAAATGGCTATGTCATCTTTCAACTCTTGGATCATGTTACTGTTTTCCCTGAATTGGGTTTCAACCTTCTCCTGTATCTTGTTGAGCTCCCTTGCTGGCCGGATTCTGAATTCTATAATTGTCATTTCAGTCATTTTAATCTGGCTAAGAATCATTGCTGGTAAGCTACTGTGGTTTTTTTTTAGAGGTAAGAAGACACTCTGGATTTTAGAGTTCTTAGAATTCTTGCACTGATTCTTTCTCATCGGTATAAGCTAATGTTCCTTTAATCTTTGAAGTTGCTGTTCTTTGGATGGGGCCTTTTGCTTTCCTTTTATTTGATATTCTTGAGGGTTTCACTCTAGTATAAGTTGGATTTAGTCAATTGGCTTCATTTCTGGATGCCTTCAGGGGGCCATCTCAGGTCTCCTGGGTGTCATGCACTAACCTTGAGGGGCTGGACCAAGTTCCACAGCTTTGTCTTCTGGTCACACGAGGTCAAGCACCTGCTGCACTGGAGGGGTTGAAGTGTTCCCAGTCTGCAGGTGTTGTGATGGGAGCTGTTGATAAAAGTGCTATGGCATGGCAAGTCGTGGGCCACAAGACAGTGTGCCACAGCGAGGGGGTCACAGGCAAATGTGCATGGTAGGGCAGTGGGAGAGGGCTGCAGGTGAGTGCACACCAACAGGGCTGTGGAATGATACAGGCACATGTGCACACATATGTGCACTGGCAAGGTGGCAGGTAGAAGCTGCAGGAGAATGCACACTGGTCGGGGAAGGCTGAGGGCAGGTATATGCCAGCGAGGTGCCATCTGAAAAAGAGTTCAAATGGAAAGGCGAGGGCTTCTGGTGAAAAATCTGCAGTGGTGCTCGCTGGAAAGTATTTCAGCAGGACAACTAAGGCTCTGCTGCAAGCAGATGTGGCCAGGCAGGGACAGTAAGAGGGACTGTATACAGGGGAGTATTCAGATCAGACTCATCCCATCTGACAGAAAAGACAGCCCTGTTCTCTCCACTTCTGGCAGCTAATAAATGCTAAAGCCACCTAGAGGAGTATGGTGGGTCTTAGGAGATAGGCACTTATGACCACGCTCCACTGCAGCTGTTCCTGTGCCAAACCTTCTGGGCTCCACACAGACTGGAGTTCTGTCTCTGCCAACTCTTCAGGGAGTCAACCCAAATGTCAGGACCCCCCATGGAGGTCATGAGGACTCCTACAACTAGAATCCCAGAGGTCCATGGTGAGAGTGGGCTGCTCTACACCTATTTTACCTATCCCTTCCATAGGACCCTCTCAGGGCTAGGAACAAGTCTTGGTGCTCTACACCCCATCCACGGTTCCCAGCTTTTAGCCCCACGGTCTGTGTCCTCCTTTTGTCCATTCTCAATGCCTTCCTTCCAAAGATCTGCTTGAAGTGTCCTGGTCTACTTCGTGTTCTGGTCTCTCTTAGTGGGACAAGCTCTTCCTAGCTGCATCTAGTTGTCCATCTTGGCTTCCATTCAGTTTATATTTTTAAACACAGAATCACTTTACCCCACTAAATACAAGTTCAAAAAGTGTTAACAGAGTATGAGTTTAGTCATTAATCATTAGCCAGTTGGTGTGTCCATACCAACTTACATTTAGTAAAACAGGTTTATAAAGGGTATATATAATCAATTTTGGATTAACAATATTGCTGTCAGTTATAGTAAAAATAATTTCTTATTATCTTACTGTTATGGACTCAATATTTTTGTCTACCCAAAATTTATATGTTGAAATTCTAACTCCCAATGTAATAGTATTAGAAAGTGGGGTCTTGGGATATAATTAGGTTATAAAACCCTCACAAATGGGATTAGTGCTTGTGATGGTTAATTTTATGTGTCACCTTGACTGAGCTAGGAGATGGACAATAGCTATCAAAACATTATTTCTGAGTGTGTTTATGAGGGAGATTCCAGAAGATATTGGCATTTAAATTAGTAGACTGAGTAATGAAAATTCCTCTTGCCAATGTAGGTGGATATCATCCATTCTACTGAGGATCCAAAGAGAACAAAAAGGGAGAGAAAGAACAAAAGGGAGATGAATTATCTTTTCTTGAGCAGGGACATCCATCTTCTCTTGCCCTCAGATATCATAGCTCCTGATTCTTGGACTCCAGGACCCCCAGCCTCATATTCAGGCCTTCAGACCCCCACCTGAACTCCAACCAAATTACATCACCAGTTTTTCTCCAACTTATAGACTCCAGATGGTGAGACATCTAGGCCCCCATTATATATGAGCTAATTCCCATTTTATACATATATATGAATTATATACATATATATATACACACACACACAAACATATGTATTTCATATATATTTCATATTGGTTCTGTTTGTCTGGAGAATTCTGACTAATCCAGTGCCCTTACAAAAGAGATCCCAGAAAACTCTCTATCCCAGTTTTCCATTATCTGAGGATACATCTAGTAGTTGGCAGCCTACAACCCTGAAGAGGCACCTCACTAGTCTCTGTCTATGCTGGGACCCTGATCTCAGACTCCCAAGCTTCAGAACTGTGAGAAATAAATTTCTGTTGTCTTTTATATATGTCTTTAGTTGATTTGAAGATTACTCTAGTTGATGAGTTTGGCTCCCATTTATAAAGAAGTCACACATTTTCAAGAAAACCAACAGCTTCAAAATATGAGTAGTGTCTTCTTCAATAAGACTGCAACAAACCTACCTGAGTTGATTCTTTCCTCTTGTACACAAATGTATTGATTGCTACAGTTGATTTTGGAAGACAAAAAAATGTACAATGATTTGTGGATAAGATAAATGATAGAAGCTGCAGGTGGTTAAAATATGCTAACACTGCAATCGTAAATAAAATTTTGAAACTTTTGGCAGACAGGGCAAGCAACAGACACTGGGAAATTAATTGTTCTTTAATGTAGGACACCGATGTGTACTGAAATATTTTATTGCAAATTATATTGATGATGCAAATTGTAAGTATGAAAAATTCCCTGCTGGATTATGAGCTGAGGTTATGACACGGCTTCTATAGTTTCTAAAACACAGAACTTAACTATGTATGTGCATTAATTAGATGAGTTAGAACTAGGAATAGAGCTTTCCCTATGAAAATAAGCAAGTTCAGTCCTGTATTAAGAAAACATCCACTGAGTGACTTTGCTAGTCACTGTGCTAGACAGTGAGGATAAAGGTGTAAAAGGGACAGACAAAGGTGTTGCCCTTAAGAATTTACAATCCAGCAGAAAAGGTACACAGATATGAAACTAGAGTGGAGTTAACTTATAAAAGCATTTCTCATTCAGAACGAGGTCCCTGAGACCCTGACGACTGCATCATTGTCAATAAATATGTTTTCCCCAATTTTATATTGCTGCCTCAGAGTGTGTTTATTATAGCCTTATTTATACAAGTCAAACATCAACAGAAACATACAAAGCAACTTGAGAGACATCACATATTATATGTAAACAAGCAAGGCAGAATTTTTACATGTTCTGTTCCCTTTGTTTTCTTCTTTAGTCAAGTTTAAAAGAAATATGTATTCAATGTCTAGCATAGCACTGTGCTAGGTAATGAGGGAATAGTAAACAATATAAATCACAGGAATTCAAATGTGTTAGAATCACATTGGTGTTATAGCCAGATGGGTGTGCCGATACCAATTTACTTTTAGTAAAGCAGGTTTATAAAGGTTGTATATAAATTAATTGATTTTTTATTGATAAAAATAATTTCTTATTACCTTACTATTGTGGGCTGAGTATTTTTGTCCACCTAAAATTTATATGTTCAAATTCTAACTCCAATGTGATAGTATTAAGAAGTGAGACCCTTGGGATATATGAGGTCATGAAGCTCACGTAGATGGGATTGGTGAAAGAAAGGGTTCCAGGGCCACTTTGAGAGAAATGGGTAAAGCTGGCAAAGAAATAAGCAGTGTGTTTTTACAGAAGGAATTTATGGGAAAAATATACAAAAACAGAAGTGGCTAAACAAATTTATGAAGAAAGTTGCTTATGAAACACTCAAAGAGTGAGAAGTCTGTCTGTATAGGAAGGCTTGCCAGAGCTTTTAATATACTGCTAATATGGCAAATCTCAAAAAAAGTGCATAGCATGCAAAATTTTTCAGAAGTATTTGCTTAAAAAAATCAATGTTTATACATCATCATGGGTCACATACTTTGGAAAGTCAAAGTCATGCTAAATTGGAAAAACAGACCTCAAAATAATAAGAGCGATCTATGACAAACCCACAGCCAACGTTGCAATGCATGGGCAAAAGCTGGAAGCATTCCCCCTAAGAAATGGACCAAGACTAGGATGCCCACTCTCACCACTCCAATTCGACATAGTACTGGAAGTCCTATCCAGAGAAATCAGGCAAGAGAAATAAATACAAGTCATCCAGATATGAAAAGAGGAAATCAACTTATCTCTCTTATCAAATGATATGATTCTATACCAAGAAAGCCCTAAAGATTCTGCTGAAAGATTACTACACCTGATAAAGGACTTCAGCAAAGTCTCTGGCTTAAAAAAAAATCAGTGTACAAAAATGACTAGCATTTCTGTACACCAATAATATTCAAGCTGGGAACCAAATCAAGAATGCAATCCCACTTAACAATAGCCACAATAAATAAATAAATAAATAATAAATAAAATACCTAGAAATACACCTAATCAACATGATGAAGATCTCTGTGAGGTGAACTACAAAACACTGCTGAAAGAAATGGTAGATGACACAAACAAATCAAAAAGCATTCCATGCTCATGCATAAGAAGAATCAATATCATTAAAATGGTTATTACTGTCCAAAGCAATCTACAGATTCAATGCTATTCTTATTAAACTACCAATATCATTTTTCTGGGAATTAGAAAAAGCCATTCTAAAATCACATGGAGCCCAAAATGAGCCCAATAGCCAAAGCAGTCCTAGGCAAAAAGAACAAAGCCAGAGGTATCACCCTGCCTGACTTCAAAGTATACCACAAGGCTACAGTAACCAAAATAGAATGGTACTGATACAAAAACAGACACATAGACCAATGAAACAAGTTGAAAATTTCAGAAATAAAGCCACACACCTGCAACCACCTACTCTTCAACAAAGTCAACAATAATAATCAATGGGGAAAAAATCTATTCAATAAATGGTGTTGGGATAACTGGCTACTCATATGCAGAAGATTGAAACTAGAACGCTTTCTTTAACCACATAAAAACAAATCAACCTAAGATTCATTAACAACTTAAATTTAAGGCCTAAATCTCTAAAAACCCTAGAAAAACAACTAGGGAATACTCTTCTAGACATTGGCCTAGGCAAAGAATGTATGATGAAATCCCCAAAGGCAAGTTTAACAAAATAAAAGACAAATGTGGTTTAAAGTAAAGAGTTTCTGTACAGCAAAAGAAACTAACAACATTGCAAACAGATAACCTACAAGAATGAGAGAAAATATTTACAATCTATGCATGTGACAAAGGACTGGTATCCAGAATCTATAAAGAACCTAAATAAATCAACAAGAAAAAAAAACCATTAAAAAGTGGGCAAAGGACACGAAAAGACCCTCTCAAAAGAAGACATACAAGCAGCTAACAAACATATGAAAAATGTTTGACATTGCTAATCATTAGAGAAATGCAAGTCAAAACCACAATGAGATACCATCTCACACGAGTCAGAATGGCTATTATCAAAAAGCCAAAATGATATTGGCAAGGCTGTGGAGAGAAGGGAACATGTACACTGTTAGAATGCAAATCAGTTCAGCCACTGTGGAAAGCAGTTTTGAGATTTATCAAAGAACTGAAAATAGAATTACCATTCAATCTGGCAATCCCATTACTTTATAGATACCCAAAGGAAAATAAATTGGTATATATTTCCTTTGGGATATATATCCAAAGGAAAATAAATTGTTCTACCAAAAAGACACATACACTCATATGTTCATTGCAGCACTACTCACAATAGCAGACATGAAATCAACCTAGGTGCCCATCAATGGTAGACCGGATAAAGAAAATGTGCTGTACTGACATGGAATACTACACAGCCATAAAAAAGAGTGAAGTCATGTTCTTTGCAGCAACATGGATGCAGTTGGAGGCCATTATCCTGAGCAAACTAATGCAGAAATAGAAACCAAATACCACATGTTCTCACTTACGAGTGGGGGTAAACACTGGGTATGAACGAACATAAAGATGGGAACAATAGACCCTGGGAACTCCAAAAGGAGGGAGGGAGAGGTAGGGGCAAGGGCTGAAACACTTCTTATTGGGTAATAGGTTCACTATCTGAGTGACGAGATCAAGAGAAGCCCAAACCTCAGAACCACTCAATACACTTGTAACACATCTGTGCACAAACCCCTGGATCTAAAATAAAAGTGGAATATTTTTTTCAAAAAAGTTATGCTACAAAAAATACCATTCAGTAAAGGCATTTTAGAACTAAGGAGAAGGAGTTAGCCTTAGTCCAACCTTCTTCTATTTCAAGACACCATATTAAAGCATACATTCTTTCCTTGCCACAACTTGGAACAAATTTCTTAGCCAGAGAGATTTTCCCCTCAAATAGGAAGAAATATGTGCTAGCTATTTTTGAGTAGTAGGAATGTAAAAAATGTATATTTTTGAAGATTGGAGACTTTTTTGTCCTTGAATAACTCAAGACTTCTTTGTTCTTCGGAATCAAATTTAGCAAGTAATTAGTGCATAATCAGAACCAGTTGTAGCATCAGACTCTATTTAGTTAAAGTGCATTTAAAAATACATAGGAAGACAGATAATCTGAATTTTCTTTCTAATGATGCCAACCTCATGAAGTACTGTTGTTGAAGAATACACGAAGCGCTGAGAGATCTATTTTGCTGACTTACAGAAAGTCATTGGTAATTAATTTTCTCTCCAACTTTGGTTTAACAATATATTTGAAGCAAACTGGAGTTTTGAATCAAAGACTAGAAGCATAAAATCAAAGAGAAACAGTCCTGGATTCTAATGCCAGGTTTGCTATCTACCAGCTGAGAAGCAGTGGGCAAACTATTTAACCTTGCTGGGTCCTGATGTGCTCATCCACCCTTTTCAATTCACCTAGCCTCTATGTCAAATTTCACAGCATTTTCCAACCAGGAACAAGGTGAGTATGGCATCTCAGCTTACCTAATGTTTTATACAATGTTAATACTTGAATAAGACAGTGTTATTAAAATAATACAATGAATTATTATAATTATTATAGTAATACAATGAATAATGCAAATAAATACAATGCTAATACTTGAATAAATACAACAAAGCCACAAAAACCAAAAGATACAAAGATAAAACAGAAGCAGTAACAAGAGAAGCAGCTCTATTAACCTCTGTTGCCAGACTATTAAGATATGCATCCCCATCTTCATTTTCTTATCATGTATCTTCTATACACAGGTTTACAATCTAGCTTTTTCCCCCCACTATGCCACTAATAATAAATTTTAGTGTGCATTTGAATCATCTGGAAAGTTTGATGAAAGGCTATGTCCAACCATGCTTGTTTCTGATTCAGTATGTGTAGGAAATGGCCCAAGAATTCAGATTTCTGATCAATGTAACAGGTGATGCTGATTCCAATGGTCCTGGCCATACTTTGAGAATCTCTCTCTAGTACTTCATTCTCAATCTTGACTGAATGTTAGAATCAACTTGGGATTTTTAAAAAAATGCCTATTCATTCAGACAAATTAAATCAGAATTTTTGAGTGGTAAAACCGAGGCATAGATTTTTTTTGTTTTAGATCCCCAGGTTATAAACTTTTGCTCAAGCAAAACACAAAAGGTTTTCTTTTCTTTTTTTTTCTTTTTTTTTTTTTTTTGAGACGGAGTCTCTCTCTGTCACCCAGGCTGGAGTGCAGTGGCCTGATTTCTGCTCACTGCAAACTCCACCTCCCGGGTTCACCCCATTCTCCTGCCTCAGCTTCTCAAGTAGCTGGGACTACAGGCGCCTGCCACCATGCACAGATAATTTTTTGTATTTTTAGTAGAGACGGGGTTTCACCGTGTTAGCCAGGATGGTCTCGATCTCCTGACCTCGTGATCCTCCCACCTCAGCCTCCCAAAGTGCTGGGATCACAGGCATGTACCACCGTGCCCAGCCTGGTTTTCTTTTTTATACAGTCAAGTATAATTTTCTGAATCATAGATCTGAAGATGCAGTCTGGGTCTGCTAGGTTTACCCTGGAGCCATTGCCTGGAGTACTGCTTGGTGCATAGCAGGCACTTCACCACTGAAAAGTACTTGAAGTTCTTATTGAAGTAGAAGTTGATTTTCTTAACCTGTCTACTGTAGTGGATAATGCTGACCTTCCTTCTTTTGGACACACCTCTCAATTCATAATTTGAATACTAGGTATTCCTATTTCTTACTGGCATTAATGACTGTTTGCTTATTTGTTTGTTCTGATCGTTCCTTCTCCTTTACTGTATTCAAGGCTTGTTTTTGGTCTTCTGTGTTCCTTTTTCTATTGATATATTAAAGATGTATTCATATCCTTCCTCCATGCAAGTGATGTTAGCATGTTCTTCATTTCCCTAATATTAGAAAGCGTTTAGGTTCCTTCCCTTGAATCACTCCAATTTTTATCTTGGAAAGGTAACTCTTTATAGATATCATCCTGGAAAGTAAAAGTATAATTAGATACAGATAATAATAGCAAAATACCCAGCAATTATTGAACACAAGGCAGTGTGCTAAGGGCTTCATGTGGATCATATAATTTATTTTTTTATAATAAATTTATGTCTTGGATACTGTACTCATTCCTATTTTGCAGATGAGGAAAATAAGGCACCAGGAAGTTAAACTAGCCCAAAGTTACGCAGCTAGTGAAACTCAGTAATTTCAAAGAGGTAAATTGGCTTCAGAAATCAAAACCTAACAATTCCATTATGGGAGATTATAGAGAAGAGGTTCTAAAAATAAATAGAACAAAGTTACAAGATGTTTAAAAAAGAAAAGAGAGAGAATACCTCCATGAGAGTAGAAAATGATACTTGATTGAATAAAATTTTTAAAAAAAGCACCAAAATAATGAGGCTCAAATCAAGGAACAAGAAAAAGACCACCACAGATGTTCATGGAAAAAGAGCTACAGGGTAGGGAAGACCACACATGTCAGGAGATATTGGAGGGAGGAGGGGCAGGTGCATTCCCTGAGTTTGCTAGTGGAAAAGATTCATGATTATTTCCCATGGATCTGATGTGGGCTAATCAGGAAACACAGAGCTGACTTGTAATCATCATGGTATTTTTGTAATAGATAAGCCTTTGGGGACAGAAAATGCAGCATCAAGAAACTGGATGTTATTTGAAAGCCAGTTTGTTAGGAACTTCAGGAAGTGTCTGAATCAAGAAACTGGAATAGGGATGCAGCTGCACACAGGTCAAGGGAACTGCAGTTGGAGGAGCCCAACAGGAACCTTCCAGAAAAGCCACAAAAGTGACCCTGTGATTTCAAAGAGAGAGATCTAAGTTTATGCATAAGGCAGGACCAGAAAGCATAAAGTCAGTTATGTGAGAACCAAATGAATTAAATCTCTTTTCATATGTCACCATACCCTCCTCCCTTCCTCTAAACTTGAAGTTCTTAGAACCTGGAAAGCAAGCAAATGGGAATGAAGGAGGAGCAGAAACAGAGAAATACCATAGAAGCCAACCAATTGCAGATTTACACTCTAATGCAGGTTAGAGGTTGAGAAGAGAAGAATGCATTCAACCATGGTCAAAGTTTTGTATATTAATTTACACTGGACATTCAAATTTCTGAGGAAGTTTGTGTTTCTTAAAATGGCTATCAGACTGTGTATTGCCTAAGACTGAGCAAAAACATGGAGGAAGACAAAAATACAAGTCTGTTTTGTTTAAACTGTGAGTTGTGCTTATTTAATATACTGTTCACACATGGATAACAGCATTCTCAGGTGATATCCTAATGTGTTCACCTTGGAACACGAGTTGGTCTGGAGAGGGCACAGGCAAGGCCTGCAAAAAGCGGTTTTCTATAAGGAACAGAGAAAGCCTTTAGAATATGGAAAACGAAACTCAAGAAATCATAAATTTTCAAAGGTTTGGTTCAAGGAATGTGAAGCCACGTTGGTAGGAGAAATATCCAAGTGTGTTCATCTCACTGTGACCAAGATTACCTATCAGTCTTCCATAAGTCCTGATATGAGCAATAAACAATAAAAAAATTTTCTTTATATTTCTAAGTAATATGGTAGGTACTGTGACCCATGTGATGTATTAGTCAGGTTTGGGAAATTTTAAAAAAATGCCCTTGGTATTTCAAGCAGGAATAAATTTAGTACCCAGAATTTGGTCCCTATATAACTATTGGAAGGGCTGAGGGAACCAAGATCAGGAAAGGCCGACACTAGCTCTCAGGTTTATCTCACCAGCCCGCAGATATTCGGGAAATTTCCACCCAATCAGAAACTCCATAAAACCACTGTCAAATGGTCACTGCTGACTGCAGAATTGAGGCAGGTGACTTCCAAAATGTTCTTCGAAGCCACTGATAATGCTGAACCTCGCATCTGCTGAATCCCAGGTGCTACCTGCCACTGACAAAAGTATCATGGCATCTGCTCCTTTCTACCATCCAATTTTCAAGCAAGCAAACCACAAACATGTAGTAAGAAAAGCTGGGACTTTTTTTTCATGAACGTCTGGCAGCTAGTGAAACTCAGTAAGAGCACACAGACACAAGAAGAGCAAGCACACAGCACAGAACTTGGTGCCGAGGATCATCACACAATTCAGCACATGATTTATTCCCAATGTGACAGACTGCGCAGTAGCTTCAATCAATAAACATTTCCAAATAAAATAATAAAAATATTTAGCTCTGTTTGCTCGAATGATTCTGAAAAGATCAATGTTTGACATCTCTAAAGATTTGGGGTTTT
The DNA here is from genome assembly GCF_000001405.40 of Homo sapiens. Lineage (NCBI taxonomy): Eukaryota > Metazoa > Chordata > Mammalia > Primates > Hominidae > Homo > Homo sapiens. Next base: position 18,761,267 of record NC_000004.12, on the reverse strand, counting down.
CCAGAGACAGGAGTTTTTTCTCTTCCCCTCCGCAACTCTTTCTGGGAATGCAAAAATATGAGACAGCCTGAAACAGGTGCGGGGAACAATGAACAAAAACGTAAACTACACAAACAGAATCTCAGAAACAGGCAGACATGCATCATGTCCCACACTGATTCTTATCATGGACAAACTGTGTGCTGAGCAGAATGGACATAACGCTAAGCCAAATTCATACCCTCAGTGGCATGAAGGTATTATAGTTTAACCTGCAAAAACTAATCAATAGAAATTCTCAGGAAATTCTGACCTTAATCCTGATCAAGGTTCGACAAATCATCTCAATGAAACATCTGTTTCAAAAGCTGTATACTGCATGTTTTTTTCTCTTATGATAAAAAATAAATAATTTGAAGTGCAGGATTAAAGTGTATGCCAAAAACAATTAAGCAAATCTTGTATTGCTGATCCTGTTGTCTTCATTCTACCACTTTCTTTCACTCCTAATCAACTTTCCATCCTGCCACCCAGGTTGATCTTTCTAAAACTTAGATGTCATTATGTCTCATCTAAAAGACTTCAAAAGCTCCTCACAAGATTAAAGAAAAATTATCTTTAACAATATCTACAGGCTTTTCAAAATTTAGTACCTATCAACCTCTCTAGCTTTAATTCTTACCACATTCTTCAAATTCAAGTATAAATGTTTTCATCTCTGAACATATTTTTAATAAAAAATATTTACAAAACAAATGTTTCACATGGAGGATCAAACAAATTCTAAATTTATGTGGAAAACTGTTAATGAATAAAGGTAAACAGGAAAATTTTCAAACTATATTAAAATTATAATATGTAGCAAAGAAAAGTTGTTAAATTCAGATCTCTCAGCCCAGAACTATTGGCATATAACTTTAAAAAGATTGAATTTTTCTAAATCTTAATTTTCTCAGTTATAAAATGTACTACCTATACATGGATTGGTACTATATTTGACAGTTATTTGTAAACTTTAACCTCAACAAAAATATTATGAAACTATATAATTGGTTGCATTACCAAGAGGCAGGTTTTTAATTGAAGTTTTACTTTACATATAGGGCGCTCCTAAAATAACTTAAAACAGAGCTACCATTTAACCCAGCAATCCCATCATTGTGTATACATCCAAAAGAAAGTAAATTATTCTACCAAAAAGGCACATACACTCATATATTATTGCAACACTAGTCACAATAGCAAAGACATGGAATTAACCCTGGTGCCCATCAGGGGTAGACTGGATAATGAAAATGTGGTACATATACACCATGGAATACTATGCAGTCATTAAAAAAATGAAATCACATTCTTTGCAGCAACACGAATAGAGCAGGAGGCCATTAACTTAAGCAAATTAATGCAGGAGCAGAAACCAAATACCACATATTCTCACGTATAAGTGAAAGCTAAGCATTGAGCACACATGGACATAAATATAGTAACAATAGACACTGTGGACTACTAGAGGGTGGAGGAAGAAGGGGTGGGTTTGAAAACTACCTATTGGGATTGCTGGATCAAATGGTAGTTCTACTTTTAATTCTCTAATTCTTTAAGGAATCTACTTTTAATTCTTTAAGGAATCTCCACACTATTTTCCATAATGGCTGTACTAGTTTACATTCCCACCAGCAGTGTAGATACTTGCACATGCATGTTTATAGAAGCACAATTCACAATAGTAAAATCATGGAACCAACCCAAATGCCAATTAATCAATGAGTGAATAAAGAAAATATGATTTTCTTTATTCACTCATTGATTAATTGGCATTTGGGTTGGTTCCATGATGCCTTCGTCTTTTATCCCTCACACCCCTCCCACTCTTCCTCCCAAGTCCCCAAAGTCCATTGTATCATTCTTATGCCTTTGTGTCCTCATAGCTTGGCTCCCACATATCAGTGTGAACATACGATGCTTGGTTTTCCATTCCTCAGTTACTTCACTTAAAATAATAGTCTCTAACCTCATCCAGGTCATTGAAAATGCAGTTAATTCATTCCTCTTTATGACTGAGTAGTATTCCATATATATATATATATATATATATATATATATAATATATATATATATATATATATATATATATATATGAAGCACACAGAGAGTTCCTGGTGTATGGTAGGTGCCTAATAAGTCATCCTCAAACAGACCCTTTACAACGTATGCACACAGATATTTTTCTGTACATAATTTACTTCATCATTCACAGACACCCTTTGAGAAAAATAAATGAGATTTTAACATCTTTGTTTTGTTAACTAAGAAACAGGCACAGGAAGTTTATGTAGCTTGCTAAAAGTTCTACATCTGGTAACTGGAAGAGCTAATTCATAAATCCACTTCTGAATAAAATGTAGTGCATATCCAACTACAGTGTACTTCTTTTTCAATTGATATATGAAAAGTTACATTTACTTAGAGTTTGTTCTCCTTTGCCCCACTACCATGGTGCTTGTGCCAGACATTTGCTCATTTTCTCTCAGATGCATTATCTGATCCCAGCGGGCTGATCCTACATATTTTCCCCAAACTGCCTTGACAGCAGGCTTTTGACTACGTACAGGATGTGGGAGGCATTGATGGGAGACTGAAGGCAGGAGAGAAGGAGAGTCTAGACTATTTTTCACTGTCTCTCTTGTGTCTGGTTGCAGCTACATCTCCTCTACGGTACTATGCTCTTCCAGGAAACTCCCACCCAGTCTTGATGTCCAAGCTTCCAATTGAACTTTTGGCTCCTTACTTTGGTAATGCATCTTCTGACATTTCACTAATACTAATACTGAAGGGTGGTTGTACTCACTACTATTAATAAGTCTTGGGTTACCTCTTAATCCCTTATTTAGTCTTTTATCTTTTCTGAAGCCACTGTATTAATTCTGTCAGATTGAATCATAGTATCTGTTTGAACTTTAGGAGATCTTAATTCATAATAGCCACACAAATAATTTAGAAAATCTTAATCCAAATGGGAATCATAGGCTTCATTTAAATCAACTTATCTCATTAGATACACATATGTTCTTTTCAGACAGAAGTCTGAATGTTCAGACAGACACCTGTCTCCTCTTTTTTCAGCCTAACAGAACCTTGATTTGTTGAATTTGAATGTATCAACGAAAAAAAATAAATAAAAATAATAAAAATTTAAAAATCAACATTTTCCAAGTTCCTTTGCAGTTGGAAGTGGCCATGTGATTAAATTTCAGCTAATAAAATATAAGCAGAAGTTGTTGGTAAACCTTTAAGGAAAGTACAAGAAAATTACTTCACTTAATTGCCATATAACCATATTCATCCCCCCACTTGCTACCTCTTCCTACCTAGGATGCCAAAATGATGACTGGAACTATGCAGTCACTTTGTGACCGTAAGAAGATCTGAAGGATGTCACTTTTTTTTTTTTGAGATAGAATTTCGCTCTTGTTGCCCAGGCTGGAGTGCAATGGCACAATCTTGGCTCACTGCAACCTCTGCCTCCCAGATTCAGGAGATTCTCCTGTCTCAGCCTTCCGAGAAGCTGGGAATATAGGCGTGCACCATTACACCCAGCTAATTTTTTAGTAGAGACGGGGTTTCACCATTTTGCTTAGGCTGGTCTCGAACTCCTAACCTCAGATGATCTGCCCGCCTTGGCCTCCCAAAGTGCTGGGATTACAGCTGTGAGCCACCGTGCCTGGCCAGGATGTCACTTTTTAAGGAAGAAGAACAAAAACAAAGAGGAGCTTGAGTCATTGAAGACAGACATGGTACATGTGTACCAGCGTGGGACCACCTATTACATCATGTTATGTGAGAACCACTATTTTCTAGGTAACAGGATCTGTTACCCAATGCCAACTGCAGTTCCAAACTGATACGACGTTAAATTTTATCCTTCTTGTATTTATTTCTTCTTTATTCATTCTTATGTGTGTCAAATACTTTGCAAGAACCTGTGTATGTAAATATAGGTAAAGCAGAGTTCTTGCCTTTAAGATCACAGTGTAGTGAGAAGTCAGCCACAGAAATGGGCTGTTACACTTGCAGAATGGCAGTTGGGTATAATAATGGCAATAATCAGAAGACACTTAGGAAGGATAGAAGAGGAGTAAATCCAACATTCTTGGTGTCAGGGACAGTTTTCTATAGTGTTCATGACAAATTTGAATCTTTAAAGATAATTAGGAATTAGTAGGTACAAGGTGCTGCACCAAAGAGAGATGGGAGTGGGAGTATCTCATGGAAGCAGGGAAGGATTGCAGGCAGAGAAAGGCAAGGAAATGAAAAACCTGTTAATATGTGAGGAAATTCCAGCAGTCAGATTCCATTAATGGGCAAAGCACAAACCAAAGAGTGGTGACACATGAGTATAGATTAGTCAGAGCTTGGTTATTATGGTGTCTCTTGTACCATGACACAGAGCTTACAGTGGATCCTGAAGATAAACTGGATTCTTATGTTCTTTGATGTTCTCTAAGCAAGGAGTGACACCATTACCAAAAAAACACTGCTGTACCTCCAACAGCTGATGAGCTCATAAGTTAGGTCAACTCAACATCAGAAATGGTTGTGTGTGAATTGGTATCACCAGTTGATCAGTTCAGGCTAGTTTCTCCATGAGTGACTATTAGTAATTACCAATTGGGATAAAAGGTGCAATCTGGGGCTAGGGGAAGTATTCCATAAATTGTGAACCTGTTGTATGTGCCATTTTTTCTCCTGTGCTATATGCTGAGTAAATACTTTATGAATGAAGAAATAAATGAATAGTGGGTATGAAGAATGAAGAATAATATTTCCCAACTTGCTCCCAGAAGTAGATAATCAACAGCATTTACTGCCTACCACATGAACATTCCCACATACTCTCTCCCAGCTGAGTGGGTATCTTACGGTACACTGCACTTAGATTTTTGCTACCAACTTGGAAGCAAAGTGTTGTGTATACATGCATAGGAATCTCGTAGCTTTTACTTACTTCTAGGCTTGGAGATCACAGTCTCAGGTGAAGAGTTCTAGAACAGTAGCACCAGCAACACTGATTCTAGGTTTCCTCCAGTCACTTAACAATCTTTTCTATCCTTACTTCTTAATACAGAAATGCAAATATTGGGGCACTAAAAAAAATCCTGAATTTTTGGACTAATTTCAGGAGAACTGGAAAAAAAAGTGTTTTGAAATCTAAAAGGGATTTTAGAAAATGGTATTACGTAGTTTGTCTTCAAAGATGGCAAGACAGAGCAGCATTTAGAGAAACATATCTTCTCTACACATGAAGAGTTGAGGAAGAAGAAACCTAAAGAATACAGTGAGTGGTGGCAGAGTCCAAGAGAGAAGAGAACACAGTGAGATTCTGGGATGCTTCGTACAGAAGAAAGTAAGATACATGGAGATGCTCACTTTTGGTAACTTCTCAGGGACCTTGGAGGAAAACCCTAAAATGATCATGGATTATCTCCCACTAAATTTTTAGATCTTTTGAATAAAGTTTGAGACTTATTTGGAGTCACTGTTATGCACATTCCCTATTGTTGTCCTTAAAGTTTCAATGAATGAGGAAGATCAGATGGATGAAAGAATGAAAGGAAGACAGAAGAAAGAGAAGAAGGGAAGGATGGAGAAATTGGGGAAAGAAATGAAGAAAACTTTGAAGCTTCTACAGAGCACTAAAGCTATGATGATCCATTTTAAGAGAACTTCTCAAATTAGAAAAGAGAGTGAAACAAATTATCTGCAAACATCGAATAGAGTGCAGGGGTAGTAAAATTCCAGTTGGAGTTCAGGTGAGCCTGGCTTTGCTACTTATCAGCTAGTGATGCTGACCAGCTTATTTAACATCACTAAGCCTAAATTTCCCCATCTATAAATGGGCATAGGGTCTTTATTACAGGATTGGTAAGAAAATTGAATGGAATTGTGTTTGTCTTGTTTTAGTAAATAAATCTTATGCTTTATCTTTTAAACACCTTATTGAGGTATAATCAATACACTGGCCATTATATTTTAAAATAACCTTTCTTTCTCCTTCTCTCTGTCTTTTCCTCTGAAATATCTGTAATGTGTATGTTGGCGTGCTTGTTGGCGCCCCACAATTCCCATAGGTTTTCTTTAAGCTTTTTAATTATTTTTTCTTTTTATTCTTCTGACTGAATAATTTTAAGTGACGTGTTTATGCATTTGCCAATTGTTTCTTCTGCTTGATCAAGTGTGCTGTTAAGCTATCTATTTAATTTTCACTTTAGTTATTGCATTCTTCAGCTCCAACATATATGTTTGGTTATTTTTTATGATTTCTGTCTGTTGATATTCTCTATTCATATATCATTTTTCTGATTTTGTGTAGTTGTTTATCTGTATTGTCTTGTAAATCACCTATCTCCTTTAAGATAATTATTTTGAATTATTTGTCTGGCAATTCATAGGTCTCCGTTTCTTTAGGGTCAGTTACAAGAGTTTTCTTTTTCCTTTGGTTTGTCATATTTCCCCAATGTTTGTTCCTTCTAGATTTGCACTGGTGTCTGTATATTTCAAGAAACAGCTGCATTCCCTGTACTTTACTGACTGATTTTGACAGGAAAGCCCTTTGCCAAATTAGCCCAGCTAAATAATCTGGGAGCCTTTCAAAACCTTTCCATGGATATGTATGCTCCAATTATCTTCCTCCATCCTGAGGAACAAGTCTCAAGGTTGCGGGACCTCTCTCATTTTTACAGAGTCATGCTGGTTTCTCTAAACTGCCTGCCCCTTTTTCCCTATGGCCATATTCGGAAAGGCTGAGATGTTAGATACACATTCCACTGTCTTACTACCTCTTGATGGAGAAGTTTTAGGGCTATGTTGCATTTCCCAATCCCTCAGAGCCATGCCAGCAGCAATAAAACTTACATTCCTTTTCTTTGTTCTTAAATGCCTCAAGGCATTTCAGCCCTGTGCCAGGTGAGACTGAAACTGATCCCTAGAACAGTGCATTGAAAGCCTTGCAATATTGGATGCTTGTTCCATTCCCTCTTTTCCTCAAGGGAGAAATTACAGGCTGAAATGATCTTTCTTGGCACTAGATGTGCCAGCTTGGGCAAGGGGTGAATGCGGGTAAAGTAAAATTTATCTTATTATCCTTTTCAATGCAGCTATTCTCAGTTCTGTGCTCATCTGGAGTATTGCAACTTCTTAACTGACTTTTGAAAAATCTCATAAAGGTATTTTACTGCATATATTATTAAATTTGTTTTCTTGTGTGTAATGAGGGCTGGGACTTCCTACTCAGTCACTCGGCTAATGTCACTCCCACTTAGTTCTTTATATGGCACAAAACAAATAAGAAGTGGTAACTACTTAACAGTGTATAATAGAAATATATATTAATTCATGAAAATAGCTATTTGTATACATTTATAATGTACTTACTATGCCCTGGGTCTATAATAATGAATAAAAGATTGTCCTGTGGTATTCATATTCTAGTGCATGACACTGTCAGGTAAATAGAATCTTCAGTCAATATGTTCATTGATAAGGTATTACAGACTGTGTAAGAGATGCAGCAAGAGATAAATGCATAAGTAGTTTAGGTCATAAAAGACCTTATAGCCCATATAAAGAAGTTTGAAGTCTACTTGAAAGCATAGGATTCAATGAAGAATAATAAGCAGGAGATACATATATGATTAGTTTCAACTTTGGGAGAAATGAAATTGTTATAGCTACAACTGGAAAATAGACTGAATAGGATAAAAAGAAAAAGCAAAAAAAAAAAAAAAAAAGAAGAAAACGGTTTTACCAACTACTGTATTCAGACCCCCAACCCCCGAATTTAAATAGCACAAATGTGTTTATTTTAACTTTGATTTTATTAATAAATTCCTCTTGCCAGAGAACTCATATTCTTTCTAACACTAGACAAAGTGATAAGTAAAGGAAAAGATTTTGAAGTATGTTGAACATATGATGGATTTAATTCATATAACTGTTTGGTAAGTGTCCACTATGTGCATGAAAAACTACTAAATGAGTTAATGAAGTCACAGTCTACTGAGGGGTTTAAACAGCCATAATTATATTAAGTTAAATAAGATCTCTGAAGAAGAAATATAGAACTCATATTCTTTCTAACACTAGACAAAGTGATAAGTAAAGGAAAAGATTTTGAAGTATGTTGAACATATGATGGATTTAATTCATATAACTGTTTGGTAAGTGTCCACTATGTGCATGAAAAACTACTAAATGAGTTAATGAAGTCACAGTCTACTGAGGGGTTTAAACAGCCATAATTATATTAAGTTAAATAAGATCTCTGAAGAAGAAATATATAAGAGTGCAGTGGGGCAGGACTGCAGGTGAGAAATCTAGAGAAAACCTTCCCCTAAAAGTTGATATTTGGGCTGCATCTTAAAATACAAATGTGTATTCCACAGAATAAGGAAAGGAGCTTCTAAGTAGAGGGAATATAATACAAAATAGAACCAGCACAAAAGGTATATAAGTGCAGAATTACGTATAAATATAATAACATTTATTTTTAGAAAAGGATACATGTGAATAGGTACATTCACAGAAGTAAGTGCATGAAAAGCAAACCGAAAGAATGTACCACAAAATGTTGATAGACCAACCAGTTTCTAATTCTGATGGAAAGTGTATGATTAAAAAGGATAGAAATGGGGAACATTTACATTTTTCCCTGTGTGCCTCTATATTGTTTACTTGTTAAAATGAGAATGTATTTGTCTATTACATGTATAAAAATAAAGGAAATAGTATATGCTCAAAAAATAGCATAAACTCCAGTGTTTTGTTTAATGTGACTGGAGAAGCACACAAAGAGCTTGCAGGAGACAAGACTCAAGTAATAACGGGCCAGATCCTGAGGGGCCTTGTTAAGACCAAAGCAACTCCATCTTGGATACTAATCCACCATGATGACTTCTGATTAACTCCAATTATGGAAAAACCTCTAAGATTTCTATTTTATTGGTTGTTTCTTGTAGCACATGCCAAAACAACATTGATGTTATTGTACTTCAATTGTTCTACTCACCCCTGCAGAATCATCCTTTACCTAAGGTGTATATACTGTGAGTCTGTAGGGTAGTGGCATGGGGATCCACCATCTTGTTTTGTTGCTTGCCTGAGACACAGACATGGGCTCTGTTACTAGTTCCTATTAAATGTTTCTTCTTGAGAAACTGGATATGCCAGCCTCTTTCTTTGGCCTCTCAGCTTCATTGGACTTCTAAAGTAGGTTTGCATAGACCTGCTCACCATGGAACAGCATACAAGTGGTGCTATCAGAGCTCCTTTCCTTATTCTGTGGAATACACATTTGTATTTCAAGATGCAGCACAAATATCAACTTTTAAGGGGAAGATTTTCTCTACATTTCTCACCTGCAGTCCTGCCCCACTGCACTGTTATGTATTTCTTCTTCATTTTATAGATATGATGGACCATTAAGGCATATAAGAAAAAGAGTGCAGTGAGGCACATTTAGAAAGATAGCTGGTAATGGTGCAGAGAGCATATTAAAAAGAAAAAATATGACAACCAGAAGATTAGTTACAAAGTATATTAGTCAGAATAGGCTAGGCTATGCTGTGGTAACAAATAAACCCTGACATTTCAGAAGTTGTTCCCATCATCTCTGACTTATAGAAGACATTTCCTCTCCCTTTTTGAAGCTGTAGCATCTGGAACACATTCAACCTGAAAGACTGATGGGGCAGGAAGAAAATAATTGTGGAGGAAGCACTTCTACTTTTAAATTTCTCAGGCTAGGAGAGACACACACTAATTCTATTAAAAGTCCATTGGCCAGTATTGTTCAGTACCTCTACACTAACCACAAGTGAGTCTGGGAAATATAAAGAAGCTCCAAGATATGAGTTTTTTAATCTATGTCATAAAATGTTATCAGTTTTGTCCATTAACTGTAAGATATACGATGAAAATAGAAACCAGAGCTCCAACTTAAGAACTATTTATGGGTATAATTGATAAGATATATTAACTGGTATGTGATTAGGCAGAATGTGAGTAGGATAAGGAGAGGGAAGTAAAAAGCATAACAGGATATTAAAGGATAAAAGAGATTAAAATGATGACCCAATTTCTCAATGTACACTTAGCTGAATGATGGTTCTACAAACTGACCCCATGGATACATGTGGGTGTGTGTGATGAGCAAGTCATAAGTAATACAGACCTAAAATTTGCCTGATGTGAATGCAAAACTGCTATTTAGAGATGCTAACTAGGCAAATGGAAATACTCTTTGGGAGTCATTGGCACTTAAGACGAGGTGTAAGCCCTTGAAGACTGCTGAGACTGTGACTAGCAGAAGCATGGAAAAGTAGGTGGGGGTCCTAGTAGATATGTGAACCACAAAACCACTTTCACAGGTTTGCTGCACTTGCATATCTGTTTAAAACCTATTTGGCTGCAGAATATTCTAAGAGGCAGAACACTGAACTAGGAGTACTATGTAATTTTTTTTAGGATGGTGATTTTTTTTTTTGCAGGATGATTTTTACCATAAGAAGTACAGGTCTATTATAATGTCAGTCTAGTGCCAAAGAATGACTGGGGGGATTACTGAAAATGTGTTAGAAATTTATCTGGTAATCAATTAGAGTGTACAATTGAAACAACATTCTTACCTAAACTGCATTGAGGGTGCTCATTCAAGTAGGGCAATGACTATGGATTTTTCTATATCATGAAATACCATTATTCTAACTCTGTAAAAACTGCTCAGGATTTTAAAATTTTATTTTAGTCTTTTAATTCCCTTGAATATGGTGTTCATCCCCAAATTTCTAATTTTATATGTGTGTCATGAACCTGGACATAGAACATTAGGAATGTGTGGTGCAGGGTCAGGAGAGAAACACCTTAAAGATGGGAGTCTGAAGACAAATCACATTTGAATGTTGATATGGTTTGGCTCTATGTCCCTACACTTGAATTGTAATAATCCCCACATGTTGTGAGAGGGACCAATTGGAAGGTAATTGAATCATGGAGGCAGGTTTTTCCCATGCTGTTCCTGTGATAGTGAGTAAGTCCCAGGAGATCTGATGGTTTTATAAAGGAGAGTTCCCCTGCACATACCCTTTCGCCTGCCATCATGTAAGATGTGCTCCTCCTTCGCCTTCTGCCATGATTGTGAGGCCTCCCCAGCCTTGTGGCACTGAGAATCAAACCTCTTTCCTTTATAAATTACCCCGTCTCAGGTATGTCTTTATTAAAGCAGCATGAGAACGAACTAATACAATTGTCCTAAGAAGAGCTGCAACAGAGAGATTGGGAGTGGTCATGGAGTAAGGAAGGAACTAGAATAAATGGTTTTATAGAAGCCAAAGGGGAAAGATAAGAAAGATGTCAACTGATGAATGCACGAAACATCTTGTACCAAGTCCACTGCTTGGAGAGACGACTAGAAGCCTTGCTAGAGCTGTTTCAGTGGAAAGCAGAGGTAGGGAAGTGTCTACGCCAGAGAGCAGTGAAATGATCTGTGACTATAGCACATTTTTAATAAGTTTAGCTGTGTTGTACAGAAAGCAGAGATAAAATTTCCTCCATAATTTTCCCTTATTCCATACCATTGTAAATCTTTTTGGAATACAAGTGATTCACTTTGTCCAGAAGCAATGGAGTCAGCAAAAGAAAAACAGTCATGTTTAGAGCAAAGAGGTACGCAGAGCACATATGTCTGGTTGGATAATGCACAGATCCATAGGGAGCCCTAATTCAATAATATAGCTAATGCTCAATGTCCTTCTCTTTCTTTAAACAAAGTAAGAAATAGATAGACTAATGTGTTTTTTGTTTCCTTATTCACATTCCAAGCTGGCAACATGTACTTTATACTTTTTCCTACCCCAAATACTAAACTTTCTATAAATGTCCATTTAAAAGTCAATGAAGGAAATGTTCACAAATAAATATGGAAATTGTCAAGTTTTGATTATGCTACAAATCAGGATCCCCTTAGCAGCTGTTTCTTTTCCCTTACACAGAAACATCTCTTGGATATGTATTTGTCATGGAACTCATTTCATATTTCTTCTTCTAAGTAAATAACAATGTGACAATCATTTCCATCTTCCCACAGAGTCAGCATGCCAGCATCAGCGGTCAAAGCTCGAGCACTCGGGCTTACCATGCTGTCAATTAGACATAACATGTATTGCCAGTACTGAAAATGCTTTCCCTTATTTTTGCAATAAAAGGGGATGTTTACAAAATGTTGATTGTATGTAGAAAAGTGGTATCAGCAGCCATGTTTTCAACATAAATGCTTTCTATTAGTCAAGCAACAAGTTCTGAAACGTGTTTGAAGTAATAGTCACAGAGATTTACTCTTTTAATAGTGATAGGTTTTATTTTTCTATTTGATATTGACAAAAAAATGTCTGTGCTACCCAAGGAAGGAAAATTCTTAGATACCATTTTTGATGGAAGGGATTTTTTTTTTCCTCCTGGACAACACACTCCTCTGTGAAACTTGAACTTATAATCACTAAAGCAACATCACAGTGTTTTATTTCTCTACCTATCACTGAACTCTCAGCATTCCCCAGCATTTTTCCCTTGGTCCTGTTTCCTTCTACATTTTTTTCTAATTACTTTAGTTATCCATGAGTGACTGCATCTATTACCAAGGTTTCGAATTAAGTACATGTATTGCGTTCTTTCTAGGTAGTAGTTCATTCTCTTTAAAACTCTGGCCAGATACCTCCAACAATCATATTAAACTCAATGTGAAAAAATACAAACTAATTATTCTACCCCCAAATCCACTCCACTTCCAAAAGAATATTTGATAAATGATGCCACCATCCTCTCTAGTTCAAAACCTAGAAGCTTTAAAATCATTTCTCTCTTCCTATTTTACACAACCAACTCCTATCAGATCTTGAGTTTTCCAAGAAGTTATCTGCATAATTTATCTTGTCTTCTTCATCTTCAATGCAATTCCCTTAATGAATCTAAAGCCCCTCTTCTAGGGAAGTGCAACAGCTTCCTATACATTATATTCTTTTGCCACAAGGCTTTCCTCTCTCCAGTCTATCTTGCAAAGTCTTATTAGAGTTGCTTATGTGAAATAGATATGCTTATGCACTCATGTTGAAACACCTATTGACGTAGAGTCATTTATAATAGAAAGTACAAAATTTCTAACATGATTTATATGACTCTTTACAGACTGTTTTCAAGCTGTATCCAACACATCTGTCACCTGCACTTCTCACAGTTTTTCAAAAACCTCTTATATTTTTTAAAATTTGTGCTTCTTATTCATGTCTACTTTATCCCACTAGTAAACTCTTAAACACTTTTCAAAATTTGGGATAGAAACTTCAAATGCTCACATCTGTGTCCCCCTCTTTTGCTTGGGAAAGTATTAGATGTGGGTCTATGTTGCCAGCTTCCAGACAATTTTAATTATAATAATATCAATCATATTAGTAACAAAAAAGTAATCAAATCAAATCAAAACTAAAAAATGGAGAGATACTTTATATTTATAGAAAAAAAGACTCAAAATTCTAACTTGATCTATAGATTTAACATAATTTCAACCAAAATCCCAAAAGTTATTTTGTGGATATCAGCAAACTGATACAAAGTTTATATGGAGAGAAAAACGACCAGAATAACAAACACAGTTTTGAAGAACAAAGTCAGAGGACTGACACTATCTGACTTCAAGACATACTATAAAGCTACAGTCATCAAAGCAGTATGGTATTAGTGAAAAAAATGTACAAATTGATTAATGGAAAAGAATAGATAGCCAATAAGTAGACCTATATGAATATAGTCAACTGATATTTGACAGAAGAGAAAAGACAATATAATAAAGAACAAATATTTTTTCAAGAAACGGTGCTGAAGAAACTGGACATTTACATGCAAAAAATGATAATCGAGGCGCAGACTTTATGCTCTTCACAAAAAAATTAACTCAAATGGATCACTGGCTTAAATATAAAATGAAAAACTGTAAAGCTACTTGAAGATAACATAGCAGAAAATATAAATGTCCTTGGGAATGGTGGCAACTTTAGTTACAAAACCAGTCATGATACATGAAAAAAATAATTTTTAAGCTGGCTTCATTAAAATTAAAAACTTCTGGCTGGGCGTGGTGACTTATATCTGTAATCCCAGCACTTTGGGAGGCAGTGGTGGGTGGATCATTTGATGTTAGGAGTTCGAGACCAGCCTGGCCAACATGGTGAAACACTGTCTCTATCAAAAAATACAAAAAAAAAAAAAATTAGCTGAGATTGATGGCGTGCACCTTTGATCCCAGCTACTTGGGAGGCTGAGGTAGGAGAATCACTTGAACCTGGGAGGCAGAGGTTGCAGTGAGCCGAAATCGAATGGAGTGAGACCCTGTCTCAAGAAAACAAAACAAAACAAAAAAAAACTTATGCTCCTCAAAAGAAAGACATTATCGAGAGAGTGAGAAGACAAGCCACAGACTTGGAAAAAATATTTGCAGAAGACACCAAAAAACTGTTATCCAAAAAATGATATGACATGATATCTAAAAACTGATATCAAAAAAGTTATCCAAAATAAACAAAGAGCTTTAAAACTCAACAGTAAGAAAATGTACGAACTGATTTAAAAATGGAACAAAGATTTCAACAGGCACCTCATCAAAAAATATAGAGATGGCAAATAAGCATATGAAAAGATGTTCCACATCATATATTATTAGGAAATTTAAAATTAAAACAATTAAATTACCACACACCTAATAGGATGGCATAAAACCTAAACACCGACAACACCAAATGCTGGTGAGGATATGCAACAACTCTCATTCATTGCTGATGAGAATGCAAAATGGTACCACCACTTTGAATGGCAGTTGGGCAGTTTCTTGCATAACTAAACATACCTTTATCTTACAATCCATCAATCATACTTCTTGGTATTTACCCAAACTGGTTGAAAAATATGTCTGTATAAAAACCTACACACAGATGATTAAAGCAGCTTTATTCATTATTATCCAGAACTTGGAAGCCACCAATATGTCCTTCGGTAGGTGGATGGGCATATTCAAACAATAAAATATTATTCCACACTAAAAATAAATGAGCTCTCAAGCTATGAAAAGACATGGAAGAAGCTTAACTGCATATTAGCAAGTGAAAGAAGCCAATCTGAACAGTCTACATACTGTATTATTCCAACCGTGTGACATTCTAGAAAAATAAACTATGGAGACGGTAAAAAGATCAGTGGTTGCCAGGGGCTGAGAGGGAAGAAGGGATGAATAGGAAGAATATGGATAATTCTTAGGGTAGTGAATTCATTCTGTATGGTAATATAATTTGGATACATGTCATTATACATTTGTCAAAACCCATAGAATGTACAATACCATGAATGAACCTTAGTGTAAATTATGGACTTTGGGTGATGATGACATATCACTTATATTCATTAATTGTAACAAATGTACCATTCTGCTGAGGCATATTGATAGTGGGAGAGACTGTACGTGTGTGGGGTTAGAGGGTATATGAAAAGTCTTCATATTTTCTGCTCAACTTTGTTGTGAACATAAAACTGCTCCAAAAACTAGTCTTTTTAAAAAAAATAGACTCATCTCAGTGTGACAACAGAATGGACAGTTGATAGCTAGTGAATCCGTATAAAGTTGTACAATCCAAAAGGATAGGATAGAGAGCCAGAAAAAATATATCACAGGCACCAGAAAGGAGATTTCAGTGACAGGGAACCCAAATGAAGAATGTTGTCCCCTCTTTATTCCCAGCAAGGCATCAGGAATACTGCACATTATTCCTGGAACACAGCAAAATGGCAAAAGAAGAGGAAAGGAATTGTAACAAATTGCTTCTAAGATAGCCGTCAATAATTATTGTAACCTCATATCTACAACCTTTCATAATTCTTTCTCTTCAAAGTTAGGAGATGTCACTTCCATGATTACACTAGAAAAGAGTCTCATTTCCACCTTGGTAGCTGACTCTCTTCCTTGAGTATTTAATGAAGCAAGTTGACATGTTGAGAAGACCCATGGAGCAAGAAACTGAGGATGACCTCCTGACAACAGTCAGCTAGAAACTCTGGCTCTCAGTCCAACAGCCCCAGTGAAATGTAATTATGCATACAACCATGCAAATGAGTTTGGAAGCAAATTCTCCATTTGAGCCTGCAAATGAAACCCTAGCCCTTGCTGACATTTTGAATGGTGCCCCATGAGAGACTCTGACGCAGAGGACCCAGGAGAGTTGTGCAGACTCCTAACCTACAAATACTATGAGTAAATAAATGAATATTATTTTAAGTTCCAACTTTGTTGTAATTTTTATGCAGAAATAGACAACAAGGGGTTGCCAGCTTCCTCTGCGAGTTCTCAACTTATTCTAAATGTTGTGCTCTTATTGATTATGTTGATGTTGCTCTGTGTCAGTGAAGCTTAACCAAAACATTAAGCTGAACCAAC
Source organism: Homo sapiens (assembly GCF_000001405.40). NCBI lineage: Eukaryota > Metazoa > Chordata > Mammalia > Primates > Hominidae > Homo > Homo sapiens. The sequence continues at coordinate 18,744,766 of NC_000004.12, read as the reverse complement.
ACATGCATTTGGAAACTTCCATGCAATTTAGTGAGAAATATTACTTGAAAAAGCACATAGTGACAATATAAAAAATGCATTGTCTGAGTCATTTTGCTTAATAGACATCATCCTCTACTAATAAGTTAGATATCATCACTATATTTTTGTTAGTAGATGTAATAACAACTGAGTTTTCTTCATTAACTGGTACTGTGTGACCTTAGACAAATTATGTAAATCCTCTGAGCTCCAGTTTCCTCACTTTTTAAATGGCTATAGGATGAGAATTACATGAGTTAATATATAGAAAGTTTTATTAAAATTCTCAGACAACAGAATGCATTTAGTAAATGTTAATTATTCTTATTATAAAGATTATAAAGGGATTCCAGTTACCTGTTAAACCAGTTTGCACCAATAGAAAGCCTATGGTTATAGAGCTAAGACAGCTTTCCCATGACACTTTACTGATATAATTTCTTAATTACTCATTTTTACTCATTGTTTACTAATGAAAAGAGAAAATTTTATAGTTTACCAAAAAAAGGTTTGCTAGGTAAATGTGATGTAAAGACTCTACAGAATTATCAAAAGCGTCTTCAGTGGGTACTTCTTAGAAAAAGAAGCTAAAGAAAGAAGAAGGGGAAAAGCCGATCTTTCAAAAACTTAATTAACTAAATATGTTATTTTCATCATTAAATCATAGCAAAATAGTAAATCAAAGAAATCCTTCTTCCCTTGTGAACAATCCTTTTCCCAAACCTGAATAAAATAGACTCTGCTGAAAAGCTCAGCAAAATGAGAAAATCACGGATAATCTTCAATTGCATGTACTCCTTGGGATTTAAAAGGAACAAGGTCCATTTGTTTCCTGTATAGAGCCAAATAAAAATATTCTTGATTTAACCAAGCATGCATGGATTTAAAGCTATTACTTAACCATAGTACATTATCTTTCCTTATTGAGAGTATTGACTTTATGATCAGCTTATTAAACAATGATTGGACATCTTTTCTAAATAAACACCTAACAAAAATTCTTATAAGTGTTTAATACATATAGAATACCCTACAATAATGTTTTTCTAAAAAACTATTTATAAGAAACATGTACTTAAGAAAACATATAAACCAGATGAGATTGAAAAAGAAAATCTATTTCAAGTTTATTTAAAGCCACTAGCAAAAATAAAAGCAATATGGGCTATACGTCTCTGTTCCAAGAACTGTATTAGGTATCACCTAATTTTCAAAGTTATCTTGCAAAGATTCCTACAAGGTAGGTGTCGTTTCCATATTCTTTTTACAGACTAGGAAATTGTACCTTTGAGATTATTTTATTTACTAAGATTTATGTAGATTTATGTTCTCACTGTACTTATACTAAGCTTTTATGGGATTTCTCAGAATTAAAGCCCTCTTCACCTAGGGACTTGACAAAATCTGGTGACTTCTAATATTACAAAGAAGGAGCAAAGCAACTTTTTAGCCAAGAATAAATTTCTAGGAAGGATTATTTCCCATTGAACCAAATATCTGTGACAAAACCAAATAACACATCAAAACTCTGAGATTTCAGATTAGAGAGGTGACATGCATTGTAGCCTTAACTTTCCTACTATTCCACTGAATAATTATAATCTACTTTTCAGATGATCCGAGAAAGGAACTGCTTCACAAACACGATGACTAACTCTTTAATTTTTAAACTTTTTGGATTTTGTTAATATTGTATTTTACAGTTCAAATTAAAAAATCAGAGCCATTGCAATATTTTGTCAGTAATTTCTGAGCCATGATAAGCATAAGGAAGGTTCAGTGAGCTCACAGTACAGAACGGTGGATCTCTTGCGGAGGCAGTTGCCATGCATGTGGGTGATTGCAGTCACCCTAACACAGCTGAGGGCTATGGAGGTGTAGGGTGGGTTGGTCATTGCCAAGTACAGTTTTCTACTGGCTGGTGGTAACTAAATGACCTGGAGTACAAATATCATCGTTACTCAATTTTTGTGAACTCAAGCCCTCCTGTCATCACTGAAGAACAGCTTCATATGATTTTGAAGAACTACCAGATTCAAGCTGTGTCAGTATTCCAGGTTCACATAAAAATTTAACTCAAACCTACTGGCTTAAAACAACAGAAATTTATTCTCTCATAATTCTACAGAACAGAAACCTAAAATTAAGATGTCCTCAGGGCCACAACATCTCCAAAGGCAATAGGTGAGAATCTTTTATTGCCACTTCAATCTTCTAGTGTCTCCAGATGTTTCTTGCCTTGAGGCTGTATGAGTCCAGTATCTGCTTCTGTCTTTACCTGGTTTTCTCTCTTGTGTGTCCTCCTCTTTGTCTGTTATAAAACCAGGTGATACTAGACTTAGCAACTGTTCCTAACCTAGTATGATTTCTTCTTGAGATCCTTAACTTAGTTATGTCCATGAACAACCTTTTTCAAATAAGTTCACGTTCACACATTGGAAAGGTTAGAACATATTTTTTGGGGACCATCGTTCAACCCACCAGATAAACCTAGAGTTCAAGATCTCAGGCTTTGGAGTCGGGTACTCCTTGGTGAAAATCTGGTGTTCAGTTACCAACTGATGACCCAGAGCCCTTTTTCTCATCTATAAAATGTAGGGGATAGCGTAAGCACCTATGTCCTGGATTTGTAGTGAAAAAAATCACATGATAGAAATAGTAAGATTCATAACATTGCATCTGATATGAAAGTTCTCTATTATTACTAGCTATTTCATCAATAATTCATGTTATTGGAGATGTTTGAGCCTTGTACAGACAATAGCAGCAGGCCAGCATCCAGTCGGAGAAAATCTGAAATGTGTACATCATTGGCCTCTTGCTCCAATTGAGCTAATTTTGTAAGATATCTCAAAAATAATGGAAAGTTAATGATCATCCAGGCCAATTAACCAGATTCCAAAGATGATAAAAATAATGCTGAGAGACAGAGAGCATGTTTATCCATAAATACACAGAATGTTGGCAGCACAGCAAAAACTAGAACTCAGGACTTCATGCTGCCGATTCAGTTCCTACCTTTGTATGCTATTGCTTGTTAGATAAATCATTACCGGCAATTATCTTCCTCAACATAAAGAGAAATGTGAATCTTGAAAAAAATAAGTATTTTTCATTTTAGATATTTTTCCAGGCTAACTCTGTGTGATGGTTAATTTTATGTGTCAGCTTGCCTGGACCATAAGGTGCCCAGATATTTGGTTAAACATTATTCTGGATGTGTCTGTGAGGATGTTTCTGGATAATATTAACATTTGACTTAGTAGACTAAGTAAAGCATATTGTTCTCCCTAGTGAGGATAGACCAATTCCCTATAACAAATCAGTCTATGTGTGTGTGTGTGTGTGTGTCTGTGTGTGCGTATGTATATATAGTGTATGTATATATATGTATGTGTATATATATGCTATATACTCTGTGTGTATATGCTTATGTGCTCTCTATATATACATATATTATCTGTGTGTGTTTATATGCATACACACATATATAATTATATACTTTGTGTGTGTGTATGTGTGTGTGCACATAGTCATACACTATATTGATATTTTGGTCAACAATGGACCAGATATGTGACAGTGTTCCCACAAGATTATAACGGAGCTGAAAAACCTCAATCACCTAGTGACATCTCAGTGATCCTGACCCTGTGTAGGCCTAGGATAATGTGTGTGTTTGTGTCTTTTTTTTAATAAAAAAGTTTAAAAAGTAAAAAATAGAGAAAATAGAAAAATAGAAAAAAAGCTCATAGAATAAGGATATAAAGAAAGAAAATATTTTCTAAAGCTGTATAATGTATTTGCATTTTAACCTGTTATTACAAGAGTTAAAATGTTAACGTAGTTAAAAATAGTTAAATGTTATTACAAAAGAGTTAAAATGTTAAAATAGTTAAATGTTAAAATAGTTAAGTGTTAAAATAGGTAAAAAGCTTATAAGGTAAAAAAAGTTAAATAAGCTAAGGTAAATTTATTATTGGATAAAGAAAATTATTTTTAATCTAATGTAGCCTAAGTGTAGCTGCAAGTGTATAGCAATGTCCTAGGCCTTCATTCACTTATCACTCACACATTGACTCATCAGAATGACTTCTAGTTCTACAAACTCCATTCATAGCATGTGCCCAATACAGATGCACCATTTTTTATCTTTTATATTTATTGTACCCTTTCTATGTTTATATATGCAGATGCTCACTATTATCTTACAATTGCCTAAGTATTTAATATAGTAATGTGCTGTACAGATTTGTAGCCTAGGAGCAATAGGCTATACCATATTCATAAGTTTGTGGAAGAACACTCTATGATGTTCACACAATGACTACATTGCCTAATGACACATTTATTGGAACATTATTAAGTGACTCATGACTATATATAAGCATATATGTATATATATATACACTCAATGTCCACATATATACCTATATATTCTATATACCTATTCTCTCTGTACATATATCTACACAATATCTATATTCTCTTTATACATATATATTCTCAGAATATGTGTATATATATGTGTATATATTCTGTATACATATATAGATATATATACAGAGAGAATATATATATGTATGCAGGACATATATTTACACAGACAGTGTATATATATGTATATATACGTAGACACACAATGATTATAAGAAATTGTCATATATACATTGTAATGGTTAATTTTATATTTCAACTTGACTGTACCATGGGGTACCCAGATTAAATACAATTTCTCCGCGTGTTCATGAGATTAGCATTTGAATCAATGGATTCATTAAAGTAGATTGTCCTCTGCTATGTAGGTAGGTATCATTGGTCCACCGTGGGCCTGAATAGAACAAAAAGGTTGAAGAGCAGAAATCTGCCCCTTTTTCTTCCAGTATGCCTACTTGAGCTGAAATATCATTTCTCTTGCCCTTGGACTGGTATCTACACTGTTATCTTCCCTGATCCTCATGCTTTTTGACATGGACCAGAATTACAACATTGGCTTTCCTGTTTCCTGGGTCTCCAGCTTGCAGATGGCAGAACATGGGACTTCTCAGCCTCCATTAGCATGTGAGCTAATTCCTCATAATATAAATTCATGTGTGTGTGTGTGTGTGTGTGTGTGTATGTGTATCCTTAATATATTAATATATTTAATTAATATTATATATTTTATTAATATTATTTACACTATATTACTATTATATATACTATCTTAATATAATATATACTGTTATTTTAAATATTCTGTTCCTCTAGAACCACTCTTGGTACCAAAACCTGTGTTATTCAGGATTCTCCAGAACAATAGGATAAATATATCCTTGTTATTGATATTTGTAGCCAAGGATAATCATTTCAAGACAATCATATAAACCTCTTTGTTTTTACTTTAAAAACCTTTGTCTCCCTTTACATTCCTGAATATGCACATGGTTTACTATGATATGAGTATTCCCACTGCAATGCTTTATTCCTCAATAAACTAATAGGATATATATATCCTCTTTGTACCAGGAGTGGTTCTAGTGGAACAGAATATTAGGAATAAGTTTCCTAAATTGGTTCCAGATTTTCTGAAATTGGGTCTCTAATCTGACTAGATTTAAAGATAGTAATGACTCTACTATTAGTAGTAAAGAAAGCCCTGATAATCCATGACATGATATAGAAATAGAGATACACCAACATGTAACTCTAGCCTAGGAGAGCTGCAGGTATGAGACACACAGCTGTCTACCACAAAAGCTGCTGTGTAGGCTGTTCCCATTAAAGTCACAGGAGCTGGGCTGCCTTGGGGCCTTAGGGATCCAATCCCACCCCAGTGTGTCTGGGAGGGTAGACATGGAACCAAGAAAGATTATTTTAGAGTCTTATGATTTAATGTTGTTTGTTCTGTTGGAGTTTGGACTTACTTGGGGCCAGTTATCTCTTTCTTCTTGCCTGCTATTTCTGCCTTTTAAATTGGAATGTTTATTCTATGCCTACTTCACCATTGCATTTTGGAAATAGATAACATGTTTTGATTTCACAGGCTCAGAGCTGCAGAGAAATTTGCTTCAGGATGAATTGTACCTTGAATTTTATCCATGTCATTTAGATAAGACTTTGGATTTTGGAATTTTGAGTCAATGTTAGAATATGATAAGATTTTTGAGGCTTTGGGATGGAATAAACATACGTTGTACATAAGAAGGACATGACTTTTGAGGGACCAAGGTTAGAATACCCTGGTTTGAAAGTTTGTAAGTTAGAATACCCTGGCTTGAAAGTTTGTCTCCTCCAAAACTCATGTGGAAATTTCATTGCCATTGTGAGGCTATTGGGAGGTGGGACATTTAAGAGGTGTTTAGCTCTGAAGGTTTGTAGCCTCATAAATGAACTAATTCTGTTTTCATGGGAATGAATTCACCCCCTCTTTCACGCTGTCTTTCTCTTACCTTTTTGTCTCTATGTGAAATGATGCAGCAAAAAGGCCCTCACCAGGTGTCAGATCCTTGATCTCAGACCTCGCAGCCTCTGGAACTGTAAGAAATAAATTTGGTTCTTTATAAATTACTTAGTCTTAGATATTCTGTTATAACAATAAAAATGAACGAAGACAGTTATCCAGAAGGCTGTATTTGCTCTGAATCAGTATCCAATATCTGGTACTGTTTCTCCAATAGCCAGGATTCATGGGTCTAGGAATCAAGGGATGGAAATGGGACTGACATCACTCACTATTATTTCTAGTGACCCACTAGCAAAATTTTTGTTTACTCTTCCCACAATTATATGTAATGCTGGCTGGCCTAGAAGTGTTAGTTCTAGAAGGACGAATGCTTCCACCAGGAGACACACAATGATTTCATTGAACTAGAAATTAAGATTGCCACCCAGCCATCAGGCTCATTATGCATCTGAATCAACAGCAAAAAAGAGAGTTATTGTGCTGGCTGGGGTGACTGACTGACTACCAAAGGGAAATTGGAATGTCACTTCATAATGGAGGTAAGGAAGAGTATGTCTAGAATACAGGAGATTTCTTAGTATTATCATGTTCTGAGATGAAGGTCAATAAAGAGCTACAACAACCCAATTTAGCCAGGATTAATGAGGAGTAATCATCCTGCTAATGAATTTCCAACAGGTTAAAGACCAACCAGCTACGGTGCTTGCTAAAGGCAAAGGAAATTCAGGGTGGGTGGTAGAAAAAGGTAATTATAATTACCAGCTATGACCACATGAATAGTTACAGAATTAAGAACTATAATTGTCATGAGTGTTTTTCCTTACATCATTATATGTATATATATATACAGCAAATATCTGTTTTCTTCCCACTGTTATTCATTTCTCATATAGCATACAATATTAACATCACATCATAGTTTCAGTATTGTTATACATAATAGTATTTAGTTACAGAATACCAAGTGGAAGAGTAAATACCACTCAAAGATTTTATTTCTTTTTTTCTTCTAGAAGGAGCTAGTGCATTTTTGGTTGTACTAGGATAGTCATATCATGTAAAGTGAAATTATGATTTTGTAATTACCTTTATTTGTAGATTAAGTATAGATGTATATGAATAAAGTATAGATGTATATGAATGAATAAATATAAATATAGATGTATATGAATGAATGAAGATGTAGATGAATGCAAATTTGACAAGGGGTGAAGTTATGATTGTTTACTTTATGTGTCAACTTAACTGGGTCATGAGGTGCCCAGATATTTAGAATAACATTATTTTTGGTGTGCCTGTATGGATGTTTCTAGATGAGATTAACATTTGCATAGATAGACTTAGTTGAGGAGTTGGCACTCCCCAATGTTTGTGGGCCTGGTCCAATCTGTTGAAGGCCTGAGTAGAGTAAAAAGCTAAGTAAGAGATAATTCACTTTCTCTGCCTAATGGTCTTGAGCTGAGATATCAGCCTTTTTCTGTTTTTGGACCTAGACTGAAACCTACACCATTATCTCTCTTGGTTCTTGGGCCTTTGGGCTACAGATCCTGGGACTTCTCAGCCTCTGTAATTGCATTAGCCAATTCCTCAGGATAAATCAATCTCTCTCTCTCTCTCACTTTGTGTATCAAACTCTCTTTCTCTCTCTGGCTCTATGTGTAGGTGTGTATGTATATGTGTGTGTGCATTCTATATGTATTATATATATCCCCTATATTATATATAGATATATCCTAGGTATGTTCTCTATGTATATATATCTTATTGGTGAATCTTGACTAATTCTCTAGCATTCAGGCCTTTTTATTCACATTTGATTTTAATATAGTTATTTTTCCATTTATCTTATCTCTCTTTTAGAGTACATGTTCCTTGAGAACCTAAAAAAGGTCTTTCCCCACAATGAAATGTTTTTGATAGCAGAATGACTGTATCTATAAGACACAGCATAGGGCCAGGCACATAGTGAGTTTCAAATAATCAATTATTGAATGAGTTAATATTCCTAACTTATTCTCACTTAATAAATATTTATTAAGTTGGACATTGAGAGACGCTCACTGTTTAAAAATTCACTTTTATATATTCTACAGAGCATGCTGCACATGGTTAACGTTCAACATGTCTGTTGAATGTACAACATAAAGAGTTTTGAAAGATTGTAAGCTGGTAACCTGATTTCCTTCAAATTAAGATAAGGCTAAGCTCATCTTAAATTACCTTGATGGTTCTAATGCCACTTCTAACATACTTCTAACATTTCACTTGGTAAATTTTATTTTCGGAGTTAAAGATAGTATATGAGCCAATGTACTAAAAATGAATTATGACACTAGTTTGGCAGCTATAAGTAACTTCAGGGCTATGCCAAAAGTACTTTTTAACATGGCCTTTCTAGCCTGGAATGAGGAAAGGTCTGCTGCTGTGGCATATTGCTGGACTTTGGAGAGTATATAATCACTTCCACAGAACTTCTAGAACAAATGGCAAGTGTGCCACTAAGCTGGTTGATACTGAGTCTGGGTGCCAGTCATGGATTATATTAAAAGAAGCAATTATAATAGAACAGCCCTATTACAAAGAACAGCTCTTTGGCAATTATAATAGCAATTATAATAGAACAGCTCCATGGCAAAACCCCATCTCCACTAAAAATATAAAAATTAGCTGGGCATGGTTGAGCATGGCTGTAATCCCAGCTACTTGGGAGGCTGAGACAGAAGAATCGCTTGAACCCAGGAGGCGGAGGTTGCAGTGAGCTGAGATTGCACCACTGTACTCCAGCCTGGGTGACAGAGCAAGAATCCACCTCAAAAAAAATAATCAATAATAATAATAGTAGTAGTAGTAGTAGAACAGCTCAAGGCAGAACCACCTGGAGAGGAAATCCAGACTGCTTTTCAGGCCAAGGTACCAAGATGTCAAGTTTACTTTTATTTCAATGGGCATGCTCATAAAACAAAGCTAAAACCAAATTTTTTTTTAAAACCCAGGAGATAGTACAGTAAGCAGAGTATATTAGTTTAGGACTGATGTAACCAAGTACAACAAAGTGGGTGGCTTCAATTACAGAAATGTATTTTCTCACAGTTCTGGAGGCTAGACGTCCAAGATCAAGGTATTAGCGGGACTGAACTCCCTCTGATAGCATTAAAGAAGATTTTTCATGGAGTTCTCTTCCTGGGTGCGTGTCTCAGTGTTGACATTTCTCCATTTTAGAAGGACACAGTTATATTGGGATAAAGAGTTCATCCTACTCCAGTATGTCTTCATCTTAACTAATTACATCTGTAACAAACCTATTTCCAGATAAGGTGTTATTCTGAGATAGTGAAATTTGACTTCAACATCCAGGAAGTGGGGATTAGGGAGGCACACAATTCAACTCTTAACACACAGTAACTGCAGCAATAAAAGACAGGTGTCAACCAGACAAGATTTTTGGATGGGCTTGGTAATTCAAGGTTCTCTTATTTCATGCACCAACAGCCTCATGTATAGGTTGGCTGATCTGGTTTGAAAGCTGAAGGTAATTTTTAATGCAAGGTTCTGTGAGGGCACAGTCTCTCTTTACTCACTCCAGTGGCAGCCTGCTGAGCTGAACTAAGAAACCCAAGCCAACCATACCAAATTTGAAAATGCAGGCACAGGGCCATTGGCCAGAACAAGTTCTGTGCTTATCACCTGGACAATTTGACAGACATTAAAGAGCAGGATTTGATAAATGTCAAAGAGCAGCGGGCAAAAAGCCTGACGTCTTTTAGAAGAAAGACATCATTCAATTATTTGTCCTCACTCTGAAGCTGATTTTTTCAGGCTGCTTAACACTGTACAGTTTTAGCTCTTTGAAATAAAGCACTTAGGAAGAGATTGCATGTTGTTTCAAACTGAAAGAGACACTGTGCTGCTTTCCCACTCTTTCTTGAACTAATGTGGCTATTTTCCAACATTAATAAAAAGTTCTATTTCTGCAAAAATAACCTCAAACTGCATTCTCTCTCCTGAGTTTCAAGGATTTGATGACAAACTTGGCATACTAAATTTTGTAGATCCCAAAATTGATGTTGAACACAAAGGAAAGCCCAGTGCCCTTTCCTTGTATTCCATGGTAATACAAGAACATGATTATTTTTGGACTGAAGCCACTTAACGCAAGCACAGCTGTGAAGGTCTTGTCTCACTTCCAGAAGATAGTCTTTATATTCCAACGAGTATCCAAAAGTCAGAGAAACCAAGCTCAGACAGTATTATTAATATGAAATATTATGTCACACTTGGTTTTCAAAGATAGTAAATCCACCAACACCAGTAAAATTAAGTAAATATTTGAAGTCTGAAGTTAACATCTATAAAGGAGCCAGGAAAAATGAAAATTTCAAAATTTTGGTTTAAGAAATATCTTTTTAGTAATTTTGTCCCTGACCATTAAAGATAAACTATATGTTGACTACAGAGGTGCTATTTATTCAGTGATAAAACTTTCATTTAAATTGAAACTGTTAAGGATAAATATCCAGTCCTGTGAAAATGACTGAATGATGGAGCAACATGCATCTATAATGAGGTTTTAGATACACCCAATCTGATCGTGTTACTCTCCTACCTAATGTCCTGCCAATGCCCTGTTGAATGCAGGACAGTTTTCAGTCAGCCTTTAAGAACCCGGCCTTTGGTCTACTATTCAGCCTCCTCTCTATACTCATCTCCAAGTCACTAGCTCTCTTCTAGAACCACATTACACTCACACTCTTCCCTGTTTTGGTTCCCTTCTTTAGAAGCCTTGTCCATCTTCATTCCAGGGCTTGGTATCCCACGAAACAAGTCTCCAAAATGGGTTAAGATGCTTGTTTTAAGTGCCATGCTTTGGTTACCTGTTTTGCAGCTGTTATCATACATTTTGTAACTGGAGTTTACAAATCTATCTCCTTCACCAGCTGAATGGTCATTGACAGCAGGGACTAAAGCACTCATATGTATTGGACAATAGATGTTTACTAAATAATTATTCGAATGAATAAGTGAAAGCTACTGTAAGATTTTGATTGACCATATCACACGTATGAAATAATAATCAAATGTGGTTGCAAAACATAACTAAAATAATTAAATATTATTCATAGAAAAATTATGTTCAGTATATGAGGAAATAGCTGTGCTCCATTCTGTACTGAATTAGCGATTCTCCAGGGGGTTTTCCTCAGTTTTGGACACCATGCTTTTTAATGACTTTTTTTGTTTGTTTTTACAAACAGTGCTAAGTTTCTTTATGAAATCCTGAAAAAAATTATTTCAAATATTGAATTCCCTAGTATCCAGAAATAACATTTGTTGATTATTTTTGTTTCTATTTTCCAGTCTTCTTCTAAAATTTAATAAGTATCAACATTTCAAAGGAATCGTAACAGATGAGACTATATTAATATAATGTTTACATGATGGTAAAGAATTGAGAAACAATTACTAATACTAAAAATGGGAAAAGTGGCTTTTATTAGAGGCACAATGACTTTTTTTGTTGCAATACCTAAAAGATCACCATGCAGAAGAAGAATTAAGTTCAAATCCATATCTTTTTTAAAAGAAAACTAGTATCAAAGAGGTAAGGTTGTGGTAGCTATATTTCAGCTTCATATATAAATGATAGTATTTTTTAAAATTACAACTTTGTAAAAATCAAAGTAGCTTCCTTTTCAGGAAATACATTTCTTTTACCTAGAGATAATTAAACTGAAGCTGGTTTATTACTTGGTTGATAATATTAGAGAAGTGACACATACATCAAATTATTCCTGGAGATAAACTCCAAAATTCTCCCAAATATAATATTTAGTGATGATGTGACAATGAATTTTTTAGATTATTGAGAATAATTTCAAGTAAATTAATTTCTTATATTATGGGCAAGAAATAATACATTAAAGGCAGATAAGTCATTTTACAGAGGTTCAACAAATAGAGATTATATTTATAAAATATTACATTTAAAAAGAGAGATATATATGTGTGTTGTTGAATATATATAGTGAATATACATACATATATGTGTATGTGTGTATATACATATGCATTCATATATATCTATGATATATACATTTACATCTATGTATGCATATATATACGCATATACACATATGTATGTATGCATATATCTATATATACATACACATGTATGTGCATATCTATATATATACACATAAATATATATGTATGTATATTCAACAACAGCCATATAATCAAATATTCACTATCATGCTATTCATAGTAGCCTCTATCTGGAAATGATCCAAGACCCCTCAACAGTAGAATAAGCAAAAATTATATGTTTACACAATGAAATGCCTTATACCCATGATAATAACAAAACACCACTATACATAACAGCATGAATGAATTTCACAAGCATCAAGTTTACCAAAAGACACAAAAGAGTAAATATTACAATCAGGCAAAGCTAACGTGTGGGGTTTGAAATGAGGATGGGGTCAGACTTGTGGATGAGTTTTTACTCAAAAGAAAAATCTGGGGCCTTCTAAGGGTGGTGAGTTTCTGCTTTTTGACATACGTATTTAATCTGTGAGAATACATTGAGCTGAGTACATGACATGTACATTTTTCTGTGCACAGGTCTTACTTTCATACAAAGTTTTTAAAAAAGACTCTACATTTATTAGTTTTCTGTTTTCAATACTACAGAAAAAGCCATGTGGCAAAGTTATGATATTTATATTTTAAAGAATTCAAAGTTCTCAGTCCTTGATTCCTTAAGAGGATCTAAAAATGTGAAATGTTTTTAAAATTATCTAAACACTTATGAATTAAAAAAAGTGTTTTAGAGATAAACATTAGCAATGAACTCTGATTGCCTTGATGTATATCTTCTAATTTATGCTGAAATCCATATATAGTGGTGTAAAAATTAATGATATATATATTTTAGGTTGGTTTTCATGCTGTTTTATAAATATGTTAGTTTATTTGTCACAGGAATATAGTTTGTCACAAATAGTTTATTTGTCACAGGAATTTCTGTCCAGCAGAAATTGAACCTCCTACAATTTTTAAGCATTTTCATTTTTGAATAAAAATATATTAGCCATAATACTGGGCTTCCACAGGGCCTTCCTCTTACTCAGTAAAGCAGGTGCACTGACTTATCAGACCACAGACCACACTCATCCAGATAATCTCTATGCCAACAGGAATTTAACTGCCAGCTCCTTCAGATTTTCCAAAGTCAACAAAATAGGTATGGATGTTACTCCTGGAACTAAAAATTAATATTGTGGCATGTAATTAAACAAAAAATAATATTTTTTAAATATTAGCACCTTTGCTCTATGAGAGTGATATGGTTTTGACAGGTGAAGCTAGCTGGGCCTTTGGGTCCAGTGAGGACTTGGAGAACTCTTCTGTCTAGCTAAAGGATTGTAAACGCACCAATCAGCACTCTGTAAAAATGCACCAATCAGCTCTCTATATCTAGCTAAAGGTTTGTAAATGCACGAATCAGCACGCTGTAAAATGGACTTATCAGCACTCTGTAAAATGGACCAATCAGCAGGACATGGGCAGGGACAAATAAGGGAATAAAAGGTGGCCACCCATGCCAGCAGCGGCAACCCACTTCGGTCCCCTTCCACGCTGTGGAAGCTTTGTTCTTTCGCTCTTCACAATAAATCTTGCTGCTTCTCACTCTTTGGGTCCGCACTACCTTTATGAGCTGTAACACTCACCGCGAAGGTCTGCAGCTTCACTCCTGAAGCCAGCGAGACCACGAACCCACCGGGAGGAATGAACAACTCTGGACGTGCCACCATTAAGAGCTGTAACACTCATTGCAAAGGTCTGCAGCTTCACTCCTGAGGCCAGTGAGACCACGAACCCACCAGAAGGAAGAAACTCCAGACACGTTCGAACATCTGAATGAAAAACTCTGGACACACCATCTTTAAGAACTGTAACACTCACCACGAGGGTCTGCAGCTTCATTCTTGAAGTCAGCAAGACTAAGAACCCACCAGAAGGAACCAATTCCAGACACAGTTTGACTGTGTCCCCACCCAAATCTCATCTTGAATTGTAGTTCCCATAATCCCCATGTGTTGTGGGAAAGACCTGGTGGGGTCTTTGAATCATGGGGGTGGTTATCTTCACGCTTTTCTTGTGATAGTGAATTAGTTCTCACAAGATCTGATGGTTTTACAAAGGGTTTTCCCCCTTCTGCTCAGCACTTCTTTTTGCTGCCACCATGTGAAGAAAGATGTGTTTGCTTTCCCTTCTGCCACGATTACAAGTTTCCTGAGGCCTCCCCAGCCACGAGGAACTGTGAGTCAATTAAACCTCTTTTCTTTATAAATTACCCAGACTCGGGTATGTATTTATTAGCAGTGTGAGAATGAACTAATACACAGAGTTTGGCATATGCTTTCTGAAAATATCCAGATAGTAAATATTTAGGCTTTGCATGTCATATGCTCTCTGCCATAACTACTTAACTCTGCTTTTCTAGTGTGTAAGCAGCCACAGACTATAGGTAAATAAATGAGTGTTGCTGTGTTCCAATAAAACTTTGTTTACAAAAACATTGAGTCAGCCAGTTTTGGCCCATTGGCTGTAGTTTTTCCAAATCCAGTTCTAAGAGAATAAAAAGGTGTTTTGATTTGTTTTATTTTGTTTTTTCCTTTTCCATGTGGTTAAGAAAGCAGTAGAGTATCTGTTGTTCATCATTCAGCAGTTGCTAATCTGGGATAACCAGATCTTTGAATTTTCTTAAACTTTTCTCAATATTAAAGTTTGATGAAGACAATATATTTATCTAGTATGCACTGACTAACAGAAATGTCAGTCTTCCATACTTTTCACTAGAGTTTCCCCATGTTCTTCTTATTGAAATATTTTTGCAGCCTTTTTTTCTAGTTAATCCACCCCTTAAAACTTTGCCTAAATTTCATATCTTTACAAAAGCCTTTCCTGTGCCCGTGGGTCATCTCTTCTCACATGACACCCACTATTTCTCTTTTTTATCACTTATTATAGTTCCTAAGCAACTTAGAGCAGTTGGTAATATTTCAGAATCTAAAGCCAGACATCTAGGCTTAAATCTCAGCTCTGAATTCATTACCTTTGCAACGTTTAACAAGTTGTCAACCTCCCTATGCCTGTGTCTTTGTCTTTAAAACAGAAATAATAATAGTTACCTACTACATGGGGTTTTGATGATTAAATGGTTAAATGCATATAAAGCATTTATAACAATGCCTGCACACAGAAAAAATTATGAGTTAGCCATTGTTAGTAACAGTGAAGTAAACAGATAATTTATTCATTCACTTAAAAATATTCATGAAGCAACTACTACATATTGAGTATCCTTCTTTATCATATAAACTCCATAAATGTAGAAATTGGGTTCCCATAGTTTTCTATTGCTGAATAACAAATAGGCACAAATTTCTGGCTTATAACAATACCAATTTATTAGCTCTTAGTTCCCTAAATCATAAGACACCCAAATCTATGCTAAGGGTATCACAAGACTGACATCAAGGTATTGGCTGAACGAGGTTCTTCTCTGGGGACTGGGAGAAAGAATTCACTCCTGAGATTATACTCTCAACCTTACTATCAGCAGATTTCATGTCCTTACAGTTGAAGGACTGAGATTTCTTTCTTGTAGGCTTATAGCTGAGTCCTATCTCAGCTCCTATGGACGGGAGATTTTGTTTTTGACCTAGCAATGAAACATTACATCCCCCTCACATTTTATATCTCTCTGACTTCTTCACTTACCACTAGCCAGAGAAAACTCTGTAAAAACATTAAGAGCTCATGTAAAAACATTGAACCTACATGGATAAGTCGGAATAAACTCCCTACTTTAAAGTCATTTGTGCCCTAAAGCATATTATCACAGGAGTAACATCTCAGTGTATTTACAGGTTCCAGGAACTAGGACAGGCCATCTTTGGCAGCAGCGAAAGAGGAGTGAGGGGAAGGCTTAAAATCCTGTCTACAAAAAAACACATAATGAATGCTCAATAAATATCATGAAGGAAAAATAACTTAGCCATATTACTGTGCTTCCAAAAGGTCTTCCTCTCACTCAGTAAAGTAGGTTTACTGACTTAGTCCACAGACCACAGTCATCCAGATTATCATGTTGACCAGAGGCTTTCATTGATCAAAAATAAAGTTATTTATTATTTCTGAATAATGTCTTCTGGATGGACAAAAAAAAATTCCTAAAAATATAATTTGTGGAAGAATACTTTTAAAAGATTCTTTAAATCCCACTTTGTCATGCTATATTATCTTTTTGATATGCTGTTGAATTCAGTTTTACTAGTATTTTGTTGATGATATTTTTGCATTTATGCTCATCAGAGTTATTGGACTCCATTTTCTTTTCTTGTAGCATCGTTATCTGGCTTTGGTATGAGGGTAATTCTGGCCTCAGAAAATGAATTTGGAAGTGTTCTATCATCTTCAATTTTTTGAAAGAGATTGAGAAAAACTGACATTATTAATTCTTTAGATGTTAAATAGAAATGACTCATGAAGCCACTTGGTCCTGGGTTTTGGTTGTTGTCATACAGAGGTGCCTGATTACTCATTCAATCTTCTCGTTCATTGTTGGGCTGTTTAAGAGTTTCTACTTTTTTTTTTTTTTTTTTTTTTTTTTTTGAGACAGAGTTTCACTCTTGTTGCCCAGGCTGGAGTGCAATGGCACAATCTCGGCTCACTGCAACCTCCGCCTCCCAGGTTCAAGCTATTATCCTACCTCAGCCTCCTGAGTAGCTGGGATTACAGGCATGCGCCACCACAACCGCTAATTTTGTATTTTTAGTAGAGACGGGGTTTCTCCATGTTGGTCAGGAGATTTTCTAATTTTTATGATTCAGTTTGGGTGATTGTATGTTTCTAGAAATTTATTTCTTCTAAGTTATCCAATTGCTTGGCATATTGTTCATGATTCTTTGTATTTCTGTAGTATCAGTTGAAATGTCTCCCCTTTCACTTGTAATTTTATTCAAGTGCTCTCTTTTTTCTTGCTTAGTCTTGCTAAAGCTTCGTCAATTTTATTGATCTTTTTTTAAAAAAAAAACAAACAAAAAACCTCTTAGCTTTGTTGGTTTTTCTATTGTTTTACTAGTTTGTATTTCATCTATTTTTATTCTGATCATTATTATTTCCTTCCATCTGCTGACTTTGGGCTTAGGCTACTCTTTTTCTAGTTTTTTGTTTGTTCGTTTGTTTTGAGATGGAGTCTCACTCTGTCACCCAGGCTGGAGTGCAGTGGCGCGATCTCGGCTCACTGCAACCTCTCCCTCCCAGGTTCGAGCGATTCTCCTGCCCCAGCCTCCAGAGTAGCTGGGATTACAGATGTGTGCCACCACACCCGGCTAACTTTTTGTATTTTTAGTAGAGACGGGTTTCACCATGTTGGTTGGCCAGGCTGGTCTCGAACTCCTGACCTCAGGTGATCCACCTGCCTCAGCCTACCAAAGTGCTGGGATTACAGGTGTGAGCCACCGTGACTGGCCTCTAGTTTTTTAAAGGTATAATATTAGATTGCTTATTTGGGATGTTTCTGTTCTCTTAATGTAGGCATTTATAGTTAAAAACTTTCTTCTTAGCACTGCTTTTGCAGCATTTCATAAGTTTGGGTATGTTGAGTTTCCATTTTGTTTCTCTCAGGATACTTTTTGTTTTCTCTTTTGATTTCTTCTTTGACCCATTAGCTGTTCAGGAATGTGCTGTTTGATTTCTACACATTCATATACATTTAAAAATTCTGTACATTATTGATTTCTATACAATTGCTGTCAGAAAAGATTTCAATGTTTTTAAATTTATTAAGACTTGTTTGATCCAACACATACTCTATTATGGATAATGCTCCCTGTGCAATTGGGAAGAATGTTATTCTGGTAATGTTAAATGGAATGTTCTGTAAATGTTTGTCAGGTCTTTTGGTCTAAAGTGTAGTTCAAGTCAAATATTTTCATTTTGATTTTTTTGTCTAGATAACTTGTACATTGTTGAATATGTGGTGTTGAAGTTTCCTACTATTTTTGTGTTGCTATTTCTCCCTTTAGTTCTATTAATGTTTGCTTTATATATTTTGGTTATCCAATGTTGGATGCATATAGATTTTCAATTATTATATCCCCTTGATTGATTGATCCATATAGCATGATACAGTGACTTTCTTTTACTCATGACAGATTTTGACTGAATGTCTATTTTCTCTAATATAAGTATAACCACTCCTAGTCTGTTTCAGTTACCATTTGCATGAAATACTTTTTTTCATCCCTTTATTCTCAGTCTTTGTGTGTCCTTAAGGCTAAAATGAGTAGGCATTGAGTCCATTTGTGCCACTATAACAGAATACCAGATACTGGGTAATTTATTCAAAACAATAGAAAATTATTTCTGATGATTCTGGAATCTGGAAAAATTCAAGATCAAGGTGTAGGTAGGATTGGTGCCTGATGAGCATTGCTCTTTACTTCCAAGATGGCAACTTATTGGTGCATTTTCTGGAGAGGAAGAATGCAGTGTCCTCACTTGGTAGAAGGAGGTAGAAAACAAGAGAGAGCTTCCTTCAACTTTCAATCTCGAGCCCTTTTATAAGGGTGATAACCCCATTAATGTGAGTACAGTCCTCATGACTTAATTACCTCCCAAAGGCCACATCTTTTACAACTGTTACATTGGGGATGAAGTTTCAACATAAATTTTGGAGGGGATACCATTATTCAAATCATAGCAGCAGCATATTGCTGGATCTATTTTTTAAAATCCATTCAGTCATTCTGCTTTTTTTGAGTTGAGAATTTATTCCATTTACATTTAAAGTAATTATTAATAAAGAGGGCTTACTATTGATATTTTATTAATTGCTTACTGACTGTTTAGTTGTTCCCTTGTTCCTTTTTTCCAATCTTGTTGTCTTCCTTTGTAAGTTGTTAAATTTGTGTAGTGATATTGCGTCCCATCTGGGTCACCAAAATGTGTCCAGAATTTGTTCCTTCCAGTGGGTTCTTGGTCTCGCTGACTTCAAGAATGAAGCCACAGACCTTAGCGGTGAGTGTTACAGCTCTTAAAGATAGTGTGTCCAGAGTTTGTTCCTTCAGATGTTTCCAGAGTTTCTTCCTTCCGGTGAGTTCGTGGTCTCGCTGACTTCAAGAATGAAGCCGCGGAACTTGGCAGTGAGTGTTACAGCTCTTAAAGGTGGTGCAGACCCAAAGAGTGAGCAAAAGCAAGAGCGCTGATTGGTGCGTTTTTACAGAGTGCTGATTAGTGCATTTACAATCCTTTAGCTAGACAGAAAAGTTCTCCAAGTCCCCACTCAACCCAGGAAATCCAGCTGGCTTCACCTCTCAATATGCTTTGATTTCTTTCTCTTTACCTTTTGTGTATCTACTAGAGGCTTTTTCTTCGTGGTTACCATGGGGCTTACATAAAACACCTTATGCATATTTTTTAAGTTGAGAATAATTTAACTTCAGTTAAACACAAATCCCTACATTTTACCTCTCCTCTCCCACACTTTATGTTACTGATGTCACAATCTACATCTTTTATATTGTATATCCATCAACAAGTTTTTGTAATTTTAGTTAACTTTATGTTTGTTTGTTTCAATTACTTTTTGTTGAAAATATTTCTAAAATATATCAAGTCCTTGCATTGTCTTAGTAACTGCAAGCTGTTGACAATAAGAGTCTGATTTTAATGATTACAGATTTTCCCAATATTATAGGCATCACTGTTCTGAGAGTTGAATCTTCTCATACAAGTCTGTAGATGTCTTGTATTGGGATGTTAAACACAAAACATAACCTCATTGAAGCTTTTTTATTCCAAATTATAAACATTGGTTGTTGTCTTGTTACTGGCTTCACTTCAAATCCCCAAAATATACCTGTTTCAGATTAATTATACCTGTTCGAAATTACAATGAAATTGTGTTCACTAAATTCCATCCCTGGGATATCTAGTTCAAATAAATATTAAATTCTAACAAAACATAAAAGAGATTAATAAAGTGGTATTGTAGGAGGGAATTATAATTCCTCATCCCCTTGAAGTCAGACCTAGTCTTCATGTTAATTGGCAAATGAAATGAGAGTGTACATGAGGTATCTCACTTTCAAGCAAAAACTTTCAAACCAGCATGCGGTTTACATCACTGTCCTCCTTTCCTTCTGCCAAGAGACTGGAGATGTTACAGAAAAAGAGTGCTTTATACGTCTTGATCTCTGAGTAAATATGTTATGGAACAACCAATCTGAGATCCACTTGCAGCAAGAATGAGAAGTAATCCTCCAGTACTGTTTGTTACCAGAGCATAACTTAGCATATAGTGACTGATGCATGTAATCGTAATTATTTATTGAACAGTTTTGTACTTTCTATATATAACGGGCTTAACAGTAAATACTTGCAGATAAAGAAATAGAAGTAATGCTGTCCCTAAAGCAGTTTATGCCGTAGTGAGATAAAAAATACTAACTGGAGAATTAAATTACCTGCAAATTGTCTTCCAATTTTATTCCCATCCCTTGAACTCTAAAATTGTCTGGTTCGTTACAACAAAGTAGAGAAAATTAATGAATATGTGAATCAGTTTGATGAGAGAACCTTGGAGACTGGAATGTTCCATGAAACTAATCAACAAAGGGGTTATCATTCCTTTTGGCAACCACAATCCATACCAGGAACATGGATGCGAATAGGAGAGATTCTATGTCCAGCTACAGTGAAGAAGCTGTGAGAACTTGCAGGGAACTTTCCTTCTTTTTCAATGTACATGAGGAAAAAAGAGAATCCACTTTGCAGCTAATATTTTTCCACCTATGAATGGAAGCCATAGTTCCCAGCAGTTCTTGCTGCTGACTCTGCCACCCAGAATTGTTTTCCAGAGTCATCAAACACCACTGTGTAGCATGGGGTATGGGGTGTGGGAGACCTAGTAAAGGAACACTAGAGAAACACCAAGACCAATTTACCATTAAGCTATGTCTTGCTTTTGGTTTTCCAAAAACTCTCATATATGGAAATGAAGCAATTGAAGCCAGCATGAGTTGGGTCTGATGGCTGTCCTCTTCTTTAACTGGAGTAGGCAGCATTTTATGGGACTCATAAAAGGGTTTATGAGGCTTTGATGGGAAGTTGGCAGCCCAGGCTGCCTACAGTGATCTGATGAAAAGCAGCTCTTCTCTACACCTTCACAAAAGGTTTATTGCTATGGTTGTTTACTGAGACCCAAGGCAGAGCAGGGCCAGTGGAGTCAAAGAGATGGGCTTCAGAATTTAAGACAGGGAAGAATTTAGCTCTCACATGTTAGAACTTGGAAAGGCATCAGCCCGCAGCAGGGATTCCTAATTGAGATCCTGGGGAGGCTGAAAAGGCTTGGTTCACTGGTTCACTGAGCACACTTACAGATGCCTTTCTTCTCACTTTACCAAGTGACTGCTCTCTTCCTCCCACTTCAAATTAGGACACTTCTGTCTGATGACTAAGTGCATAGGCTTTGAAGACATAAGACTTGACTTCAAATTCTTTCTCCAATGTCTTGCTAGCTGGGTGGCTTTAGGTAAGACATTTAACCTCTCTGATCCTCTGTTTCCTACTCTTGCTTAATAGCAATTAAATGAGATTATTTTTACAAAGTTCTTAAACAATGTTTGCTACCCTGTGACCATTTGGAAATAAATGGCTATTTGCCAGAAGATCTGAGTTTGATATTCAGTTTTATTATCCTTATTGACAACATGGAAGGAATACGAGAGATGTAGGAATAAATCAATATATTATGTGTCAACATGGTTTGTAAATTTTAAGATGAAATGCAAATTTAAACAGATTACACAGTCCTACAAAACAGGTTCTTGAGTAATGAAAATAATAATGACCAAACATTAATATAGTGTGAACCATGTGTCAAAGCCTATTCCAAGCACTTTTCATGTATTAATTCCTAATTCTCATTGATCACTATAAGCTACCTAGTTTATTATCTCCATTCTACAGAATGGAGGAAACCGAGGCACAGAGAGATTAGAGAACTTGCCTAAGGAAGAGCAAATATTAAAACTCAGGTAATCTTATTTTTTATCTTCAATATATTAATTTTCCATAATTTCTATAAATATTTCCAAATTTAGATATACATTTTGAAATTGTCAAGCATGTAGATTTGGTTTTTCTTCTTCCTTAGTGAACCAGATGGCTGGTTTTATGTATGTGGTTAAGTGTAGCTATAGCTAATTCCACAATGAGAAAACATGTAGCTTACCAAGTTTATCTATCTTTATCTTATTCATTCCACAAATACTAATTGAATCCTTACTATGTGGTAGTCACCATGGCAGATGCTAACAGGGAAATACTAGCACATTTATTAAAACACTTACCAAGTTTTTTTTCATTTACTATTACCAGCCCATTTAGTCACTGTTTTACATCTTACTTTAACCTGGCTTCCACCATGATGATTCTAATTAACTGTATCTCAAACAACCCATTCTAGTCACTCCAATGTTTGTGTATGCATGTATGTATGCATCATTACACCAACCTTATCAAACTCTTCATTTCCCAACATTTGTTTCAACTTCCATACTCAGCTCATATAACACTCCCCCCTCAGAAAGTAGTTTTCATTGACTCATTTTCCTCCCCAAGATTTTATGCATGGAACAGTCAATGACTCCCCACTACTTCATAACCAAACTCTGTATTTATTATTCAGTGCTCTTCAAGATCAGTTCCCATGCTACTTGGCTACCTTTACCTCTCATTACGTTCTTCATGCATGAAATCCTTCAATAAAATTAATTCCTCAATCTTCATTATTTGTCCTATCTCTGAATGTTTATCCAGTTTATTTCTCAGAATTAACTGTCTTCTCCATTAGCCTTCTGCTTTCCTCAGCTTGAGTCTCAGTTAGAAGTAATTTTCCTTTCTCCATACCTCAATGGCAATTAGTTGTGCCCTTCTCACAACTCTCTCAAGATACTTACTGCATTTTACCTCGAAATATAGCCCATTCTATGACTATATTTTAGGCTCCAGTATGCTGTAAAGACCTCAAGGGCATGGACTAGGTCTTCATCATTACATTCATTCTCAAGTCTAGCACAGAATTGTACTCCTGGTAAATAAGTTCCTGTTCAATAAGTGTTACTGGATGGGTGGCAGGCTGGATGAACCGATGATCATTGGGTCACAGAACTAATAAGTGAATCTTCCTACTAAGAAATACATTGAATGTCATTTGGGGCAATATTTGATTAAATATCCATATTGGCAGTTGTCAACTTCTGCAAATATTTTCATTTTAGAAAATATTCTTAATTTGTATTATCAGCAAAATCACAGAAAATGAAAAAGCCTTTTAAAAAAAGTAATTGCTGTTGTTCATACTGGATTGAAACTCTGGGATTCTGCATATTGTACATTGGCCACAGCCTTGAACATCTCCAGTGTCCCTAGTCCCAAGCCTTTAGTTCCTCTGAACTCTGAAGAGAACTTAAATAGTGAGCCTCTATGTATCCCTCTAGCTGTGGAAATTTCTCGGTCTATCTTGCCTCTTTCCATGGATAGTTTGGACTCAAGATGTTGTAAATCTTCAAACAAGGAAAAATTGAGAAGGAAATTTCATAGCACACAATTCACAGTCATTTGACAAGGTGTCTGGGAATAAAGCAGGGCTTGTGCCAACCAGGGAGCTGTTTTAGAGGTGTTATAAGAAAAACTTCAGCTGAATTAAATTTAAAGGAGTTTAATTGAGCAATGAGCAATTCTCAAATTTGGTAGCCCCCCAAATCACAGCAGATTCAGAGAGACTCCAGAAATGTTTCATGGTCAGAACAAATTTATAGACAAAAAAGGGAAGTGACATACAGAAATCGGAGGCAAGGTACAGAAACAACTGGATCGGTTACAGCTCAGCGTTTGCCCTATTTGAACACTCAGCAGTGTATGACTGGTTGAAGCATGGCTGCTGGGATTTGCCAAGACTCAGCTATTGTTACAGGCACATACTCCTAGATTAGCCTTTCAGTCTTGTCTACCTATTAAGCTAGGTTGCAGTTCGTCCACAAGGACTCAAATATAGAAGTACAGAGTCCTTCTCAGGCCATATTCAGAGGGAAATTCTGAAAAGGAGATTTCATGAAAAGAAAAATGCCAGCTACCAATAGTCCCTCCCAAGTCTAAAACTCTAGAATTGTGTGTTGAGATCATGAATTACATTCAGCAGCATTTCTCAGAATGGATAGATAACAGATAGATGATAGAGAAAGAGAGAGAGAGATGATAGATAGACAGATACATAGATTGGTAGAGAGATTAGAGACAGAGATGGAGATACAGATATGTATCTATGTGTGCATAATGTACACACACATATATCAACATGTATATGTAAATACATATATATGTATATACACACATATTTTACACATATGTATACACATAAATATTTGTATATGTGTACATACATGATATATAAAAAAGTTGAAACTTCAAAGAAGCATAAAGAATGAGAAAGAAGACAAAGGGATGAGGTAGAAATGGTGCTAACTCCATTTAGCTGCAATAAAACAGGTTTTCGATTTATATGCTTTAAAAACAGAGAAGTGGACTCTTTTGAAGATACTTATCATTACTTTGCAGGTGAAGCTGTCACTCTTTACTTCTCAGCAAGGAGTACAGGGAAAAGTTGTGATGGATTAGCAATGAATGTGTTTTCTGTCATGTCCATTATTTCATCAGATTTTTTCTAGCCCCTAAATTCTGACTCAATAAACCAAAATAAACTAATACAAATAAAGGTAAATAATTTTGCTGCATTTTTAGTAAAGGCATGTCCTGGGAAAGTATATATTATGTGACTTGTAGACAGCCTTTGACTCATCTCCACTTACTCATTTGCCAAGGAAATGTGAAAAGAGGAAGAAAGAAGAGCGTGAGAGGTGGTCCACAAGTTATAAAAATTCAGCACAGGTACCTCATTTCTTAAAAACAAAACAAAAAATAAATATTAAAACTATGATAGAAAGCAAGCTATGGTAATTACAAGTGAGAATGTACTCAACTAATTTTCCAAAAAAAAAAAAAAACTTGATTTGTTTGGATTCAGAGGCATGGTTAGAGGGGAGAGCCCTGGGATTGCTAATATCTGAGTGTCTGGCATTTGAGTATTAGAAATGCCCTCCCTGTGGATTCTTCAAAACAATTTTGTAAGGCACATTCTTTTCCCCCCTTATACAAATGAGGCTATAGAACTATACACTTTAAAATGGTTAATTTTATGTTACATGAGTTTTACTTCAATAAAATACACTGTAAGCATTATTTAAAAAAAAAAAAAAAAAAGAAAGAAATTTGAGTGCTCTAACTAATCAGCCTAAAGCTATCCAGTTAGTAATTAGACACAAAATATGAGCCCAGTAGGCTGCCCCAAAGTTCTGGGCTCCATAATAATCTTTGTTTAATCTGTTACTGTATATTCCAGTATCAAAGTGCTTTGTTTTTACATATCTGATTATTTTTAACATTGCTACAAGTAAGAGATAAGAAAGTTGAGGCATTTTAACATTAATATCATAGATAGGCAAACTGAGCATCAGAAAGTTTAAGTTATTTGCCCAGACTCACTTGATGTTGTAGTGCCTAAGACATTTATTCAGCCCTGGTTCAAAAGTCTGCTCTTCTTGCAGTAGAGCATTATGTGTTTCACCAAACTCAGCATCAAGACAAAGCATCACATGTGCTTTTTTATTCCTTTAACACATTGTCCTATTTGAAAAAACATATTATAATTATGTGCATACAAACACACATATTAGACTGCAGAATTATTTGTAATATACATTATATATGAAATGTGTAATTTTTCATTAGCACAAAGAATGCCGGACAAATTCTTCTAATGTAGGAAGCCTGAATAAAGAATAGCAGAAACTCCTCCAGCAAAAGAAAATTGCATAAATACAAAAACACTAATAGCTGTACTCAGTAATAGTAATAGAAGTATAAGTGTGTCTTTGCTTGATTGGACTAAAACAGCATTTTAATGAAAGAACTTTCATTTGACATTTAGTTAACTACGACTTCACAGAATCATGTTTCATTACAAAATGAGAGCCAATCTTAGCAATGATTACAACACTAGTTATTATAGAAATATTTCTCATTTTATTCTCCCAATCAATATCCTCCAAATTTTATACTAGGATTTCTTTTTCTGCTTCTGAATTGAAAGAGGAATGAAAGAGGGCCAAGGAACTTCCCAGAAGACATTATCCCAAGAAACAATATTGCTTTACAATCTCCAAAGAAGAACCACATATATTAGCACTCTTTTGTTGTTTGGTTTTTTGTTGTTGTTTTGTTTTTGTTTTTGTTTTTGACATGGAGTCTCTGTCACTAGGCTGCAGTGCAGTGGCGCAATCTCAGCTCACTGCAACCTCCGCCTCCCGAGTTAAAGCGAGTCTCCTGCCTCTGCCTCCGGAGTAGCTGGGACTACAGGCACGCGCCACCACGCCCAGATAATTTTTGTATTTTTAGTAGAGACAGGGTTTCCTTATGTTAACCAGGATAGTCTCAATCTCTTGATCTTGTGATCTGCCCGCCACGGCCTCCCAAAGTGTTGGGATTACAGGCGTGAGCCACCGTGCCCAGCCAACACTTTTTTAACTTATAACCACTATTTAAAGATTAAAGGTAGGCATTATTTTCCTTTAAATAAAAGAGGAAATTGAAGTCAAGTGTATCTAGTGACTTTCCCAAGTTTGCATAGCTAGTGTGTGGCTGAAATAAGGGTTAGAACCAAAATGTAGTCATGGCCCGTCTACTGTATTTCCTCTTTACATTGGAACTTAATTCAACTTATCTCAGGTCTAGAAAATATTGAGAAGTTTCATCAGTATCAGGTAGCCATGATGTCCTAGAGGCAATTTGGAACTCAATCTAATTGTGTTTCTAATTTTAGGATCCATTTATTCTTTTAATCTCAGCTCATTAGAACAGGAAGAACTATAGACAATATTCATTGAACAAACATTATTTTGTCCTTTTAGCATCCAGAGAACATACGAGTTTCCAGAGATACAAAGATGAGTAAGACATAATCCATGACTCTAAATAGCTGAAGTAATGACTATAATGCAAATTATTTGCACACAAGATAAAAAGTATTATAGCTGCTGGGCTAGAAGTACTTGCAAGATAGAAGTGGGAGCAAAGAAGAGAATGCTTAATTTTGC
The DNA here is from genome assembly GCF_000001405.40 of Homo sapiens. Taxonomy (NCBI): domain Eukaryota; kingdom Metazoa; phylum Chordata; class Mammalia; order Primates; family Hominidae; genus Homo; species Homo sapiens. Next base: position 18,717,013 of record NC_000004.12, on the reverse strand, counting down.
CACTGGGCACATGAAAAGAAAGGATTCACAGAGGGGGTGACACTTTAAAGAAGAGAATACTTAATTTTGTCGCTGGGCATATGAAAAGGAAAGATTCACCGAGGAGGTGACACTTTAGTTGGAATTTTTTTAACGTATTGATGTTCACCAAAGTGGAGAGATTGGATAAAGAGGTGGGGGATGAATAGAGAACTGTTATAACCAAAGGCTTGGTGGTTTGGGGGTAACTACAAATAGTAACACATGACTTGACACTGAGTGTGTGCATGAATTAGAGAGAGAGAGAGTGTGTGTGTGTGTGAGTGTGCACGTGTGCGTGTGTGTGCTGACCTGTAGGTTCTGGCAATGGGGAGCTGACCATCACAAGCCCATAGAACACTCTGGTGTAAATCAGAATAGGGTACCCCTAACTGGACCAGATATTGGCAGTCACTACTAGGTCACGTGCCTAATGTGGTGACCTCAAAATGCAGAATGCAAAAGAGATACAGAGGAGACAAGAGATAAAATTGAAGATAGGTAAAGAAAGCCATGTGGGGTTTGGATGGATGAAACTTTCTGCCATATAACATGAATCCACTAAGGAATTTTACAAAGGAGAAAAACTGGAAGCAAAGAAAAGGCAGACGATGACAGCAATTGTAGTGAAGTCAAAGTTGACGTTACTTTATTTTCTGTAACTGATTTCACATTCTCCCAAGTCTACGTTGAGAAAAAATGGAGATAGGAGAAAAAACTGATAGGAGAAAAAATAATTAAAATAATAAAAGATAACTTGTGCCCTTCTATTTGTTTAAAGCTGTTCTATCAGTTCAAGCACAAATAATTCTGGATTTGTTTTCCCTTCTCTTGCCTTAACTTAAGAACTACATTTTAAGATGGAGGGAGAGAATTTACATACCAAACTGGCATCAGCTTTTGGGCTCTTGTGTTATCAGAAACTTCTCTTATCTCCTGGAGATGTCCCTCACCCTGCCTTGTTTCTGGACATCTTGTGATAATGTCGACTGAAGTACAATTGATCAACTCTGATTTTCTTAGGTATCTTGCCCACCTATTTATTCAATAAATATTTACTGGGTACCAAGTATATACTAGACAGTGTACTAGGTTCTGGAAATATACAGTAACCAGCCAAAAAGAAAAAAAAAATCCCTGCTTGATTGTGTTCACATTCCACTTACTGCTAACATCTCTGCTGTAGCTTCTAGTCCTAGATCCCCAAAGTCCCTGCCCTGTGAGCTCCTTATCCCAACCCCAGCTCTCTATTTGTGTACCAGTTCCTTCAGCATTTCTGTGCTTTTCTATATCACTTTGGGTTTGAAGGTTCTGGAAGGCCATTAAACCCATCTAGATACTTTCTTCAGCTGGGTGTAAGCTACATCCCATGCATCATAGGAATACGTTGTCATTTTGGTAAATGCAGGGATAGAATGTCCCCAGACTATGCCGCAATGAGTGGATAATGAGCCTTCTCTGAAATGAGAGAAGTGGGGAGCAGTATGTAGGCATCCAACCCCTTGTCTTTCAAATCCCCTTTCCCTGTATGCCATCTAACTCAGAACAGAGCTTTCTACTTCCTTTTTGCCTCTATTGTTTCTTTATATTATGTCCTTTTTGTATCTTACTTCAATCTCACGATCTCTTAACAGCAAAAAGTTTAGCTATTCCAAGGTAAAATACAGCCATAAATATAAATATATTGTCTTTATTAAACAATGATCCAGTTTTAAATTCATGAGGGCAAATCAAACACATGAGTCATGAATGAGAACTTCAGGGCAAATGCCTACACAGACTTCTACCTGGTAGGTAACGTAGTTATCACACCAGGGGTAATGTCTAGGTATCTTTCTCATTAATTGAGATGATGACATTATTCACAGCCACAGAGAACACAGGCAAACTGTTAAGATGCCTGCCTGGCTCACATTTGCATGTTGGCCTTGAGATACCTGAGGAATCTTTGAATGAAGATGTCCGTCTACGTTTCACAATCTGCACTGAGGATCCGTATATGTGAATCCTTAGCACTGAGGAGGGACGAGGTATATGAAGCCCTGGAGAGATGATCTCATCCAACTCTCCTCACTGCCACCAACTCATTTTACAGATTTGAAATCTGTTGCTTAGAAAAGTTTACTCAGTGACATATGCTAGGGCAAATGGCTATTTTTAGGCAGAGTCAACCTAAAGATTTCTTCACTCCCAGCCCAACAATGAAGTCCATAATAAGTTCAGACACAATGCTTCATAAGGAAAGAAATGAAAAAGCAAACTGAATCTACACATCTCAACCAAAATATTAGGTTCAGAGATATTACACATGTGAGAGAATTTTAAAGTTAAACTATCCCTGGTTGAACTGCTTCCTGAAACACCTGCCACATTTAGTTGTCATCAAAGTGAATTCATTAAAAAGCAGAACAGCCCCCAGGGCAAGAGATTCTTTGCATAAATTAGGTGTGAGGGATGAAACGCATATCTGAAATGTCTCCATAGGACAGCAGAGAAATATTAGTTTGCTGCAGAGCTGAATAACTTCCTAGAACAAACTCTTGAGAGTCTGTGGTTCTGTTTCTGTAACATGAAGAGAAATGACTACTCATGAGAAGAACAGCAGTTCTGAGGGGAATATCAGGTTACCCCTCCATTGGTTAGCAAATATCTAAGCAGGCAGCTCTTCTAAAATGTGGTCTCCAAAGTAAACCCTGTGTCTTCTCCTTCAGATTGATTGATCAAAGTACAACGGATAGCATTTACAATGCCCTGACAATTCAGAATATCCACCCCCATGAGTCAAAGACTGGGACTCATTTTCTAAAATTATTTTAACACAATTACTTTTTTTATTCAAACATGTCAAGATGTCTAATAGCAAAGTTGGTTCTATAATTTTAAAAACTTTCAAATTAAAGGCAGTAGAAATTTTTGTAAGTGTATCATGGGGTGAGTAACAGAAGGGTGTGCTCCGACCACCCCCTCACATAACCATACACTTCTCATCCTTTATGACACAACTTAATAGTGTATCTCAACACCTAATGTTCTCAATGCAAGGTTCAAATATCTGAGATGATAAGAAACAACTCTCTCTGGAAAACTAATCAGAAAGTGATAGATAATCACTTATTAAATTATGTTTTGAGTTTTAAAACATATCTACTGTTTTGTGTAATATCACAACATTTTCTCCAGGATAAAAAATAAAAACAGAAAAACTCATGTCAAATGTACTCCCAAACCCCATTGCCCATGTAGACTTGCAAAGGAGTCTGTCCTTCATTCATTATTCATTCATGTAATAATCAGAGCTAGGTTCAAATCACAGCTCCACTATTGGTTACATGTTATGTTCCAGATACTTCACCAGGCTGTGCAGAGAAATACCTTTAAAAAAACATAAACACTGCCCTCAAGGATTTAGCAGTACAATGTGGACCCAGACATTCAAATAAAGAATTGTCATTTAAATTACTGAATGAAGAGGAGCAGGAGGTGGTGGTGGAAAAGGAGCAGGAGGATAGACTTGTGTGCAAGGGAGCTCAGAGGAAGGAATGAGTAGATCAGGGAAGGTATTCCAGAGGGTAGAAATGTTAGAGAGCCTCAATGGAGGAGCAGGAGATTTATAAGCCATTTCAGGAGAGATGGTCTTTTACATAGATGGCAGCCTTGGGAAGGAATACTTTACAACAAAATTTTAAGGTAGGTACCGTCTGTCCACAGACTTGTTGTATTTCATCATTGCCTTATTCAGTCCAGGATGCTATAACAAACTGCCATAGATTGGTGGCTTATAAACAACAGAAATTTCTTCTCACAGTTCTGGAGGCTGAAAGCCTGAGATCAGAGTACCAGCATGGTCAGCTTTTGGTGAGAACCACCTTCTGGGGTGTAGAGTGCCGACTTCCCATTCCCTCTAATTCCATCCATGAGGGATCTACCCTCATGACCTGTTACCTCCTAAAGGCCCTGCTGCAAAATACCATCACACTGGGGGTTAGAATTGCTATAGCTGATACTGGGGGGGAAATAAGCATTCAGTTCATTGCAACCTTTTATCTCTTACTTTAGTGCTTTAGAGTATTTCCCTTGTTTTCCAGAATCTCTACAATAACCTTCAACCTAAGAATGTACTATTAGGTTGTACATCACTGTTAGGTAAACATGAACTCCTGTTTACCTGGCCATTCCCATCCTTAGCTCAGATTTTAACACTAGTTCCCTAAAGGGAGGCATTGGTATAACTAAGTCTAAGGTGTCTTAAGAGTGTCTTGGGCATAAATTATAAATGGATTCAAATCCCTCCTTTCCTCTGTCCTAGCTGTGTGACACTGAGCTTAAACTTTCTAAGCTTTAGTTTTTTCATCTGTATAGGTAAGACTGTAACTCACTGGGTCGTTGAAATTGAATAGTCAATATCTTATTTCCCTAAATAAAGACTGACAGCATTTTATTCAATAAGAATATACAAAAATAAATTTTTGGCAAATCTGATATTTTATGTTTTAATAGGTATGTTTAAAATATGCAAATGTATTCTCATAATAATATGATATGAACTCTTGTGTAAGACAATGTTTTATGTAAAGTAGTATTTGAATTTTAAAAATTGTTATTTCAACTCATATTTTGTGAATCTATTTTATTGCAATTGTTCAAATTTATAGTCAACATCATTGCTTTTATCATCACTGAAGACAAGATTCAAGTCATCCAAAACCAATTTCCAGAGCACAGTATTGTCACTTTCTTGAAATATGGCACTTTTTATGCAATAACACTGTTTGACTCCTTGTATAATGCTGTCTCTGGAATTTTATCACTGGGTACAAGTGCCCATTTGCTTTTTCTGACTGTGCTATTAAAAATATTCAAGGTTTAGTCCAGCTGTGCAGAAATAAATCAAAGTAAGAAACTTGAGAATGACAAAATTAAGTTTAGAAATGAAACAAAGAAAGAAAGAAGGGAAAATTAAAAAAAAACAGGAAGGGAGAAAGAAAGTAAGAGAGGGAGGGAGGAAGGAAGGAAAGAAGGAAGAGAAAGAGAGGGAAGAGAAGGAGGGAGAGAGAAATCAAGAGAGGATGGGAAAAAGGAAGGAAGAGAAAAAAGGAAAACACAGGAAGAAAGGAAGGAGAGGAAGGATAAAGGGAAACGAGACCAGGAAAGAGGGAGGAAGAAAAGAGAAAATGAGGCCAGGAGTGGTGGCTCACATCTGTAATCCCAGCATTTTGGGAGGCCAAGGCAGGCCGATCACTGAAGGTCAGGAGTTCAAGACCACCCTAGCCAACATGGTGAAACCCTGTCTCTATTAAACTTACAAAAATTAGTGGACTTAGTGGCAGGCATCTGTAATCTCAGCTACTTTGGAGGCTGCAGCAGGAGAATCACTTGAACCCAGGAGGAGGCAGAGGTTGCAGTAAGCCGAGATCACATCATTGCACTGCAGCCTGGGTGACAGAGCAAGACTTTGTCTCAAAAAAACAAAACAAAACAAAATAAAGGAAGGGGCAAAGAAGGGAGAAAGGACAGGAAAGAAGAAAAGGAGAGAGAAAGAAAGAAAAACTAGTTAAATGTGGCTACATCTAAAATGCTATTTAATATGATTATTATTAAAAATATAAAATTAAACATGAAACAGAAGATACAGATGCCCACCACCAAGCCTGGCTAATTTTTGTATTTTTAGTAGAGACAGGGTTTCACCATGTTGGTCAGGCTGGTCTCGAACTCCTGACCTCAGGTGATCCACCCGCCTCAGCCTCCCAAAGTGCTGGGATTACAGGTGTGAGCCACTACAGCCGGCCTTACGTTAACATTTATAATTTAACACTAACAACAATGAATTGAAAATTCAAAACTATATTATTATAAAGAGATGATGGGGAAAGAACTAAGAAAAGGTAAAATCCTCCTAAACTATTCTTATTACTCAGTAGATTGTATTATTTGCTTGTGTTCTTTCTACGTTTCAATCATAGATAGGCATGCACATATTCAAGAAGGAGACTACTTTTCCTTTTAAAACAGAGTAATCTCTACCTTATTTCTCTTTTCCCAGAAGCAATCACTCTCAATTCTTTGAGTTGAATATTCTTATTTATCTTTCGTTTTGTCTGCTAACACTCTATTGCTTTCTTCTTCGATTTTAGCTTTATCTGTTGACTTTTTCCATGAAAGATAAATATTTGCTTCTATTTCCAGTGTCAGCCTCCAACACACATACTCAAATGTACTCATATATTTTTATTCTCTCCACCTCACAACATGGTTAAATATGTTTACATTATTTTAACTATTAAAATGCTATTCACAGCTTCTATCAGACTGGGTAGTAATGATTAGTTATTCCTTCCTGCAAAATGTTGACTTTTGGAAGAAGCCTCCTTCAGAAACATCAGCTCAAATTAAAACAGACTGTATCCTACACTGATACACAGCTCTTATTATGGCCTATGGGGGGTGTTGGCATGAGGGAAAACTCAGAAAAAGATTAATAGGATGATGTGTAGCCCCTATGGATGCAGTTGACTTGAGACCAACTGCTCATGATCTCAGATCATGAGAGATGGGTGCTCATCTTCTCCTACCTTCACTAGCCCGTTCTAAATTCCGCTCACCCTCAGCTGTCATCTTGGCAAAGTTTGCTGGATTACTTTGATAGTGTGACCTAAACCTTCATACCTGAAGGGTCTGAACACTTGATAGCCATACCCTCCTCAGTGCAGGGTTTGTCCACATATCCATTAGCAGTTACAATGGGACAAGGGAGTACCAGAGGCACCCAAGTAGATCACCTGGGTTCGCCATGTATTCTCCTCTACCACCATTGGTATAAGCAGCCCTATCTGTTCCTGCTGATCAAGGTCAATTCCCCCTCCCAATATAGGAAGTCCTCTTATTGTCTGATGGTGTCTGGGCTCAAAGACTTCAAAATGCCCAGGTGGTAGCTATAAATTATAATTCAACAGGACATTTGCTGTGTTTATTGGTACATTCTGAGACCAAGAACCCCAACCCAGGGAAGCCCAGAGCTGAGGAGACAGGATGGAGAATGTCCTCTGGAGATCTTCGAGAGGAATGGTAAATGAGGCCACTCTTGCTTCCATGCCTTGGGTCTTGGAACCATTCATCTGTCTTTGTGCAAACACAGAGCCATATCAAAATATCTCATTTAATAGACATACTGCCTTCTACAGGATGGTACTTCATATTTTTAGAGTGTTTTCTCTAAACTAGTACTTCAGTTGTACAGCTAGAAGTATTCTATGATCATGGCCATTGGCCTTTGGATCATAAAGTATATGACATGACCAGTGGGACCAGGGACCATGGCCTACTTCTGCATCCCCTTCACTATAAGGTAGGTCCCCAGGTTGGATGTTATGTTCCATGGGATTCCAGGCCCATGTACCAGGCATTCTTTAAGCACCTGGAAAGTGGTAGTGGCTAAGACTCTACTAGCAAGAAGAACAAATCTATACCTGAAATAGAGGAATGACTGACCCTTTGTGGATGGAAGGGACCTGATATCAAATTGCCACCATGTGGCCAGGTGGTCTCCCTGAGGAATAGTGCCATAAAGGAGTTTGGGGAGGAGGGAACTCAGTGTTCATTTCTCTCACTGAAAAGTTGGACACTCAGAGGAAGCAATAGCAGGATCAGCCTTAGTAATGGATTGTCCATGCTGTTGGGCCCATAGGTAGCCTCCATCTCTGCCTCCATGACCCTCCAGTCATGTATTTTTCCTGGCTTGTAGACGGCCATCTTCTCACTGTGTCCTCCTATGGCCTTTCCTTGGGGCATGTACATGGAGAGAGAAGTCGTGAGCACAGCAAGATGGTGGCTGCCAAAAGCCAAGAGAAGAGAACTCAAAATGAAACCTACCTCGCTACTGTCTTGATCTTGGACAGTTTCCAGAGCTGTGAAAAATAAATTTCTCTAGTTTGAGCAACACAGCATGTGTTATTTTGTTATGGTAGCTGAGCAGATTGATAAAGTTTTGGGTACCAGAAGTAAGGTGCTGCTGTAACAAATGCCTAAAAATGTGGAGGTGGCTTTGGAACTGGGTGATGGGTAGAGGCTAGATGAGTTTTGTGGTGCTTGCTAAAAATAAAATTAAGATTGTCACGAAGAAATATAAATATTAAAGGCAATTGTGTTGAGGGCTTTGAAGAAAAGACGAGAGCTAAAGAAAAAGCCTCCATGTTCTTAGAGAATATGTAGAGAATAATCCTGAATAGAATGTTGGTAAAAATATGAATGTTAAAGTCATTCTGGTGTGGTATCAGACAGAAATGAGGAAGTTGTTATCGGACAATGGAGAAAAGGTGATCACTGTTACAAAGTGCTAGAGGACTTGCCTAAATTGTGATCTAGTGCTTTAGGGGAGATAGCACTTGTGAAAGGTAGAATTGCATATTTATGTGAGGAGATTTCCAAGTAAAATGTTCAAGGTATAGCCTGGATCCTCCTGACTACTTATAATAAAATGCAAGAGGTGAGAGTTGAATTGACAAAGGAATTGTTAATCAAAAAGTAACAGGAACTTAAAGATTTGAAAAATTACCTGCCTGTTCATATTTCAAAAATATGAGGAAGTATATTCTGAAGAGAGTGCTAGGGATGTGGCTGGACAACCATTTGATAGGAAGATTGGTATGGGTGTGAACAACAGATGTAATCTGATATATCAGCAGGAGCCAGGAATAGCTTTGGGACTACACCAGCAGAAATACTGCCAGCTGGGACTAAAGGACATAAAAAACTAGATGGAAGGGAGGAAGGTGGACTTCTGCAATCCTGTAGAATGGGCCTGTAGAGCTATTCAACTGCAAACCTGCATTATCCTTCAGGATAAGGGAAGAATGACCCTAAAAGTGATTTAGAAATCAGCAGGGCTGGCACCTTAATCTTAGACTTCCCAGCCAAGATAAATAAATGTCTAATTTAAATTTAAATTTTTAACGTTTAAGCCTGTGGCATTTTGTTTTGACAGCCTGAGCGGACCAGTTCGCCCCCAATCCAAAGAGGCCTATACATATAAAGGTGGGATGAAGTGGTCTGAGCACACAAGTTAAGAATAAACAGAAGCTGACCTTAGAAAATGGGAAGCTATACCATGCTGTAGGTTAAATTAATCTATAAATTTATTATGATCTCAGTAAAAATACAAATAGATTTCTTTTTCTGGAACTATGAAAGAAGATTCTACAGTTTAAGTGAAAAAATAAATTTGAAATAACTTGTAAAGTTCTGAAGAAGGGGAATAAAGAGAAATTAGTTATAGTAGATAATAAGGTATGCTAAAAAGTAAAAGAATAGTTTAGTATTGGTATATTAATATGCAGATATCAGAAAATATGTCTACATATAGAACCAAATATATATGGAATTTTAATATATGATGGATTTGGCATTTCAAGTCTGAGGGAAAATATGTATTATTTAATATATTTTGTTCAACAAATTAAATAGCCATATGTAAGAAAATAATGTAAAATGCTTACCTCACACTTCACATCAAAATAAATACCTCATGATTCAAAGATTTTAACACATAAAAAAGAAACATAAAAGACATAGAACAAACTGTGATAGAGCTTTTAAAAATTTTCAGTGTAGCAAAAACCTTTTCAGGAGTGTCCAAAATACAGAAGCCATAAAAATCTAGTAATTTTGAAGGCATAAAAATAATCTGCTTGGAAAAAAGCTACTATATGTAGTGTCAAAAGAAAAGTGATAAAATTGTGAGTTAATATTTGCAACTCATGTCGCGGGTGAAGTGCTAATGTACTTTTCAATTAAGACAAAAAAGGAATGACATTCTGATAGAAAATATGGCCAGAGGCTACAAGCTCACTCCATTCACTGAAAAGGAATTCCAAATGGCTCTTAAACAAATATATATAGACATCATTCATAATAAGAGAAAATGCAAATTACATTTACAATAACATCTGATATTTTTTAACTGGCCAGGTTAGGAAAGATCAAATAATTTAATAGCAATGTATTATCTCAGGAAATATGTATTCTCATACACAACTCCTGGGAGAGTAAATTGAAACTTCCATGGAGAGCAATTTGTTTCTATCAGAGTTAAAATTGCATCTCCCCTTTGGTCCAGGTTATAGTCCTGTGTATCTCCTCTACATGTACATTGGCACGTGTGTAAAATGACAGATGTACAAGGATATTCATTACTACATTTTATAGCATCAAGGTATGAGGGTCAGAGAATGCTCAAAGGTCTAACAATGGAAAACTGGATAAACCAATAATGGTTCCATAATATAAACCAGCACTGTGTAGCAACAGAAATGAATAAAATAACTCCATAGGTACAGGCATGTGATAATTTGAAGATATACTTTATATTCAAAAAGATAATTCCAAAATGCAGTGTAGAATACAATCTCATCTGTGAAACAGAAGATTAGTAGAAAATATGTATATATTACTATAAATACATGTATATAATTTAGAGTATATCTGAATAAATTCACAAGACGTTGATTTGGCCTCTGAATAAGAAAAATGTGTGGCTGAGGGACAGAGGTTATAGAAAGTTTTATTTTTCCTTGCATATCCTTGTGTTTGTATGGCCTATTCAAGAAAATTAACAATAAGAGAAAAATAGAAACCACAACAAATGAGATGATACAACAAAATACATATAGAAGATTCAGAAATAATTTTTTAAGGAAAAACTGCAATAGATAAGTCTCCAGATTGTTTAACATGAGAAATGGAGAAAAACATAAATACACAAAATTAAAAATTAAAATTATGCTATCAAAACAGAAGTGACTAAAAGTATAACAATAAAAAATAAACATTTAAGGTTCTTTGTAAGTTTTTGAAAATCTCAATGAAATATACAGTTTTCTATAAAAATACAAATGAAATAATCAGATCAAAAGGACATTAAAGATCTGATTATATATTTCTTTTTCAAAATGCCAAACTGTAATCCCAAAAAAGCCTGGGTGTATAAGAAAGCCTTTTTAGCAAACATATCAAACTTTAAAGAAAAAATAGAAATCCAGTTATATTGTCACATACATTTTATAACCTTAGTAATTAAATTTGACAAAAATAGAACAAGAAAAAAGTTACACACAAAATTTACTTAAAAATCAATGTGTAAACATCCTCAATAAAATACTAGCCTAGTCTGGCAGCCTTTTTAGTATTCACCAGTATTCATCTTCCACCTCTTTCATGGCATATGGAAGGATTTGATTTCCATGTCTTCTTGAATTCAACCATGGCCATGTGATTTTTCCATAGCCAATAAAAGGTAAGCCAGAACTTCCATGTTTCCTGGGTAGTAGGAACTAATTACCAGCACTTGGTTCTTCACCACTTTCTTCCCTTTCTCTGGCGACTGTGGCAGCTGTGTCCATATATAGGTTTAGTAATGATCTAGCACATGGAAAACAGTTGCTCCAGAGATTTACCCAAGCCCAAGCCGACTGTATGGGGGCAAGAAATAGTCTTTGTTATTTTAAGTCGCTGATATTTGAGATTGCTTTTAACCATGACATCATCTAGGCTATCCTGACAGACATACAAATCAATTTCAATAGAACACTAAAAATGTAATATGTAAGAGCCAGTTAGGGTTTATACAGGGAAAGAAAGGGTAGATCAAGATCATGAAATGTACCAGCTTCACATCACTGAGGAAAAACTTTGTAAAAATTCTGATAAAAATTAATCACTCCATTTAAAAATGAAAACATTCTATATAGTAAGAGTTCTTTCTTTATATAATAAATATTAATCAACACCAATTGATATCATAGCTATTGGTGAACAAAGAGATATTAAAACATAAACCATTAAAATTAGGACTAAGGTAGTTATACTTGTGCTATGGTTTGAATATTTGTGTTATCCCAAAATTCATATGTTGAAAACTAATCCATCTGGGTGTGGTGCCTCACATTTGTAATCCCAGCACTTTGGGAGGCAGAGGCAGGAGGATAGCTTGAACCCAGGAGTTTGAGACCAGCCTGGGCAACATGGTGAAACCCAATCTCTACAAAAGAAAAATGAGCTAGGTGTAGTGGCATGCTTGTAGTCCCAGCTACTCAGGAGGCCGACGTAGGAGGATCAATTGAGTCTAGGAGATCAAGGCTACAGTGAGCTGTGATCATGCCACTGCACTTCAGCCTGGATGACAGAGTGAGACATCATTGAAAAAAGAAAGAAAAAGAAGAAAAGCAAGAAAGCAAGAAAGAGAAAGAAAAAGAAAGAAAGAAAGAAAGAAAGAAAGAAAGAAAGAAAGAAAGAAAGAAAGAAAAGAAAAGAAAGAAAAAGAAAGAAAGAAGAAAGAAAAGAAAAGAAAAGAAAAGAAAGAGGGAAGGAGGGAGGGAGGAAGGGAGGGAGGAAGAGAGAGGAAAAACTAATCCCTATTGTGATAGTAGTAAGAGCTGAGGCTTGTGGAAGTGATTTGGTCATGATGGATCTGCCGTCATGAATGGGATTAGTCCCGTATTAAAAGAGGCCTGAAGGAGTTAGTTAACACTTTCTGCCCTGTTAGGACACAGCAAGAAGATACCTTCTATGAGGAACAGGCCCCCACCAGATACTGAATCTGCCAGTGCCTTGATCTTGGACTTCCCAGCCTCCAGAGCTGTGAGCAAAAATTTATGTTGTGCATAAATTACCCAGTCTAAGGTATTTTTTATAGCAACCCAAATGGACTAAGACAGCCTGCTACAAAAAACAAAACTGAATGTCTTCTCAAAGTTTTAATGCAATAAGACATGAAACATTTTTGAAAAAGGAAAGACAAAATTACCATTCACAAATAATTCTATATTCTACTGAGAAAACATACAAAAATCAACTGAAAACCTATTAGAAGCAATAGAAAAATTAATTCAGTTAATTGGCTACAGTGATATTTAAAAAATATCAAAGAGGCCAGCAATGCTCATTCATTAGGCAAATATTTATTAGTCACTTACTATGTGTTAGGCTCCATCCTAGCTCTAGTGAACAAAACAGACATAAAGCCTTTCCTTCACTGAATTTTTCTTTAGGAGAAAGGCACTATTAACAGCAATAATAATAATAAAGCAACAAGTAAGATACACATAGGCATCTCCCATCACTAATTCTCCCATCACTAATTCTCTCATCCATTCTTGAAAGCAAAATGTTTTTGCACAAAAATTGTAACTTCTATGAAAAATGTAAAACATATTACAGAAATATATTCCCCATTGTTCAAGATCAGAAAAAATAATATATGACACATTAACCTCCAACCCAACCAATATCCTACAATATAATAAAAATATCAAATATATAAATATTAATAACAAATGGTTACATTGGGAAGTAAAATACATAAAACACTGATTTTGCTCACCCAACAACTGATGTTAATAAATAGTTAACATCAACATAGTAGCATGTTGTGCATCACCCTAGTTGACATTCTACTCTAACTTCCTGAGATTTGTATGCTCTATCGATGATGTTTGCAATATAACTAAAGACTATTCATGAATATTGTTTCATTTAAAAATGTTGCTTTTAGACTTGTGGGCATAATAATTTTTTTTTCCTGTATAAACATGCCCAAAAGATATTGCATTCAAATATAAATCCAATGTATATTAATAACATAGTACTATGCAACTGGGAAAATATTAAGTGGGAGTAATTCCATAGAATGTTCTGTAGTAGGTCAAATTCGGATAAGGGCAATCAAGAGAAAGAAAATGGGGAGGGAATATCGATCAGGAAGGTGATAAAGAAAGCAAATATTTCATGTTTGAATTGGGTGGCTGGGAAGGGTCTCGCTGTAAAGAAGAAAGTTGAGCAATGACTTGAGAGAAGTGAGAGAGTAAGCTGTGGGCGACTGGGAGGAGAGAAAGTTGTAATGAAGGTTCCGAGGTAGAAGTACATCTGGAGTCCTTGAGCTCAGTAAGTTCAGAATGGCGAGCATGGTAAGGGTGAGTGTAGCAGGGTATAAGGAGAGAGAGATTAGAAGTCAGGGAGAGAAATTGGTAGACTACATAAGGACTTTGGAGGTTATTGTAATAACCATGGATTTTCCTAAGAGATTGAAGGTCATGAATTGTGAGCTGAGAAGTCAATAATACAGTCTGTCAATTCAAAGGCATAGATTTTGTTTTGGTTTTCACATATTAACAGCACTAAAATAGAGCTATGTCTTATATCCAATGGTGTAATACATGGTATGATTGGTAACTTTTTTCTCTTCGTCATGTATAAAATAATAGTGTATTATAAAATCTTTGTTATCTTATTTTGAAGAATTGTAGTAAGCCAACTTACAAACGAATGAAATCTCTGGCTGCTGCTTAAAAAAAGACCAAAGGATACAAATGGCTGCCTAAAAACCAATTCAAATTATTTGGAAATTAAATAACACATTTATAAAAATGTCAAGAGTTAAAGAAGAAATCACAAGAAAAATTAAAAAATATTTTGAACTGAATTATAATGAATAAAAAATATAAAATGTTGTATTCTGATGGAAATATATATATTTATTTAAATACTTTTATGCAGAAAAAATCTAAGAAAATATCATATATAATTTTAAAAGTTTAAAATGTAAATAGATTCTTAGGAAAAAAACATCAGATGGTTGTACATCTACAACCATCTGATCTTTGACAAACCTGACAAAAACAAGAAATGGGGAAAGGATTCCCTATTTAATAAATGGTGTTGGGAAAACTGGCTAGCCAAATGCAGAAAACTGAAACTGGACCCCTTGCTTATATCTTATACAAAAATTAACTCAAGATGGATTAAAGACTTAAATGTAAGACATAAAAGCATAAAAACCCTAGAAGAAAACCTAGGCAATACCATTGAAGACATAGGCATGGGCAAAGACTTCCTGACTAAAACACCAAAAGCAATGGCAACAAAAGCCAAAATTGGCAAATGGGATCTAATTAAACTAAGGAGCTTTTCTGCGCAGCAAAAGAAACTATCATCAGAGTGAAGAGACAACCTACAGAATGAGAGAAAATTTTTGCAATCTACCCATCTGACAAACGGCTAATATCCAGAATCTACAAAGAACTTAAACAAATTTACAAGAAAAAGACAATTCCATCGAAAAGTGGGCGAAGGATATGAACAGACACTTCTCAAAAGAAGACATTTGTGTGGCCAATAAACATATGAAAAAAAGCTCATCGTCACTGGTCATTAGAGAAATGCAAATCAAAACCACAATGAGATACCATCTCATGCCAGTTAGGATGGCGATCATTAAAGAGTCACGAAAGAACAGATGCTGGATAGGATGTGGAGAAATAGGAATGCTTTGACACTGTTGGTGGGAGTGTAAATTAGTTCAACCATTGTGGAAGACAGCGTGGCAATTCCTCAAGGATCTAGAATCAGAAATACCATTTGACCAAGCAATCCCATAACTGAGTATATGCCCAAGGATTCCAAGTCATTCTACTTTAAAGAATGCAAGAACACTTATGTTTATTGCAAGAACACATATGTTAATGCAAGAACACGTATGTTTATTGCAGCTCTGTTCACAATAGCAAAGACTTGGAACCAATCCAAATGCCCATCAATTATAGATTGGATAAAGAAAATGTGGTACATATATACCATAGAATACTATGCAGCCATAAAAAAGGATGAGTTCATGTCCTTTGCACGGACATGGATGAAGCTGGAAACCATCATTCTCAGGAAACACAGGAACAGAAAACCAACCACCGCATGTTCTCACTCATAAGTGGGAGTTGAACAATGAGAACATGTGGACACAAGGAGGGGAACATCACAAACCATCACACACCTGGTTTGATGGGTGCAGCAAACCACCATGGCATGTGTAAACCTACGTAACAAACCTGCACGTTCTCCACATGTATCCCAGAACTTAATGTATAATAATAAAAGGAAAAATATCAGAAAGTATAATATACAAAGTATTCATAGTATTTATCATAGAATCTTGGGTTTGTATGTATATGCTTGCCCTCAACTGGTAGAAATTTTTACTACTAATGTGTGTATTTTATGCTTAGAAAAAGGAACACAAATGCTTTAAAAAATACACAAAGGCAATGTGCGATGTTTTAACTCCTATTTGCATTATCTTTGCTTCCTCTTCACAATGTTCCTCATCATAAAGCTAAATATTCATAGATAATTTAAGGGAAGCAATTTTCATGTCCTCAATATATGCCATATATCCTAAACTGAGAAAGTGACAATAGGATCTGCTTCTTCACATCCTGTTTCACAATCACTAGTCCTTTATTTCTCAAAAGAAGAAGATGCCCTCATCCCTAATACAACTATGATGAATTGCTTTAAAGAGGAAAAACTTCTGGTGTATTTAACAAAGGTACAGTTCAAAATAGAAATATCTGCAAAAGCTCCTACATAACTAGATAATCCAGCCCTGCCTATCTCAACAATACAAGGATTTCCAGCAAAATTTACATTTTGCATTTAATATCTATTAACAACATTTTAATGTTTAAGCTCTTATCAATTATATATTAACTTTTGACTTCAGAATCTAATCCAGGAAAAGCTACAAAACACATAGACCTTTATGGCCACAATAAATAAATAATAATTTTAATGTCAAATTATTTTCATTTCAAATTTCAAAATAAATTATTTTATTATATACATTGGTGAATCAATAAAGAATTTTTGAAGAGCAAAAATATATTGGGATAACATATGGGGAAATTGTAATGGAAAAATGATTTCAAAGACTAAAAAATGATGCAGAATGCCTACCTCCTACAAAGGAGTTTGTGTATATCTTTAACATCCAATAAATCTTGAGAGATTGGTAAATGGATATTTATTATTTGAAATATGTACTTTTCAACATAGTTAATATATTGCAAATAAAAAGTGTATTATTAAAATGCATATGCCATTAACATTTATTGAGTATTTACTATGAACTTGGATCTTTGCTAAGAAGTTCCATAGACACTCCATTTCATTTTCACAAAAACATTGCATGACAGGGATGATGCCCAAACAACAGATGTGGAATTTGAGATTCACTGAGGTTAATTATTATGCCAAGGACCACCTAGCTAGTAAATCGCTAAGCTAGGAGTCTAACTTAGGTCTCCTAACAGTAACTTGAATGATGATACAGCTACCTGTTTTTCTATTTTTGCTTCAATAATAACAATTGTAACAATGCATCAGACATACTAAGAATCAATTTGTTTTTGGTTTCTTGTGATCTAGAAAGTAACATAGGCTATGCCATGATTCCTTCCTGCCTGCCTGCCTGCCTCCCTTCCTTCCTTCCTTCCTCCCTCCCTCCCTTCCTTCTTTCCTTCCTATATCCTTCTTTCCTTCCTATCATCTTTCCTTCCCTTCTTCATTCCCTCCCTGCCAAACTCAACAAGTGATTATTGATCGTATTGCTTGTCCAGCACTTTGCACTGCAATGGGCAGGGGGGGTCTGTGCCCTATCTTACCATATAATTTATAGCAAACTTTGTAGCAAGAAAAGCATCTGTTGTAGGAGTTCAGACAGGAAATAATTCTGCATGTTAGTACGTAAGCATTTAAGTTGAGTTGTAGAACTTGTTAAGATCACTTCTCAATATGACCAGTGCTTAGGACTTTATGAACGATGATCTCAAACTTATTAACCAATTGCCCTTTATCTATTCCTCACAACAAAGAGAGGGCAAAAATCAGCTTATGTGATGGAAGCATCATAGAAATGGGATATTAAAATGATATGAATTCCTTTAAAAGTATATAAGAGCAGTATGAGCTATGTTGAGTCAACACCCTTCCTCTACGTTCTCACTGTCACCTGGACGTGCCTCTCTTTGGCTTTAGTGTGCTTACTTTTTAATACTTCCATCTCCCTCTGTTAAATGATAAATTATTTAAGGAATCCTGAATTAACTTGGTACTTAGTGAAGCCTGGATAGTAGCAAATTCTAAATAATGTGTGTTTCATCAATGAATAATGAATAAAAGCACTACCTCTTGATCATACTATAGTAGTATGCAAAAATCAGGAAGGGAGAGGAGAAACCAATCGCTGGTAAAGTGACATTGTCTTAGCTTTGAAATCATTTCAGGAGTGAGAGGAGGTGGTGATGTTGTCCAGATTCCACAAGAAATGATAGACATAATTACCTACCTCACTACCAGAAACCAGGGCAGGGTGCCATGCAAAGAGATTTCCAGTCAAGGTGATAAAGACCAGTATAAGAGCACATACACAATCGGAAGGTTTGTTTCTCACTCACACAGCAGTCCAGAGGTAAGCAGGCCAGGTGTTGGGCTCAGAAAATGATACCCCAACGTTTGGTGCTTTGGCACGCTCAGCACGAAGAACTAAAGGAAATGAGAGCTTTCAAAGCTGCTTTGGAATCAAGGACTCTCTGACCCTCCCTAGTTTCTCCTACCAAGTGCAGGGAGGAGCTGTCCCTGAAATTTCCTTATCTGACTGAGGGAAATTCTTCCAAAAGAAACACGATTGCCTTCAATCTCCTGTCTGAAATCTTATTGACCAGGGAAGATTAATTTGTATTGCAGGAAAGGAAACTAAAAGTCGCCAGGCCCAGGACAACACGCCAGGACAGACTTTTCACTTCTTCTTTCAGCTACTTTTCTAAGGGCTGTTACCTGAGAAACTTGATCTGCGTAATAAGACAGCCTTTGCTCACCATTGTTTCTCTCCTTATCCTTCCATGGTATGTGTCACCACCTCCCCTCCCTCTCAGAGGCCCCCGTTTCTTTCTACTTAAGTTTCTGCCACCTGGTCCCCTCTTTGAACCTCATATTTTGTGTGACTCTCGTGTTTATGCACACAATACATTTGTATGCCTTTACCCCAGCTTTGTCTATTGTCAGTTCATTTCAGCAGACTCGATTATAGAATCTTCATTCAGATAGGGGAGGAAAATGTTTTGGGGCCCTACACAGTTGTGATATACAGTTGCACACTTCTGAAATTGTTCAGGGTATGCTACCCACAATATCCCACCTTGGCATTTAAAAAAAAAAAAAAACAGAAGCAGAAAGGTCTTTCCAGCCTTCTCTCACCATTC